>NC_000019.10:53490874-54115874 GCF_000001405.40 Homo sapiens | reverse complement strand
GCCTTTTTCCTCACACACTTCTTCTCCCAGACCCAGGAGCCCAGCCTCCCGCTCCCCGTGGTCCCCATCACACTCACCTCTCCTCTCCGCGCACCACTGTTTCTAGCGTTAGTCGCTCACC
This sequence comes from Homo sapiens, assembly GCF_000001405.40. Classification (NCBI taxonomy): domain Eukaryota; kingdom Metazoa; phylum Chordata; class Mammalia; order Primates; family Hominidae; genus Homo; species Homo sapiens. The sequence goes on along the minus strand of NC_000019.10, from coordinate 54,115,753 downwards.
GATGACGTCTCACTCTCGCGCCGTTATAGAGGCAAAGCTACTCTCTGATTGGTCCCCGCTCGCGATGTTCCTGGCCGCATTTGAAACAACAACTTTATTAGCACCTGGCACTAGGCGGAGAGAGGCGGTAAGCCGCGAGGAGGAAAGGGACTCACGTCCCGCTGTGGACCGATCCTGCTAAGCAGAGAATCGCTGTGGCCGGACGACGGGGCGTCGAGACAAGAAGAAAGACGTTGGCAACTCAGAGGACTGGTTGCGGCGTTAGACAAGAAAGCAAGGCCTTTAAGCAGGGATTCGGGGTGGACGTGGGGGTGGGCCGAAGCGAAGCCGGAAACAGGAAACTACAACTCCCACAAGGCCTAGGGCCACGTCCCGCCGTCCTCGGCTGCTGAGCCTGATGGGACAAGTAGTTTTGCGAACGGCTTAACCTACAGATTGAAGAGGTCGGAAGCTCTGAGGCCCGGGGCTTCCGGAGGTCGCGGAGATGGAATTGGAGCAGAGAGAAGGGTATGTGGCTGAGCCCTTGTGAAAAAGTGCGAATCCCAGAAAACAGTGCAGCTGCATTGTGTGCAACCATATGAGCTTTTACGCTGAGGTCTGATGGGGGTTGTAGTTCATGCAACTGCTTTACCTTAGAACCCTTTTATGGACTGGGGTCATCCTGAGGGAGGAGAAGGTTAGGGGTTTGGACTGCTGGATCTGACAGACTAGGAGGTTGGAAGCCAGGACTCTTGCGTCTGGTTGAGGGTTGGGGCTTGGACTCCCTGGGTCCTTGGAGAGAAAAAGTCTGGAGGTCTGGACTCTTGCATCCTGGGAGGAGGGGGTCAGGGCTTGAACCCTGTGGGTGCTGCGAAGGGTGGGTTGCGGACTTGGACTTCTGGGTCTGAGGGAGGAGGGCTGGGAGCTGGATTCTACGGTCTGAGGGAGGAGGGGCTGGGGGCCTGGATTCTAGGATCTCAGGGAGGAGGGGTTGGGGTCTGGGCTCCTGGTTCAGTGGGAGAAGGGGCTGGGGGTCCAGGATCCAGGGCCCCTGAGCCTTTCCCTGCCTCTCAGGACCATGGCAGCCGTGGGCTTTGAGGAGTTCTCAGCGCCGCCAGGCTCAGAGTTGGCGTTGCCTCCCCTATTTGGTGGCCACATCCTGGAGAGCGAGCTGGAGACGGAAGTGGAGTTTGTGTCAGGTGGTCTGGGCGGCTCAGGGCTCCGGGAGCGAGATGAAGAGGAAGAGGCAGCCCGGGGTCGGCGGCGGCGCCAGCGGGAATTAAATCGCAGAAAGTACCAGGCACTAGGTCGGCGCTGCCGGGAGATCGAGCAGGTAGGTGAGTGCGGATCCCCCGGTTTTGGGGTCCCCTGGCCTAAACTACCGCCCCCCGCAATCTCTGCCTTTCCACATGCCCAGCCTTTCTTGGCTTGCTGATATATTCAGTCATTTAGCTTATATATTCAGTCATTTAGCATGCATTATGTGTCTGGCCCTGTGCCGGGCCCCTGGAAGGGCCATCTCCCGTGGAGCTTCCCTGACAACGCAGATGGGTTCTCTGATGTCTCCCGGGGGCCTCTCAATGCGTGGCACCGCTCACAGGTGAAAGCCCAAGCTCTTCACATCTCCCATACCCCTGCCAGGATTCACTCCTCTCGACTCATTCATTCCGCCTCTTGAGTGTCTCTGGACCCTTCTCCTCTCCTCCATCCCTATGGCTGCCATTGCAAACTCCAGCTGTCTGGGCTGAATGACTGCAATAGCCTCCTTGCTGAGAATAAGGATGGGCTGGGCATGGTGGCTCACGCTTGTAATCCTAGCACTGGGAGGCTGAGGCAGGCGGATCACCTGAGGTTAGGAGTTCGAGACCAGCCTGGCCAACATGGTGAAACCCCATCTCTACTAAAATACAAAAAAATTAGCCAGGTGTGGTGGTGCGCACCTGTAGTCGCAGCTACTAGGGAGGCTGAGGCATGAGAATTGCTTGAACCCGGAAGGCGGAGGTTGCAGTGAGCCAAGATCATGCTGCTGTACTCCAGCCTGGGTGACAGAGTGAGACTCCGTCTCAAAATCAATCAATCAATCAATGAGGATTAAACAGCAGGCAGGGCTCAGATCTTGGCAGGCCAGGAACACCAGGACAAGAAGTCTGGATATTTTTTTTTCCTTGAGAGTGAAGGAGCCACTGAAGGGTTTCAAATGGGGGAGGAACAGCATCAGGTCTGGATGCCTGAAACTCTGAAGACAGTTGTATTAGTCTGCTTGGACTCCCAGAACTTATCACAAATAGGGTCCCTCAAGCACAGAAATTCCTGTCTGACAGTTCTGGAGGCTAGACATCCAAGGCAAGGTGTCGACAGGGTTGTGAGAATCTTCCAGGCCTCTCCCCTGGCTTCTGGAGGTTTCTGGCAGTCATTGGCACGTACAAACATCACCCTGATCTCCGCCTTCATCTTCACATTGCTGCTCCCTGTGTGTGTGTCTGTGTCCCAATTTACCCTTTTTATAAGGACTCCAGTCATACTGGATTAGGGCCCACCCACTGGCTTCATTTGAACTTGATTACTTTTGTAACGACACTGTCTCCATATAAGGTGATCCTGAGGTACTGGGGGTTAAAGCCTCAACACCCTCTTTTGGGGGAAATAATTCAACTTTTTTTTTTTTTTTTTTTTTTTTTTTTGAGGTGGAGTCTCGCTCTTGTCTCCCAGGCTGGAGTGCAATGGCACCATCTCAGCTCACTGTAACCTCCACCTCCTGGGTTCAAGTGATTCTCCTGACTCAGCCTCCCTAGTAGCTGGGATTACAGGCGCCCGCCACCACACCCAGCTAATTTTTCTATTTTTAGTAGAGACAGGGTTTCACCATGTTGGTCAGGCTGGTCTCAAACTCCTGACCTCAGGTGATCTGCCCACCTCAGCCTCCCAAGGTGCTGGGATTACAGGCTTGAGCCACCACGCCTGGCCTTCAACTCTTTTTCTCTTTCTTGAGACAGGTTCTCACTTTGTCACCAAAGCTGGAGTGCAGTGGCGCAATCTCAGCTCATTGCAGCCTCAGTCTCCCAGGTTCAAGCAGTCCTCCTGCCTCAGCCCCCAAAATAGCTGGGACTACAGGCACACACCACCACACCTGGCTAATTTTTGTACTTTTTGTAGAGATGGGGTTTTGCCATGTTGCCCAGGCTGGTCTTGAACTCCTGACCTCAAGTGATCCACTCGCCTTGACCTCCCAAAATGCTAGGATTACAGGCATGAGCCACCACATCTGGCCTCAATTCTTAATGACAGTATTGGGGAGTTCTGTAAGGAGGAAGGCTAGAGGCCAGGGGCATATTCCAAACCCTGTTTAACAGACAGACACCAAGGCCCAAACGGACTCAACTGGAGCCTCTGCCATTAATCCACCCCCAGGAATAGATTACTACTATTTTACAAGTATAGAAAATCAAGGCTCAGAGAGGTTAAGTAATGCACCCAAGCTCAGAGCTCAGCAGTGGCAGATCTGAGATTTTTTTTTTTTTTTTGAGACAGGGTCTTTCTCTGTTGCCCAGGCTGGAGTGCAGTGGCATGACTGTGGCTCACTGCAGCCCCAACATCCTGGACTCTAGCAATCTCAGCCTCCGAAGGAGCTGGGACTACAGCCACCAAGCCCAGCTAATTTTTTTGGTTAGTTTTTGAGTGTTGGGGTCTCACTCTGTTGCCCAGGCTGGTGTCGAACTCCTGGCCTCTCAAAGTGCTGGGATTATAGGCATGAGCCACTGTGCCAAGCCAGAGCCAAAACTTGAACTCTTTTTTTTTAGATGGATTTTCGCTCTTGTTGTCCAGGCTGGAGTGCAATGCTGCAATCTCAGCTCACTGCAACCTCCGCCTCCTGGGTTCAAGCGATTCTCCTGCCTCAGCCTCCCGAGTAGCTGGGATTACAGGCATGCGCCACTACACCTGGCTAATTTTGTATTTTTAGTAGAGACAGGGTTTCACCACGTTAGGCTGGTCTCAAACTCCTGACCTCAGGTGATCCGCTCGCCTTGGCCTCTGAAAGTGCTGGGATTACAAGCGTGAGCCACCGTGCCTGGCACTTTTTTTTTTTTTTTTTCTTTTGAGACAGAGTCTTACTCTGTCACCCAGGCTGGAGGGCAGTGGTGTGATCTCGGCTCACTGCAACCTCCAGCTCCTGGGTTCAAGCGATTCTCCTGCCTCAGCCTCCTGAGAAACTGGGATTACAGGCATGCGCCACCATACCCAGCTAATTTTTGTATTTTTCTTTTTTTTTTTTTTTTTTTAGTAGAGATGAGGTCTCATCATGTTGGCCGGGCTGGTCTGCAACTCCCGACCTCAAACTCTTGAGTAGCTGAGATTACAGGCATGTGCCACAACATCCGGCCAATTTTTGTATCTTTAGTAGAGACGGGGTTTCACCATGTTGGCCAGGCTGGTCTTGAACTCCTGACCTCAAGTGATCTGCCCGCCCCGGCCTCCCAAAGTGCTGGGATTACAGGCGTGAGCCACTGTGCCCCGCCCGGAACTCAGGTCTTTCTGACCCAGGAGCAGCACCTGCTTCAGCCACTGTCTTTGGGTCCCTGTTTGGCTGAGTCACATCTCTCCCTCCATGTCTAGGCTGGAGTCCTCAGAAGCTGCGTGCAGGGCTGTCCCCTCAGCCTGGCATACTTTCCTCCTGTCACCCCTTTGTCTCCTCCTTATTCAAGTCTGGGCCCACGGGCCTTCTCTGCAGGTCGTAACTAAAGTCGCACCTCCTGCCCTAACCTCCAGCATGTCTGACTCTTTGGTATTCACCAAGCACTTCTCACTTTGCAAAGTCATTGATTCTGCAAATGTTCATCGAGGATGTACTACGTGCCAGGCTCTGGTTAAGGCACGGGATGTAGAAACAAGTTGCTGTCGTTTTTCAGCTCATGCTCTGGCTGGAGAGGCGGTCAGTCAGCAGAATAAGCAAAGAGGCGGAGAGGCTGCGTCCTGCCTCCTCAGATGAGCACTAGGAGGAAATAAAGCCAGGAGTGAATGGCCGGGTGGGGTTCTGGCATGGGAAGGGGGGTCGGGTGTGTTGCAATTTTTTTTTTTGAAACAGAACCTCGCTCTGTTGCCCAGGCTGGAGTGCAGTGGGGTGATCTCAACTCACTTCACCCCTCCACCTCCCAGGTTCGTGCGACTATCCTGCAGGCACCTGCCACCACGCCCAGCTAATTTTTTGTATTTTTAGTAGAGATGGGGTTTCATCATGTTGGCCAGGCTGGTCTCGAACTCCTGACCTCAGGGGATCTACTCGCCTCGGCCTCCCAAAGTGCTGGGATTACAGGCGTGAGCCACCGCACCTGGCCTGGTGTGTTTCGACTTAATGGGAGGTTCAGGCTCTCTGAGCAGGTAACAGTTGACCTAAGACTTGGAGTGGGGAGTAAGTTGTGCGGATGACTGGGGAGAGGGTCCAGGTAGAGGAACAGCACGCGGAAGGCCCCCACTGGAGGGCACTCAGGACTGTGGCATGGTGAGAGGGGAGCCGGAGGGATGGGAAGGTGGAAGGACCTCAGGCCACGGGATGGTCTTTGGCCAGTCTCCAGAGTTTAGTGCGTGCCCCATTAAACATCCGTTAAACAAATGAACGGGAGCCGTGGGATCCAGCTGATGGGCGTTTCCCACCCCATAGGTGAACGAGCGGGTCCTGAACAGGCTCCATCAGGTGCAGAGGATAACTCGGAGGCTGCAGCAGGAACGGAGGTAACCCCTTCTCTGTCCCCTCTGGGCCTGTGAGCCTCAGCTCCCAAATGCTCCCAGCCCCTCTGTCTCTCCCACTTCCACATCCACCCAACCCTCACAAGCCACAAGGAGAAGCCGGAGATGAGGGCCGGGGGCTGAGGCAAACAAGGAGGAAGAGTGGGATTCGGTGTTGGAGGAGAGGGCTGAGCACTGGGACTGAGGGAGGGCCGGGTGGAGAGGGCTGAGCACTGGGACTGAGGGAGGGCCGGGTGGAGGGCATCCTCCCCCTGAAGGGAGGGAACAGCAGGATGGAAGGCACACGAGCACAGACCTGACTGCAAGTATTTTCTTTTTTTTTTGCTGTGTGACTCTAAGCAAGCAGTGTCCCTTCTCTGAGCTGTTTCCTATCAACTAAGGGCAGCACCAATATCATGAGGCTGCGGCAGGGTTGTCGGAGCTTGCAGGTGGTGAGCTGAGCTCAGAGCTTCCCACTGTGTGTCTCCACAGAACCTGCCCAGGTGGCTGCTGCCCCTGCCACTCGCAGTGTCCCTGTACCAGCAAAACTGGAGCAAGTTTTGTAGGAATGGCTCCACGTTGCTGAGTCAACCACAGTTCTCATCTCAGTCCTTGGCTCAGGCTCGGCACAGTGGCCCAGGGCTATGTGCTCTTCCCTGGAGCCCATTCTTGCCATCCTGGGCACCCAGCAACCTGGGGTCTCCTGCCTTTCCGGCTGTTCCTTCTTGGCTGCCTCTGCTAGTTCATCCTCCCTCCCCAAAGCTGAAACCTGCGGCTCCCAGGGTTCCTCTGTCCGTACCTGTGCTGTCCAGCACGGTAGCCGCTGGCCACAGGTGAGATTTTCACTTAAGTTGAAATAGGCCGGGCGCAGTGGCTCATCATGCCTGTAATCCCAGCACTTTGGGAGGCCGAGGCAGGCGGATCACGAGGTCAGGAGATCGGGACCATCCTGGCTAACACGGTGAAACTCCGTCTCTACTAAAAATACAAAAAAATTAGCCGGGTGTAGTGGCAGGCGCCTGTAGTCCCAGCTACTCGGGAGGCTGAGGCAGGAGAATCGCTGGTACCAGGGAGGTGGAGGTTGTGGTGAGCCAAATTCACGCCACTGCACTCCAGCCTGGGTGACAGAGTGAGATTCCGTCGCAAAACAACAACAACAAACCTGCCCAGGTGCTGGTGCAGAGGAGGCATTCCATCAATTGAACCTTAAGGAACTCTGGAGGCAGGGGCTGGGGAAAAAAGAGAAGGGGGTGTTTATAAGAGGTGAGGTCATTAGGAGGAGCGTTCTGTACTCCCCTCTCTTCAGTTATCAATAAAAATTATAACTCACATATGAATGTTTACTAAGTGCTGACATCACATTAAGTACAGAAATCGTCTGGTGTCACTACTTCAGTGTCACCGCTGCAACATCCAGCCGAGGGTGTCATGTCGTTTGCAGAGCAGGAAACTCAGCCTCAGAATGGTTGCCTTGTCTTGCTCGAGGTCTCAAGGCTGGTCAAGGGCATGGCTCCCAGGCCTCCAGTGCCAGAGCTCAGGACCGTCTGGCTCCAGGACAGCTTTGGCGTTGAGTGGAGTGGGAGCTGAGCTCTATCCTGTGGCCCTTTTCCCCAGCCGCTAGGAGATAAGTTATTCCGTTGGTGGCTTCTCCCCCTGAGCAGGTTCCTCATGAGAGTGCTGGACTCCTACGGGGATGACTACCGGGCCAGCCAGTTCACCATTGTGCTGGAGGTGAGTGTTGGGCCTCCAGGAGGGTCAGGAACTGGGAGCTCAGGACCCACCCATCACCTACCTCCCCCTCCTGCCTGCCAGGATGAGGGCAGCCAGGGCACGGATGCCCCCACCCCAGGCAATGCGGAGAATGAGCCTCCAGAGAAAGAGACACTGTCCCCGCCCAGAAGGACTCCTGCACCCCCAGAACCCGGCAGCCCAGCCCCCGGTGAGGGGCCCAGTGGGCGGAAGAGGCGGCGAGTGCCACGGGATGGACGCCGAGCAGGAAATGCGCTGACTCCAGAGCTGGCCCCGGTGCAGGTGAGGAAGGCGGGAACTCAAGGGGAGGGACTGGGGCTCCAGAGCCGGCGCCAGTGCAGGTAAGGAGGGGGGACTCAAGGGGAGGGGCCAGGGCTGGGGCTGAGTTAGGTTCAGGGCTCTTGGGTTTTGGTTCTGCACCCCGAGGGGCCCAGGGCTGGGGAAAGTTGGAGAAGGGAGGTGAACCAGGACATGTTGGAGGCCTAGGATCAGGCAGGGAAGTAGTTGGAAAAAGTGGGGTAAAGGCTTGGGTAAAAAGGAGGCAAAGTTGGAAAGGGAAAGAGGAAGACCTGGAGAAGGAAAAATAGCTAGAGAAGGCTGGGAGTAGAGGAGAAGGAAGGATCAGAGAAGACGGAGTGGAAGGGAAGGCCCAGTGTGGGGAGGAAAGCTGGAAGAACATCTGGACCCAGGAACACTGGGATTGCCTCTGAGGTGTAAGGAGGAAGGTGACTGGCCTGGGCAGACAAGAACTGTGAGGCTGGCCAGGTGCAGTGGCTCATGCCTGTAATCCCGGCACTTTGGGAGGCCTAGGTGGGAGGATCACTTGAGGCCAGGAGTCTGAGACCTGCCTGAGCAACATACTGAGACCCCATCTCTACCAAAAAGAAAAAACATGTTAGGCTTGGTTGGCAAGTGCCTGTAGTCCCAGCTACTTGGGAAGCTGAGGTGGGAGGATCACTTGAGCCTGGGAGGCAGAGGCTGCAGTGAACTATGATGGCACCACTGCACTCCAGCCTGGGCAACAGAGTGAGACCCTGTCTCTTTAAAAAGCAAAACAAAATGAAAACAAAAATGGTGAAGCTGATGGGATTTTCTAGATTCCCAGGCCTGTTAACACCTTGTTCCTTATCTCCTGCAGATTAAGGTTGAGGAAGACTTTGGCTTTGAAGCAGATGAGGCCCTGGATTCCAGTTGGGTTTCTCGGGGTCCAGACAAACTGCTGCCCTACCCGACCCTGGCCAGCCCAGCCTCTGACTGACGCATGCCCAATAAACTGACCCCACACTCACCCCGGCCACCGTCTACTTGTTCCCACCTCTGATCACACACATGCTCACGTTCGGGGGTTGGTTTTCACATTTTTATTGGGAGCCGTGGGAGGGGCCGCCTCTGTCAGTGGAGGTGCTCACAGTTTCTTCAGCCACTCCAGGCTGGGGCCCTGAGGGTCCTGGGGGTGGCTGGGCACGTCGGGCATGTTCCCATCATCACGGACGGGCACTGTGGGGCAGGAGGTGGGCCACTGAGACCAGCACGTCTCCAGGGCCCTGGAGAGAAGAGCTGGTCTGTCGCTTTATGTTCAGAGAGGGAAGGGGGACCCCAGGGGTGAGAGGGGAAGGGTCAGAGAATCAGTGATGCAGAAAGAGGCGGGAAATACAGAGACTGAGAGACACGGAAAACCAGAGAGATAGCGAGGGAGAGATCCCGCGCACTAGAGAGCTAGGGTCAAAAGAGATGGGGAAACAGGACAGAAACCTGAGAAGATGGAGACCAAGAAACCACCACAGATGGGAACCCAGAGAGAGACAGAAATCTGGAAAGGTAATAGAAACTCGAAGCACAGGCCAGGCGCGGTGGCTCACACCTGTAATCCCAGCACTTTGGGAGGCCGAGGTGAGTGGATCACAAGGTCAGGAGATCGAGACAATCCTGGCTAACACGGTGAAACCCCGCCTCTACTAAAAAAATACGAAAAAGTTTGCGTGTCGTGGTGGCGGGCACCTGTAGTCCCAGCTACTCGGGAGGCTGAGCTTGCAGTGAGCTGAGATCGCGCCACTGCACTCCAGCCTTGGCGACAGAGCGAGACTCTGTCTCAAAAAAACCCCAAAAAACAAAAACGAAGCACAAACACAGAATAGTATACGAATTATATCTCAATTCTTAAAAAATGGAACGGGGGGTCCGGGCACCACTGCAGAATCTCTGATAACTGCTTAGGAAAGACCTGCCCATAACTGCCCTTACGCCAGCACAGGGAGGCTGGGCCTATTCCGGGGATCCCTGCCTGGCCCCCACTCACCTGGGTAGTTGTAGGGCGTGGCCTTGTTGATCATGACGGAGTACTTGAAGTAGGGGCTCAATGGGGGCAGAATTACAGCTGTGGAGAGACACAGGGGTGAGGCCCAGGGGAAGGTGGCTCTGAAGAGAGGGGAAGAGAAGGTGAGCCTTGGCAAAGGGAAGATAAAGTGCGCAGGGGGAGGGCAGCAGGGAGGGCCAGCACGTCCAGGAGGATCCTTGGTACCTTGGGATCCCTACTTATAGACAGGAGGGTTTAAAACTCTTTTTTGGGGGGTTAAGTGGAGGTAGGGGTTGGAGCCTAACACTCACAGATACGTGGGGCCTGGAGGAGGCAGCAGTGGGGTTGGTCATGGAATGAGCACGTTTGAGTGTAGGGTCATCATGGAGCATCCTGGGGGTAGTGTCATGGGACTGTTCTGGAGAAATCAAGACTGTTACAAATTTGGCCGGGCACAGTGGCTCAAGCCTGTAATCCCAGCACTTTGGGCGGCCAATGTGGGCGGATCACCTGAGGTCAGGAGTTCGCGACCAGCCTGGACAACATGATGAAACCCCATCTCTACTAAAGATACGAAAATTAGCCGGGCGTGGTGGCAGGAGCCTGTAATCCCAGCTACTCAGGAGGCTGAGGCAGAAGAATCCCTTGAGCCTGGGAGGCAGAGGTTGCAGTGAGCCCAGATTGTGCCATTGCACTCCAGCCTGGGCAACAGAGAGAGACTCCATCACCAAAAAAAAAAAAAAAAAAAAAGCCTTACAAACTGGAGGAGAAAGGGTTGCACAAACAACAGTCACTGACCACAGTCCATTTAGGGTGGGAGCCAGGAGTCCTGGGGGATGGGGTACAGTTCATAAAAGGAATGTTCTAGGCCAGTGCTGTCTGACAGATGGTAAGAGCCAGGTATATAATTTTATATCTTCTAGTAGCTACAGTAAAAATAAGAGATACAGATGAAACAAATTTTAAGAAACATACTTGGATGGGCGAGGTGGCTCATGCCTATAATCCCAGGACTTTAGGAGGCTGAGACGGGTGGATCACCTGAGGTCAGGAGTTCGAGACCAGCCTGACCAATATGATGAAACCCCGTCTCTACTGAAAATACAAAAACAGCCAGGTGTAGTGGCATGCGCCTGTAATCCCAGCTACTAAGGAGGCTGAGACAGGAGAATCGCTTGAACCCGGGAGGCGGAGGTTGCAGTGAGCCGAGATCAGGCCATTGCACTCTAGCCTGGACAAAAGCGAAACTCCGTCTCAAAAAAACAAAAACAAACAAACAAAAAAAACCATAGTACATCCAAAACATCACTTCGCCATGTAATCAACAAAAGATTATTGGTAGTTTACACACTCTGTTATACTAAGTTTTTGAAATCCAGTGTCTTATACCACCTCAATTCATACCAGCACCACTTCAAATGCTCAGTGGCCAGTTGTGGCTGGTGGCTGCCATACTGAATAAGTGTTCAGAACCTTAACCTAGTGCCTGGCTGGTGGACCAGCAGTACTGACAAGACCTGGGAACTCTTCAAAAATGCAGAATCCCATGCCCCACCCCAGACCTACAGAATCAGAACCTACAGTTTGGCCGGGCGCAGTGGCTCACCCCTGTAATCCCAGCACTTTGGGAAGGCAGATCACTTGCGGTCAGGAGTTCAAGACCAGCCTGGCCAACATGGTGAAACCTTGTCTCTACTAAAAATACAAAAATTAGCCGGGCGTGGTGGTGCTCGCCTGTAATCCCAGCTACTTGGGAGGCGGAGGCAGGAGAATCACTTGAACCCTAGAGGCGGAGGTTGCAGTGAGCCATGATCAAACCATTGCACTGTAGCCTGGAAGACAGAGCGAGACGCCATCTCAAAAAAAAAAAAAAAAAAAAGCTGGCCGGGCGCGGTGGCTCACGCCTGTAATCCCAGCACTTTGGGAGACCGAGTTGGGAGGATCACGAGGTTAGGAGATCGAGACCATCCTGGCTAACACGGTGAAACCCCGTCTCTATTGAACATACAAAAAATTAGCCGGGCATGGGGGCGGGCGCCTGTAGTCCCAGCTACTCGGGAGGCTGAGGCAGGAGAATGGCGTGAACCCGGAAGGCGGGGCTTGCACTGAACCGAGATCGCGCCACTGCACTCCAGCCTGGGCGACAGAGCGAGACTCAGTCTCAAAAACAAAAACAAAAAATTAGCTGGGCGCCTGTAATCCCAGCTACTCGGGAGGCTGAGGCAGGAGAATCCCTTGAACCCAGGAGGCCGAGGTTGCAGTGAGCCGGGATCGCGCCACTGCACTTCAGCCTGGGTGAGAGTGAGACTCCATCGCAAAAAAAAAAGCTACATTTTAACAATCCCCCGCCCCCATCCCTGCAGGAACTCCGGTGCTAATTAAAGTGTGAGTAGGGCAGTTCCAGGGCAGAGGGCAGAGATTTTCAATCAGCAAGGCACATTGGGATCATACGGGGATTTTCACAAGACACAGATTCCCCAGTCCCACCTCCACCCAAGCCAACTCAATTCAGAATGGGGGAGAGGAAAGATGAAAAGGAGGAGGAGGATCTGGACTTTTTTTTGGTGCTCAGGTGTTAAGGCATAAGCAGGGTTGAGAACGTCTCATTTAGAGGGGTTAAGAGCGTATTGGGTAGGTGGAGAGGAACGCGGGGGGCGATGGTGGAGAGGTTATAATGGGTATGGGGATAGATAAGGGGATGCCGTGGGGGTGCAGACACACTAGAGGGGACCCGAGGGCGGCGATAGGGCTTTAGGGGTACAAGATGGAGGGATGTAGGGGGACGGGGGTGGACGATGCAAGTTTGCGCCTGGAGCACTCACGCACCGAGGCCCCCGACGACGAAGGACACGACCAGCACTGGCTCCTTGTCCCAGGCATTCTTGAGGAAGGCGCCGACTCCTGAAGGGGTGGCAAGAAGCGTCACCCCTGCAAGTAGCTGCCCCCGGTGACCTCTAACCCTCTCGTGCCACCCCTGCCCTGGAGGAGCCCCCTCGTGACTTCTGCGTTCCCCTCCAGCACGGACCCCATCGCTTCCACCCCTGCCCTGCCGCACCTCAGTCCCAGGACCGCCCAGAGGTTCCCAGAACTACCCGAGCCCCGTGCGCCACCGGCACCTGCACTTACTCGCAGCCATCTTTGTCTCCGCGGCGGCGACAGCGGCGAGGACGCGGAGCACCCTGGGAGTTGTGGTCCCTATGCGCGAGAACCCGCTCCCAGGGCTGCGCGTGCGCCCTGGAGCACAAGTAGAGGCGAAAGCAAGGACGCGGAGCACTCTGGGAGTTGTGGTCCCTCTGTGCGACGGCCCGCTTTCGGAGCCTGCGCGTGCGCACTCGCGCAGAACAAAGATGGAGCCGTGGAGGTAAAGGAAGTGGTGTCAGGAGCAAGCGCAAGCCTGACTTTGCGGACCTGCGTGGAATCTCCTTAGTCTCAGCCTAGAAGTCGCTCCGGAGTGACTAGTCCTCCTGCTGCGACCCACCTAAGGCGGAACAAAATAGTCCCCATTTTATAGTTTATGTATGAAAGCCCATTTTACAGACGAAGAAACTGAGCCCGGGAGAAGGTGAATGACTAACCTGTCCTTCGAGGTCTCAGCTCAACATCGGCTCGTCCTGGAAGCGCTAGGTCTCATCCCAGATGGGTTAGGAGCTTTCTGCGGGCTCTCACAGTGCTCTGTTACCGCCATTATAGCTCAGATCACTTAAGAAACTGACCTGGTCTGGGCCAGGCGCGGTGGCTCACGCCTGTAATCCCAGCACTTTGGGAGGCCGAGGCGGGCGGATCACGAGGTCAGGAGATCTAGACCATCCTGGCTAACATGGTGAAACCCTGTCTCTACTTAAAAATACAACACAAATTAGCCGGGCGTGGTGGTGGGCGCCCGTAGTCCCAGCTACTGGGGAGGCTAAGGCAGGAGAATGGCGTGAACCCGGGAGGCGGAGCTTGCAGTGAGCCGAGATCACACCACTGCACTCCAGCCTGGGCGACAGAGCGAGACTCCGTCTCAAAAAAAAAGAAACTGACCTGGTCTTGGTCTTTCAGTCGGACTGGTAGCTGCTGCTTGAGAGCAGTAACGGAGTCTGAGTTCCCTCTGTGCCTGCCAACATGGCACAGCGAGGGTCTGGCACGTAATAGGTTCTAATTTTTTTTTTTTTCTTCTGAGATTGAGTCTAGCTCTGTCGCCCAGGCTGGAGTGCAATGGCGCGATCTCGGCTCACAGCAACCTCCGACTCCCGAGTTCAAGCGATTCTCCTGCCTCAGCCTCCTGAATAGCTGGGATTACAGGCGCGCGCCTCCACAGCCGGCTAATTTTTCTTTTTTAGGAGAGACGGGGGTTTCTCCATGTTGGTCAGGCTGGTCTCGAACTTCCCGACCTCAGGTGATCCACCCGCCTTGGCCTCCCAAAGTGCTGGGATTACAGGCGTGAACAACCGCGCCCGGCCTAGAGGGGCTAATTTTTATCTATCTATCTATCTAACACAGTATCACACCAAGAGCCTGGCACATAATAGGTGCTAATTTTTCTCTGTCAACCAATCTATCAATCGATCAATTAATCACAGCAAGGGCCTGGCACATAATTGGTGTTAATTTTTATCTATCCATCAATCAATCACAGCAAGGGCCTGGCACTTAACAGGTGCTAATTTTTATCTATCTATCTATCTATCTATCTATCTATCTATCCATCCATCCATCTATCTATCTTTCAATCACAGCAAGGGCCTGGCACATAATAGGTGCAAATTTTTATCTATCTGTCAATCAATGACAGCAAGAGTCTGGCACATAATAGGTTCTTATTTTTAAAACAGACAGATATCTTTCTATCTGTCTATCTATATTTAAAGACATGGTCTCACTCTATCACCCAGGCTGGAGTGCAGTGGCACAATTTATTTATTTATTTTTTAGACAGGGTCTCGCTCTGTTGCCCAGGCTGCTCTTGAACTCTTGGGCTCAAGCGATCCTCCTGCCTCCACCTCCTGACTAGTATTTGTTTCTAGAGTTAAATAAATGAACACCACAGGTTATGACTGAACCCCCTGCTAATTTTTCCACAGTGCCATAGGGCTATGACACAGTCACCCACAGGCCCCCACCTCGATACTCTCTTCCGTAAATGAGGATCTGGGTCTGGTTTTCTGATGTTGCCTCATTTCCTGGGAGGGGAGAGGGTGCGACCAAGCCCTGGCTCCAGCTCTAGCGGGTATCTGCCCACCATGGCCCTGGTGCTGATCCTCCAGCTGCTGACCCTCTGTGAGTCACCCCTTTCTTCTCCCTGGGTTCCTGGCTGGGGTTGGGGGCAGAGAGAGAGGCAATGGAGACCCAGACACCCTGCAGGGGGACCAGGCAGCAGGTTTGGGATTCTAGGTTCAAATAAAGAACAGGGCTGGGGCCCAGACCCCTGGGTCCTAAAGCAAGAGAACACAGATTCCCGAAAGAGGAAGGAGGTGGGGACAGGTATCTCTGGTTCTTGAGGCAGGAAGAGGTCAGGAGACAGGGAGGACTCCCAGATTCTTATATGGGAGGGGGATGGAAGCCAGGACTCCTGATTCCCTGGGAAAAGGGGGCTGGGAACAGGGCTCTTAGCTCCTGAGAGAAGAGGGAAATGGGGACCCAGATTCCTGAACTCGTGAGAGGAGAAACTCTACGATCATTGTTCCCTGGAAAGGTGGAGTTCAAGGGCCTGAACTCTTGGTTGCCCAGGCCAGAGGGGTCTGCGTTCAGACTTCTTCGGTAGGTGGGCAATGGATGTCCAAATTTCTGCCTACTGAGACAGGAGGAGGGAGGGATAAGATTCTCATTTCCCAGAGGAGATAGGAGCTGGGAACTCAGATTCCTGGGTTACCAATGAGATGGGGCTGGCCACAAAGGGTTTTGAAAAGAACTCGCTGTTGGGCGCAGCGGCTCATGCCTGTGGGAGCCGAGGCCCAGCACTTTGGGAGGCCGAGGCGGGTGGATCACCTGAGGACAGGAGTTCAAGACCAGCCTGACCAACATGGCGAAACCCCTCTCTACTAAAAATACAAAGATTAGCCTGGTGTGGTGGCGGGCACTTGTAGTCCCAGCTACTACGGAGGCTGAGGCAGGAGAATCACTTGAACCTGGGAGGCAGAGGTTGCAGTGAGCTGAGATCACACCACTACACTCCAGCCTGGGCGACAGAGTGAGACTCTGCCTCAGACAAAAAAAAAAAAAGGAAAAAGAAACTAGTCCCTCAACCTCCTACAGGGCCTCTGTGTCACACAGACATCACTCCGTCTGGTGAGTAGCCACCCCATCCACTCTCCTTTTGTTGCTGACACCCCTTTTCCAATTACTCAGATTTTATTTTGGTGCCCAATCCCATCCCAGATATCCTTATTTTCCTCCCTCCCTCCATTCCTTCCTTCTTTTCTCATTCCCCTTAGTGGCCATTATAGGTGAGTACTGAAGACCAGGAACTTCTGAGGCAGAGGCCTAAGCTAGGACCTCAGTTTCACCATCGTATTCATTTATATGTGACCATATGACCTAGAACAAGTCACAGCTTGCTAAGACTCCATTTCCTTCTCTGTAAAATGGGCCGCTGTGAGATCTCATCAAATCACATGTGCAAAACCCTGAGCCTGGCACAGTACAGGGCTTAAGAAATAGGATCTTGGGCTGGGCGCAATGGCCAACGTCTGTAATCCCAGCACTTTGGGAGGCAGAGGCGGGCGGATCACAAGGTCAGATCGAGATCATCCTGGCTAATGTGGTGAAACCCCGTCTCTACTAAAAAAAAAAAAAAAAAAAAAAAATTAGCCGGGTGTGGTGGGACGCACCTGTAATCCCAGCTACTCAGGAGGCTGAGGCAAGAGAATCGCTTGAACCCAGGAGGCAGAGGTTGCAGTAAGCTGAGATCGCGCCACTGCACTCCAGCCTGGGTGACAGTGCAAGACTCCACTTCAAAAACAAACAAACAAACAAAAAAAACTCTTTTGGAGATATTTCAGTGTCGCTATAGCTATCTCTACCTATTTATTTTATTTATTTATTTATTTATTTTGAGACCAGTTTCTCTCTGTCGCCCAGGCCGGAGTGCAGTGGTGCAATCTCGGCTCACTGCAACCACCTCCTGGGTTCAAGGGATTCTCCTGCCTCAGCCTCCTGAGTAGCTGGGACTACAGGCACACACCACAATGCCCGGATAATTTTTGTATTTTTAGTAGAGACAGGGTTTCCCCATGTTGGTCAGGCTGGTCTGGAACTCCTGACCTCAGGTGATCCCTCTGCCTCAGCCTCCCAAAGTGTTGGGATTACAAACATGAGCCCCCTCACCCGACCCTTATTTTTATTCATTTTTAGAGATGGGGTCTCATTGTGTCACCCGGGCTGGAGTACGGTGGCTCTATCATAGCTCACTGCAGCTTTGAATTCCTGGGCTCAGACAATCCTCCAGCCTCAGCCTCCCAAAGTGCATGCCACCATGGAGTTCTCACTCTGTTGCCCAGGCTGGAGTGCAGTGGCATGATCTCAGCTAACTGCAGCCTCCGACTCTAGGGTTCAAGTAATTCTCCTACTCAGCATCCCAAACAGCTGGAACTACAAGCTAGCACTACCACGCCTGGCTAATTTTTCTGTTTTTAGTAGAGATGGGATTTTACCATGTTGGTCAGGCTGGTCTTGAACTCCTGACCTCAGGTGATGCACCCACCTTGGCCTCCCAAAGTGCTGGGATTACAGCTGTGAGCCACCGGACCCAACAGCCTTCCTGTACTCTTAATTTGTGTGATTTGTGAATAAGTGATATCTGCCAGTACTATCATTTGTCCTCTAGTTTTGTCTTTTAGCATACACAACTTAAGAAATTTGAAGTGGTCAAATTAATTAATCTTCCATACAACTTTTTATTTTATATTTTAAGAAGCCTTCCTTACCCCAAGACAAATATATTTTCCTATAGTTTTTTGAATACTTTTATAGTTTAAAAAAAAAGAAACACAGGGTCTTTAATTAATCTGGAAGTTGTTTTGGGAAATGGTATGAGGTAGGGATCCAACATTTTTCTTTTCCAAATAGCAAGTTTTGGCAACTCTTGAAATACTATATTGCAAATATTCTGGAAAGCTATTTAAAATTAGAGTTCTGGCTGGGCGTGGTGGCTCACACCTGTAATCCCAGCACTTTGGGAGGCCGAGGTGGGAGGATTGCTTGAGCCCAAGAGTTCAAGAGTAGCCTGGGCAATATAGCGAATGCTCGTCTCTACTAAAAATTAAAAAAAAAAAAATTAGCCTGGTGTAGTGGCATGTGCCTGTGGTCCCAGGTACTCAGGAGGCTGAGGTGGAGGACTGTTTGAGCCCAAGAGATTGAGGCTGCAGTGAGTTGAGAACATGCCACTGCACTCCTGCCTGAGCAACAGAGCAAGACCCTGCCTCAAAAAAAAAAAAAAAAAAAAAAAAAAAAGTCTGGGTGTGGTGGCACAAGCTTGTAAACTTAGCACTTTGGGAGGCCGAGGTGGGAGGATTGCTTGAGGCCAGTAGTTTAAGACCAACCTGCTCAACATAGGGAGACCGCCCCCTCCCATCTCATTACTTAAAAATAATAATAATAATAAAATTACAGAGTTCTGGGACCTGACCTTTTGAAACTGTGTTTACAAACTGTGGAGTAAAGCTCAGAAGTTTCTGTCCTGCCCCTCTGATTTGCACCTGGTTTTAACAAGGCTTGATTGTAGTCCAGTCTCTCCCTGATTTTACAAACAGGAAACTGAGGCTAAGAAAGGGGCAGTAATTGTCCAAGGTGATTTTCCTCCTTCCCCAACTTCCCTTTCATCTTCTGGGGCTCCCAGGAGGCCCGAGGACCCAGGCAGCCCCGTTTATTCAGTCCCCCCAGCTTCATACCACCCTAAGCCATGGCTGGGAGCTCAGCCGGCTACAGTTGTGACCCCTGGGGTCAACGTGACCTTGAGATGCCGGGCACCCCAACCCGCTTGGAGATTTGGACTTTTCAAGCCTGGAGAGATCGCTCCCCTTCTCTTCCGGGATGTGTCCTCCGAGCTGGCAGAATTCTTTCTGGAGGAGGTGACTCCAGCCCAAGGGGGAAGTTACCGCTGCTGCTACCGAAGGCCAGACTGGGGGCCGGGTGTCTGGTCCCAGCCCAGCGATGTCCTGGAGCTGCTGGTGACAGGTGAGGTCCTGGGGTCGGGGAGGAGAAGTGGGTGGAACAAGGGAGTTGGGGGAGGGACAGAGAGATATAGGGAAAGAGAGACAGAGCGAGGCGGGCAAACAGATTCACAGACACAAGAAAAGACAGATACAGAGACACTAGGGGGAGAGAGAGAGACAGGGGAGCAGAGAGAGAGAGAGGTACAGTGCGGGGGGAGAGAGAGAGAAAGAGGCAGAAGGAGAAAGGGAGGCAGAGAGAGAGGGAGGCAGAGAGAGAGGGAGGCAGAGAGAGAGGGAGGCAGAGAGAGAGGCAGGCAGAGAGAGAGGGAGGCAGAGAGAGAGGGAGGCAGAGAGAGAGGGAGGCAGAGAGAGAGGGAGGCAGAGAGAGAGGGAGGCAGAGAGAGGGAGGCAGAGAGAGAGGCAGGCAGAGAGAGAGGCAGGCAGAGAGAGAGGGAGGCAGAGAGAGAGGGAGGCAGAGAGAGAGGGAGGCAGAGAGAGAGGGAGGCAGAGAGAGAGGGAGGCAGAGAGAGAGGGAGGCAGAGAGAGGGAGGCAGAGAGAGAGGGAGGCAGAGAGAGAGGCAGACAGAGAGAGAGACAGGCAGAGAGAAAGAGAGGCAGAAAGAGAGAGAGAGGCACAGAGAAAGCGAGAGACAGAGGAGAAGGAGAAACAGAGCGAGCGAGCGAGCGGAAGACGCTCACGCGGCCCCGGACTCTCACCCCGTCTCTGCAGAGGAGCTGCCGCGGCCGTCGCTGGTGGCGCTGCCCGGGCCGGTGGTGGGTCCTGGCGCCAACGTGAGCCTGCGCTGCGCGGGCCGCCTGCGGAACATGAGCTTCGTGCTGTACCGCGAGGGCGTGGCGGCCCCGCTGCAGTACCGCCACTCCGCGCAGCCCTGGGCCGACTTCACGCTGCTGGGCGCCCGCGCCCCCGGCACCTACAGCTGCTACTATCACACGCCCTCCGCGCCCTACGTGCTGTCGCAGCGCAGCGAGGTGCTGGTCATCAGCTGGGAAGGTGAGGGCCCTGAGGCCCGGCCCGCCTCCTCCGCCCCAGGAATGCAGGCCCCAGGACCTCCGCCCTCAGACCCAGGAGCCCAGGCCCCCAGCCTCTCCTCCTTCAGACCCAGGGGTCTAGTCCTGCAGCCCCTCCTCCCTCAGACCCAGGATTCCTGGGACCCAGCCCCTCCTCCCTCAGATCCAGGAGTCTAGTCCTCCAGCTCCTCCTCCCTCAGACCCAGGATTCCCGGGCCCCAGTACCTCCTCCCTCAGACCCAGGACTCCAGGCCCCCAGCCCCTCCTTCCTGGACCCAGGACTCCAGGCCCCCAGCCCCTCCTTCCTGATCCAGCAGTCCAGGCCCCAGCCCCTTCTTCCTGGACCCAGGAGTTGAAGCCTCCATCGACTCCCCCTCAACTTTGAGACTGTAGAGTCAGGTCCCTAAGTCCACCCCAGGGGCTGGAAACCTGGAGTTCAGGGCCCAGACTTTGGGGTCCGGGAGCTGATGGCCCCTCTCTCCCGGCTCCGCCCGCAGACTCTGGCTCCTCCGACTACACCCGGGGGAACCTAGTCCGCCTGGGGCTGGCCGGGCTGGTCCTCATCTCCCTGGGCGCGCTGGTCACTTTTGACTGGCGCAGTCAGAACCGCGCTCCTGCTGGTATCCGCCCCTGAGCCCCAGGAGCACTGCAGCCCGAGACTTCCAACCTGAGTGGCGGAGAAGCTGGGACCCTGGGCTGGACTGTCCTTTCCTGCAGCCCCACAGTCCTGCTGGCTGAGCTCCGCGGAACGGTCCTTAGACCCCGCTGTGCCCTGTGCTGTAGCTTCTTTCCAGGCCTTTCCCAAGGAGTAGCTGAAAGGAAGACGCGATTAGTGGTTAAGACTTCCAAGCCAGAAGACAGAGGGTTCGAATCCCAGCACTGCCGTCTACTCACTGTAGTAGTAGCAGCTACAGAAAGGTAGTAGTGAGACGTGAAGCCAGCTGGACTTCCTGGGTTGAATGGGGACCTGGAGAACTTTTCTGTCTTACAAGAGGATTGTAAAATGGACCAATCAGCACTCTGTAAGATGGACCAATCAGCGCTCTGTAAAATGGACCAATCAGCAGGACACGGGCGGGGACAATAAGGGAATAAAAGCTGGCGAGCGCGGCACCCCACCAGAGTCTGCTTCCACGTTGTGGGAGCTTTGTTCTCTTGCTCTACACAATAAATCTTGCTGCTGCTAACTCTTTAGGTCCGTGCCATCTTTAAGCGCTGTAACACTCACCACGAAGGTCCCTGGCTCCATTCTTAAAGTCAGCGAGACCACAAACCCACAGGAAGGAACCAACTCTGGACACGGTAGCAGCATTCAGAAAGCGCCCTTCCCCAACTCTCTCTTGCCTTGACGGTAAAATGGATGCACTGATAAAACCCACTTCATAGGATTGTTGTAGGAGTCAGTGGGTAATACACATAAAACATTTAAAGCAGTAACTGGCCCGTAGTAAGTGTTCAATAAATGTTAGCTACCCTGTAACACCGATTTCTACCAGACTCAGTGCCGAAAGGAAGGTCTCACCTTTTTGCCATCAAGCATAATCAAGCACGACTTTTTCTTTCTTTCTTTCTTTCTTTTTTTTGAGAGAAGATCTCACTCCACCCAGGCTGGAGTGCAGTGGCGTGATCTCGGTTCACTGCAACATCCGCCTCCCGGGTTCAAGTGATTCTCGTGCCTCAGTCTCCTGAGTAGCTGGGATTACAGGTGTGCGCCATCACGCCCAGCTAATTTTTGTATTTTTAGTAGAGATGGAGTTTTGCCAAATTGGCCAGGGTGGTCTCGAACTCCTGACCTCAAGTGATCCACCTGCCTCGGCCTCCCGAATAGCTGGGATTACAGGTGCGTACCACCATGTCCGGCTAATGTTTGTATTTTTAGTAGAGACGGGGTTTCACCATGTTGACCAGACTGGTCTTGAACTCCTGACCTCAAGTGATCCGCCCGCCTCAAGAACTGAATTTTGAAGTCTAATTAGCCACCTGGGGGCGCTAACGTGTTGAAAAGACGGGAGGAGAGACTGAGCGGGTCTTCCGGGGTTTGATCTCAGTGCCAGAGGGGCCTTGGTAGAACATATGTGGGACAACCTCCCCGGCATATGTGGCTGTGGGAAATAATAACAATTTTAAAAAAGGAATAAGCCGGGGGTGCTGGCTCACACCTGTGATCCTAGCACTTTGGGAGGCTGAGGCAGGTGGATCACGAAGTCAGAAGTTCGAGACCAGCCTGGACAACATGGTAAAACCCCGTCTCTACTAAAAATACAAAAATTAGCCGGGCATGGTGGCGGGCGCCTGTAATCCCAGCTACTCGGGAGGCTGAGGCAGGAGAATTGCTTGAACCCAGGAGGCGGAGGTTGTAGTGAGCCGAGATTGCATCACTGCACACTCCAGCCTGGGTGACAGAGCAAAACTCCGTCTCAAAAAAAAAAAAAAAAAAAAAAGAATAAAGAAGAGACGCAGGTTATAAGGAAGGCACCAGACCTGGATGAGGCTGTGATGTCATCAAATCCAGTCTTCCCACTTTATAAATGGGAAAATGGTGGAAAGAGAGGTGATATTAAGTTTACCTAAACATGTACAGGAAGTCAGTGGCACATCAGGGAGTCTTTTTTTTTCCTTTTTCCCTCTTTTTTTATTTTATTTTATTTTATTTTATTTTTTTTGAGGTGGACTTTCGCTCTTGTTGCCCAGGCTGGAGTGCAATGGCGCCATCTCGGCTCACCACAACCTCCGCCTCCCAGGTTCAAGTGATTCTCCTGCCTCAGCCTCCCGAGTAGCTGGGATTACAGGTGTGAGCCACCACACCTGGCTAATTTTGTATTTTGAGTAGAAACAGGGTTTCTCTGTGTAGGTCAGGCTGGCCTCGAACTCCCAAACTCAGGTGATCCGCCCGCCTCAGCCTCCCAAAGTGCTGGGATTACAGGCATGAGCCACCGTGCCCGGCCCTCTTTTTTTTAAAATGTATTTCCACCCAAAGCAGAGAAAAAGAAGTCTTGGCCGAGTTTGTACTTCAACTTAACTCCATGTATTCATCCATTCAATCACTCCTTCATTCACCATTCACTCATTCATGTCTAGCATTGATTCTCATCCTTATTCATTTCTATTGAGCATCTCTTTTTCCTTTGCTTTCATTTGTACATTTGTCTATTTCATTTGTCCTTATCCATCATGCATTCATTCATATTTCCATCCATTTACCCATCCATTTCTTCATTAACCAGTTTTTAATCCACTGAACTATTTATTCATTCAATATCCATCTATCTACCTGTGCATTTATCTATCCAATAAGCTTGAGATTTTTTTTCTTTTTGAGATGGAGTCTTGCTCTGTTTCCCAGGTTGGAGTGCAGTGTTGTGATCTCAGCTCACTACAATCTCCACCTCCCGGGTTCAAACGATTCTCCTGCCTCAGCCTCCCAAGTAGCTGGGATTACAGGCACCTGCCACCATGCCCGGCTAATTTTGTGTTTTTAGTAGAGATGGGGTTTCACCATGTTGGCCAGGCTGTTCTCGAACGCTTGACCTAAAGTGATCCATCTGCCCACCTTGGTCTCCCTTTAAAGTGCTGGGATTACAAGCGTGAGCCACTGCACCCAGCTGAGATTTCTTCATAGCAGTTTACCAGTGACCAGTGTTCAATGAATGCTTATTGAGTGAGTTGTAGTCACAATGCTTATTTCATTTTCTACCACTGAACATCTTTTCATACTGGTCATTTTGCTGGGTGATCCACATAGGTTATTTCTGATCTTTATCAACAGCCCCCAAGTCACACAGAAGTGCTTAACTTGGGACTTGTCTGTGTGGTTAGACTGCTGGGTCTTTTCCCCCTGTTCCTGCCTCTTAAAGCAATGACAACACTGCCATCACCACGCCTGGCCAATTTATTATTACTATTATTATTATTATTTTTTTTTGAGATGGAGTCTCGCTCTGTTGCCAGGCTGTAGTGCAATGACGCGATCTCGGCTCACTGCAACCTCCGCCTCCTGGGTTCAAGCGATTCTCCTGCCTCGGCCTCCCGAGTAGCTGGGATTACAGGCGTGTGCCACCACCACGCCCAGCTAACTTTTGTATTTTTAGTAGAGATGGGGTTTCACCATGTTGGCCAGGATGGTCTCGATCTATTGACCTCGTGATCCACCCGCCTCGGCCTCCCAAAGTGCTGGAATTACAGGCGTGAGCCACCGCGCCCGGCTAATTGTTTACTTTTTATAGCTATGGGGTCTCACCATGTTGTCCAGGCTGGTCTTGAATGCCTGGCCTCAAGCCATCCTCCTTCCTTGGCCTCCCAAAGTGCTGGGATTCCAGGAGTGAGTCACTGCGCCAGGCCTAGGGCTTCCACTGATTTCCCCTAGTCTCATTCATCCTCGTATCACTCATGTATTCAATGTCTACCGTGCATGGCATTGTGCTAGAGTCCGGCGGTCCAGTGGGGAGCAATAGCAGACGTAAACCCTGCACTCATGGAACTCACAAAGTATTAACCAAATCACTGCATAGTGTATTGGTTACAGAGCACTTTAAGCTGTTGTAAAAAAGAATCTCCCGGCCAGGTGCAGTGGCGCACACCTGTAATCCTAGCACTTTGGGAGGCCAAGGCAGGTGGATCACCTGAGGTCAGGAGTTCGAGAGCAGCCTGATTAACATGGTGAAACCCTGTCTCTACTAAATACAAAAAATTAGCCTGGTGTGGTGGTGCATGCCTGTAATCCCAGCTACTCGGGAGGCTGAGGCAGGAGAATCACTTGAACCCGGGAGGCGGAGGTTTCACTGAGCCGAGGTCGTGCCATTGCACTCCAGCCTGGGCAACAAGAGCCAAGCTCCATCTCATAAAAAAGAGAGAGAGAGAGAAAAAAAGAATCTCCTTCACCACCGGAAAAAAACTAGATATAAATGTACCTCTCTCTCACTTAACAGTAAATCACTGGGCAATCTCAACGATTTACTTGTTAAGGTGGGATGGTTTTGCTTTTATCAACATGTAGCTTTAATTTCTGGTTCTGAGCCCCAAGAAAGTGGAGAGGACAGAGAGAAAAGGGCTCACACAATTATTATTATTTTTTTTTTCCGAGTTGGAGTCTTGCTCTGTCGCCCAGGCTGGAGTGCAGTGGCGCGATCTCGGCTCACTGCAAGCTCCGCCTCCCGGGTTCACGCCATTCTCCTGCCTCAGCCTCCCGAGTAGCTGGGACTACAGGCGTCCACCACCACACCCGGCTAATTTTTTTTGTATTTTTAGTAGAGACGGGGTTTCACCGTGTTATCCAGGATGGTCTCGATTTCCTGACCTCGTGATCCGCCTGCCTCAGCCTCCCAAAGTACTGGAATTACAGGCGTGAGCCACTGCGCCCGGCCCACACAATTATTTTTTAAGAGCAGGACCTAGAATTTGAGCATATATCTTCCTATCGCATCCCATTGGCTAGAACTTAGTCTCATGGCCAGGTCTAGCCGCAAAAGTGACTGATGGAAATATGGTCTCTAGCCTGTGCCCTTCTAAAAATGAGGGTGGGAGGGGGTGGGATAGGTGCAGTGGCTCACTCGTAATCCCAGCATTTTGGGAAGCTGAGGCAGGAGGATGGCTTGAGGCCAAGAGTTTGAGACTCCCTTCTCTATTCAAAAAAAAAAAAAATACAGTAGGCCAGGTGCGGTGGTTCACGCCTGTAATCCCAGCACTTTGGGAGGCCAAGGCAGGCAGATCACCTGAGGTCAGGAGTTGGAGACCACCCTGGCCAATATAGTGAAACCCCGACTCTACTAAAAATACAAAGCTGTAATCCCAGCTACTCGGGAGGCTGAGGCAGGAGAATCACTTGAACCCTGGAGGCAGAGGTTGCAGTGAGCTGATACACGCCATTGCACTCCAGCCTGGGCCACAGAGCGAGACTCCGTCCCAAAAAAAAGAAAAACAACGAATAAAACAAAAAAACAAAAAACAAACAAAAAAAAGTTTAATGATTTTTCTTCTCTCTAGGAGAAAATATGGAAGTAAAACAGGACCCATCTGAAGATCGTGTGTCCTCTGCTGATTTTAAATAGCCATGGAAAGTTAATGCCACCGCAAGGGGCAGCCCCGCCCTGGCACTCTGGAAACCTGGTACTTATCCACGCAATCAGAGGCTTGAACCACAGCTAAGCTGAGTCTCGGCGGGACCTCTTCTGATCCTCCGGGCACACAAGAGGATTGGGGGCTGGGGAGGAGCTGCTTCAAGGACACCTCCGTTTTACCTCCCGTGATACCGTGATATAGTAAGAAATATGTACTTGGTCTTCAGCTTTGGTTCCAAAGACACCCTTCTCACCCCATCACTCTGGAATTTCCAAAAACCCTTGGTGAGAAGGGTGTCTTTTGTTGTTTATAAGGAGCCTCTTTTCTCTTTCTCTCTTTCTTGCTTCCTTCCTTCCTTGCCTCCCTCCCTCCCTCCTTCCTTTTCTCTTTTCTTTTTTCTTCTTTCTTTCTTTTTCTTTCTTTCTTTTTCTTTTCTTTCTTTCTTTCTTTCTCTCTTTTCTTCTTTCTTTCTCTCTTCCCTTTCTCTCCCTTTCCTTTCCTTTCTCTCCCTTCCCCTCCCCTCCCCTCTCCTCTCCTCTCTTTTCCTTTCTTTTCCTTCCTTTCCTTCTTTCCTCTAATCCCAGCACTTTGGGAGGCCAAGGCGGGCGGATCACTTGAGGTCAGGAGTTTCAGACCAGCCTGGCCAACATGGTGAAACCCCGTCTCTACTAAAAATACAAAAATTAGTCGGGCATGGTGGCAGGCACCTGTAATTCCAGCTACTCTGGAGGCTGAGGCAGGAGAATCCCTTGAACTAGGATGCAGAGGTTGCGGTGAACCGAGATCTCACCACTGCACTCCAGCCCGGGCTACAGAGCGAGACTCCGTCTCAAGGAAATATAAAAGAAAATAAAATAAATGTCTCCCAAAGAGACAAGTCAGATTAGCCTAAACCCAGGAATAACTACAGGCAGTTTGAGGGCCAAAGGCAAGGTAGGGGCTGGCCAGATCCGATCTCCTTCACTGCCATCCTTTGCTCACTCTCGTAATTTTTGCAAAGGAGGTTTCAATTGCATGGTTGTCAGCGAACATCCTATTCATCCATTTCTTGCTTTCTACCAGTAAAATTGAACTTTATAGGCCTGCTTTGTGCTTTTAAGGCTAACTAGCAAAATTCCAGAGTTTAGCCTTAAAAAATATTTATAATTGGCCGGGCACAGTGGCTTACACCTGTAATCCCAGCACTTTGGGAGGCTGAGGCGGGCGGATCACAAGGTCAGGAGATCGAGACCATCTTGGCTAACATGGTGAAACTCCATCTCTACTAAACACACACACACACAAAAAAAAAAGTAGCCGGGTGTAGTGGCACACGCCTGTAGTCCCAGCACTTTGGAAGGCTGAGGTGGGCGGATCATGAGGTCAGGAGATCAAGACCATCCTGGCTAACATGGTGAAACCCCGTCTCTACTAAAAATACAAAAAAAAAAAAAAAAAAAGTAGCTGGGCATAGTGGCACATGCCTGTAGTCCCAGCTACTTGGGAGGCTGAGGCAGGAGAATCACTTGAACCCGGGAGGCAGAGGTTGCAGTGAGCTGAGATTGTGCCATTGTACTCCATCCTGGGTGACAGAGTGAGACTCCATCTAAAAAAAAAATTCTTTATAATTGATCAAAAGAAGTTTAAGAAATGGATTAAGAAGATCTCTTCTTTGCAGCTGTAGGGGAGGAGAGGGAGCTAGAGAGAGAGAGGGCATTGAGAGAGGAGAAAAAGATATTCTGTGCCATAAAACTAATTCAAGAATGTAGTTTAGGCGAGGCATGGTGGTTCACACCTGTAATCCCAGAACTTTGGGAGGTCGAGGCAGGCGGATCACTTGGGCCCAGAAGTTCGAGACCAGCCCTGGCCAACATGGCAAAACACTGTCTCTACTAAAAGTACAAAAATTAGCCCAGCGTGGTGGCACAACCCTGTAATTCCTTGTACTTGGGAGGGCTGGGGCAAGAGAATCACTTGAACCCGAGAGGCAGAGGTTGCAGTGAGTCGAGATCACACCACTGCACTCCAACCTGGGTGACACAGTGAGACCCTGTCTTAAAAAAAAAAAAACAAAAAAAAAAACAGAGTGGGGTGGGGGGCTGGGGGAGGGATAGCATTAGGAGAAATACCTAATGTAAATGATAACTTGATGGGTGGAGCAAACCAACATGGCACATGTATCAAACCTGTACATTATGCACATGTACCCTAGAACTTAAAGTAAAAAAACAAAACAAAACAAACAAACAAAAAAACGGAATGTGGATTGATAAGTTAATAAACTGAGAATATTAAAAAGGCTCTAAATGTGTTTTATAGTCTTATGTAGTATGGAGATCTATGGATATTTATTACAGCAGCCAGTGTTCCATTCTGTGGTTCCATAAATCTGTGCTTTGAAGTGTAATTTGCACAAAATAATCTTGTAGGAGTCCAAAGACATTAGAAATTATTGCCAGTATTGCAATCATTATTTTGAAGGAGAAACCTTGGTGCCATTTGGTGGTCTTACTTAATATTTTGTTGCCCTGGTAACAATCTTATGATTGACATCTGAATTTCCAAGCAGAATAAATGCTTGTAAAAACAATTCTGTTAAATCAGAAGCTATGCATTGGTGTCTGTGTCTTAGTCTGTATTCTGTTGCTTAGAACAGAACACTTGAAACCAGATAACTTATAAAGAAAAGGAATTTATTTCCTGTAGTTAATGGAGGTTGGAAAGTCCAAGGTGGAGGGGCTGCATCTGGTGAGGACCTTCTTGCTGTTGGGGACTCTCTGGAGGGTTCCGAGGTGGCACAGGGCATCACAGGGCAAAAGAGCTGAGCGTGCTACTTAAGTCTCTCTTCCTCTTCTGATAAAGCCACCAGTCTCACTCCCAGGGTAACCCATTAATCCATTAACTCACTAATCCATTAATCATTAATCCATGAATGGATTAGTTCATTCATGAGAAAAGAGTCCTCATGACCCAATCACCTCTTAAATGCCCGACCTATCAATACGGCCACATTAGGGATTCAGTTTCACCATAAGTTTATTTATTATTTATTTATGTATTTTTTGAGACAATGTCTTGCTATGTCACCCAGGCTGGACAGCAGTGGCATGATCTCAGCTCATTATAACCTCCACCTCCCAGGTTCAAGTGATTCTCCTGCCTCAGCCTCCTGAGTAGCTGGTATTACAGGCACGTGCCACCATGCCCGGGTAATTTTTGTATTTTTAGTAGAGACAGGGTTTCATCATGTTGGCCAGCTAGTCTCAAACTCCTGACCTCATGTGATCTGCCCACCTTGGCTTCCTAAAGTGCTGAGATTACAGGTGTGAGCCACCACACTCAGCTTATTTACCTATTTATTTTTTGAGACAGGGTCTCACTGTGTTGCACAGGCTGGAGTGCAGTGGTGCAATCACGGTTCACTGCATCCTCAGCTTTCTGGGCTCAGGTGATCCTCCCACTTCAGCCTCCTGAGTAGCTGGGATCACAGGCATGTGCCACCTCACCTGGCTAATTTTTAAATTATTTGTAGAGACAGGGTCTCCCTATGTTGCCCAGGCTGGTTCAACATGAGTTTTCAAGGGAACAAATATTCAAACCTTAGCAGCAGGTTAAATGATCTTTCTCCCACATTTATGATCGGAAAAAAAAAATTAAAGCCTGAGACTCTGCTAGACTTCTTACTTTAACAAGAGTCTGAGAGTCTTGTTTCATTTCCATTACAGCATCTATTAATAGTTCTGACTGAGAGAAGAGCTATCCTTTACTTTGACGATTATGAAGAATAGGGGAAAAGACATTAAAAAGACACAATTACACCATTGATGATTTTGTCACAGCTGAGATAAGTGCTGTTAAAGAACTTGCAGGGAAGTCTTTGCTAAAGAAAAGATTCTGAAGCTGGTTTCTGAGGGAAGAGTCAAAGTTAGCCAAGCAAAAATGGGGGAAAAACTCCAGATACAGGAGTTTTCAGGATGTTTCAGGGTCTGAGATGGGAAGGAGGTTATGTGTTCCAACCCAGTGGTTCTCAAACTTGACTGCACATTAGAATTTCCCAGGAACATTTAAAACACAGAATGAGACACCCAGGCCTCATCCTATACCCATTATAAAAATTAAAATCTCGACTGGGCACGGTGGCTCACACCTGTAATCCCAGCACTTTGGGAGGCCAAGGTGGGCAGATCACCTGAGGTCAAGAGTTCAAGACCAGCCTGACCAACATGGAGAAATCCCATCTCTACTAAAAAATACAAAATTAACTGGGTGTGGTGGCACTTGCCTGTAATCCGAGCTACTTGGGAGGCTGAGGCAGGAGAATCGCTTGAACCCGGGAGGCAGAGGTTGCAGTGAGCTGAGATCATGCCATTGCACTTCAGCCTGGGCAACAAGAGCAAAATTCCATCTTAAAAAAACAAAAATAAAAAAATAATTAAAATCTCTCGGTGGGACTCAGGCACTCAGTAAATATATATATATCTATTTCCATTGACCATAACACATGACAGACTAAAGATGGCCTCCAATTCTTTGTCACTGTCCCTATAGAGAGGTAGAGTTTATTTTCCCTCCCCTTGAATCTGGCCTTTCCTTAAGACTGTAGAAGAAGAGAAACTGTGTCAGTTCCAGGCTTAGTCTTTAAAGGGACAAACAACTTTTGCCTTCTTTATTTTATTTATTTATTTATTTATTTGAGACAGAGTCTCATTCTGTTGCCCAGGCTGGAGTGCAGTGGTGTGATCTCGGCTCACTGCAACTTCCGCCTCCCAGGTTCAAGCAATTCTCCTGCCTCGGCCTCCTGAGTAGCTGGGATTACAGGTGTGCACAAACACACCCGGCTAATTTTTTTTAATTTTGTTTTTAGTAGAGACGGGGTTTTACCATGTTGGCCAGGCTGATGTTGAACTCCTGACCTCAGGTGATCCACCCACCTCGGCCTCCCAAAGTGCTGGGATTACAGACGTGAGCCACCATGCCCAGCCGCCTTCTCTATTTTAGAAAGCTCTCTTGTGACATCCCCTCTTGAAACCCAGATGCTATCCTCCAAGAAGTCTGAATCAAATGGAGAGGCCATGTGCAGGTACATCATTCAACAGTCCTAGCCGAGCTTTCAACCAACATCCAGCATCAACAGCCAGCCATTTGCAAGTGCCATCTTGGAGATTCCAGCTCAGTTGAGCCACCCTGATGACTGAAGCCCAGGAAGACATCACATTGAACCGAAGAACCGCTCAACTGAGCCCAGTCATCTCACCAGATCAGGAATGATTAAAAAAAAAAAAAAACAAGATTGTTACTCTAAGTTACTCAGTTTTGGGGTGGTTTGTTAACACAGTAATTGATAACCTAAACCCAAAAGAGAACTAAATAATGATGACTTAAAACTAATACCAATTGATTTCTCCCTTATGTAGAATAAATCTGAAGGGAGCAGTCCAAGGCTGGCACAGTGACTCCAAAAAGCATTATGGACCTAAGTTACTTCTGGCTCACCCTCCACCATCTTGAACCTCATCTCATCTTCATGGTTCAAGATGACGCTAGAATACCAGTCATCACATCCACATTTTAGGCAGTTAAGTGAAGGAAGGAAAGTGTACTTCATTAAAGAACCTTTTGGAAGCTGTCTACAATATTTATGCTTATTTATCATTGTCCTAGATGAAGACTTACGGCTACATCTACCTGTAAGTGACACTGAAGAATGTAGTTTTTTACCTGGGTGCCAATGGGCCCAGCTAAAAATCAGAATTCTCAACAGCAAAAGGATGGCTTTGAGATAATCATGTAGATTATGTGCAGATAACTACAGATAAGTCCCCTCCCCCAAGTCTATTTTAAATTTTCT
This sequence comes from Homo sapiens, assembly GCF_000001405.40. Taxonomy (NCBI): domain Eukaryota; kingdom Metazoa; phylum Chordata; class Mammalia; order Primates; family Hominidae; genus Homo; species Homo sapiens. The sequence goes on along the minus strand of NC_000019.10, from coordinate 54,083,973 downwards.
CCTGGAGTATTTTAAAGTAAACCTCAGATATAATATGATTTCATCTATAAGACTTTTTATTTTGGTAACATATTCTTAAGGTTAGGTGTGATAAACACCTAACAAAGTGAATGATTATTTATTTATTTATTTTATTATTATTTTTTGAGATGGAGTTTCACTCTTGTTGCCCAGGCTGGGGTACAATGGTGCGATCTCAGCTCACTGCCACCTCCCCCTCCCAGGTTCAAGTGATTCTCCCACCTCAGCCTCCTGAGAAGCTGGGATTACAGGTATATACCACCAAGCCTGGCTAATTTTTGTATTTTTTGTAGAGATGGGATTAGGCCATGTTGCCCAGGCTGGTGTTGAACTCCTGGGATCAAGCCTTCCACCTACCTCACCTCCCAAAATCTTAGGATTACAGGTGTGATCCACCTTGCCTGGCCCTAAGCTATTCTTTATTCTTTCTTTTTTCGTTTTTTGAATCAGGGTCTCCTTTCTTCATTTCCAAGTGGAATGGAACTTTACCAGGCCTTTCCTGTTGACTGATAAAATTCCAGAGCCTAGTTTTAAAATATGCATATTCCTTGTTAGCAACAGAGATGTTAAGAAGAAATATAGGAGATGTCCTCTTTTCCCTGATACTGCATAAGGAGAAAGATTTTTTCTGAGTCACAACACTAATTTAAGGAATCTGATTTGATAAAGAGTTGAATTGAGAAGATTCACAAGAATATCAGTCTTGTTTTCTGGTACAATATGGAGAACTAAATGAATATTCACAAACATTACTAAATTGTTCTCTGTTGAAATAAATTCATACACAAAACTGTTATTTGAACAAAAGGGTCTTGTAAGAGTCCCAAGCCTTTAAAAATCATTGCCACATCTTGTGAAAATAACTTTCAAAGAAACACCTGTAATTATAGTTGGTTTTACTCCTTATAATTTGTTGCCTTGTTGACTTTTCTATGTTCCAAAACAGTAAGAAGAGTAGGTGCTATCAAGACAAAAAATCCGAAAACAAAAACGAGACTTCGGGGCATTTTGCTCTTCTTCCAAATGCAAGATGAAAAAAAACATGGTTAAAAACTAACTTGCTTGATTTCTTATTTTAACAAAAAAATAAAAAATTTTGTCTGATTCAAATTAACATTTTTTTTTTTTTTTGAGACTGAGTCTCACTCTGTTGCCCAGGCTGGAGTGCAATGGTGCGATCTCAGCTCACTGCAACCTTTGCCTCCCAGGTTCAAGCAGTTCTCCTGCCTCAGCCTCCTGAGTAGCTGGGATTACAGGCGTGCACCACCACGCCCAGCTAATTTTTGTATTTTTAGTAGAGATGAGGTTTCACCATGGTTGGCCAGGCTGGTCTCGAACTCCTGACCTCAGGTTATCTACCTGCCCCGGTCTCCCAAAGTGTTGGGATTACAGGCATGAGCCACTGCGCCAGGCTAAATTAACATAATTATCAAATGCAATCTGTAGACTTTTATTGGATCCTGATTTATTCTTTAAAAACCTGATAGAAATGACATTTTTGAGACAATCAGGGAAATTTGAGTACTGAATGGGTATTAGCTGGTATCAAGGAGGTACTCTTAACTTTCTTGATGTGACAGTGCTGTGGTGCTTATATTATTTTTAAAATGGTTCTTATTTGATAAAGATAGATATGTACTGAAATATTCTGAACTTAAAAAATGAGCTCATGACTGGCTGGGCACAGTGGCTCATGCCTGTAATCCCAGCACTTTGGGAGGCTGAGGTGGGTGGATCACTTGAGATCAGGAGTTTGAGACCAGCCTGGCCAACATGGTGAAACCTCATCTCTACTAAAAAATACAAAAATTAACTGGGCGTGTTGAAGGGCTCCTGTAATCCCAGCTACTTGGGAGGCTGAGGCAGGAGAACCGCTTGAACCTGGGGGTTGGAGGTTGCAATGAGATGAGATTTTGCCACTTCACTCCAGCCTGGGCGAAAGAGTGGAACTCTGTCTCAAAAGAAAAAAAAAATGGTGATGAAGGCCTGGCACAGTGGCTCATGCCTGTAATCCCAGCAGTTTGGGAGGCCGAGGCAGGTGGATCACTTGAGGCGAGGAGTTCAAGACTAGCCCAGCTAACTTGTGAAACCTCATCTTAACTAAAAATACAAACATTAGCCGGGCATGGTGGCATGCGCCTATAATCCCAGCTACTTGGGAGGCTGAGGCCGGAGAATTGCTTGAACCCAGGAGGCTGAAGTTGCAATGACCTGAGATCGTGCCACTGGACTCCAGCCCAGGTAACAGAACCAGACACCATCTCAAAAAAAAAAAAAAGAGTGAAGTGCTTTCATCTCTTCAATACGAACCCTTCAGGGCCAAGTCTGAAGCATTTTCGGGGTTACCTGTTTGATGCCTGAAATCTGCCTGAGACAGAGGAGCATTTCCTGTGAGTCAAGTGCTCGAACACTGGTGTGTGTAAGGAGCATGTTGCAATCAGCAACATCAACATGTTTCCTGAATGTGGATATGGGAGGGGAAACTGAAAGGCTAGGAAAGGCTGTTACTGCCCACACTCTGGGGTGGGAGAGAGGCAGCGACGACTCCAGCTCTTCTCCCATCTGTGGACTGCAGAACCCAAGACGGACTCTGGGAGGGCTAAGGAGCCATCATGATCCCTAAGCTGCTTTCCCTCCTCTGTTTCAGTAAGTCTCACAGGGCTATCCACTGGGACTGCAGAAAATCATGGAACTGGTGGGATAGTTGGGCTGGGGATGGAAATAATAACATCAACTTTGGCTTACTGAGCACACGGGAGGAGTGAGACGTCCTGCTGAGTGCACTGCAGACATTCCCTGGAAACGAGTGCTCTGCAAACTTCAACTCCTGTAGTTTCAACTTCGTGAGTTTTGCTGAATGCCTCCACCACCTGGCTTCATTGGCTTACCCCTTTTCTCAGGATCAACTCTGACTTTTTGTGTGTAAGTAAAAGTATTCAGAATAGAAACCTTATTTTATTTTATTTTATTTTATTTTTTTGAGACAGGGTTTTGCTCTTGTTGCCCAGGCTGTAGTGCAATGGCGTGATCTCGGCTCACCACAACCTCTGCCTCCCGGGTTCAAGCGATTCTCCTGCTTCAGCCTCCTGAGTAACTGGATTACAGGGGTGCGCCACCATGCCTGGTTAATTTTTGTATTTTTAGTAGAGACGGTGTTTCACCATGTTGGCCAGGCTGGTCTCGAACTCCCGACCTCAGGTGATCTGCCCACCTCAGTCTCTCAAAGTGCTGGGATTACAGATGTGAGCCACTGTGCCTGGCCCAGAAACCTTAATACCATAAATAAAAATTTAGTGTCAAATAGATAACTATAAAGTAAATTGAGGCCGCTGTGTAACCATCACCACTATCTACACTAAAACCTCTTTCTTTCTTCCTTCCTTCCTTCCTTTCTTTCTTTTTCTCCTTCCCTTCCTTCCTTCCTTCCTTCCTTCCTTCCTTCCTTCCTTCCTTCCTCCCTTCCTTCCTCTCTCTCTCTTTCTTTTTTTTTTTTTTGAGATGGAGTCTCGCTCTGTCGCCCAGGCTGGAGTGCAGTGGTGCGATCTCTGCTCACTGCAAGCTCCGCCTCCCGGGTTCACGCCATTCTCCTGCCTCAGCCTCCCGAGTAGCTGGGACTACAGGCGCCCGCCACCATGCCCGGCTTTTTTCGTAGGTTTCACTGTGTTAGCCAGGATGGTCTCCATCTCCTGACTTCTTGATCTGCCCGCCTCGGCCTCCCAAAGTGCTGGGATTACAGGCGTGAGCCCCCGCTTGCTTGCCTGCTTGCTTGCTTGCTTGCTTGCTTGCTTGCTTGCTTGCTTGCTTGCTTGCTTTCTTCCTTCCTTCCTTCCTTCCTTCCTTCCTTCCTTCCTTCCTTCCTTTCTTTCTCTTTCTCCTTCATTCCTTCCTTCCTCTCTCTCTTTCCCTTCCTTCCTTCCTTCCTTCCTTCCTTCCCTCCTTTTCCTTTTTTTGAGACAAAGTCTCACTCTGTACCCAGGCTGGAGTGCAGTGGTATGACCACAGCTCACTGCAGCCTCCACCTCCTGGGCTCAAGCAATTCTCCTGCCTCAGCCTCCTGGGTAGCTGAGATTACAGGTGCCCACCACACACCCGGCTGATTTTTTGTACTTTTTAGTAGAGACGGGGTTTCATCATGTTGGCCAGGCTGGTCTTGAGCTCCCTCAGGTGATCACCTCAGGTGATCTGCCCGCCTCAGCCTCAGCCTCCCAAAGTGCTGGGATTACAGGCGTGAGCCACAGTGCCCCGTGTAATTTTTAAATTTTTTGTAGAGACGGGATCTCACTATGTTACTCAGGCTGGTCTCAAACTCCTGGCCTCAAGCAGCCCTTCTGCCTTGGCCTCCCAAAGTGCTGGGATTACAGGCGTGAGCCACTGTGGTGGCTCTGCCACCTTTTTCTCCCATCCTGGCCCTCAGCAGAATACCCACCTCCATTAGGAAGGCCAACCTGCCCGACTCAGCATTAGATTCAAATGCTGATCTTTCTAAAAACACCCTCACAGACACGCCCAGAAATAATGTTTAACCAGATATCCCAGCATCCTGTGGCCTGGTCTAGCTGATAAATCAAATTAACAATCACAATTCCCAATATGAACGCTACACCCTCTAACCAATAACTCTGTATTTGCCGCGGTCCTCCCAGCCCCTGGTAACCTCCATTCTAATTTCTTTTTTTTTTTTTTTTTTCGGAGATGGAGTCTTGCTTCGTCACCCAGGCTGGAGTACAGTGGCCTAATCTCAGCTCACTGCAACCTCCGCCTCCTGGGTTCAAGCGATTCTCCTGCCTCTCCCTCCCGAGTAGCTGGGATCACTGGCGCTCACCACCATGCCTGGCTAAGTTTTTTTTTTTTTTTTTTTTTAGTAGAGACAAGGTTTCACCATGTTGACCAGGCTGGTCTCGATCTCCTGACTTTGTGATCTGCCTGTCTCGGCCTCCCAAAGTGCTGGGATTACAGGCGTGAGCCACCGTGTCCAGCCCATTCTAATTTTTATCTCTATGAATTTGCTTATTCTAGGATGTATGAGTGGAATCATAACACTTGTTCTTTTTTGCCTGACTTAGTTTACTCAGCATAATATCCTCGAGCTACATCTATATTGTAGGATATGTCAGATTTCCTTTCCTTTTTATGGCTAAAATCCCACTGTAGGCCGAGCACAGTGTCTCACACCTGTAATCCCAGCACTTTGAGAGTCTGAGGCAGGCAGATCGCTTGAGCCCAGGAGTTCGAGACTAGCCTGGGCAACATGGTGAAACCCTGTCTCTACAAAAAATACAAAAATGAGGCTGGGCATGGTGGCTCACGCCTGTAATCCCAGCACTTTTTTTGCAATGACCTGACGTAAGGAGTTCGAGAACAGCCTGGCCAATAGGGTGAAACCCCATTTCTACTAAAAATATAAAAATTAGCCATGCGTGGTGGCGGGCGCCTGTAATCCCAGCTACTTGGGAGGCTGAGGCAAGAGAATCGCTTGAACCCAGGAGTCAGAGGTTGCAGTGAGCCGAGATCATGCCATTGCACTCCAGTCTGGGCAACAAGAGCGAAACTCCATCTCAAAATAAATAAATAAATATTAAAAACAACAACAACAACAAAAATGAGCTGGGCATGGTGGTGTGCAGCTGTAGTCCCAGCTACTCGGGAGGCAGAGGTGGGAGGATCACCTGAGCCCAGGGAGTTGATGCTGGAATGAACTAGGATCACATCATTGCACTCCAGCCTGGGCAGCAGAGCGAGACCCTGCCTCAAAAAAAAAAAAAAAAAAAAAAAAAGAAAGAAAGAAAAGAAAAAGAAAAAAGCATTTTGGAGGCTAAGATGGGCGGATCACCTGAGGTGGGGAGTTCAAGACCAGCCTGACCAACATGGTGAAACCCTGTCTCTACTAAAAAATACAAAATTAGCTGGGCATGGTGGTGCATGCCTGTAATCCCAGCTACTTGGGAGGCTGAGGCAGGAGAATCACTTGAACCCACAAGGCGGAGGTTGCAGTGAGCTGTAATCCCAGCTACTTGGGAGGCTGAGGCAGGAGAATCACTTGAACCTGCAAGGCGGAGGTTGCAGTGAGCTGTAATCCCAGCTACTTGGGAGGCTGAGGCAGGAGAATCACTTGAACCCGCGAGGCGGAGGTTGCAGTGAGCCGAGATCGCGCCATTGCACTCCAGCCTGGGCAACAAGAATGAAACTATGTCTCAAAAAAAAAAAAAAAAAAAACGAAGAAAAAGAAGAAAAATCCCATTGAATATATAGAGCACACTGTGTTTATCCATTCTTCCATGGATGGACACTTACGTTGTTTGAACATTTTGGGTGTTCACAATTTCCTTTTGCAAAACTTGAAGTGTCAGTTTATGGATTGGCTCATGGATGTAATAGTAGCACAAACGCCTGGTAACTTCTCCTTTTTCCTGCTGAGACCTAAAACTGTTCACACAGGGGAAAAAGAGGAAATCTCTCAGAGACACAGGCCTAACTAACTTTCTTTGAGTTAGATCAATCTCATTATTATGATAATGTTCATAAACAGGCTTGATATTATGTTTTTTCTTTTCTTTCTCTTTTTTTTTTCTTTCCTGAAACTGAGTCTCGCGCTGTGGCCAGGCTGGAGTGCAGTGGTGCGATCTCAGCTCATTGCAAACTCTGCCTCCTGGGTTCAAGCGATTCTCTGCCTCAGCCTCCTGAGTAGCTGGGATCACAGGCGCCCATCACCACACCTGGCTAATTTTTGTATTTTTAGTAGAGACGGGGTTTCACCATGTTGGCCAGGCTGGTCTTCAACTCCTGACCTCGTGATCCACCTGCCTCGGCCTCCCAAAGTGCTGGGATTACAGGCGGGAGCCACCGCGCCCGGCATGGTCAAGAGTTCTTAACCAGCCCAGCCCTGTCTCTATCAAAAAAAATTAAAAAGGAGGAAGAGCAAATGCAGCCATGTGTGAAACAGGGAGGAACGTATGCTTTCCCCTTTCTGGAATGACCATTTGGATGTTTTGAGGCTTGTTACAGGACACCAAACAATAAATTTTGTCCTGTTTGGAGTCATGAAGGGATTAAAAGAGATCATGAGCCTGGGCAACATAGGGAGACTCTGTCTCTGGGAAAGACTAAAAAATTAGCCGGGTGTGGTGGTGCACACCTGTGATCCCAGCTACTCGGGAGGCTGAGGTGGGAGGATCACTTGAGCCTGGGAGGCTACAGTGAGCCATGATGGAGCCACTGCACTCCAACCTGGGCAACAGAGAGAGACCCTGTCTCAAAACACAATAATAAAATGAAAAATTAAAAAATAAAAAGAAGCTGGGCACAAAGCTCATGCCTGTAATCCCGGCACTTTGGGAGGCCGAGGTGGGTGGATCACCTGAGGTCAGGAGTTCGAGACCAGCCTGGCCAATATGGTGAAACCCTGTCTCTACTAATAATACAAAACTCAGCCGGGCGTCCTGGCGCATGCCTGTGATCCCAGCTATTTGGGAGGCTGAGGCAGGAGAATCACTTGAACCCGGGAGGCGGAGGTTGCAGTGAGCCGAGATTGCGTCACTCTACTCCAGCCTGGGCGACAGAGCGCAACTCTGTCTCTGGAATGAATGAAAGAAAGAAAGAATGAATGAAAGAAAGAAAGAAAGAAAGAAAAAGAAAGAAAGAGCGAGACTCTGTCTCTGGAATGAATGAAAGAAAGAATGAATGAAAGAAAGAAAAAAGAAAGAAAGAAAGGAAAGAAAAAGAAAGAAAGAAAGAAATGGTAAGAATGAGTGCTGTTTTCAAACAGAAGATGAGAATGGAAGGATTTGTGGGAAAGGCCTGGAGCAGGGGGAGGTGACAGCCACACAGGATGGTCAAGGAGAATCTCTGGGAAAGGATGGAGGAGCTGGAAGTCGAGCAGAAGCCACAGTCCAGTGTGGGGAGAATGAGAACTCCTGAGCGTATGACCTCTAAGGGTCTGTTCTCAGCAGGAGACTCTGGGACGATCTCCAGGGGTCAGGGCAGGGGGTGACGTGGCTCCAGGTAGGGGCTTCTGGCTCACGGAGGATTGTCTTGCAGGACTGTGCGTGGGCCAAGGAGACACAAGGGGAGATGGTGAGTGTTTCTTCAACTACACCCTCCTTGGCCTGTCATCCCAAATCCCCTGCTGTTCTCTTCCCCTTCCCCCTCTTTTTCTCTTTTTTTTTTGACGGAGTCTCACTCTTTCGCCAGGCTGGAGTGCGGTGGTGCAATCTCGGCTTACAGCAACCTCCGCCTCCTGGGCTCAAGTGATTCTCCTGTCTCAGCCTCCCAAGTAGCTGGGACTACGGGTGCTTGCCACCACGCCCAGCTAATTTTTGTATTTTTAGTAGAGACGGAGTTTCACCATGTTGGCCAGGATGGTCTCGATCTCATGACCTCGTGATCTGCCTGCCTTGGCCTCCCAAGGTGCTGGGATTACAGGCGTGAGCCACCGCACCCAGCCCGCTTCCCTTCTTAAAATGGGATTCCTGATTGGGCTCAGGGGTTCACGCCTGTAATCCCAGCACTTTGGGAGGCCAAGGTGGGTGGATCACCTGAGGTCAGGAGTTCGAGACCAGCCTGGCCAACATGGTGAAACCTTGTCTCTACTAAAATACAAAATTAGCTGGGTGTGGTGGTGCGTGCCTGTAATCCCACCTACTTGGGAGGCTGAGGCAGGAGAATTGCTTTAACCCAGGAGACGGAGGTTGCAGTGAACTGAGATTGCACCACTGCACTCTAGCCTGGGCAACAGAGGGAGACTCCATCTCAAAATAATAATAATAATAATAAATTTTAAAAAGGGCTTCCTGAGAGCAGGGGAGGGCATCGGGTCCAGCATCAGGCTCTGCTTCCTTCCAGGGTCACTGCCCAAGCCGTCCCTCAGTGCCTGGCCCAGCTCGGTGGTCCCTGCCAACAGCAATGTGACGCTGCGATGTTGGACTCCTGCCAGAGGTGTGAGCTTTGTTCTCAGGAAGGGAGGAATTATTCTGGAGTCCCCGAAGCCCCTTGATTCTACAGAGGGCGCGGCCGAATTTCACCTCAATAATCTAAAAGTCAGAAATGCTGGAGAGTACACCTGTGAATACTACAGAAAAGCATCCCCCCACATCCTTTCACAGCACAGTGACGTCCTTCTACTGTTGGTGACAGGTACAGACAGGGTGCCTGCCAATGACATACGGGGGACAGGGGATGAGGGAGGAAGTGGAGGAACAGAGGGAGAAAAGGGGTCCCACCTTCAGAGTAGTTGGGGGTGGTGGGAGAGGGAGAGAGACAGGAACGAAATTGCATATGTTGGTTTTATACTTTGTCGCCCAGGCCAGAGTGCAGTGGTGCCATCTCGGCTCACTGCAACTTCCGCCTCCTGGGCTCAAGTGATTCTCCTGCTCCAGCCTCCTGAGCAGCTGGGATTACAGGTGCCTGCCACCATGCCCGGCTAATTTTTGTATTTTTAGTAGAGACAGGGTTTCGCCATGTTGGGCAGGCTGGTCTCGAACTCCTGACCTCAGGTGATCCACCCGCCTTGGCCTCCCAAAGTGCTGGGATTACAGGTGTGAGCCACCATGCCAGGCCTTACACAGGTCTTGTAGGAGGGAGAATCTCTGTCCTGGGGTCGGAGTAGGAAGTGGAGGAAGGTAGAAGAGATCAGGAATCTCTCATTTCCCACACTCCACGAGAGCCTCCGGCCAGGAGAACAGGGGTGAGTGGGGGATTCCAGACTTCTCCCCAGGACCTCAGAACCTGACTTCTCTTACAGGACATTTATCTAAACCTTTCCTCCGAACCTACCAAAGGGGTACAGTGACCGCAGGTGGAAGGGTGACTCTGCAGTGCCAGAAGCGAGACCAATTGTTTGTGCCTATCATGTTCGCTCTACTGAAGGCAGGGACGCCATCACCCATCCAGCTGCAGAGTCCAGCGGGGAAGGAGATAGACTTCTCTCTGGTGGACGTGACAGCCGGCGATGCTGGGAACTACAGCTGCATGTACTACCAGACAAAGTCTCCCTTCTGGGCCTCAGAACCCAGTGATCAGCTTGAGATATTGGTGACAGGTAAGGGCGTGTATGGTTTTGAGGAACTGTGTGTGTTGTTTTTAATCAGAGATTGTTTTGTTCTTCTGTGAATCTCATTTCTTCATTACTTACAATATCATCGCTCTTAACAAAATCTTCCCTTTCTGGCCTGGCGTGGTGGCTCATGCCTGTCATCCCAGCACTTTGGGAGGCCGAGGTGGATGGATCATCTGAGGTCAAGGATTTGAGACCAGCCTGGCCAACATAGTGAAACCCCGTCTCTACTAAAAATAAAAAATTAGCCAGGTATGATGGCATGCACCTGTAGACCCAGCTACTTGGGAGGCTGAGGCAGGAGAATTGCTTGAACATGGGAGGCGGAGGTTGCAGTGAGCCAAGATCTTGCCACTGCACTCCAGCCTGGGCAATAGAGTGAGACTCTGTCTCAAAAACAAAAAACAAAAAACAAAAACAAAAACAACAAAACAACAAAAAAACCTCCCTTTCACAATTTCCACTCCTTTGCCTTTTTTTTTTTTTTTTTTTTTTTTGAAATGGAGTCTCACTCTGTTGCCAGGATGGAGTGCAATGGCGCGATCTTCGCTCACTGCAACCTCCACCTTCCAGGTTCAAGTGATTCTCCTGCCTCAGCCTCCCAGGTAGCTAGGATTACAGGCCTGCACCACCCATCCGGCTAATTTTTCTATTTTTAGTAGCGATGAAGGTTTCACCGTGTTGACCAGGCTGGTCTTGAACTCCTGACCTCAGGTGATCTGCCTGCCTCGGCCTCCCAAAGTGCTGGGATTACAGGTGTGAGCCACCGTGCCCGGCCCTCCTTTGCCTTTTTGTTATACTACATCCTTGGAAAATTTCTAGGCTGTTTTTGAAAATTATGAATCTACCAGCACCAGATTCCTTCTACCAGTCTTTGCATCTCTTAGCGTTTTGGTTTTTTGTTTTGTTTTGTTTCATTTTGTTTTTGAGACAGAGTCTCGCTCTGTTGCCCAGGGTGGAGTGCAGTGGTGCGATCTCAGCTCACTGCAACCTCTGCCTCCCGAGTTTAAGCAATTCTCCTGCCTCAGCCACTTGAGTAGCTGGGATTACATGTGCCCGCCACCACGCCTGGCTAATTTTTGTATTTTTAGTAGAGATGGGGTTCTGACCATGTTGACCAGGCTGGTCTTGAACCCCTGGCCTCAGGTGATCCGCTCACCTCGGCCTCCCAAAGGGCTGGGATTGCAGGTGTGAACCACTGTGCATGGCGTGTTTTGTTTTTTCTTGGTGTTAGTGATTTCACTCTCAATAATTCTTTCTCAGTCATGTGTGGTGGCTCAGGCCTGTAATCCCAGCACTTTGGGAGGCTGAGGCTGGAGAATTGCTTGAGCCCAGGAGTTTGAGACCAGCCTGGGCAACATAGTGAGACCCAGTTTCAAATTTAAAAAAAAAATTATCTCATCCTCAGAACATGGTGTTTGCACAGCCTCCTGCTTCTATGCCGTGGATGCGAAGTCTACCCATGTCTTTTATTGACTGCTAGAATTCTTCTGAAAGTATCTTGTTTCCTGCCTTACTGGGTGCTAGCACTCTGCTTCCTCAGCTCTGTAAATTATTTTTCATCTGTTGTAACTGCTGTAATGAGTTACATTACAGCTCTTGCCGGGTGCCTGGATGAAGCCCATTCATCAAGACAGAGGAATTGCAAAAAAGAGTTTAATACACATTGAGCCAGGTAAGTGGGAGACCAGAGTTTTTTTGTTTGTTTGTTTGTTTGAGACGGAGTCTTGCTCTGTTGCCCAGGCTGGAGTGCAGTGGCGCGATCTCGGCTCAATGAAACCTCTGCCTCCCAGGTTCAAACGATTCTTCTGCCTCAGCCTCCCGAGTAGCTGGGACTATATGTGTGCCACCCTGCCTGGCTAATTTTTGTATTTTTAGTAGAGATGGGGTTTTACCATATTGGCCAGGCTGGTCTCGAACTCCTGACCTCGTGATCTGCCCGCTTGGGCCTCCCAAAGTGCTGGGATTACAGGCATGAGCCACTGCACCTGGCCAATCAGAGTTTTATTATTACTCAAATCAGCCTCCCTGAAAATCTGGAGGCTAGGGTTTTGTTTGTTTGTTTGTTTTCTTTGAGATGGAGTCTCACTCTGTCGCCCAAGCTGGAGTGTAGTGGCACAATCTGAGCTCACTGCAGCCTCCACCCCCCAACCCCAGGCCCAGGTCAAGTAATTCTCCTGCCTCAGCCTCCTGAGTAGCTGGGATTACAGGCACCCGCCACCACACCCGGCTAATTTTTTTGTATTTTTAGTAGACATGGGGTTTCGCCATGTTGCCCAGGCTGCTCTCGAACTCCTGGCCTCAAGCAATCCTCCCACTTTAGCCTCCCACAGTGCTGGGATTACAGGCGTGAGCTACTGTGCCCGGCCTCAACTCAAACTTTCTCAGGTGCACTGCTGCACAGCAGTGTGTGCTGCGAGGATGCTGATCCAGCCACGGAATTCGGGGCTCTGTAGAGCTCCTTCCGTCTCATGTGCTGCCCCAAGACTATTCCTTAACATAAGGATGCGGGAGGAGAAAAGGCAATGTGGGAAGGTGGAAATGGGATAAAGAGCAAATAAACGAAGGAAGAGAGCTAAGGTGGAGTGAATATCAAGGAAGGAAGATAAAGGAACTCCCATTACAACTCATTAGGATTGCATATCTTGGCCGGGCGCGGTGGCTCAGGCCTGTAATCCCAGCACCTTGGGAGGCCGAGGCAGGCGAATCACTTGAGGCCAGGAGTTCGAAACCAGTTTGGCCAACATGGCGAAAACCCATCTCTATTAAAAATACAAAAATTAGCCGGGTGTGGTGGTAGGTGCCTGTAATCCTAGCTATTCGGGAGGCTGAGGCAGGAGAATCGCTTGAACCCAGGAGGTGGAGGTTGCAGTGAACCGAGACTGCGTCGCTGCACTCCAGCCTGAGCAACAGAGTGAGACGTCGTCTCAAAAACAACAACAAAGATTCCATCTTTTGTTTTCAGGGATTAAAACTTTAAAGAGCTCAATTATGGCCAGGCATGGTGGTTTATGCCTATAATCCCAACACTTTGGGAGGCCAAGGCGGGTGGATCACCTGAGGTCAGGAGTTCGAGACCAGCCTGACCAACATGGAGAAACCCCGTCTCTACTAAAAATACAAAATTAGCCGGGTGTGGTGGCACATGCTCATAATCTCAGCTGCTTGGGAGGCTGAGACAGGAGAATCACTTGAACCCGGGAGGCAGAGGTTGTAGTGAGCTGAGATTGTGCCATTACACTCCAGTCTGGGCAACAAGAGCAAAACTTGATCTCAAGAAAAAAAAAAAGTTCAATTAAAACTTTAAAGTACAGTGGACTACTGGCTAGAAAACATTAAGTGGGTGGCCGGGCGCGGTGGCTCACACCTGTAATCCCAGCACTTTGGGAGGCTGAGGTGGGCGGGTCACCTGAGGTCGGGAGTTCAAGACCAGCCTGGCCAACATGGCGAAACCCCGTCTCTACTAAAAATATAAAATTAGCCGGGCATGGTGGCACATGCCTGTAATCCCAGCTACTTGGGAGGCTGAGGCAGGGAGGCTTGAACCTGGGAGGCAGAGGTTGTGGTGAGCTGAGATTACACCACTGCACTCCAGCCTGGTCAACAAGAGTAAAACTCCGTCTCAAAAAAAAAAACCAAAAAACCGAAAACATTAAGTGGGTGATGATAGTCAGATTTGGTGGGGCCATTTGAGAAGGAGGGATACCCTCTGAGGGTCAGTGCTGAGCCCCTTCTCTCTTTCAGTTCCCCCAGGTACCACATCGAGCAACTACTCCCTGGGTAACTTCGTACGACTGGGTCTGGCTGCCGTAATTGTGGTTATCATGGGAGCTTTCCTGGTGGAGGCCTGGTACAGCCGGAATGTGTCTCCAGGTGAATCAGAGGCCTTCAAACCAGAGTGACTCCATCTTGAACCGGGGCTGGGTAAACTGAGGCTGCAACCTGCTGGACTGCATTCCCAGGGGGTTGAGGCTTTCTAAGTCACAGGATGAGACAGGTCACAACATACAGGTCACAAAGACCCAAAGACACAAAGATGCAACAAAGAAGCCAGCCAAAACCTGCCAAATCCAAGATGGCAACAAAAGTGACTTCTGGTCGTCCTCACTGCACATTATTTGCTAATTATAATGCATTTGCATGCTAAAAGACACTCCCACCGCCACCAAGACAGCTTACAGATGCCATGGCAACTTCCAGAAGCTAAACGAGGGAGGGACTCTCAGTTCCAGGGAAATCCCCTCCCCTTTCCTGGAAAACTCATGAACAGTCCACCCCTTGTTTAGCATACGATCAAGAAATAACCACAAAAATAGCCGACTGACAGCCCTCTGGACTGCTCTGCCTATGGAGCAGCCATATTCCTTGACTTTCTTAATAAACTTGCCTTCACTTTACTCTGTGTACTCACCCTGAGTTCTTACTTGTGTGAGATCCGAGAACCCTCTCTTGGGGTCTGGACTGGGACCCCTTTCCAGTAACAGATCCAAGTTAAAACACGGATCCCCTCTCTCTTTCATGGGCTGCTGTAGAGATATGGAATTCTCTTCTGCTCCAGATTTATTGAGATCTAATCGACAAATAAAAATGGAGTTATATTTGTGTACAACGTGATGTTTTGATATATTCCATTTTGATTTATCAATTATACCCCCATAAGCCTACGGGTGGGGAACCCTCCTACTAAGTAATTTATTGTGTACCAAGGAAGAAATTTCACTGATTGTGACATGAGTATCACAATGTAGCTAACGAACCTTTCTGTTTAAGATCCACCTTCTGGGAACCTCCCTACTAAATAATTAATTGTGTACCAAAGAAGAAATTTCACTAATTGTGACATGATTATCACAATGTAGCTAATGGACTTTTCTGTTTAAGATCCACCTTCTGGGAACTTTCCTACTAACTAAGTAATTAATTGTGTGCCGAGGAAGAAATTTCACTCATTGTGACAATGGTTATCTCAATCTAGCTTATGGACCTTTCTGTTTAAGATCCACCTTCTTAGCAAATTGTAATTACCCAGTGCAGCCTTGTGAACTGTAGCCGCCCTGCTGTGCATTCAATCCATATGGGGTTCTTTAAACATCAGACTCTACCATGGGGACTTCACACGTTTCTCCACATGGGCACAAATGGTATTTTTTGTTTTTTTGTTTGTTTGTTTGTTTTGAGACAGAGTCTCGCTTTGTCGCCCAGGCCAGAGTGCAGTGGTGCGATCTCGGCTCATTGCAACCTCCGCCTGCCAGGTTCAAGTGATTCTCCTGCCTCAGCCTCCCAAGTGGCTGCAACTACAGGCACCTGCCACCATCTGGCTAATTTTTTTGTATTTTTAGGAGAGACGGGGTTTCGCCACATTGGTCAGGCTGGTCTCGAACTCCTGGCCTCAAGTGATCCACCTGCCTCAGCCTCCCAAAGTGCTGGGATTACAGGTGTGCACCACCGGGCATGGCCACAAATGGTGTTTAAAGTGCAATAGTCCTTCACCATGTGAGACTGTCTTGTCCATTATAGGAACACGTAACTCGACATTGCTAATACTTCCTTTCCCATTGAACACCTGTTGGAGACCTAATTATTGTGAAACAACAACAACAAAAAAGCCACTACTCTCATACCTTTCAAATATCCCTGGATGGGGCGATGGGAAGTGAGGGTGGTGCTCCCCCTGGTTGAAAAGCTGTGTTTGGATGCCGGGAGAAAACAATCTTCCTCCTCTTCCTTCCCCTCTAAGCTCAGCTCTGTTCTTCTCTAGCCATAGATCCCACAGCTGCCCAGGGAATGATGGGTTGGACCAGCTGAGCCTTAACCGCTTTCTGTGGAACCTGCACTCTCAGCTCTGTTGGGATCTGCTGTAGGGCAGGATGGTGGCTTTCTTCTTCCTGTACTTTTCACTGGGGACAGAGGACAGAATTGGGCACAATGAGCCACGTAATACTTTTTTTTTTTTTCTTTGAGACGGAGTCTCGCTCTGTCACCCAGGCTGCAGTGCAATGGCAAGATCTCGGCTCACTGCAACCTCCACCTCCTGGGTTTAAGCGATTCTCCTGCCTTAGCCTCCCAAGTCGCTGGGATTACAGGCGCCTGCCACCATGCCCAGCTAATTTTTGTACTTTTAGTAGAGATGGGGTTTCACCCATGTTGGCCAGGCTGGTCTTGAACACCTGAGCTCAAGTGATCAGCCCACCTCGGCCTCCCAAAGTGCTGGGATTGCAGGCTTGAGTCACCGTGCCCAGCCCTTAATACATTTTTGATAACTTGAATCAATACTTAAAACTTCAGAGTCAGATTGAGTAGTAGGTGACTCTCACCTGCGGGGAACTCTTCCTCCACACGAAGGGAAAAACATTGCTTCCTGTGTAATATTTATTAATACTTCCTCTCCGTTCTTTCTATTTTGTGCTTCTGGACCAGCATTTAGTCCAATATTGGGATATACATATTTATTTATTTATTATATTTATTTATTTTGAGACAGGGTCTCACTCTGTCGCCCAGGCTGGAGTGTAGTGGCTAGATCACGGCTCACTGCAGCCTCGACCTCCCAGGCTAAAGTAATCCTCCCATCTCAGCCTTCTGAGTAGCTGGGACCACAGGTGTGTGCCATCATGCCGGACTAAATTTTGTATTTTTTGTAGAAGCCGGGTTCCACCATATGGCCCAACTTGGTCTCGAACTCTTGGACTCAAGTGATCCTCTCATCTTGGCCTCCCAAAGTGCCAGGACTACAGGCGTTAGCCACTGTGCTTGGTCATATGTATTTATAATACATTCTTTCTTTCTTTTTTTTTGGAGAGGGAGTCTCACTCTGTCACCCAGGCTGGAGTGCAGTGGCGTAATTTCAGCTCACTGCAACCTCCCTCTCAGGTTCAAGTGACTCTCCTGCCTCAGCCTCTCAAGTAGCTGGGATTACAGGCGCCCACCACCATGCCTGGCTAATTTTTGTGTGTTAGTAGAGACGGGGTTTCACCATGTTGGCGAGGCTGGTCTCGAACTCCTGACCTCAAGTGATCTGCCCACCTTGGCTTCCCAAAGTGCTGGGATTACAGGCATGAGCCACCACGCCCAGCCTGTATTTATAATACATTTCTTTTACATTTTATTTTATATGTTTCCAACATTTTACCCAGTTTGGCAGGAATTCCATTCTATCCATGGCATCCATTTGCTTGTAATTGGTAGCCAGTCTTACTGGTGCAGATGTAAAATGTCAACAGTTGCCAGGTGCTGTGGCTCATGCCTATAATCCCAGCACTCTGGGAGGCCGAGGTGGGCGGATCACAAGGTCAAGAGATCGAGACCATCCTGGCCAATATGGTGAAACCCCATCTCTACTAAAAATACAAAAATTAGCTGGGCGTGGTGGTGCATGCCTGTAATCCCAGCTACTCAGGAGGCTGAGGCAGGAGAATTGCTGGAACCCGGGAGGCAGAGGTTGCAGTGAGCCGAGATCTCACCACTGCACTGCAGCCTGGGCGACAGAGCGAGACTCCGTCTCAAAAAAAAAAAAAAAAAAAAAGTCAACATTTATGTTTTGTTGTTACATTTTGTTTTCAAGATTTGTTGCTGTTTCTTGTTAATAGTCTTATTATTTTTCGTAAATATCATTCTTATTTTATAACTATTGTCTCCTCTGTTATAACTCTGAGGATGTGCTTATCAAAGCAATATTCCTCCTCTTCCTCCACTAACCACAGGTTGGTCCTTCTCTATCCACAGACCACACAGCTGCCAAGGGTAGCATGCGCTAGAGCTGCCGATCCTTAGAGTTTCCTGTGCAGCCAGCATTTCCAGCTGTTTGAGAGCCGCACCAGGACAGGACGATGGCTTTCTTCCCATCCTCCTCACTTAGGACAGGACGGGGTGGGCACAGGGACCCATCCAGCAAGTTATTATTTTTGTAGTTATTAAGATAGAAAGTATAGGCCGGGCATGGTGGCTCACACCTGTAATCCCGCCTCAGCCTCCCAAAGTGCTGGGATTACAGCGGTAAGTCATCATGCCCAGACGATTATTTTTTATTTGTATACGTTTATGGGGTACAAGTGTAACTTTATTGCATGGATAGATTCCAAAATGATGAAGTTAGGGCTTTCAGGTATCCACTAACCCAGTGACACACATTGTATCCATTAGATAATTCTTTTTTTTTGATGGAGTCTTGCTCTGTGACCCAGGCTGGAGTGCAGTGGCGTGATCTCAGCTCACTGCAACCTCCGCCTCCCGGGTTCAAGCGATTCTCCTGCCTCAGCCTCCTGAGTAGCTGGGACTATGGGCGTGTGCCACCACGCCCGGCTAATGTATCCATCATCATAACACACAACCATTTGAATGAATCTCACAGGCATTGTGCTGAGTGAAAAAGGTCACCCTCAGAAGGTGAGGCGATGGACGATTCCATTTATACAAGAGTCTCAAAGTGACAAAGTGATAGAGACGTAGAACAGATTAGCAGGTGCTAGGGTGGGAGAGCGATTATAAAGGGGCAGCATGAGGGAGTTCCTACGTGGTGGTGGGACAGTTCTGTGTCTTGATTGTGGCGGTGGTTCTATAAAGCCATACATACAGGCAATAAAATGTTACAGAACTATACCCATAGGCAAAGAAAAGGGAGGAGGAAAAGAAGGTGGAAGAGGAGGAAGAGCAGGAGAAAAGAAGGAAAAGGAGAAAAGGAAATAGAAATAGAAGGAAGAGGAAGAGAAAAAGAGAAACGAATTATGCACAAACTGGTGAGATCTGAGTGACCTCTGGAACCTGGTTAAACGTGTGATGCCAGTGCAAAGTCTCTGGTTTTGAAAATGTGCCATACGCCGGGCGTGGTGGCTCACGCCTGTAATCCCAGCAGTTTGGGAGGCCGAGGCAGGCGGATCGCCTGAGGTCAGAAGTTCGAGACCAGCCTGGGCAACATGGCAAAACCTCGTTTCTACTAAAAAGAACAAAAAAAATTAGCCAAGAGTGGTGGCGGACACCTGTCATCCCGGCAACTCGGGAGGCTGAGGCAGGAGAATCGCTTGAACCCGGGAGGCAGAGGTTGCAGTGAGCCAAGATTGTGCCACTGCACTCCAGCCTGGCTGACAGAGATTCTGTCTCAAAAAAAAAAAAAAAAAAAAAAAGTACTGTAATTATAAGAGATTACCATTGGCCGGGCACAGTGGCTTATGCCTGTAATCCCAGCACTTTGGGAGGCTGAGGTGGGCGGGTCACTAGAGACCAGGAGTTCAAGACCAGCCTGGCCCACATGGTGAAATCCCATCTCTACAAAAAATTAGCTGGGTGTGGTGGTGCATGCTTGTAATCCCAGCTACTTGGGAGTCTGAGGCAGGAGAATCCTTAAACCCATGAGGCAGAGGTTGCAGTGAGCCGAGATCGCGCCACTGCACTCCAGCCTGGGTGACAGAGCAAGACTCTGTCCCCCCCGCCCCCCAAAAAAAGGTTAACATTGTGGGGAGCTGGCTAGTGGGTACACGGAAGCTATAAAGCTATAGGTATTAATGTTTGTTTGTTTGCTTGTTTGAGACAGTTTCACCGTTGTTGTCCAGGCTGGAGTGCAGTGGCACAATCTTGGCTCACAGCAACCTCCGCCTCCTGGGTTCAAGCCATTCTCCTGTCTCAGCCTCCGGAGTAGCTGGGATTACAGGCATGCGCCACCATGCCTGGCTAATTTTGTATTTTTAGTAGAGACGGGGGTTTCTCCATTTTGGTCAGGCTGGTCTTGAACTCCCGACCTCAGGTGATCCGCCCGCCTCAGCCTCTCAAGGTGCTGGGATTACAGGCGTGAGCCACCGCGTCCGGCCGGTATTAGTGTTTTAAAATAAAAAATTACATTTACAGAAAACTCTTGGCAGAACTTCAGATAAGGTAGGACAGAGCTCGGGCGGGTGGGGCCACACACACCGGATTCATGGGGAAGAAGTTATCATCGACGGCTTCTTGTTTCCTGAGTCGGTTGTGAGAAGGAAACTGCAAGAGTGGGGCAGAGAACCAGAGTGTCAGAGCAAAACCTCCTCTATCTGCACATCCTGGGGACGAACCGGGCAGCCGGAGAGCTGCGGCCGGCCCAGTCCCGCTCCGCCTTTGAAGGGTAAAACCCAAGGCGGGGCCTTGGTTCTGGCAGAAGGGACGCTATGACCGCAGAATTCCTCTCCCTGCTTTGCCTCGGTGAGTCTCCAGGACTGGGACGAATGGGCTTGGGCTGGTGAGAAAAACTCATGTGGGAGTGGCAGTCCAGGTGGAAATGCGGTGTGTGGAAGTAATGACTTCCAGGTGTTGCACACCTGCGGTGGGTGGGTCTGGGCTGTGGGTTCTGTGAGTTCTGCCGCCCACATGCAAGCGAGGAGGAGGCCGCGCTGCAGAGACACGGGGACAGACTCCGCTGGGAAAGGCAGAGCTGCTGTGGGGTCTCCGAGTCTGCAGCCGCTAAATACCGCAGTACTGCCATCATCCTCCGTCGGAATAGAGGAGGGCTGGGCTTAGGGATCTACAGGGTGCAAGGCTGTGGGCAAAAAGACAATTTTCTTCTCTCTCTCTCTTATTTATTTATTTATGTATGTATGCATTTATTTATGAGACAGAGTCTCACTCTGTAGCCCAGGCTGGAGTGCAATGGCGTGATCTGGGCTCACTGCAACCTCCGTCTCCCAGGTTCAAGCGATTCTCCTGCCTCAGCCTCCCGAGTAGGTGGGACTACAGGTGCAGGCCACCACACCCGGCTGACTTTTGTATTTTAAGTAGAGACGGGGTTTCACCATGTTGGTCAGGCTGGTCTCGAGCCCCTGACCTCAGGTGATCCGCCCGCCTCAGCCTCCCAAAGTGCTGGGATTACAGGCGTGAGCCACCACACCTGGCCCCAAGAAGACAATTTTCTGACCAGCTCGATTCTTAGGCTGATTTTAACCATCCTCCAATTGAACCTGATGTATTCAGACAGAGCTCACACTGTGAAACGGATGACCTGGGTTATAATCTCGGCTTTACTACATAGAAACTCTAGGCTTGACCCAGCAGAGCTCCACCTCCCTAAGGCCCCAGTTCCTCCCTGGTGCACGGGGGGTGCGGTGGACATCGACGTGCTTCGTCTGCTTCAGTTCCTTCCTCCTTTTCTGGGTGCAGCCCTTCCTTGTGGGGTAATGCTCGTCTCCTACACACATTTGCACCTTAGATGAGCATTTTTTTTTTTTTTTGACAGAGTCTTGCTTTGTCTCCCAGGCTGGAGTGCAGTGGTGTGATCTCAGCTCACTGCAACCTCCACCTCCTGGGTTCAAGCGATTCTCCTGCCTCCGCCTCCCGAGAAGCTGGGATTATAGGCACACGCCACCACGCCTGGCTAATTTTTTGTGTTTTTAGTAGAGATGGGGTTTCACCATGTTGGCCAGGCTGGTCTCAAACTCCTGAACTCAGGTGATCTACCCACTTCAACCTCCTAAAGTGCTGGGATTACAGGTGTGAGCCACTGCACCCGGCTATTTGTGCCTTAGAGATGACTATCGGGTTCATACCCAAGCCTCCAGCTGCTGAGCACAGTAAGCTGGGCAACCAGGAGACTGACCTCATCCCCCAATGGCTGCCATACCAAAGTACTACAAGCCTGGTGGCTTAAAGGAATTAGAATTGCTTTAAGTTGGGGAGATGAGAAGTCTGAAACCAAGGTGTTTGCAATGTTGATTCCTTCTGAGAACTATGAAGGAGCGTCTGTTTTATGCCCCTCTTCTAGTGATGGCTGACAATTCTTGGCATTTTTTTTTTTTCTTGAGGCGGAGTCTTGCTCTGTCACCCAGGCTAGAGTGCAGTGGCATGATCTTTCTCACTGCAACCTCCACCTCCTGGGTTCAATCAATTCTCCTGCCTTAGCCTCCCAAGTAGCTGGGATTACAAGCATGGACCACCATGCCTGGCTAATTTTTGTATTTTTAGTAGAGACAGGGTTTCACCACGTTGGCCAGGCTGGCCTCGAACTCCTGACCTCAGGTGATCTGCCCGCCTCAGCCTCCCAAACTGTTGAGATTACAGGCGTGAGCCAGCGCTCCCGGCATTCTTTAACTTGTAGATGCATCACTCCAATCGTTGGCTCTGTTTTTTTTTTTCTTTTCTTTAGACAGGGTCTCACTCAGTTGCCCAGGCCGGAGTGCAGTGGTACCACCATAGCTCACTGCAGCCTCAACCTCCTGAGCTCAAGCAGTCCTCCCCGCAGCCTTCTGAGCAGCTAGGACTACAGGTGCACACCACCATGTTGGACTAATTAAAATAATTTCTGTTTTAGAGATGGGATCTTGCTATATTGCCCAGGCTAGTCTCCAACTCCTGGGCTCAAGCAATTCTCCTATCTTGGCATCCCAAAGCACTATGATTGCAGCCTGGCCTCTCTGCCTCTGTCTTCGCATGGCCGTCTTCCTTCTGTGTGTCTCTGTCTCTCTTTTTCTCTTCTTGTAAGTTATATTGGATTAGATACCCAGCCTACTCTAGTATGACCTCATCTTAGTTTAATTAATTACATCTGCAAAGATCAGACAATGCTATTTTCAAATAAGGTCACATTCGCAGGTCCTGGGAGTTACAACTTGAACTTCTCTTTTCAAGAAACACAAATCAGCCAGGTGTGGTGGCTCACGCCTGTAATCTCAGGACTTTGGGAGGCCCAGGCGGGCAGATCTCTTGAGGTCAGGAGTTTGAGACCAGACTGGCCAACATGGTGAAACCCCGTCTCTACTAAAAATACAAAAATTAGCTGGGCATGGTGGCAAGGACCTGTAATCCCAGCTACTCGGGAGGCTGAGGCAGGAAAATCGCTTGAACCTGGGAGGCAGAGGTTGCAGTGAGCTAAGATAGCACCGCTGCCCTCCAGCCTGGGTGACAGAGGGAGACTCCATGTCAAAAAAAAAAAAAAAAAAAGAAAAGAAAAAGAATATGGGAATTGGGCTGGGTGCAGGTAGCTCACACCTGTAATCCCAGCATGTTGGGAGGCCAAGGTGGGAGAATCACTTGAACTCAGGTGTTCGAGACCAGCCTGGGCAACATCGTGAGTCCTCATCTCTACAAAAAAATTTTAAAATCAGCCAGCGTGGTGGTGCATGCCTGTAGTCCCAGTTATTTGGGAGGCTGAGATGGATGGATCACTTGAGCCCAGGAGGTTGAGGCTGCAGTGAGCTGTGACTGCACCCTGGCACTCCAGCCTGGGCCACAGAGTGAGACCCTGTCTCAAAAAGAAAAAAGAATATAGGAATCACTGTTTGAACAGACGATGGGTGGATAGCAGAGATGAGATGACATGAATCTAAAAGCGGGATTTGGGGAGGGTCTCAAAACAGAGCCTGAGTCCTGGGATGCCCTGCCCACCCAGAGGCTGTTTCCTACCTGCCAATCCCAGCTAATCTCGCTGCCAACGCAGCTTCGGTCCATCGTGAGGCCTCCACCTCATTCCTCTGTGGTGAAGCTTGGTGGGGGGTCACGTTCTGTATCGGCACCTGTGTCAACAAGGAACCAATGTCCTGAGACACTGTCGTGGCTCTAGAGAATTTCTACCTAAATTCTACGTAACTTCACCCTGAAACAAGCCCCATGACTGACATCCCATTTTCCACCCAAGTTTAAGACGCTACCTTCCCAGCGGGGAATGTAGAGAACAGAACACAGAAGAGGGAGGGGATAATGTAAGTGGAAACCAAAGCTAAAGTGAGGAGAGTATTTGGGACCAGAAGACACGGGGAAGGGGGAGCAGATTCTCTCTATTGGAATTGAGCAAGAAAACCCTCCTCTCGGCCGGGCGCGGTGGCTGATGCCTGTAATCCCAGCACTTTGGGAGTCCGAGGCGGGTGGATCACGAGGTCAGGAGATCAAGACCATCCTGGCTAACACAGTGAAACCCCGTCTCTACTAAAAATACAAAAAAATTAATTAGCTGGGCTTGGTGGCGGGTGCCTGTAGTCCCAGCTACTCGGGAGGCCGAGGCAGGAGAATGGCGTGAACCCGGGAGGCAGAGCTTGCGGTGAGCCGAGATCGCGCCACTGCACTCCAGCCTGGGTGACAGAGCGAGACTCCATCTCGAAAAATAAAAAAAAAAAAAAAACCCACCACTCTCACTCCACGATAAAATAACCTTTGCATTATTTAAGTGGCAAGGGTAAAACTGCAATCAGGCCGGGCACGGTGGCTCATGCCTGTAATCCCAGCGCTTTGGGAGGCTGAGGCGGGTGGATCACTTGAGCTCAGGAGTTTGAGACCAGCCTGGGCAACATGGTGAAACCCCATCTCTACAACAACAACAACAAAAATTAGCTGGGCACGATGGCACACACCTGTAGTCCCAGCTACTCTGGAGCCTGAGGTACGAGTATCACTTGAACCCAGGGGGTGGAGGAGGTTGCAGTGAGCTGAGACTGCACCACTGCACTCCAGCCTGGGTGACACAGCGAGACTCTGTCTCAAAACAAAACAAAACACTGCAATCACAGAAAATACCAGAAAAAAGCATAGGTGAATGTTGAACAATTTCTAGATGGTGAAAGGATTACTCATGAAAGCAATTCAATACATCAGAAAAGGTTGCTGGGCCGGGGGCAGTGGCTCACGCCTGTAATCCCAGCACTTTGGGAGGCCGAGGCGTGTGGATCACCTGAGGTCAGGAGTTCAAGACCAGCCTGGCCAACATGGTGAGACCCTGTCTCTACTAAAAATGCAAAAATTAGCCAGGTGTGGTGGCGGGTGCCTGTAGTCCCAGCTACTCGGGAGGCTGAGGCAGGAAAATTGCTTGAACCTGGGAGGCGGAGGTTGCAGTGAACTGAGATCATGTCATTGCACTCCAGCCTGTGCAACAGAGCAAGACTACATTTCAAAAAAAAAAAAAAAAAAAGAAAGAAGAAGTTGCTGGAATTTTCTCCATACACGTAGCTTCTGAATGACAAACAATGGAACAAAAGTAAGAGGTAAGTCTGGGGAGATATCTGCCAAAAATATATACATATATGTAATACATATATTTAATATATATATTATATTTATATATGTATTATATGTAATATGTGTACATATACTTAATACATTTATTATATATAATACATATATACATTATATATATATATATATCTCAGACCTATAAAGAGCTAGTCATACGTTCTCTGCTGGATTTGTACTCAAGGACAAGCACATAATTTTTCTCTCATTGAGATTTCTCTTCCAGGGCTGTGTCTGGGCTACGAAGATGAGAAAAAGAATGGTGAGTTTTCTCCTACTTAAACTTTTATTCCTGCATCCCACGCTTCATGACCTTTTCCTTTAATCGTCTGAATTCTAGACTCAAATTAACTCTGAATTGTTTCCAGAGAAACCGCCCAAGCCCTCCCTCCACGCCTGGCCCAGCTCGGTGGTTGAAGCCGAGAGCAATGTGACCCTGAAGTGTCAGGCTCATTCCCAGAATGTGACATTTGTGCTGCGCAAGGTGAACGACTCTGGGTACAAGCAGGAACAGAGCTCGGCAGAAAACGAAGCTGAATTCCCCTTCACGGACCTGAAGCCTAAGGATGCTGGGAGGTACTTTTGTGCCTACAAGACAACAGCCTCCCATGAGTGGTCAGAAAGCAGTGAACACTTGCAGCTGGTGGTCACAGGTGAGAAGGGCAGATGTACTCTTTGATGCACACATTTCTTTGGTTTGGCTTTGCTTTTTTTTTTTTAAGACAGAGTCTTGCTGTGTCTCCCAGGCTGGAGTGCAGTGGCACGATCTCGGCTCACTGCAACTTCTGCCTCCTGGGTTCAAGCAATTCTCCCTCCTCAGCCTCCCGAGTAGCTGGGACTACAGGCGCCCGCCACCACGCCCAGCTAATTGTTTGTGTTTTTAGTAGAGATGGGGTTTCGCCATGTTAGCCAGGATGGTCTCCATCTCCTGACCTTGTGATCCACCTGCCTCCGCCTCCCAAAGTGCTGGGATTACAGGCATGAGCCACCGCGCCCGGCCTAATTTTTGTATTTTTAATAAAGATGAGGTTGTACCATATTGGTGAGGTTGATCTCAAACTCCTGACCTCAAGTGATCCATCTGCCTCGGCCTCCCAAAGGGCTGGGATTATAAACGTGAACCTCCACACCCAGCCTTTTTTTTTTTTTTGAGAGGGAGTCTTGCTCTGTTGCCCAGGCTGGAGTACAGTGGCATGATCTCAGCTCACTGCAACCCCCGCCTCCTGGGTTCATGCAATTCACCTGCCTCAGCCTCCCGAGTAGCTGGAACTACAGGGGTGCGCCACCACACCTGGCTAATTTTTGTATTTTAGTAGAGACAGGGTTTTACCATGTTGGCCAGGCTGATCTCGAACTGCTGACCTCAAGTGATCTGCCCACCTCAGCCTCCCAAAGTGCTGAGATTACAGGAGTGAGCCACTGCGCTCGGCTGCTTTTTTTTTTTTTGACAGAATCTCGCTCTGTCACCCAGGCAGGAGTGCAGTGGCATGAACACAATTCACTGCAGCCTCGACCTCCCAGGCTCAAGCGATTTTCCCACATCAGCCTCCCAAGTAGCTGGGAGTACAGGCAAGCACCACCATGCCTGGCTAATTTTTAAATTACTTGTTGAGACAGGATCTATGTTGCCCAGGCTGGTCTTGAACTCCTGAGCTCAGGTGATCCTCCTGCCTTGGCCTCCCAAAGTGCTGGGATTACAGGCGTGAGTCACCAAAGCCTGCCTGATGCACGTATTTCTTTTCCTGTCGTGGGACATGGCTGGGGAAGAAGGAATCTAGGAGACAAAAAGATAGATGCAGGCCAGGCACGGCGCGGTGGCTCATGCCTGTAATCCCAGCACTTTGGGAGGCAGAGGTGGGCAGATCACTTGAGGTCGGGAGTTCGAGACCAGCCTGGCCAACATGGTGAAACCTCACCTCTACTTAAAATACAAAAATTAGCTGGGCGTGGTGGCAGGCGCCTGTAATCCCAGCTACTAGGGAGGCTGAGGCAGGAAGAGAATCTCTTGAGCCCAGAAGGCAGAGGTTGTAATGAGCTGAGATTGTGCCACTGCACTGCAGCCTGGATGAAAGAGCAAGACTCCGTCTAAAAAAAAAAAAGAAGAAGAAGGATAGATGCAACACCTTCAATGTGGAAATGGGAACCGAATGTGGAGCAAGATTCTCATCAGAGATTCTGAGAGGGTCCCAATGATGTGGATGTGGGAGGGTGGTGTAGAATATGGTCAGTTAATAGAAAATTGGGGTATGGTAAGACTGACAGACCAAGTGATGATTGCCATGGAAAAGATGGTCTGTTACAGTTCCCAAGAGGAGGAGGAAGGCTATACTGGGGGGAGTATGTGGGGAAGCACCAGGGTCAATGAGGGGCAGAGGGAGGAGGAAGAACTGTGGACCAGAGCTTTGATTGTATTTTGTGGGGAGAACAAGATTAGAGTTGGCCAGGTGTGGTGGTTCATGCCTGTAATCCTAGCACTTTGGGAGGCCTAGGAGGGTGGATCACCTGAGGTCAGGAGTTTGACATCAGCCTGGGTAACATGGCGAAACTCCATCTCTACAAAAATACAATAATTACCTGGGTGTGGTGGTGTGCACCTGTGCTTTCAGCTACTCGGGAGGCTGAGGCACGAGAATTGCTTGAACCCCAGAGGCAGAGGCTGCGGTGAGCCAAGATCGTGCCACTGCACTCAAGCCTGGGTGATAGAATGAGAACCTGTCTCAAAAAAAAAAAAAAAAAAAAAAAAAGAAAAGAAAAGAAAAGAAAGAAAGAAAAGAAAAACAAAAAAAGAATTGGCTTTGGGGTGTAGAGGCTGTCCCTGGTTGTCTAGTTCTTGGACCTGGGGTGATTAGGAGAGGACAACATTGACCTTGAGTGTGAGAGCCCCATAATTAAGGTGGTTGAGAGTATGGGCTCTGGATCTATTGGCTTGCATTTGAGGGACATCCTTGAGGACAAGTTGTTTACTGGCTCTAGAAATTAACTAACCCTGCGAGGGGAGGTCCCACCAAGGGCAGCAAGGCCCCAAGATGTTAAAGCATCAAATGCAGAAGATGAAAGACATGGTTAATACGGAGAGATGGATGAGATAGTCCCCAAGTGCAGTAGAAAATGGAAAAGCCCTGGCCCTTCTCTTTACCTCCATTGCCTTGTCCTCTTCAGGATCACTCCCAGAACCTTTGCTCTCAGTCAATGTAGACCCTGGGATGACTCCAGGTCTCAGGACACTTCGATGTCTCACTCCATACAATGGAACCGAATGTATTGTAATTGCTCTGTTGAAAATGGGGATCCCAGAACCATTACAAGTCAGGCAAGTAAGAAAAAACCAGACTGATTTCATGCTCTGGAACGTGACAAGTAATGACAGTGGAAACTACAGCTGTGTGTATTACCTGAGCAACTCATCACACTTGGCCTCCTTCCCCAGCAACAAGCTGGAGATCTGGGTGACAGGTGAGGATAGAGTGATAACACTGGCATTTGACATGTATCCAGCATTTTCTATGTTCCTGTCTCCACGACAGGTAACTTGCCTCCACTAACTCATTCAGTCTTCACTTCCTATGAGGGTGGTTGTGTTACTAACTTCTTTTTGCTCATAGAGATTAGGTGACCTCCCCGGTGTCACAAAAACAATGAGCTTCACAGTTGCTATTCAGACATAAATGAAAATTTATATTTCATTATGCCAGAGAAGGAAAGCCAGAAAGAGTGTCCAGTGCTCTATGAGGGATGTAGGAATGGCAAATAATGGATTGTGGGGCTAAGAGATCCCATTGTGTGGAAAAGTATGGGAGGCACGGTGCAGGTAACTGAAAAAAAAATGATGAGGACCACAGTGAGAAGATGCACGTGGGAGGATTGTAACATACATGACTTGAGATCCCAAGGAAGAGGGATAAAGAATAATTTTGCATCACTTTCATCTACCCATTTATCTACTCACCCATCCATCTATCAATCTACCCACCCATCTATCAACCCACCCACCCATCTACCCACCTACCAACCCATCCACCCTCCTACCCACTCATTCACCCATCCATCCACTCACTTATCCATCTATCCATCAACTCATCCATCCATCCATCCATCCATCCATCCATCCATTCATCTATCCATTAATCCATCCAACCACCAACCCTTCCATTCATCTGTCCACCCACCCCTTCATCCATCTATCTACCTACCTACCCATCTATTTACCCAGCCACTCATTTGTCCATCCTTCCACCCATTCATCCACTCATCCACCCTTTCACCCATTCACTCACCCCCACCCACCTATCCATCTATCCATCCATCCATCCATCCATCCATCCATTCATCCATTCATTTATTAGTCACTAAACAATACCTCTCAACTGACCACAGTTGCTTCCAGTAGGTCAGTCCTGCCATATCATGGGAAATCCCTGGAGAGACTTTACAGTCATCAGTGTAGTGTAGAAGTAGCCGTGGGTCCACACCAATGACTTAGCCTGGGCTTGGGGCATGATGAGTAACTGAATACTTAATGTTTCACCTCTGATTTACCCTCTTTCTGAGGCTCTTGATCAATGATACTCCAACAAGGTGCTCATCACTTTGATATTGATTTCAAATTGTATTCCCCATAACTCGTTCTTGTAGTCTTAAGAATTTCTGCACCCACACTTTAGCCCTAAAAGCCTCGCGATTATTTGCCATTTCCCAATTATGTTCTCTGGCATATCATCTACTGTTTCCTGATTTCTTCACCTCTATCGCAGCTGTACCATTACATCACAAGACAGGCTATAGTATCAATTTCCAGTGGTTGATTTTCCAGGTCAGCCTTCCATATACAATCTGTTTGCTGCTTTGCAAATCACTTTATTATACTACTTTTTACTTTTTTATTATACTACTTTTTACTTATTACAAAATGGGCATATAAATGCTTCCATTACAAAAAAAAATTAATGCAAAATACCTGGCACAAAAATAGCTGCCCATTCACCCTACAAATTCAGATACTTTGGTAGATCCTGAGCATATTGTAGGAACTGAGACAGACCAGGTCTCTGGCCAACAGGAGCTCACATTCTTCTTTGGAAGAAAGAAAGAAATAAGAGCAAGCTATCAGAGTAATTAAAAAACACATTATAGATGGAGAATAACTGTGAGAGGCATTGTATTAGTGATCTACAGCTGCATAACAAATTACCACTAATTTAGCAGCCTGAAACACCTATTTATTATCTCACAGTTGATGTGGGTCAGGAGTCCAGGCACAGCTTAGCTGAGTCCTCTGCTTTGGGTCTCATAAGGATGCAATCAAGGTGTCAACAAGGGCTGTGTTCTCATCTGGCTCATCTGGAGGCTTGACTGGGGAAGGGTCCATTTCTCCACTCCTGTGGTTGATAGCAATATCTGGTTCTTTATAGCTGTAGGATTCATGCTAGAATGATTCTGCAGCACTTGCAAGAAGAGAGATTGAGAGAGAGAGAAGAAAGAGAGAGCAAATGCCCTAGCAAACAGAGTTTTATGTAATGTAACATAATCAAGAGCATAACATCCCATCACCTTTGCCATAGCTATTGGTGAGAAGAAAGTCACAGATCTCCACACTCAAGGTGAGGGGATTAGACAAAGGCATGAACACCAGGAAGCAGGGCTCCTGAGTCTCCTGAGTGCCCCCTTAGGGTCTATCTGCCACAAGCATGAAGGATGAGAATGACCCAACCACACCGATATCTGGAGAACAGCCCTCCAGGGAGAGAGAGCAGCAAAAGCAAAGTCTCAGAAGTGTGAGTGTTCCTGGAATGATTGAGACACAGAAAGGAGGACATAAGGCAGGGCCTAGAGCATCTAGGATCTTGTGGGTGTTTGAACTGGTCCTAGAGTCTGCTTTGAAAGAACAGGAACCCACTGATGAAGTTGAGCTGGAGGATGGCATGATTTTATTTATATGCTGGAAGGGTCACTGGCTGCTTTTTTTTTTTTTTTTTTTTTTGAGACAGGGTCCCACTCGGTTGCCCAGGCTGGAGTGCAGTGGTGCAATCACAGCTCACTGCAGCCTTGACCTCCCAGGCCCAGGTAATCCTCCCACCTCAGCCTCCCAAGCATCTGAGATTACAGGCACAGGCCATCATGCCCGGCCTCTGGCTGCTTTTGGAAAATAAGGGACTAGATGTAGTAAGAGTTGGTGCGTTTCAGGCAATACGACTTTTTAAATTTAAAAATATCAAATTGACAAATGAAGATTGTATATATTCAAGGTATACAATCTGATGATTTGATCCACCTGTACATTGTGTAATGATTATCACAGTCAAATTAATTAGCACATCCATTGCCACCATGCTGAGCACCTGAACTTCTTCATCTTAGAACTGGAAACTTATACCCTTTCATCAACATCTCCGCATATATCATGCTAAACAAAATAAGCCAGACTCAGAAAGACAAATTCTGCAGGATCTCACTCATATGTGTAGTCTAAAAAAGCCAAACTCACAGAAGCAACTGGTGGTTGCCAGGGACTGGTGAGTAGGTGATATTTCATTTCATTTTTATTTTTATTTTTATTTTTTTTTTGAGACGGAGTCTGGCTCTGTCCCTCAGGCTGGAGTGCAGTGGCGCGATCTCGGCTCACTGCAAGCTCCGCCTCCCGGGTTCACGCCATTCTCCTGCCTCAGCCTCCCGAGTAGCTG
This sequence comes from Homo sapiens, assembly GCF_000001405.40. Taxonomy (NCBI): domain Eukaryota; kingdom Metazoa; phylum Chordata; class Mammalia; order Primates; family Hominidae; genus Homo; species Homo sapiens. Next base: position 54,052,281 of record NC_000019.10, on the reverse strand, counting down.
GGACTACAGGGGCCCGCCACCACGCTCGGCTAACTTTTTGTATTTTTAGTAGAGACGGGGTTTCACCATGTTAGCCAGGATGGTCTCGATCTCCTGACCTTGTGATCTGCCCGCCTCGGCCTCCCAAAGTGCTGGGATTACAGGCGTGAGCCACTGCGCCCGGCCAAGTAGGTGATATTTTAACTTAGACTAAATGGTGCCACTGTGGAGATAGAAATATAGGCCAGGTGCAGTGGCTCATGCCTGGAATCCCAGTATTCTGAGTGGCCAAGGCAGGTTGATCACTTGAGGCCAGGAGTTTGAGACCAGCCTGGCCAACATGGTGAAACCCTGTCTCTACTAAAAATACAAAAATTAGCAGGGTGTGGTGGCGGGCGCCTGTAGTCCCAGCTACTTGGAAGGCTGAGGCAGGAGAATCTCTTGAACCCGGGAGGCGGAGGTTGCAGTGAGCTGAGATCATGCCACTGCACTCCAGCTTGGGTAACAGTGCAAGACTCAAAAAAAATAAAAGAAAGAAAGAATTTGGGTGAATGGTGTTCTTTGTCAAGATAGAGAAGACTGGCAAGGAATCAAACTGGAGGGGGCGTTAGCAGGGTCATTCATAAATATTTTTGTTATTAAAAATACTATCAAACTCCAGGACTATTAAGAAGAGTAATCTGAGGCTCTGTCCATGCTCTGAGGACCCAGGGAGCATCTAGGGAATGGAGAAGCCATTCTCTTTTCTGCTTCCCAAAGAAGAACAGGATGTCTATAAGTAGGACGTGAGGACTCCTGTCCCCAAGGTTCCTGTATGATTAGTGTAATTCCTTTTCTTCCCTCCTATTTTCTAGATAAACACGATGAACTTGAAGCTCCCTCAATGAAAACAGGTAAGATAATTAGAAAGGAGATGTTTTTCCCAATGAGATCTGCTTCATGATCACCTTTGCTTAAAGTGCACAAGGAGAACTTTATTTATTTGTTTGTTTGTTTGTTTGTTTGTTTTTTGAGATAGAGTCTCGCTTTGTCACCAAGGCTGGAGTACAGTGGCGCAATCTCAGCTCACTGCAACCTTCGCCTCCCGGATTCAAGCAATTTTCCTGCCTCAGCCTCCCGAATAGCTGGGACTACAGGCACGCACCACCACACCCAGCTAATTTTTGTATTTTTAGTAGAGACGGGGTTTCACCATGTTGGCCAGGCTGGTCTCGAACTCCTGACCTTGTGATCTGCCCGCCTCAGCCTCCCAAAGTGCTGGGATTACAGGCGTGAGCCACCGCACACGGCCTATTTATTTTTTTGAGAAAGAGTCTTGTTCTGTCCCCCAGGGTGGCGTGAAGTGGCACAATCTCAGCTCACTGCAACCTCCACTTCCTGGGTTCTGGGTTCAAGCAATTCTCCTGCCTCGGCCTCCCGAATAGCTGGGATTACAGGCACCCACCACCATATCCAGCTCAGTTTTGTTTTTTGTTTTTTGTTTTTAGTAGAGATGGGGTTTCACCATGTTGGCCAGGCTGGTATCAAACTCCTGACCTCAAGCAATTCCCCCGCCTCGGCCTCTCAAAGTGTTGGGATTACAGGCATGAGCCACCGCACCCGGCCTAGAAGAACTTTAAAGCCCATTTTCTCAATGTTATTGGGGAAACTGCTGTGTTTTGGGGGGTGGAGGATGAGGGGAGATAACCTCTAAAGTGCTTCCGGGTTCTGAAGAAGCTGGTGTGTAAAACAGCACAGAGTGCGTTGTTTGCCATATGACATGATGAAAAACTAGGGTGGGATTTGGGGAATAATGGGGGTGAATTTTTCAGTGACCCATTTGGGGAGTAGGACCAGGACCTACGCAGAGTAGGTACTTCAGGAATATATATAATCAAGAGTTTGTTATAACTCTAAAATTCTCAAAAATAGGTGAATATTGAATTTTTTTTCTAATGTTGCTTATTCATTAACAATTGACTAAGATTCTGTCCTCAGAGTTTCTCATAAAAATTAGAGCTTTTGGGCCAGGCGAGGTGGCTCACATCTGTAATCCCAGCACTTTGGGAGGCCGAGGTGGGCGGATCACCTGAGGTCAGGAGTTCGAAACCAGCCTGGGCAACATGGTGAAACCCTGTCTCTACTAAAAATACAAAAATTTGCTGGGCATTGTGGTGGGCGCCTGTATTCCCAGCTACTCAAGTGACTGAGGCAGGAGAATTGCTTGAACCTGGGAGGCAGAGGTTGCAGTGAGCCGAGATTACACCACTGCCCTCCAGCCTGGGCAACAGAGTGAGACTCTGTCTCCAAAAAAAAAAAAAAAAAAAAAAAATTAAAAAGTTAGAGCTTTTGGCAGCATTCGGCTGAAACAGGAACTCATCCAGACTTTAAGGGCCAAATGCAGAATATAAATTGGCATCTAGATGCTTAATCATCCTTCCTTTCAGCAAGTCATAATCTTCCTGCAACCTACTCCAAAGAGCCAAAGTTGCTGAAGGTTGTTGCTAGCAGTCTGTGCTGGTATAATCGGTTTTCAAAAAGGTATCCTCCAAAGTGTTCTTGCAAGATAACTATTTGAAACGTTTTTATTCCATGATAGTAGGCTTGGGAAATGTCTGCTACCCTAGCACTACGAACACAATTCACGTCAGGAACGTTTTCTGAGAAAGATATGAAATCTAATGGGAGAGAGGAACACAGAAGTATCAGAAACGAGGTGGGAGATCTAGTGAGGTGTGAGGGGGAGGAGGAAGAGAAGCTTTTCTATTTTGAGCTCTTGTATCATTTATTTTCTTTCTTTTTTTATTGATATATAATTCACAGTCCAAAAATTCACCCTTGTAAAGTGTCCAATTCACTGGCATTTTGTATCTTCATGAGGTAGTATAACCATCACCACTACATAATTCCAGAACATTCTCATCACCCTAAAAGAAAATCTTGTACCCATTAAGCAGTCACTCCTCATTTCCCACTTTCCCACCAGGCCCTTCCAACCATTCATATGCTTCTCTGTGTCTATGATTTTGTCTATTCTGGACATTTTGTGTAAGTGGATTCATACACTATGTGATCCTTTGTGACTAGCTCCTTTCTCTTTAGCATAATGTTTTCAAAGTTTGTCTGTACTGTAGCATGCATCAATGTTTCATTTCTTGTCATGGTGAAAAGCATCGTATTGTATGGATAGACCACATTTTGCTTATCCATTCTTTTTTTTGTTTTTGTTTTTGTTTTTTTGAGACGGAGTCTTGCTCTGTCGCCCAGGCTGGAGTGCAGTGGCACAATCTCAGCTCACTGCAACCTCCGCCTCCCAGGTTTAAGTGATTCTTTTGCCTTAACCTCCTGAGTAGCTGGACCTACAGGCGCCCGTCACCATGCCTAGCTAATTTGTGTATTTTTAGTAGAGAGGGGGTTTCACCATGTTGGCTAGGCTGGTCTCGAACTCCTGACCTCAGGTGATCCACACGCCTCAGCTTCCCAAAGTGCTGGGATTACAGACTTGAGCTACTGTGCCTGGCCCCGTTCTTCTTTTGATGGACATTTGTGTTGTCTGCACCTCTTGGCTAAAGCGAGTAATGGTGCTGGAACACTGTGGTAGGAGTATCTGTTTGTCTCCGCGCTGTAAATTATCTTGAGTATGTACCTAGAAGTGGATTTGCTAGGACATATGGTGACTATTATGTTCAACTTTTTGAGGAACTGCCAAATCATTTTCCATTGTGGCTGTATCATGTTATATTCCTTCCAGTAATATATGTGGGTTCCAATATCTCCACATCCTTGTCAACACTTACTTTTCTTTTTTTAAATTATAGCCATCCCAGTGGGTATTATATAATTTCTTAAAATGTACTTTTTGAGTTCAAATTTGTATCATCACAATTCTAAACAGAATAAAATATCTTTGCCGGGCGCAGTGGCTCACGTCTGTAATACCAGGACTTTGGGAAGATGAGGCAGGAGGATCACTTGAGCCCAGGGGTTCAAGACCAGCCTGGACAACTTGGTAAGATCCCATCTCTACAAAAAATACAAAAATTAGCCAGGCGTGGTGGTGTGCACCTGTAGTCCCAGCTACTTGGGAGGCTCAGGCAGAAAGATCGTTTGCGCCCAGGAGGTTGAGGCTTCAGTGAACTGTGATTGCGCCACAGCACTCCAGCCTGGGTGACAGAGCGAGACCCTGTTTCAGTAAATAAATAAAATAAAAGTAAAATATCTGTAAGCACAGGTATGATGTCCCCAGCCTGTATTTATATGCCTAAAACACACTAGAAAACGACTCTATGTTCAATCGCAATGTAGAGAATGAAGATGAATTTTATCACACAAGACTTGACTTTCTTTCTGGTGCCTGTGCCTCCATTTATGCCCCGTGTCAGGCTGTATCTTGTTGCTCACGCTGACTTTAGTAGCGTAGCAAGTTATGATTTATTCTGGCAATTTGCAAATACTGATGCAACATTTGGCCAGGATCTGTGGACATCTCAGGGTGAACCCAGTTCAGCTGATTATGGGGTCATATGAAGATGAGAATTTTGCAATAATGTACTTCTCATTTCTAGTGAATTGCTGTGTGAAAGATACCGTAGGCTGGAAAAGGGGAGAACAGAAAGGACAAGGCAAGGCTGCTGTTTCTCTGCTTCCATCTGGGGAAACTGAGAGTCCAGGAGCAGCTGTTCCTGCCCTGTTTTCATAAGTCCTTGGAGATGCACTGATAGAATTGTTGCTTATGGCCAGGCATGGTGGCTTATGTAATCCCAGCACTTTGGGAGGCCAAAGTGGGCAGAACACTTGAGCTCTGGAGTTTGAGACCAGCCTAACCAACATGGTGAAACCTCATCTCTACTAGAAATATAAAAAATTAGCGGGGTGAGGTGGCGGGTGCTTGTAATCCCAGCTCCTTGGGAGGCTGAGGCAGGAGAATTGCTTGAACCCCAGAGGGGGAGGTTCCAAAGCCGAGATTGTACCACTGCACTCCAGCCTGGGAGACAGAGTGAGACTGTCTCAAAAAAAAAAAAATTGTTGCTTTTGAGGGGTTCTCTGATTCAGCTCCACCAGAAGCAGGCTCTTAGACAGCATTAGTGTGAAAGTGACGTTTTATTTTATTTATTATTTATTTAGTTTTGAGACAGAGTTTCGCTCTTGTTGCCCAGGCTGGAGTGCAATGGCGTGATCTTGGCTCACTGCAACCTCCGCCTACCAGGTTCAAGAGATTCTCCTGCCTCAGCCTCCCAAATAGCTGGGATTACAGGCATGCACCACCACACCCAGCTAATATTCTATTTTTAGTAGAGACGGGGTTTCTCCATGTTGGTCAGGCTGGTCTCGAACTCCTGACCTCAGGTGCTCTGCCTGCCTCGACCTCCCAAAGTGCTGGGATTACAGGTGTGAGCCACCACGCCTGGCTTGAAAATTACATTTTAGGGAGTGGGGAAGAAGGGCTGGGAGGAAAATAGATTAAACAAGTGTGGGATATCTGTGTCCCTCAGATGGTATCTTTGGCTCCATCCTGCAGAAAGCAGTGGAGACAGAGAAGGTCGAAGACCAGAGGCTAGGGAGCTGGGGTCCCCACAGCCGTCAGTGGCAGTTTGTCCCGGGCATGTAAATTCCAAGGCATTTGGAGTTCTCCCAGGCAGTCCCCCAAAGAAGAGATACAAATGTTCACTTTGGAAAGGGAAAGAAGCCACGATCTAGAATGCATAAAAATGGGAAAGGGATCTGGGGAACATGGGTTGAGGAACATTGACAGAATCTATTACAGAGAGAGATGGGTGTAGGTGGAATATTGGGTGAAAAAAAATCATCATTATACCTACAATCCCATTATCCGACACAATGAGTCAGTTTCTAGACTGAGCGCTTTAAAGCCAGGATTTTTCATCATTACCTAACTCTTCAAGTTAGATATTATTAGCTCTCTGCCCCCTCCTTATATTTAACCAAAAAATAACGTATTCCAGAAAGGGAAGGGAACATTTACAAAGTCAGGAGGTAGGAGACCCAGTACTAGAACTCAAATATGTCTTGTTTCAAACTCCCCACTCCTTTTGCTGCTCCCTGATGATCAGCTCAGAAAGAACCTTATTTCAGGGAGGGGGATAGATAGATAATTAGATGTGATAGATAATAGGCAAGTAGGCAGATAAATAGATAACTAGATATGATAGATTAGATAGATACATAGATGATAGGTAGATAAGTAGCTAGATACGATGGACAGATTAGATAGATAGACAGATGATAGGTAAGTAGGTAGATAGATAACTAGATACAACAGGTTAGATAAGTAAGTAGATAGATAACTAGATATGATAGATTAGATAGATAAATAGACGATAGGTAAGTAGGTAGATAGATACAGATAGATTAGCTAGCTAGCTAGATGATAGATAACTAGATATAATAGATAAGATAGATGATTAGATAGACAGATAATTAGATATGATTGATAGATACATTAGATAGATGATAGATTAGATAGATAGATGATAGGTAACTAGGTAGCTAGATAAAGCTAGCTAGATAGATAGATAGATATACAGATACACAGATAGATACATAGATACCTAGATAGGTGATAGAGTTGCAAGATAGAAAAATTAGATAAGTAGGTGGATAGATAGATAGATAACTAGATAGAATAGATTAAATAGATAATAGTAGGTGAATAGACAGATACATACAGATGATAGATGATAGATGATAGATAACTGGTTATGATTGATAGATACATTAGATAGATGATAGATTTGGTAACTAGATGATAGGTAAGTCGGTAGATAGATAAGTGATAATTAGATATGATAGGATGGATAGATTAGACAGACAGCAGGTAAGCAGGTGGATAGACAGATAAAGATAGATACATAGATGCCTAGATAAGTGATAGATTAACAAGATAGAAAAATTAGACAGACAGATAGTTAATTACATATGATAGGATAGATAGATTGGATAGGTGATAGGCAAGTAGGTAGATAGATAAATCATAATTAGATAGGACGGATAGATTGGATAGATGATAGGTAAGTAGGTACAGAGACAGATAAAGATAGATAGGTAGATAGATAATAGATACCTAGACAGATGGTAGATAGATTAGCGAGATAGATAAATTAGATAGGTAATTCTCTATATATAGATATGTAGAAATGCCAATGCAAACATAGCGAACCAAGTAGGGGAAGCGTCTGGATGGGAGACCCTCTGTTGGTGCAGAGGACCAGGCGTGTGAAGCATCTCAGACTTGGCTCTGTAATGTGACCACAGATCATTGCACACCTAGGAAAAATTCTCAGACTCAAAGCACACTAACAAAGATAGCGGGGGTCTTGGTGAAGCCCCTTTCTGGGGCCTCACTTCTATAGTTGCTCAACTTTTTTCCTTAATCACGTTTCTGCTACTTACTCCTTAAAGTCTCACGACTTGTGTTTCTTGAATCTAAAGTGCCAAGAAAAACAAAAAACGGGGGGGAACTGCATGGACTCTGTCGCCTAGCTTTAGTAACAGGTTGCTCTCTCTTCCTCAACGCTGTGAGCTTTGGACACAACCCTTGCTGTAATCCCAGGAGTCACACGGGAATGCATGCCCTTCACCAGTGGGAGGGAAATAATTGTACTACCTTGCAGGGTTGTTGTTAAGACTTTAAAACGCTATGATGTAGACTTGCATGGCAATATTGCTCAAGAACTAGTTTTTTTTGTTTTGTTTTGTTTTTGTTTTTTAATTGGTAGAAATTTTATCTCCTGAGAGGGATGCTTTTTTGAGTTGGAGTCTTGGTCAGTTGAGTGTATGATGCAGTGATGCGATCTCGGCTCACTGCAACCTCCGCCTCCCAGGTTCAAGCAATTCTCTTCTCTCAGCCTCCTGAGTAGCTGGGACTACAGGCGTGCGCCACCATGCCCAGCTTATTTTTTATATTTTCAGTAGAGACAGGGTTTCACCATGTTGGCCAGGCTGGTCTCGAACTCCAGACCTCAAGTGATCCACCTACTTCACTCTCCCAAAGTGCCAGGATTACAGGCGTGAGCCACCGTGCCCGGCCACTGGTCATTCTTTTCTACCCTGCTCTAACCCTGTTCTTATTAGGAATCCTCCCTGAATTCTCCCAGCTGATCCCTTGTTCTGTGTCTTGGGGAATCATGTCTCCTTCAGAGAGCCCCACCCCTCCCCACTCTAAACGCCTTCCATGCCCGTGTCACTGCTGTTCATTACCTGGCATCAACGAGCTCATTGAAGTGTGTTTGAAGTTGGCTGGGCGTGGTGGTCTGTACTCCCAGCTACCCTGGAGGCCGAGTGAGGAGGACCACTTGAGCCCAGGAATTCGAGTATGATCACACCACTGCACTCTAGCCTGGGCAACAATGGGAACCCATTGGCACATCTGGGATTGGCATCCTGAGCTCCCATCTGTGACCTCCCTCCTCTCCCCTCCTCTCCCCTCCATTGCCCTCACCCTCTCCCCATAATCTTCACATCCCGTCCTTTCACATCTCTCTCTCTCCTTTAAAAAAAGAAAAAGGAAATATGTTTGAAGTTAAGAGCTGAGATCATGTCTGTGTTAGCCAGGGTTTTCCAGAAAAACAGAACCAATAGAACATATAGATATAAGCTGGGTGTGGTGGCTCACGCCTGTAATCCCAGCACTTTGGGAGGCCGAGGCAGGCAGATTGCCTGAGGTCAGTAGTTCAAGACCAGCGTGGCCAACATGGCGAAACCCCGTCTCTACTAAAAATACAAAAATTAGCCGGGCGTGATGGTGGGCACCTGTAATCCCAGCTACTCAGGAGGCTAAGGCAGGAGAATTGCTTGAACCCGGGAGGCGGAGCTTGCAGTGAGCCAAGATTGCACTATTGCACTCCAGCCTGGACGATAAGAGTGAGACTTTGTCTCAAAAAAAAAAAAGAGAACATATACATGTATATACATATATGGAGAGAGAGATTGATTTTAATGGATTGGTTCACGTGATTGTGGGGAGCTGGCAAGTCTGAAATCTGCAGGGCAGGCAGGCAGGGGATCCAGGGGAGACTTGATATTGCAGCTTGAGTCTGGAGGCAGAATTCCTTCCACCTTGGGGGACCTCAGTCTTTTCTCTTAAAGTCTTAAAGTCTTCAACTGATTGGATGAGGCCCACCCCTATGACAGTGGGTCATCTGCTTTACTCAAAGTCTATTGGTCGAAATGTCCAGCTCCAAGGAAGTTCCAGCTCCAAGGTGGGAGATCCAGGCTTGGAAGCCAGGCCATCTGTCTGGCTTCTCTTAGCTTTTCTACTCACCCCATCAGTGGATTTCAGACAGTGATTACACAGACAGATGTGGTGGCTCACGCCTGTAATCCCAACTACTCAGGAGGCTGAGTCAGGAGAATTGTTTGAACCAGGGAGGTGGAGGTTGCAGTGAGCCAGGATCACACTCCAGCCTGGGTGACAGAACACGACTCCATCTCAAAAAAAAAAAAGTGTGTATATATATATATATATGTATATATATATATATATATATATATATATATACACATTTATATATACACACACATATATATACATTTATATATATATATACACACACACACACGTATATATATATATGGAGCACCTGGAACAGAGCTGGCTCACAATAAATGATCAATATCATTGCTATGCACCAAACATTCCCTGGGAATTTTTGGAATTTCCTATGCGCCAAGCACTGTTCCAGCCCTTTCTATAGGTACTGACCCACCATCCAATAAAGTAGCTACTGCTGCTATCCTCACTTTACAGATGGGGAAACAGAAGCTTGGAGAAGATTAAGGAAATTCCCCAAAGCAATAGGAAGTTCCAGCTCCGAGGTGGGAGATCCAGGCTTGGAAGCCAGGCCATCTGTCTGGCTTCTCTTAGCTTTTCGGCTCGCCCCTATCAGTGGATTTCAGGAGCCAGGCTGATTCCCTGACCTGCTCTTCCCCCTCCAGACACCAGAACCATCTTTGTCGCCATCTTCAGCTGCATCTCCATCCTTCTCCTCTTCCTCTCAGTCTTCATCATCTACAGATGCAGCCAGCACAGTGAGCTCAGAGAACGCAAAGGGAGAGAGGGGGAGTGAAGGATTTTCTCGGTAGGTAAATTCCTCCTGCATTTTTTGTAGGTTCATCATCTGAGGAATCCACCAAGAGGTAGATGCTTGGCATAGCTCATGCTCCACTTATTCCCATGTCATTCTCAAGGGAACCCATTGGCACATCCGGGATTGGCACCCTGAGCCCCCACCCCAGCCCATTCTGTGACCTTCCTCCTCTCCCTTCTTCTCCCTTCCTCTCCCCTCCATTGCCCTCACCCTCTCCCCGAAATCTTCACATCCCATCCTTTCACGTGTGTCTCTCTCTTTCAGAACCAGCCATTCCAAACTTCCGGAGCAGGAGGCTGCCGGTAAGGGACAGGGGAAGTTTAAGGGAATCACCGGATAGAAAGACTAAGTTCTGACTTCTGCAGCTGAGAACTGATTTTTTTTTTTCCTTTCTCACTCAGAGGCAGATTTATCCAATATGGAAAGGGTATCTCTCTCGGTGAGTCCTCCCGCTTAGGAGTCCCACAAGAGCTCCCTCACCACAATGGGCTGGTCGTGTGTGCCTCCTGGTTAAGCCCATACAGAAATGTATACTGTTTATCACGCATGTGGTCTTAGACAAGTCACGAAACTCCCCTAATGGGAACCAAAATCTCCATTTAAAAGGCTTATGCATGGGCCGGGCGCGGTGGCTCACGCCTGTAATCCCAGCACTTTGGGAGGCCGAGGCGGGCGGATCATGAGGTCAGGAGATCGAGACCATCCTGGTTAACATGGTGAAACCCCATCTCTACTAAAGATACAAAAAATTAGCTGGGCGTGGTAGTGGGCGCCTGTAATCCCAGCTACTCAGGAGGCTGAGCCAGGAGAATGGCTTGAACCCGGGAGGCGGAGGTTGCAGTGAGCCGAGATCACGCCACCGCACTCCAGCCTGGGCGACAGAGCCAGACTCTGTCCCAAAATAAATAAATAAATAAAAATTTAAAAAAAATGAAAAAAGGCTTACGCAGATCCATTGATGTCACAGGCATAAAGGGTTATAAAAACAGAAAAGAAAAAGAAATGCATCTGGTGTGACCGAGGACCTGGGTTTTAAATTAAATTTAATTGTAATTAACTTAAATGTCAATAGCCATGTGTGGCTAGTGGCTGCCATATTGAACACTCAGTTCTAATATTCATCTATTTTCTCCAAAGACGGCAGACCCCCAAGGAGTGACCTATGCTGAGCTAAGCACCAGCGCCCTGTCTGAGGCAGCTTCAGACACCACCCAGGAGCCCCCAGGATCTCATGAATATGCGGCACTGAAAGTGTAGCAAGAAGACAGCCCTGGCCACTAAAGGAGGGGGGATCGTGCTGGCCAAGGTTATCGGAAATCTGGAGATGCAGATACTGTGTTTCCTTGCTCTTCGTCCATATCAATAAAATTAAGTTTCTCGTCTTAAAAAGAAATCTGACTTATTTATGGATTATTCATGCCCAAGAACCCCACCATACTCTTTCTACCCCACATTTCCTCCTAGAACAATTCAAGGAAATAATAAATAATGATTGACCAGCTATCCAGGAAAGAATGTAAGAATTACTGAGCATCTCCAGGAAGCACAACAAGCAAAAAAGAAAACGGCCGGGCTCACGCCTGTCATCCCAGCACTTTGGGAGGCCGAGGTGGGTGGATCATCTGAGGTCAGAGTTCAAGACCAGCCTGACCAACATGGTGAAATCCCATCTCTACTAAAAATAAAAAATTAGTTGGACGTGGTGGCAGGCGCCTGTAATCCCCGCTACTTGGGAGACTGAGGCAGAAGAATCGCTTGAACCCAGGAGGCAGAGATTGCAGTGAGCTGAGATGGCGCCATTGAATTCCAGCCTGGGCAATGGAGTGAGACTCCATCTCAAAAAAAAAAAAAAAAAAAAACAAAAAACGCCCAGAGCTGCAAACTCCTAGACCAGAGGGCAGAAAACAAAAGGACCAGAGAGTAACACGTCCAGCTTTGTGGGCTGTAGGATCTCTGCTGAGACTACCCCACTCTGCTGTTGTACCATGAAAGCAGCCATCGCTGATATGTAAACAAGTAGGTGTGGCGGTGTTAGAATAAAACTTTATTTACAACTTCATGTTCTCACTCATGTAGGAGCTAAAAAAGTAGATCTCATGAAGGTAAAGAGAGAGTCAGTTATCAAAGGCTAGAAGGGGTGGGATAGTTAATGGGCACAAACACAGTTGGATAGAAGGAATAAGTTCAAGTGTTCAATAGCACAGAAGGGTGACTATAGTTAACAGCAATATATTGTATATTTCAAAATAGCTAGAAGAGAAGATTTGAAACATTCCCAACACAAACGATAAATGAGCCAGGTGCAGTGGCTCACTCCTGTAATCCCAACACTTTGAGAGGCCAAGATGGGTGGATCACCTGAGGTCAGGAGTTCAAGACCAGCCTGGCCAACAAGGTGAAACCCCATCTCCACTAAAAATACAAAAATTAGCTGGGTGTGGTGGCGCACACCTGTAATCCCAGCCACTTGGGAGGCTGAGGCAGAAGAATTGCTTGAACTCGGGAGGCAGAGGTTGCAGTGAGCCAAGATCACACCACTGTACTCCAGCCTGGGCGACAGAGAGAGACTCTGTCTCGAAAAGATAAAAAAAAAGATAAATGTTTGAGGTGGTGAATATCCTAAATACCCTAATTTGAGTATTATACATTCTGTGCATGTATCAAACTATCACATGTATGTCATAAATATGCATAAATATTATGTATCTATAGAAAGTTTTTTTTTTTTTGATGGAGTCTTGCTCTGTCGCCCAGGCGCCAGAGTGCAGTGGCGTGATCTCAGCTCGCTGCAACCTCTCCCCGCAGGTTCAAATGATTCTCCTGTCTCAGCCTCCTGAGTAGCTGGGATTACAAGCTTCTGCCATCACACCAGGCTAATTTTTTTGTATTTTTAGTAGAGATGGGGTTTCACCATGTTGGCCAGGCTGGTCTTGAGCTCCTGACCTCAAGTCATCCGCCTGCCTCGGCTTCCCATAGTGCTGGGATTACAGGCGTGAGCCACCGTGCCCAGCCCAGAAAGTTGTTTTAAAAACAAAAAATTTTATTTGCAAAAACAAGCTGTGGGCTCTAGCGTGCCAACCCTTGTGCTAGGCCAGTGCTTTTTAAAGTCTGCTTGGGCCATCACCCCAACCACTTCTGGCCCTGATGAGGGTCCAGGGCATGAGAGGGAAGGAGAGAGTGTCTTAGTCCATCCAGGCTGCTATCAACATACCAAAGACCTGGCAGCTTACAGACAACACATAGTTATTTCTCATGGTTCTGGAGGCTGGAAGTCCAAGACCAAAGCACTGGTAGATTCAGTGTCTGCTGAGGGCTTTTTTCCTGGTTCATAGCTGGCACCTTCTTGCTGTGTCCTTACATAGTGAAAGAGACTGGGCCGGGCGCAGTGGCTCACGCCTGTAATCTCAGGACTTTGGGAGACCGAGTGGGGGGCGGATCACCTGAGATCAGGAGTTCGAAACCAGCCTGACCAACACGGTGAAACCCCATCTCTACTAAAAATATAAAAATTAGCTGGGCGCAGTGGTGGGTGCCTGTCATCCCAGCTACTTGGGAGGCTGAGGCAGGAGAATTGCTTGCACCTGGGAGGCGGAGGTTGAAGTGAGCCGAAATCGTGCCACTGCACTCCAGCCTGAATGACAGAGCCAGACTCCATCTCAAAAAAAAAAAAAAAAAAAAGAGTGAAGGCTTAATAAGCAAAAGAAAGAGAAAAGAGAATAGTTCTCTCTTTTGCACAGAGAAGAGAGGGGTTCCCGAGTGGGACCCCTGGTTTTGTGGTGAAATGCATGGGGCTTTTATAGACAAGCTTGAGGAGGTGCTGTCTGATTTACATAGGGCCTGAGAGATTAGTCGGACCAGGTATGACGTTTGCATAGCCCCCAAAGAAGCTGGCCATCCCACCCTAATCTTTTATTACGTAGGTAGGGTCTCTGCCTGGCCGGGGCCATGTTGTCTGCTTTTTTACTGCACATGTGGGGACAAAGAAAAGGGAAGAGGGAACCTCCATGTTGAATATACCCGGCTCCCAGGCATCCGTTTTCTATTGGCACAGCTGATGCAAGATTTTAGCTTGTTTATCTATGCTTGCAGCTTGATGTTTCAGGCTGCTTTCTGTTAGAAAAGAAATTATTTGGGGGCTGCTCTTTATTAATAGGAAACCTTACTGAGGACTCTCTTACCCTCACTGTCTGCCTCAATAATTTCTTTTTAGCTCCCGTATTACAAATACCATCACCTTGGGGTTAGGTTCCAACAGCTGAATTTTGTCGGGACACAAACATTGAGTTTACAATACCCATGAAGCTGTCTCTGCTTGTATCTTGTCCTAACCAGAAGCTCCCAGGATTGCTGCATCTGAAGGAACAACCTTGATATATGGCTTGTGTCTGTGTCCCCACCCAAATCTCATCTTCAGTTGTAGCTCCCATAATTCCCATGTGTTGTGGGATGGACCCAGTGGGAGATAATTCAATCATGGGGGTGGATTCCTGCAGGGTCCTATGGGGCTTTGCAGGTGTTCTCCCCGTGTGCAGAGATAAGAGATTGTAAGAAATAAAGACACAAGACAAAGAGATAAAGAGAAAACAGCTGGGCCCGGAGGACCACAACCATCAAGACGCGGAGACCGGTAGTGGCCCATAACGGCTGGGCGCGCTGATACTTATTGCATACAAGATAAGGGGGCAGGGTAAGCAGGGTGAATCTTCGAAGTGATTGACAAGGTGAAGCAAGTCGTGTGATCACAGGAGAGGGGGCCCTTCCCTCTTAGGTAGCCGAAGCAGAGAGAGAGGGAGAAGGCAGCATACGTCAGCGTTTTCTTCCATGCACTTATAAGAAAGATCAAAGACTTTAAGACTTTCACTATTTCTTCTACCGCTATCTACTATGAACTTCAAAGAGGAGCCAGGAGTACGGGAGGAGCATGAAAGTGGACAAGGAGTGTGAGCACTGAAGCACAGCACCACAGGGAGGGGTTTAGGCCTCCGGATGACTGCGGGCAGGCCTGGATAATATCCAGCCTTCCACAAGAAGCTGGTGGAGCAGAGTGTTCCCTGACTCCTCCAAGGAAAGGAGACTCCCTTTCACCGTCTGCTAAGTAACGGGTGCCTTCCCAGACACTGGCGTTACCGCTTGACCAAGGACCCCTCAAGCGGCCCTGATGCACGCGTGACAGAGGGCTCACCTCTTGCCTTCTAGGTCACTTCTCACCATGTCCCTTCAGCACCTGACCCTATACCCGCCGGTTATTCCTAGGTTATATTAGTAATGCAGCAAAGAGTAATATTAAAAGCTAATGATTAATAATGTTTATAATAATGATTGATAATTGTCCATGATCATCTCTACATCTAATTTGTATTATGACTATTCTTATTCTATTTTCTTTATTATACTGCAACAGTTTGTGCCTTCAGTCTCTTGCCTCAGCACCTGGCTAATCCTCCACCCACACATTCCCCCATGCCGTTCTCATGGTAGTGAACAAGTCTCAGGAGAGCTGAGGTTTTTATAACGGGTTTCCCCTTTTGCTTGGCTCTCTCATTTCTCTGTCGTCTGCCACCATGTAAGATGTGCCTTTCACCTTCTGCCATGATTGTGAGGCCTCCCCAGCCATGTGGAACTGTAAGTCCGTTATACCTCTTTTTTAAAAAGTAAACTGACTGGGCGCAGTGGCTCACGCCTGTAATCCCAGCACTCTGGGAGGCCGAGGCGGGTGGATCATGAGGTCAGGAGATCGAGACCATCCTGGATAACACAGTGAAACCCCGTCTCTACTAAAAATACAAAAAATTAGCCGGGCGCGGTGGCGGGCGCCTGTAGTCCCAGCTACTCAGGAGGCTGAGGCAGGAGAATGGTGTGACCCCGGGAGGCGGAGCTTGCAGTGAGCGGAGATCGTGCCACTGCACTCCAGCCTGGGTGACAGAGTGCGTCTCAAAAAAATAAATAAATAAAAATAAAAATAAAAATAAATTACTCAGTCTCAGGTATGTCTTTATCAGCAGTGTGAAAACAGACTAACGCAAACTTCTTCGCTCCCCCTCCCCTCACTACACAGTCCCAGGTTGCAGTGTGGAGGCCACATAGGGAGTAGCAAGGTGGGGAGGAGTGTCTCTTTGTTTTCTTGCCACAGAGAGTCATTCTTTTTTAAGCTTGGGAGTTCTTGGTGGCCATCTGTCTCGCCATGTGGAGGAAGCCAGTCTTTATGGAGAAACACAAAGATGACTCAGGGAGCATCCGGGAAGCGGGAGTGAGTAACAGTGCTTTCAGCTTTTGTTTTCTTGGTTCTAATTGCTTCCAAAGCTCAGCATTCCTTCACTCCCTGCAGTTTTCTTGCCCAATCCTTCTTGAACCAAAAAAACCCAAAAAGTCCTCCTTTGATTCTAAGCTATTCTGAGAATGGATTTTGTTTTGATTGAAGGGTCCTGGCAAACATTATTAAAATGGGTGGCCCTAATGGATATCCTTTATGGACATCTATGCTGGTAGTCACACTCACTGAATTACCATAGTGAGGACTCAGCTCTGATTTTTTTTTTTTATCTTGCCCAGATTCTTATCTAAGGGGTCTGGGGTCTCATGCCCTACAAACCATAAATTCTCATCAGATGGGTTTTATTTAGCCCTATATATCGTGACTTACTTTCCAATCTGACTCTGGCATAACATTACCTAACAAAGAAGAAAATAAAAATATTTTACCCCAAAACATGTTTCTTTGCCATATTTTTAAATGGCCCTGCAAAGCTGTCCTTGGTGGGGGGGAATATTTGCATATGTAAAGGATCTCTGTTAACATTGCTAGATCTTTTTCCTCCAGGACCTCCCAATCCTGAGGAGGTTAACTGAGAATCTAGCAACTTTTGAAGGTCTGAGTAGGAAACATTTGTCATCTATTGTCTCTAAGGGCAGCCACTATAAGACTTCAAAAGAACCTTGGTCTCCACAATCTTTTATCTTAACCTGAATATTTCCTCTCTATTAATCCCAGGTCTTTAGACAAACTCAACCAATTGTCAACCAGAAAATGTTTTAATTTACCTAAAGCCTGGAAGGCCCTGCCTCCTTCAAATTGTCCAGCCTTTCTGGACCAAACCAATGTATTTCTCAAATGTGTTTGATTGATGCCTCACGCCTCCCTAAAATGTATAAAACCAAGCTGCCCCCCGACCACCTTGGGTACATGGTCTCAGGACCTCCTTAGGGCTGTGTCAGGGGCCATGGTCATTATCATATTTGGCTCAGAATAAATCTCTTCAAATATTTTATAGAGTTTGACTCTTTTTGTCAACAAGAGTAAGTCTTGATATGTGATACGATCTGAGGGAGGCTCGGATCCACAGCTGGGGTTTGGACAGCTGTAGCATCACCCTGGGAGCTCCCGCCCCAACTCGGAAGGGGCAGGGCTCCCTGCGGCTCCATAGCGTGTATAGCCCGGGCTGGGCCTCCCTGGGGCAGGTGGCGTCATGGCAGCAGCAAGCCGTCTGGAGTGGCTGCTGCCATCACCAAAGGCCCAACCTCTCAGATCACATTGGGTGTCAAGATTTAACATGAGGCCGGGCGCGGTGGCTCACGCCTGTAATCCCAGCACTTTGGGAGGCCGAGGTGGGTGGATCATGAGGTCAGGAGATCGAGACCATCCTGGCTAACATATCTCTACTATAAATACAAAAAATTAGCCAGGTGTGGTGGCGGGTGCCTGTAGTCTCAGCTACTCGGGAGGCTGAGGCAGGAAAATGGCATGAACCTGGGAGGCGGAGCTTGCAGTGAGCCGAGATCCATCATTGCACTCCAGCCTGGGTGACAGAGCAAGACTCTGTCTCAAAAAAAAAAAAAAAAAAAAAGATTTAATATGTGGCCAGGCGCGGTAGCTCACACCTGTAATCCCAACACTTTGGGAGGTCAAAGTGGGAGGATCATGGGGTCAAGAGATCGAGACCATCCTGGCCAATATGGTGAAACCCTGCCTCTACTAAAAATACAAAAATTAGCTGGGAATAGTGGCACACGCCTGTAGTCCCTGCTACTCAGGAGGCTGAGGCAGGAGAATTGCTTGAACCCAGGAGGCAGAGGTTGCAGTGAGCCGAGATCACACCATTGCACTCCAGCCTGGGCGACAGAGGGAAACTCTGTCTCAGAAAAAAAAATAGAAAAGATCTAACATATGAATCTGTGGAAAGCACCGCCATGCAGCACAGGCCCAGGATTTGAAGTAAACTGAAGAGGCTCAACACATGTGGAGGTGGCTTTGTAAATAACTTCAGGAAACTAACTGAGGGTCATGTACCAGCAGGAGCAACTTCATAAAGGGGCCATGGAGAACCTGAGTTCCTTGCTGTTAAAAAGGAATATATAAATCCTGTTAGTTCAGAGAAAGCACAGATCATCAGTCTGATGAGGATAGGGCTTAATTATGGGCTGAATTACATCTCCTCAAAATTCGTGTGCTGAATCCTAACTCCCAGTAACTCAGAATGTGACTGTATTTAGAGACAAGAGGCCGTTGTGAAAAAAGGAAATTTGGACATAAAAAAGACACTAGGGGCTACGTGTGGTGGCTCACGCCTGTAATTTCAGCACTTTGGGAAGCCCAGGTGGGCGGATCGCCTGAGGTCAGGAGTTCAAGACCAGCCTGGCCAACATGGCCAAACCCCATGTCTACTAAAAATACAAAAATTAGCTGGGCGCGGTGGTGCACGCCTGTAATCCCAGCTACTCGATAGGCTGAGGCAGGGGAATCGCTTGAATCCAGGAGGCAGAGGCTGCAGTGAGCTGAGATCGTGTCATTGCACTCCAGCTGGGCAACAGAGTAAGACTCCAACTCAAAAAAAAAAAAAAGAAAAGGACACCAGGATATGTACATCCAGAGGAAAGACCACGTGGAGACACAGCAAGAAGGCGGCCATCTGCATACAAAGCAGAGAGACCCCGGGAGAAACTGACCCTACTGGCACCTCCATCTTGGATTTCCAGCCTGCAGAACGGTGAGAAAATCCATTTCTGTCCCATAAGCCCCCCAGTGGGGGGCATTTTGTTATGGCTTCCCTAGCACACAACTGTAGGTGGTAAACATATTTTAAACATTATAGTGATCATTTGTAAAAAAAAAAAAAAAAAAAAATTCAAAGAAATATATTTTCTACAGCTTCTCTTTATGATACCCTATGTTCCAAAGGCTACCTATTGTATTTTCTAGAAGACTATAAGAATTTTTCACACATGCTGGGGCCTGTCAGAGGGTGGAGGGTGGTAGCAGAGAGAGGATCAGGAAAAATAACTAGTGGGTACTAGGCTTAATAACTGGGTGATAAAATAATCTGATAATCAGGAAGTAGTAAATACACTAGAAAAAAAATAATCTGTACAACAAACCCCCATGACACACGTTTACCCGTGTAACAAACCTGCACATCCTGCCCATGTACCCCTGAACTTAAATGTCAAAAAAAAAAAAAGAATTTTTCTAGTATCATGCCAGGCTCTGTGGTTCATGCCTGTAATCCCAGCACTTTGGGAGGCTGAGGCAAGTTGATTGCTTGAGCATAGGAGTTCGAGACCAGCCTGGGGAAAATGGTAAAACCCTGTCTATACTAAAAATACAAAAATTAGCTGAGCATGGTGGTGCATGCTTGTAGTCCGGGCTACTCTAGAGGCTGAGGCAGGAGGATCGCTGGAGCCCAGGAGGTGGAGGCTGCAGTGAGCCATCATTGCACCACTGCACTCCAGCCTGGGTGACAGAGTGAGACCCTGTCTCAAAAAAAAAAAAATCAATTTTTCTAGTGCTATACATTTAATTTTTTTTTCTGTTATGAACATTAGGTTTCTTTGCCTTATTGTTTCAAATTCTTTGGAAGCATTGTTCAATCAATCACATGAGCACAATAGTTGGTACAAAACAGTCATTATTTTGAAAGACCATCACCTGATATGAACAGTTCATTCATAAACTTGAGCCTTTTTTTGTTTTTGTTTTTGTTTTTGAGACAGAATCTTGCTCTGTTGCCCAGGCTGGCGTTCAGTGGCACGATCTCTGGTCACTGCAACCTCCACCTCCCAGGCTCAAGTGATTCTCCTGCCTCAGCCTCCCAAGTAGCTGGGATTACAGGTGCCTGCCACCACGTCCAGCTAATTATTTATTTATTTAATTTATTTTTTGAGACGGAGTTTCACTCTTGTCACCCAGGCTGGAGTGCAGTGGCACGATCTTGGCTCACTGAAACCTCCACCTCCTGGGTTCAAGCAATTCTCCTGCCTTAGCCTCCTGAGTAGCTGGGATTACAGGCGCCCACCACCATGCCGGGCTAATTTTTGTATTTTTCGTAGAGACGGGGTTTCACCATGTTAGCCAGGCTGGTCTCAATCTCCCAGCCTCAGGTGATCTGCCTGCCTCAGCTTCCCAAAGCACTGGGATTACAGGTGTGAGCCACCGTGCCTGGCTGAGTTTGTTTTGTTTTAAAGACCTCAGGGATGTACCTCTAATTGACACTACATCACATTAATCAATAGCTGCACTTTTTGCAAACTGTGGCTATGACAGTCCTGAACAAGAAGGGTTTCCTGCTTAAGCTGCAGTAACTTTTCTGACTATGGATCATTGTTCCTTCTGTGGCAGATTTTTACACCTCCTCTAATGCATTTGGGATGACTGTCTCCAAGTAACCTGCAGCTTTCCTCACTGTCTCTCCTGCTAAGAACTGTTGCCCTTTTCTGCTGTTTTTAGAACCTTCTGTTTTCATATCCACCAGTTCCACGGCCAGATCTATAACGACCACCAGAGGGACTGCCTGAGCTTCTTCCACCAAAACTGCCCCGCATAAACTTGAGCTTTTAAGCGGCATTATATATAAGCCCTATACGAGTTTAACTTGATCTTGTTAAGGTAAACAATCTGTTCAGTCTCACTTTCTTTTTGCATTGATAATTTTAATAATGTCTGATCATTTACTTTCTAAAATCACAAATGCAGTAGCAAGTTTTGGCCAGTTTCATTTTCTTAACTTTTCTCCTCCACATGGGACATGCTACGGGAAGAGGCTTAGAATCGTGGAAAGAGGAGAGTCATCTGCTTTCAGTGCTGGATACAAGGGCAGGTTGTGTGACCTTGGGAACACGTGTTAAAATCTCCAGAACTGCATGTGCCTTTCCTCATCGTGAAGACACAGATCTCGAATAGGGTTGTTGTAGATAGTATGACCAACTGTTACCGTTTTACCAGGATTGGTGTGTGCAGGGGCGTGTGTGTGTGTCTTAGGATGTGGGACTTTCGGTTTTAAAATAGAAATGAGGAATTTCCCAGGACACAGAAATTTCAGGGCTAAACCAGAGAAAATCCTGGGCGAACCGGAACAATTTGGTTGCCCTAGTTGTAAGCACGTGAGTTGCAAAGATGTAGGTGTGATTATTCCCTTGATTCAGTAAACAATTTTTTTCTTTTTTCCCATTGCCCTATCAACCCAACTCCTAGGTCTAATTCTTTACCTGTGCCCTTGGGTGACATGTAAAGCAAGTCTCATAACTTTTTTTTTTTTTGAGACAGTCTTGCTCTGTTGCCCAGCCTGGAGTGCTATGGTGCAGTCATGGTTCACTGCAACCTCTGCCTCCCAGGTTCAAGTGATTCTCCTGCCTCAGCCTCCCGAGCAGCTGGGATTACAAGCATGTGCTACCACGCCCAGCTAATTTTTGTATTTTTAGTAGAGACAGGGTTTCGCCATGTTGGCCAGGCTGGTCTCGAACTCCTGACCTTAAGTGATCCGCCCACCTTGGCCTCCCAAAGTGCTAGGATTACAGGTGTGAGCCACTGCGCCCGGCCTTCTCATAATTTTTATAGTCATCTTAGGTCATAAAGACTTCCAGCTGCTTCTTAAAAAAGTCACATACAAGAAAAAAATACAGTGTCAGCTCAGTGATTAAAATCCTTTCGGCAGGTTGCCTGCAACGTGGAGGAAGCGTGGTCAGCTTTTCCTTTATCTCCCCACGTGGAGCTTCTCCTGCTTCCCCCACTCTCTTGCAAGGCTGCAGACCTCTCACCTGCAGTTCCCTTGATGCCTGTAAATGCAGCTCCTCCACTTGGTCACATTACTGAATCCTTGGGGATCCGTCAGTACATTTCCAGCTTCTCTCTGCAGACTTCACCTCCTACCTCCAGGTGGCGCTCCTGCAAAGGATAAAAGCTCCTGGTACATTCATTCTCATATTCATTCTCTCTCCCCCCTCTCCCCCCCTCCCCCATTTCTCCCCTCTCCCCTCTCTCCCCTCCCACCCTCTCTCTCTCCTCCCACCCTCTCTCTCCAGTGAGGAAAGACCCTGTGTTAGCCCGTTCTCACACTGCTATAAATAGCCGAGGCCGTGTGTGGTGGCTCACACCTGTAATCTTAGCACTTTGGGAGGCTGAGGTGGGCGGATCACTTGAGGTTAGGAGTTCGAGACTAGCCTGGTCAACATGGTGAACGCCACCTCTACTAAAAATACAAAATTAGCCGGCTATTGGCGCATGCCTGTTGTCCCAGTTACTCGGTAGGCTGAGGCAGGAGAATCGCTTGAACCCAGGAGGCGGAGGTTGCAGTGAGCTGAGATTGCACCACTGCACACCAGCCTGGATGACAGGGGGGCTCAGTCTCAAAAAAAAAAGAAAGAGATTTAATTGACTTACAATTCCACATGGCTAGGGTGGCCTCAGGAAACTACAGTCATGGCAGAAGGGGAAGGAGAAGCAAATATCTTCTTCACAAGGCAACAAGAGAGAGAGAAGAGCAAGCAAAGGAGGAACTTGCCAAACGCTTATAAAACCATCAGATCTCCTGAGAACTCACTTTATCATGAGAACAACAAGGTAGAAGCCACCTCCATGATTCAATCACCTCCCACCAGGTTCCTCCCCCAACACCTGGGGATTACAATTCAAGATGAGATTTGGGTGGGGACATAAAGCCAAACCATATCAGACCCCATTCCTCTCTGGACCCGCCCCTCACCCCATATAACTACTCTGAATTGTCCAGTTGAAGAGACTGTCATCCTCCATCACACATCTACGGTGGACAGAGGATGGGACTCACAGCACACCAACAGCTTACGTAAACAAACACACAGAAACAAAACAAAACAAAAACTCTTCTAATCTCTGGAGACTATTATTCTAAGTGAAGTAACTCAGGAATGGAAAACCAAACATCATATGTTCTCACTGATATGTGGGAGCTAAACTATGAGGATGCAAAGGCATAAGAATGATACAATGGACTTTGGGGACTTGGGGGGAAAGGTGAGAGGGGGGCGAGGGATAAAAGACTATAAATGGGGTGCAGTGTATACTGCTTGGGTGATGGCTACACCACAATCTCACAAAGCACCACTAAAGAACTTACTCATGCAACCAAACACCACCTGTATCCCAATAGGAAAAAAAATACCTTCTAATCTCAACACTCCTTTCTTTTTTTTTTCTTTTTTTAATTTTTATTTATTTATTTATTTTTATTTTATTTTATTATTATTATACTTTAAGTTTTAGGGTACATGTGCACAATGTGCAGGTTAGTTACATATGTATACATGTGCCATGCTGGTGTGCTGCACCCACTAACTCGTCATTTAGCATTAGGTATATCTCCTAATGCTATCCCTCCCCCTTCCCCCCAACACTCCTTTCTTACCTTCAGGTGGACAAGAGGCCAAGGGTGTGGGGAAATTAGGTTTTCAGCATTTTCTCCTGAAGTCATGCAGAAATGGCCTTACTGTGAGATCTGACCTCGCTGGCATCTATAATCTTTGGGCCTGAGCAGAAACTGAGATTGCAATGAATCTACTTTGACATTCTGTTATATACATGTGCAAAAACCTTGGGAATACTGGGTATGAGCAGTTTGGAAGGAGAATGGATGGTAGGAATTCATTTTCATAAAAAAAAAAAAAGCTCATGAATAAGTGCACAAGAAAATGTAAGATCAGCCGGGCACAGTGGCTCACACCCGTAATCCCAGCACTTTGGGAGGCCGAGGCAGGCAGATCACCGGAGGTCAGGAATTGGAGACCAACCTGACCAACACAGAGAAACCCTGTCTCTACTAAAAATACAAAATTAGCCGGGCGTGGTGGTGCATGCCTGTAATCTCAGCTAATGGGGAGGCTGAGGCAGGAGAATCACTTGAATCCGGGAGGTGGAGGTTGTGTTGAGCTGAGATCGCACCACTGTACTCCAGCCTGGGCATCTCTAAAATATAAAAATTAGCCAGGCTTGGTGGCGGGCGCCTGTAATCCCAGCTGCTCAGGAGGCTGAGGCAGGAGAATCGCTTGAATCTGCGGGGTGGAGGTTGCTGTGAGCCAAGATGGTGCCACTTCATTGCAGCCTGGGCGAAAGAGTGAGACTCTGTCTCAAAAAAAAAAAAAAAAAAAAAGAGAACCCAGACCTGGAGTGGTGTCTCACGCCTGTAATCCCAGTATGGTGTCTCACTGCAGCCTTGACCTCCTAAGCTCAAGTGATCCTCCCGCCTCAGCTTCCTGAGAAGCTGGACGCACAGGCAAATGCTAATTTTTAAAAACTTTTTTGTAGAGATGGGATTTTGCCATGTTGCCCAGGCTGGTCTTGAACACCTGGGCTCAAGAGATCCTTCTGCCTCAGACTCCCAAAGTGCTGGGATTATAGGCGTGAGCTGCCACACCTGGCCTCCAGAACTATTTTAAAATAAAAAGTTAAGCCAGGTGAGGTGGCTCGCTCCTGTAATGCCAGCACTTTGGGAGGCTGAGGTGGGCAGATCACTTGAGGTCAGGAGTTTGAGACCAGCCTGGCCAACATGGTGAAGCCCTGTCTCTACGGAAAATACAAAAATTAGCTGGGCATAGTAGCAGGTGCCTGTAGCCCCAGCTACTCGGGAGGCTGAGGCAGGAGAATTGCTTGAACCCAGGAGGTGGAGGTTGCAGTGAGCCGAGATCGCGCCACTGCACTCCAGCCTGGGCGACAAGAGCAAGACTCTGTCTCAAATAAATAAATAAAAAGTTAATTTTTTGGAAAGGATGAGATAAAAAGCAGACGAAGGGCATAGAAAGGCCCTTCCAACGCGGCCCTCTCCAACATGAGGAAGCCTCCCACGAGATTTCCACTCACATCTCAAGAAACACAATTGCATCCAGCCCCTTCCTTAAATAACCACTAGCAGTGGGCGTGAGTTTACCTAACTGGGCTAAAGGTGTTTAAACTTCAGTGTGCATCAGAATCACCTGGAGGACTTGTCAAACCATAGGTTGGAGAGGAGGAGAAAGGAAAAGCTCACCTTCAGAGTTTCTGACTGATTCAGTAGGTCTGGGGTGGGGCTCAAGAATTTGCCTTTCTGACGAGCTCCCAGGTGATGCTGACGCTGCTGGTTCAGGGACCACACTTTCACAACCAGCACGTCACTAAGCCTTAGACTAATCAAGATTCATGCCTGAAACTAGAAAAGGGCCAAGTCTCCAAGGAACAAGGGTGGCCAACTGACACCTGAACAAAATCAGGGTTCTCGGCTGGGTGCGGTGGCTCAGGCCTGTAATCCCAGCACTTTGGGAGGCTGAGGTGGGCGAATCACGAGGTCAGGAGTTTGAGACCAGCCTGACCAACATGGTGAAACCCCGTCTCTACTAAAAATTCAAAAATTAGCTGGGTGTGGTGGCGAGCACCTGTAATCCAGCTACTGGGGAGGCTGAGGCAGGAGAATCACTTGAATCTGGGAGGTGGAGTTTGCAGTGAGCTGAGATTGCACCACTGCACTCTAGCCTGGGCGACAGAGCAAGACTGCATCTCAAGAAACAAAAACAAAAACAAAATCAGGATTCTCTTAGCAGAGAAGATTTTGGATTTTGAGAAACACCTGTCCCTTATATCGTACGATGACTTTTCTCTTATTTTTTCTGATCTTAATATAATTATATCAGCTTCCTGGAGAAGTTCCTCCACCACATTTTCTTACTTGTTCATTTTTCTTCAGCTGTATCAATTCTGCCTTTTTTTTTTTTTTTTTTAAAGAGACACGGTCTCACCATGTTGCCCAGACTGGTCTCGAACTCCTGGTCTCAAGTGATCATCCCACCTCAGCCTCTCAAAGTGCTGGGATTACAGGCGTGAGCCACGGCACCCACCCTACTGCCTATTCTGTTAGAGGATAATGTTATATATTTTTTACCATCATGTATTTTTATACTTTTTATTTCCATAAGCCTCTTGCTTTATGGAAAATTGTTCTTGTTTCATATTGCTAATATGTGTCCTTTTTTAGTATGTTTCTTTTTTTTTCTTTTTATTTTTTGAGACAGGGTCTTGCACTGTCACACAGACTGGAGTGCAGTGGCACAATCATAGCTCACTGCAGCCTTGACCTCCCAGGCTCAAGCAATCCTCCTGCCTCAGCCTCCCAAGTAGCTGGGGCCACAGGTGTGCACCACCACACTGGGCTAATTTTTTTTTTTTTTTTTTTGTAGAGATGGGAATCTCACTATGTTGCCCAGGCTGGCTTTGTTAAGAAGTACATTTCTTATGCTAATTATAAATTCTTGATCTATCTGACACCTCCTCCCCCGAAAAAAACACTCTCATTGCTTCACCACACCAAGCAACTGACAAAGCTTTATATTCAAGTCCTCAGGGAGAACATCCAGTTTTAAAACACAGCTGCAAGTTGTTAGACATTCTCTCTTCTTTTTTTTTTTTTTTTTTTGAGATGGAGTTTCGCTCTTGTTGTCCAAGCTAGAGTGCAATGGCACGATCTCAGCTCACTGCAACCTCCACCTCCCAGGTTCAGGCAATTCTCCTGCCTCAGCCTCCAGAGTAGCTGGGATTACAGGCACCCGCCACCATGCCTGGCTAATTTTGTGTGTGTGTGTGTGTGTGTGTGTGTGTGTGTGTGTGTGTGTGTGTGTATTTTTAGTAGAAACGGGGTTTCACCATGTTAGCCAGGCTGGTCTCAAACTCCTGACCTCAGGTAATCCACCTGCCTCGGCCTCCCAAAGTGCTGGGATTACAGGCATGAGCCACCGCGCCCAGCTGACATTCTCCCTTCTACAGGTGCAGTCTATAGCTCCTTGCTCTGAAATATTGGTGAGTCCCTGACTGCTTCGGCTGATAGAGTCAGAATAGACACCGTCTCTACATTTAACAAATAAACTAAAAATTATCCAGGCATGGTGGCATATGCCTGTAGTTCCAACTATTTGGGAGGCTGAGGCAGGAGGATCTCTTGAGTCCAGGAGGTCAAGGCTGCAGTGAGCTATAATTACACCACTGCACTCCAGCCTAGAGGCAACTTCTGAGTCTAGATCATAAAAGGTGATTCACCTTCTGCCTTGTTTGCTGAACCAAACGTCATGCAGGAAGTCTGCCTGTCCTGAGACCACCATGCTGTGAGGAAGCCCAAGTCACACAGAGAGGCCACGTGTGGGCACTCGGGTCAGCTGTCCTCCAGCTGCGCACAACCGTGGAGTCATCCAGCCCAGACACCGGACGTATGAGTGAAGACGCTCCCAGATCTTCCAGATAATTCCGGCACCCTCCATTCCAGTCTTTGCAGCTGAGGCTGCAGATAAAACCACCCTTGCTGTACTCTGTCCAAATTCTTGACTGCTAGAATCTACGAGTATAAATAAACTATAGCCGGGCGTGGTGGCTCACACCTGTAATCCCAGCACTTTGGGAGGCTGAGGCAGGCGGGTCACCTAAGGTCAGGAATTCAAGACCAGCCTGGCCAACGTGGTGAAACCCCGTCTCTACTAAAAATACAAAAATTAGCTGGGCGTGGTGGCTCGTACCTGTAATCCCAGCTAGCAGGGAGGCTGAGGCAGGGGAATCCCGCTTGAACCCGGGAGATGGAGGCTGCAGTGAGCCAAGATCGCACCACTGCACTCCAGCCTGGACGACAGAGCGAGACTCTGCCTCATAAAAGGAAGGAAGGAAGGAAGGAAGGAAGGAAAGAAGGAAGGAAGGAAGGAAGGAAGGATGGATGGATAAATAGCAGTTGTTTTTTGCCACGAAGTTTGGGGTGACTGGGTGTAAGTCAGCAGGTAACCAGAACAGAGAAGCTGCCCTGAGAGAGGGCAATTGTCCTAATTTAAAGGGATGACGCCTTTCGTTCCGTGGCCCCAGCTCTAGGTCCAAGTTGTTGCTGTCATTTTCGCCGCTAGGTGGCGGCTCATGACTGTTTCCAGCCAACGGCGGGGCAGCAAGAGGGGATGTCAATTTCTCTCCCAGCCTCGCCAGCTGATGGGGCCTTCAGCCTGGTGCCTAGTACATCAGTTAAGCACGGTGATTATTATTTCCTTGCAGAAACCCAACCTCACCCTACCTCTCCGCACGCTCATACCCTCGTTTCCAGCCTCAAGCCTTTTGCTGGAGTCCATGAAGCCCCGCAGAGAGGCTGCAGACACGGGGGCGCCTTAGCCCAGTTCCAGAGACCCTAGTTCAGCCTGCAGCTTGAGAAGGAAGTGGGGAGCTGGGGAGGCCACGCTCCCTCCGCTCCGGTCTTCTACCCCAGGGCTGGTCTTTCGCTGACGCTTCAGGAAATGAAACGCAGTACATTGCAACATCATGCACTGTTTCCCCCCCTACAATATGAAATTTAATTTTTTTAAGCATTACTGATTTATTTTTTAGGGCAAATAAAAATTGTATGTACTTATGGTGTACAACATGATGTGCTGAAATAGTATACGTTGTGAAAAGGCTAAATTGAGCTAATTTACATGTGCATTGCCTCACATTTATCATTTTTGTGTGTGTGGTAAGAACACTTACAATCTACTCTCTTAGGAAGGCTCAAGAACACAGCACATCCGTGTTAACTAAAGCCCCTCTGTTGCAGCATCATCCTCTTAAAGCCCATCCCCTCCTGGGCTTCCCTCACTGTGAGTCTGCAGCTGACACCACAAAAATTCAGGCCATCAAGTTCTAACTCATAAAATAGAATTACCATGGGATCCAGCAATTCCATTTCTGGGGAGATACCCAAAAGAATTCCAAGCAGGATCTTGAAGAGATATGTATGTATGTATGTATGTATTTTTTGAGACGGAGTCTCACTCTGTCAGCCAGGCTGGAATGCAGTGGTGCGATCTCAGCTCACTGCAACCTCTGCCTCCTGGGTTTAAGTGATTCTGCTGCCTCAGTCTCCCGAGTAGCTGGGACTACAGGCACCTAACACCATGCCCAGCTAATTTTTGTATTTTTAGTAGAGATGGGGTTTTGCCATGTTGACCCGGGTGGTCTTGAACTCCTGACCTCAGGTGATCCACCCTCCTCGGCTTCCCAAGCCAAGGATTACAGGCATGAGTCACTGCCCCCAGCCTATCTGTGTATTTATTTTTGAGACAGGGTCTCTCTCTCTGTTGCCTGGTGAGTAATACAGTAGTGTGATCTTGGCTTACTTATTGCAGCCTCGACCTCCTGGGCTCGAGCGACCTTCTCACTTCAGCCTCCTGAATAGTTGGGACTACAGGCATGCACCACCAAGCCCAGCTACTTTTAATTTTAATTTTATTTTATTTTACTTTTGTAGAGACAGGGTTTCACCATGTTGCCTAGGCTAGTCTTGAACTCCTGGGCCCAAGTGATCCACCCTCCTTGGCCTCCCGAAGTACTGGGATTACAGGCGTGAGCCACCACGCTCGGCCGGAAGAGATAATTTATACGTTGATGTTCTTAACAGCATTATTCACAAAAACCAAGAAATGGAAGCAATGTAAGTGCCATCAATGAATGAATGTGTAAAGAAAGTGTGGGATCTACATAAATGGACAAGCATTCAGCCTCTGAAAGGAAGGAGATGCTGACATGTACCTGTGGGAGGCCAACACTTGTTACCAAGAGACCTGATCAGTGAAGAACCTTGAACAGCCACCCCGGAATGACTTCTGGTTTGGGGCTTTCAAAGAGTGGGTGACAGTGTGGCCCTTGCCTTCATCAGCCTTGAATCCGCGAGGAGCTGAGCACGGGATCGTGGTCTGAGAATCAGGGGAAAGACTCCTGGGCAGCTTCCCTGTTCTGAGCAAGCTACTCCCCTTCCCTGGAACTGTCTTATGTATCCAGTGATTTCACAAATATTTGTCGAGCACGTACTATGGACCAGGCATTTTGAAAAGACTGTTACTGTTGGCTGGGTGCGGCGGCTCATGCCTGCAATCCCAGCACTTTGGGAGACCGAGGCTGGCGGATCATGAGGTCAGGACTTCCAGACCAGCCTGACCAACATGGTGAAACCCCATCTCCACTAAAAATACAAAAATTAGCTGGGCGTGGTGGTGGACGCGTGTAGTCCCAGCTACTTGGGAGGCTGAGGCACGAGAATCACTTGAACCCGGGAGGCAGAGGTTGCAGTGAGTTGAGGTCACACCACTGCACTCCAGCCTGGGCGACAGAGCAAGACTCCATCTGAAAGAAAAAAACAACAAACTGTAGATTGTAACAAGAGACATGCTAGAAATCAAGAGGGATGCACTATAACACAATGAGTGTATGGGAGGTGGGTCTTTCCTTTGCAAAGTGGGTAAGGGAAGACTTGGATGAAAATATGTTGAAGCTGAGAATTAAAAACAGTGTAAGTATCCAGCCATGAGAAATGCAAAGAGAATGACACTTCAGGCAGAAGGCACAGCGCAGGCAAAGGCCCTGGGGCAGGAGCAAGCCTGGCCAGTACTAGTTCCAAGAATGGACACAGGCCAGCGTGGCTGAGGCAAAGTGAGCCGGCTAGAGCACAGCAGGAGAAGGGAGGTGCTAAGCCCGGATCATGCAGAACTTTGCAAGTTGTGATAAGAAGTTTGAATGTGGGGCCGGGTGCAGTGGCTCACGCCTGTTACCCCAGCACTTTGGGAGGCCAAGGCGGGGCAGATCACGAGGTCAGGAAATCAAGACCATCCTGGCTAACACGGTGAAACCCCGTCTCTACCAAAAATACAAAAAATTAGCCAGGTGTGGTGGTGGACGCCTGTAGTCCCAGCTACTTGGGAGGCTGAGGCAGGAGAATGGCGTGAACCCGGGAGGCGGAGCTTGCAGTGAGCTGAGATCGCACCACTGCACTCCAGCTTGGGCGACAGAGCGAGACTCCGTCTCAAAAAAAAAAAAAGAAGTTTGAATGTAGCTGGGCCCAGTGGCTCATGCCTGTCATCCCAGCACTTTGGGAGGCCGAGGCAGGAGACCAGCCTGACCAACATAGAGAAACCTCATCTCTACTAAAAATACAAAGTTAGCCGGGCGTGGTGGCGCATGCCTGTAATCCCAGTTACTTGGGAGGCTGAGGCAGCAGAATCGCTTGAACCTGAGAGGGGGGGTGCAGTGAGCCAAGCTCGTGCCATTGCATTCCAGGCTGGGCAACAAGAGCGAAAATCTGTCTCAAAAAATAAAAGAAGTTTGAGTGTGTGTGTGTGCGTGTGGTTTTTTTTGTTTGTTTTGTTTTGTTTTGTTTGAGACTGAGTCTCACTCTATTGCCCAGGCTAGAGTGCGGTAGCATAATCTCAGCTCACTGCAACCCCCGCCTCCTGGGTTCAAGCGATTCTCCAGCCTCAGCCTCCAGATAGCTGTGATTACAGCCATGCACCACCAGGCCCAGCTAATTTTTGTATTTTTAATAGAGACGGGGTTTCACCATGTTGGCCAGGCTGGTCTCGAACTGCTGACCCCAAGTGATCCACCCGCCTCGGCCTCCCAAAGTGCTGGGATAATAGGGGTGAGCCACCGCGCCTGGCCTAGAAGTTTGAATTTTTGTCCAAACGGAAAAGGAAGTGGAAGGTGGAAAATGCCTTCGTAACACTGATAAGGCAGGCAAGCAAATGATTAAGCCCTCCCTATCTTGTGGCTTTGCAAGCCTCGCATTTCAGCACTCTTGTTTGTCCTTGCACGGGAAATGAGTAGGCAGTGAATAATTTTTAGGTTGATATTGTCAGATTCCGTGCAGTTCCCCCGCTCTGTCCACAGACCTCACAAGGATTGTGTCACATCAGTTAAGGGCAGCAGGAGGGGCGGGGCTGGGAACAGGGTGGGTCTTCAGCCTTGCTGGCACCCTCTGGTCTGACTCAGCCCTTCTCACCTGATCACAATAGCGTCCTAAACCATCTCCCTGCTTCTACCTTCATTTCCCGCCTTGACCATCTGCTCTCAACGTAGCAGACAGAGGGATTCTTTTAAAATAGAATTGCTAGACTTGGGACATTAAAATACAGGATGCCCAGTTAAATTTAAAGTTTTAGATAAACAAAAAAATTTTGAATGTAAGTATATCTCATGCAGTTTGGGGGCTGTACTTAGACTTAAACATTTTATTTGTTGTTTATCTGAGTTTTGAAATCAACTGGGCATCCTACATTGAATCTGGCAACCCTATTTCAGTTTAATTTTTATTTTATGTATTTTTTTTGAGGCAGGGTCTGTTGCCCAGGCTGGAATGCAGGGACACGATCATGGCTCACTGCAGCCTCCAGGCTCAAGTCATCCCCCCACCTCAGCCTCCTGAGTAGCTGGGACTACAGGTGTGCACCACGATGCCTGGCTAAACTACATGACACATATATCCTCTCACCGCAGTTAAAATGGCTTTTATAGGCCTAATCCAGCACTTTGGGAGGCCGAGGCGGGCGGGTCACCTGAGGTCAGGAGTTCAAGACCAGCCTGGCCAACATGGCAAAACCCCGTCTTTACTAAAAATACAAAAATTAGCTGGGCGTGGTGGTGGGTGCCTGTAATCACAGCTACTCAGGAGGCTGAGGCAGGAGAATCGCTTGAACCAGGGGGAAAGGGGTTGCAGTGAGCCAAGATCACGCCACTGCACTCCAACCTGGGCGACAGAGAGAGACCCTGTCTCAAAAGAAAAAAAAAAAGTGATTGTGGCAAAGAAGGGCTTTTCTCAAAGACATTGCTTCATCTGTAACCACAAGCCTCATTTCTTTACTGTACTCCACCCTTTGGTGGAGTAACTTATCAACATGGGCTCAGTTTTGAAGAACTGATTACCTAAACAAAAAAGATATTTAGTTACCTTGCCTAACAGGAAGATTTTGTGCAAAAACTCATGCATGTTGCTAAGAACCAAGCCCTTTCTGTTTTACCACTCATGTCTTCAATGTTTGGCCTGTTGCCTCCTGGTCACCCATGACCCGGGGCAGCTCCACACATTGTGTCCTGTCCAGACCATGCTCAAGGGTGAGGCAACAGCTCAACAACTCCCTTCTCCCCTTCTATCTTCCTTGTTTTTTTTTTTTTTTGGAGACGGAGTCTCGCTCTGTTGCCCAGGCTGGAGTGCAGTGGCGTGATCTTGGAGGCAACCTCCGCCTCCAAGGTTCAAGCGATTCTCCTGCCTCAGCCTTCCGAGTAGCTGAAATTACAGGCACCTACCACCATGCCCAGCTAATTTTTGTATTTTTAGCAGAGATGGGGTTTCACCATATTGGCCAGGCTGGTCTTGAACTCCTGACCTCGTGATCTGCCCACCTCAGCCTCCCAAAGTGCTGGGGCTACAGGCGTGAGCCACCGCGCCTGGCCTCCTTCTAGCTTCTTATCAGGGAGTGATACCCATTTCAGAACCTCCTCATGCTCACTTCTCTTTATTTCATAGTGGTCGTAAACTATTCTTTACCCATGCCTGGACTTTATTTTTGTGGTAAAATCTTACCGTTACTTAAAGCAAGATTTTACCATTCTAACTATTTAAAAAATGTACTATACTTACTGATACTAAGTACATAAGTACCTCCAAAATGTTGTGCAAGCATTGCCACTATCTAGTGTCAGGAAAAAAAATTTTTTTTTTTTTTGAGACGGAGTCTTGCACTGTTGCCCAGACTGGAGTGAAGTGGTGTGATCTTGGCTCACTGCAACCTCCACCTCCTGGGTTCGTGCCATTCTCCTGCCTCAGCCTCCCGAGCAGCTGGGACTACAGGTGCCCATCACCACGCCCAGCTAATTTTTTGTACTTTTTTTAAGTAGAGACGGGGTTTCACCATGTTAGCCAGGATGGTCTCGATCTCCTGACCTCATGATCTGCCCACCTCAGCCTCCCAAAGTGCTGGGATTACAGGCGTGAACCACCGCGCCTGGCCTTTTTTTTTTTTCTTTTTTTTCAAGACAGGGTCTCACTCTGTCTTCCAGGCTGGATTGCAAGGGTGCAATCACAGCTCACTGCAGCCTTGACCTTCTGGGCTCAAGTGATCTTCCCACCTCAGCCTCCCGAGTAGCTGGGACCGCAGGCATGCACCGCCATGCCTGGCTAATTTTTGTATTTTTTTTTTATAGGGAACTGGCTTTCACCATGTTGCCCAGGCTGTTCTTGAACTCCTGAGCTCAAGCGATCTGCCTAACTTGGCCTCCCAAAGTGCTGGGATTAAAGGTGTGAGCCCCAGCACCTGGCCTAGCATCAGAAACTTTTAATCACCCCGAAAGAAAATCTCTCAGATGAGGCATTTAACAAATGTTAGCTATTGTTATTATCAGTAGTAATAGTAATAGGAGAAGGAGGAAGAGGAAGAAGAAAAGGAAGAAAGAAGTAAAAGGAGGAGGAGGGAGGGATGAGAGGGAAAGGGAAAAAAGACGAGGAAAAGATGAGAAGGGAGGGGAGAAAAAGAGAGAGACAGAGAGAGAGAGAGAGAGAGAGATGAGAGATGGGCTGTGTCCAGAGGCTCTGGGGTGCAGGGATGAGAAATTCTTCAGAAGTTGATGATCTGGGCACCCTTGTCATCTCCTATCTTGCTTCCTAGGCTCAGCCCTGCCCACATTCCTTCTGCTAGGAAACCACCCAGGGACTTGCTCCTTTCTGCCCTAACACCACTGTTGCCAGGCAACCTTCTAGTACTTCTCCAGCTGTCATCCTTCATGAAGCATTGGGCCTCTTTCCAATTCCGGCTAAAGTCAGAACCCTCAGAAGAGAAATTGAGGAAGGAGAGATTTCATGAGAGGTTATAAAATTAAAATAGGCTGGACGCGATGGCTCATGTCTGTAATTGCAGCACTTCGGGAGGTTGAGGTGGGCAGATCGCTTGAGCTCAGGAGTTCAAGACCAGCTTGGGCAACATGGTGAAATCTCATCTCTTTAAAAAAAAAATTTAAATTGGCCTGGTGTGGTGGCATGCACCTGCAGTTCCGGCTATTCAGCAGGCTGAGGTGGGAGGATCACTTGAGCCTGGGAGGTCAAGGCTGCAGTGAGCTGTGATCACGCCACGGCACTCCAGCCTGGGTGAAAGAGAGAGACCCTGTCTCAAAAAAATTAATTTAATTAAAATAGCTACTGTTGGAACACTCATACATAGCACTGTGCATCAGCAGCAGCAGCAGCTAATTTATTTTATTTTATTTTATTTATTTTATTTTATTTTGAGACAGGGTCTCACTCTGTCACCCAGGCTGGAGTGCAGTGGCATGATCTCGGCTCACTGAAACTCCATCTCCTGGGTTCAAGTGATTCTCCTGCCTCAGCCTCCTCAGTAACTGGGACTACAGACACTTACCACCATACCCAGCTAGTTATTTTGTATTTTTTGTAGAGATGATGGCCCGGCCGCCTCTGAGACCTTCTAATCTCCTTTAGTTCAAATGCTCCACCTGACAAACGTCATCCTTACTTCGGGGGTATTGTTTTCTGAGCCCCAACAATACATTGTTTCATAGGATGATGTGATTCCAGTCATTTGTCTTTGTGAGGTCTGTAATTCCTTCTCCCACTTCTGATCAATCTATGTTATATCTCTGCCTTCCCCTCCCTCCAGTCTCTCCCCACCCAGAGCTGAAGCCTGAACTGGCCGTGGGGGAACCACTCGGAGTGTGGTCAGGGAGGGTTTGGGGGAAAATTGCCATCTCCCTTTTCTCTTGAGTCTCTGGCTTTGAACCTTCCCTGCCCTGACCCCGGGTAAGAAAGAGTTTTCAGAATGATGACCCCACTGGACAAAGAGCCATTCCCACCAGGTGCGGTGGTTCATGTACCTGGGAGGCCGAGGCAGGAGAATCATACGAGCCTTGGTGTTTGAGACCAGCCTGGGCAACACAGTGAGACCCCATCTCTATTTATTTATCTTTTTTTTAATGAAGAGTGGCCAGGCACGGTAGCTCATGCCTGTAATCCCAGCATTTTGGGAGGCCAGGGCGAGTGGGTCACTTGAGACCAGAAGTGCAAGACCAATGTAGGCAACAGTGGGAGATCCCCATCTCTACAAAAAATACAAAAACTTAGCTGGCTGTGGCTGTGTGTGCCTGTAGTCCCAGGGATTTGGGGGACTGAAGCACGAGAATCGCTTGAACCTGGAAAGTCGAGGCTGCAGTGAGCCATGATTGTGCCATTGCACTCCAGCCTGGGGGACAGAGTGAGACTCCATCTTGAAAAGAAAGAAAGAAAGAGAGAAAGAAAGAAAGAGAGAGAGAAAGAGAGAAAGAGAAAGAGAAAGAAACAAAGAAAGAAAGAAAGAAGAAAAAAGAAAGAAAGAAAGAAAAAGGAAGAAAGGAAGGGAGGGAGGGAGGAAGAGAGAGAGGCCAGACGCAGTGGCTCGCGCCTGTAATTCCAGCAGTTTGGGAGACTGAGGCGGGTGGATCATGAGGTCAGGAGATCGAGACCATCCTGGCTAACAAGGTGAAACCCCGTCTGTACTAAAAAAAAATACAAAAAAATTAGCCAGGCTTGGTGGCGGGCGCCTGTAGTCCCAGCTACTCGGGAGGCTGAGGCAGGAGAATGGCGTGAACCTGGGAGGTGGAGCTTGCAGTGAGCCGAGATTGCACCACCGAGCTCCAGCCTGGGTGACAGAGCGAGACTTCGGCTCAAAAAAAAAAAAAGAAAAAGAAAGAAGGAAAGAAAGAAAGAGAGAGAGAGAGAGAAGAAAGAAAGAAAGAGGAAGAAAGAAAAGAAGGAAGGAAGGAAGGAAGGAAGGAAGGAAGGAAGGAAGGAAGGAAGGAAGGAAGGAAGGAAGGGCCATTCCCCCAAGACCAACTATCTCCGCCACCCCCATGGCAGATGTCTCTTGAGGCTTCCCTGACCTGGCTGGGCACAAAGTCAAACAACAAAAAAAAAATTGTGGACTCTCTTGTCTCCTAGCACTTAACTTGGTTTATAATTGCACGCTCATTACTTCAGTGATGTGATTAGTATCTGTTTCCATCAGCAGGCTGTCAGCTCGTCGTCGGGGGTCCCTGTTTACTCTGTAAGTGCCACTTGAGAAAAACTAACAGCAAAGGCAGATCGAGTTGCGACCACGTGCCAGGCGGTCTCCTGGGAGCTTTGCAGGGCTCATGATGGCGTTTACTCCCGACGGTGACTCCTGGGAGTAGGTACAGGATTGAGCTCACGCACCGTCTTTAGGGATGAAGGAACGAAGACAGAGAGAGGTGAAGCTGTTGCCCCAGCCATAGGTCGGGGAGCTGGGCTTTCACACCAGCCTGGCTCCCAGGTGCCCAGGCACTGCGGGGCACTTCTGCTTGTTGAATGGAAGAATGCAGAATTAGAAACAAAAATCGCATGGTCAGCTGGGCGCGGTGGCTCACGCCTGTAACCCCAGCACTTTGGGAGGCGGAGGTGGGACGATCACTTGAGGTCAGGCGTTCAAGACCAGCCAGGCCAACGTGGTGACACCCCATCTGTGCTAAAAATACAAAAATTAGCTGGGTCTGGTGGCGCACACCTGTAATCCCAGGTACTGGGGTGGCTGAGGCACAAGAATTGCTTGAACCCGGGAGGCGGAGGTTGCCGTGAGCCGAGATCGCACCACTGCCCTCCAGCCTGGGCGACAGAGTGAGACTGCAAAATAAAAATAAAAATAAAATCACATGATCATCTCAATAGATGCAGAAAAAGCATTTTGATATGGGAGGGGGGCAGAGAACTGCTGGGTAGAGAAGGGCAGGGTCTCTGGCAAGGGCTCTACCCTAGGGCCTGTGCCCATGGACCTAAATTAGAACAGGCATTTCCGAAGGTGCTGGGATTACAGATGTGAGCCACCACACCCAGCTAATTTTTGTATGTTTTGTTGTTGTTGATTTGTTTTGTTTGTTTGTTTGTTTTTAGTAGAGACAGGGTTTCACCATGTTGGCCAGGCAGATCTCGAACTCCTGACCTCAGGTGATCCACCCGCCTCGACCTCCCAAGGTGCTGGAGTTACAGGCATGAGCCGTCGCGTGGGGCCAAGACTCACCCTTTTCTTAACACCTGGCAACCACTAGTCTGTCTTCCGGGTCTGCAATTTAGTGACTTCAAGAATAAGAAACCTTGTTTCAACCCCTTGACCTGATGCCAGTGTGTCTCTGCTCAGCAAGCTCCCATGGCTCCTCAGTACCCTCAGGGTAAAGGCCAAGCTGTTCTGTTGAGCATCTGAGTCTCTCCACCTTGTTCATAAGACAGCCCACCCCAACCCTCTCACGTTTCCTGTGTCTCACTCTGAACACCAGCGTTCACATTTCCTCACTCACAGGTTCATCATGTTTTTCCTCTTGTTTCTGTCCAGGCTCTCCCACCCAGCTGGAACGCCCGTGACGTTCTCCACTTTCTCTGATTCTTACTCACCTTGAAGACTCAAGTTCGTCATCTTCTTCGGAAGGCTTTCCTGAACCAATCCCCCTTCCCCCCACCTTTTTGATTTTTTTTTTTTTTTTTTTTTTTTTTGAGACGGAGTCTTGCTCTGTCACCCAGGCTGGAGTGCAGTGGCGAGATCCCGGCTCACTGCAACCTCCAACTCCCAGGTTCAAGCAATTCTCCTGACTCAGCCTCCCGAGTAGCTGGGATTACAGGTGCCTGCCACCACACCCAGCTAATTTTTGTATTTTTAGTAGAGACGGGGGTTCACCGTGTTGGCCAGGCTGGTCTTGAACTCCTGACCTCAGGTGATCCACCCGCCTTGGCATCCCAAAGTGCTGGGATTACAGGCGTGAGCCGCCACACCCGACCAGAAAACACAATTTAGAATATATACACTGTTAATGGTTGAATGTTCTCCCCTACAAAATGTATATATATATATATATGTTGGACCCTAACCCCCAGTACCTAAGAATGTGACCTCATTTGGAGATACGGTCTTTACAGAGATAATCAAGTTAAAATAAGGTCATTGGGGGTAAATCCTAATCACGTATGACAGGAGTCATGTGTAAAGGGGAAATCTGGGTGGGGTACGGTGGCTCACGCCTGTAATCCCAGCACTTTGGGAGGCTGAGACAGGTGGATCACTTGAGATCAGGAGTTCGAGACCAGCCTGGTTAACATGGTAAAACCCCGTCTCTTCTAAAAAAAAAAAAAAAATACAAAAATTAGCTGGGCATGGTGGCTCGTGCCTGTAAACGCAGCTACTTGCGAGGCTGAGGCAGGAGAATCACTTGAGCCCAGGAGGCGGAGGTTGCGGTGAGCCAAGATTGCAGCACTACACTCCAGCCTGGGAGACAGAGCAAGACTCCGTCTCAAAATAAAAATAAAAATAAAAAATATATTGTGTTTTCCACACTCTCAACCATTGTGTATGGGTTCGTTTTCATGTGACTTCTGGGCTTAAAAGTGTTTCTGGAGGGTATGTTTCTGGAGGGAATATGGGGTCACTTTTCTTTACCCCAGAATGCACGATCACATCACAAATAGACTCCAAAGCAAAGTTGTTAAATTTCCAAACCTTTAATCCCAAATCAGATCACAGCGAGGCCAGACCCTTCGCTATCTCCCCCAACCGCACCCGGAGCTGCAGATGAGTTGTAAAAAGTCTCTCCCGGCAAGTGAATCGATCCAGACCTGGGAAATGAAGGGGCCCCCAACTCCCACCCAAGACCCCCTGACCTCATCCCCCAACCCCACACCCCAGCTACCCCATCAGGTCCCCGCCAGTCTTCTCTGGGGACCCTCGTTTGCAAAGAGCCTCTTCCCATCCCACCCCCAAGCAACCCACATACAGCCACAGAGAAAAACGTATTTACAGAGGGAGAAAGGATAAGGGGACAGGAGGCAGGCGTGTAAAAAAACATGGGCCCCCGAGCAGGGAGAACACAGTTTCTCTAGGAGATGGGGCAAAAAGATCTTGGGGGTACAATGGAGAAGGTCAAAGGGCTCGGTGGTTGCTTAGAGAAGTCTCACGCGTGGCTCTAGGTGGCCCGGTGCCCCCGCTTGGGACAGAGGGACCCCCAGGGCCAGGAAGGCAGTGTGAGCAGCAGAAAGCAGCCGGCCCCCAACAGCAGGATCAGGCCGGCCCCCACGCCGCAGCCCAGGGACCAGGAGTACTCGTAGGTGAGGCGTGGGGCCGGGGGAGGCTCCGGGCTGACTCTCTGCAGCAGGGCCCTCACGGAATGCCGGAACACCTCCAGGCTCACCAAGAGCAGCAGGCCTGCGGGAGAGAGGACAGCTCGCAGTCAGACGCCCGCGACCCCAGCTGTGTCTGAACATCTCCGCCATCCGCTCCCAGCCCTCCCGCCCACCCTGGCACCTTCCCACGCGTGCACTCAACAAATACTTACTAAACACCTACTATATAGCAGGCAGCATTTGGGAAGCTGGAGATAAAGAAAAAAAAAAACAAGACACAAAGTCATAGAGACAGAAAGTAGAAGGATGGTTGCCGAGGGCCGGAGGGAAGAGGAAAAAGGGGAGTTGGTGTTTAACAGGTATAGAATTTCAGCTGGGGAAGACGCAAATCGTTCTGAAGGTGGATGGGGGTGATAGTTGCATAACAATGTGAACGGAATTGATGCCACAGAACCGTACGCTGGAAAATGATTAAAAGGCGGATATAGAATCACAGCTAGACGGGAGAAACGCGTTCTGGTGTTCGCAGCACTGTAGGGTGAATATGGTTCCTTAGTTTTTTGTTTTTGTTTTGTTTTGTTTTTTTTTTTTTTTTTTTTTTTGAGACGGAGTCTTGCTCTGTCACCCAGGCTGGAGTGCAGTGGTGCGATCTCAGCTTATTGCAAACTCCGCCTCCTGATTCTTCTGCCTCAGTCTCCCGAGTAGCTGGGGTTCAAGCGACTCTCCTGCCTCAGCCTCCTGAGTGGCTGGGATTACACACGTGCGCTACCACGCCTGGCTAATTTTTGTGTGTGTGTGTGTGTGTATATATATATATATATATATATTTTTTTTTTTTTTTTAGTAGAGACGGGGTTTCACCATGTTGGCCAGACTAGTCTGGAACTCCTGACCTCAAGTGGTCCACCCACCTCGGCCTCCCAAAGTGCTGAGATGACAGGTGAGAGCCACCGTGCCTGGCTGTGTATTTTCAAAGAGCTAGAGGAGAGGATTTTGAAATGGTCACAACATGAAGAAATGATCAAGTTTGAAGAGGTGGATAGGCTAATTGCCCTGATCTGATCATTATGCATTGTTTACATGCATCAAACCATCCTTCTGTTTCCCACAGATATGTACAAGTACTACATGTCAACTAAAAATAAAAGAGGAGGCTGGGTGCTGTGGCTCACACCTGTAATCCAAGCGCTTTGGGACGCCGAGGACGAAGGATTGCCTGAGGCCAGGATTTTGAGACCAGCCTGGGCAACATAGCAAGACTCCATCTCTACAAAAAAAAAATTTTAAAAAATTAGCCAGGTGTGGTGGTGCACGCTTGTAGTCCCAGCTACTCAGGAGGCTGAGGTGGGAGGATCATTTGAGCCCAGAAGGATGAGGCAGCAGTGAACCGTGATCACACCAGTACACTCCAGCCTGGACAACACAGCAAGATCCCAATTCTTAAAAATATATAAATAAATAAAAATTGAAAATAAAAAGGGGAAATGGTTAAAATTACACATTTTATGTTTAGCACATTTTCCCACAACTTTTTTTTCTTAAAGCAAACACAGGAATCAGAAAACACAAAATTCAAATTAAGACTCCATTAGCGGCCAGGCACACCTACAATCCCAGCACTTTGGGAGACTGAAGCGATTGGATCACTAGAGGCCAGGAGTTTGAGACTGGCCTGGCCAACAAGGTGAAATCCCATCTCTACTAAAAATACAAAAATTGGGCCGGGCACAGTGACTCACGCCTGTAATCCCAGCACTTTGGGAGGCCGAGGCGGGTGGATCACCTGAGGTCAGGAGTTCAAGACCAGCCTGACCAACATGAAGAAACCCTATCTCTACTACAAAATTAGCTGGGCGTGGTGGTGTGCACCTGTAATCCCAGCTACTCGGGAGGCTGAGGCAGGAGAATTGCTTGAACCTGGGAGGCGGAGGTTGTGGTGAGCCAAGATCACGCCATTGCACTCCAGCCTGGGCAACAAAAAAAAAAAAAAAAGAAAGAAAAGAAATAGTCTCCATGCAAGTTTTTTAAAAGAGTGATAGAGGGGGAGGGGTCACAAAATAAAGATAAAGTCATATTGCAATGCAATTTTTTATTTTTTATTTTTTTTTTGAGACGGAGTTTCGCTCTTACACCCAGGCTGGAGTGCAGTGGCAATCTCGGCTCACTGCAACCTCTGCCTTCTGGTTTCAAGTGATTCTCCCGCCTCAGCCTCCCGAGTAGCTGGGATTACAGGCTGATTTTTTTTTTTTAAAAAAAGCAAAAAAGAAGAAAAAGAAAGAACATGATAGAGAAAGACCCTACCCTCGTGGAGCTTATATATTACTTGGAGATAGACAGTAAACAAATAAACCAAAATTTGCAAAACTCAAATGCCTGCAGGGGGCATGAGAAAGTGTAAACACACAGGGCGGCAAGTAAGGTAGAAATGATGGCAGAAGCCAGCTGCAGCTGCTCAACAGCATGATCTCAGCTCATTGCAGCTTCCGCCTCCCAGGTTCAAGCGATTCTCATGCTCAGCCTCCTGAGTACCTGCGACTACAGGTGTGCTCCACCACGCCTGGCTAATTTTTTTTTTTTTTTTTTTAGATGGAGTCTCACTCTGTTGCCCAGGCTAGAGTGCAGTGACATGATCTCAGCTCACTGCAACGCAGTGACATGATCTCAGCTCACTGCAACCTCCACCTCCCCAGTTCAAGTGATTCTCCTGCCTCAGCCTCCTGAGTAGCTG
The DNA here is from genome assembly GCF_000001405.40 of Homo sapiens. Lineage (NCBI taxonomy): Eukaryota > Metazoa > Chordata > Mammalia > Primates > Hominidae > Homo > Homo sapiens. Next base: position 54,009,304 of record NC_000019.10, on the reverse strand, counting down.
GGATTACAGACACACGCCACCACGCCTGGCTAATTTTTGTGTTTTTAGTAGAGACGGGGTTTCACCACGTTGGCCAGGCTGGTCTCGAACTTCTGACCTTGTGATCCACCTGCCTCGGCCTCCCAAAGTGCTGGGATTACAGACGTGAGCCACCGCGCCCGGCAATTTTTGTATTTTTAGTAGAGTCATGGTTTCACCATGTTGGCCAGGCTGGTCTAGAACTCCTGACCTCAAGCGATCCACTCACCTTGGCCTCCCATAGTGCTGGGATTACAGGGGTGAACTGCCGCACCCGGCCTATAATTGCTTAAATGATTATTATTTTTATGGGAATTCTCCCAACCTTTAAACGTCAACTCGAAGAAATCTTTACACACTGCCTGGCAAACAAAGCACATCTCCTGGCCATCGAGGGCCTGCAGGCTGCCAGGTTGCAATGTCCAAAATAAACAAATGAGGAGACAAGATAATCTCAGAGGGTGATGCATGAAAGGAAGGAAATAGAAACAGAGAGAGTGGCACCCAGGGGTGGAGCAGGGACTTTGGATGGTGTCGAGAAAAGCCATTTGAGCTGGGACCTGAAGGATGAAAAGAAGTCAGTCATGCTCAAAACGAAGCAACGGCTGTTCCGAGCAGAAGGAGGTGCTGACGCGAGGGTCCTGTGTAGGACGCAGCACAGAGTGTTTGGAGAAAAGAGAAAAGCTGAGTGTGGTGGGAGCAAGGAGAGTTGGGGTTGGGGAGAGAGGCGGTAATGGAACTGCAGGGGCGGGCAGGGGCCAGGTCATGCAGGACCGTCTGAGAGTCACGCATGAGTCATGGATCCCAGCCGCCTTCTCTCCAGACCCTGGAGTCCTGCCCCAACCCCAGTTCCTGACCCTGCTTCCTCCCTGCGCCCCAGCCCCACTGTGGTGTTTTTTTCTGTTTGTTTGTTTACCGGTTTTGGTTTTGTTTTGAGTCGGAATCTCACTCTGTCATCCAGGCTGGAGTGCAATGGTGCAATCTCAGCTCACTGCAGCCTCTGCCTCTCGGGTTCAAGAGACTCTCCTGCCTCAGCCTCTTGAGTAGCTGGGACTACAGGCTCTTGCCACCACGCCTGGCTCATTTTTGTATTTTTAGTAGAGATGGGGTTTCACCGTGTTGGCCAGGCTGGTCTCAAACTCCTGACCTCAGGTGATCTATCCACTTCCCAAAGTGCTGGGATTACAGGCCTGAGCCACCGTGCCCAGCCATTCACTGTGGTTTTGATTCAGGGCCTGGAGAATGCAGCCAGGATGCTGTGATTTAAAAGCCCCTTCTTTGCTCCATGCAGCCCAACATTACAGAACGGGAGGTGGAAAAGCATTTAGACAAGGACTCCCCTTCATTCCTTTCCTAATTCAATCTTTTTTTTTTTTCTTTTCTCTTTTTTAGTGACAAGGTCTCAGCCACCCAGGCTGGAGTGCAGTGGCGCGATCATAGCTCACTGCATGCAACCTTGACCTCCCAGGCTCAAGCCCTCCTCCTGCCTCAGCCTCCTGAGTAGCTGGGACTACATCGCAAGCTGCCATGGCTAATTATTTCATTTTATTTTGTAGAGACGGGATCTTTCTACATTGCCCCGGGCTGGTCTCAAACTCCTGGCCTCAAACAATCCTCCTGCCTCAGCCTCCCAAAATGTTGGGATTCCAGGTGTGAGCCACCACAGCAGACCTGATTCATGCATTCTTTGATTCATTCAACAGATGTTCATTGAGCTCTTATTACAAAATACATATAATATGATACATAAATGATACTACAACTAAATCCCTGTCCTTCTGGAGTTTCATCCAAGAAGGAGAGATGGACAATTATCAGTTAAATGCACTGTTGAGGGCTGAGTTGTGTCCTCCACAAAAAAGTTGATGTTTTGGGGTCCTGACCCCAAGTACCTCAGAACATGACTGTATTTGGATATAGAGTTCTTAAAGACAGAATTAAGTTAAGGCTGGGTGCAGTGGCTCACGCCTGTCATTCCAGCACTTTGGGAGGCCAAGGCGAGCGGATCGCAGGAGTTTGAGACCAGCCTGACCAACACGGTGAAACCCCATCCCTACTAAAAATACAAAAGTTAGCCAGGCGTGGTGGTGCATGCGTGTAATCCCAGCTACTCGGGAGGCTGAGGCATGAGAATCGCTTGAATCCTGCAGGCAGAGGCTGCAGTGAGCTGAGATCGAACCACTGCACTTCAGCCTGGGCAACAGAGTGAGACCCTGTCTCAAAAAACAAAACAAAACAAACACACACACACACAAACAGATAATTAAGTTAAAGCGAAGTCATCAGAAGGAACCCTAATCCAATGTGACTGGTGTCCTTATGAGATAAAAAAAATTTCAGGCAGGAGGATCTCTTGAGGCCAGGAATTCAAGATCAGCCTGGGCAACAGAGTGAGACCCTGTCTCTACAAAATAAAATAAAATAAAATAAAATAACAAAATAAAAAAAAGAAGGCCGGGCACAGTGGCTCACGGCTGTAGTCCCAATACTCTGGGAGGCAGAGGTGGGCAGATCACCTGAGGCCAGGAGTTCGAGACCAGCCTGGCCAACATAGAGAAACCCCCTCTCTACTAAAAAATACAAAAATTAGCTGGGTGTCATGGCGGGTGCCTGTAATCCCAGCTACTCGGGAGGCTGAGGCAGGAGAATCACTTGAACCCGGGAGGGGGAGGTTGCAGTGAGCAGAGAGAGATCACACCACTGCACTCCAATCTGGGTGACAGAGCCAGACTCTGACTCAACAAAAAAAAAAAAAAAAAAAAAAGAAAAGAAAGAAGGAACTGGGGACACAGACCAGTACAGAGGGAAGACCATGTGAAGATACAGGGATAAGTTGGCCATTTACAAGACAAGAAGAGAAGCCTTGGAGAAAACTTCCCTGTGGACGCGTTGGTCTTAGACCTCCAGCCTCCAGAACGGTGAGGAAATCAATCTCTGTTGTACCACAGCCACCCAGGCTGTGGTACTTTCTTATGGTGGCCCTGGCAAATGAATACGGGCATAAATAAATAGAGAGCCACCCAGGCTGTGGTACTTTCTTATAGTGGCCCTGGCAAATGAATACGGGCATAAATAAGCAGAGAATTTCAGGTAGTGATAAATTCTGTGAAGAAAAATAAAGCAGGTAAAGTCCCAGCTAGAAATGAGTCTTCTTTCTTTCTTATTTTATTTATTTATTTATTTATTTATTTATTTTTGAAACAGAGTCTTGCTCTGTCACCCAGGATGGAGTGCAGTGGTGCGATCTCAGCTCACTTCTACCTCCACCTCCCAGGTTCAAATGATCCTCCCACCTCAGCCTCCCGAGTTGCTGGGATTACAGGCACCCGCCGCCACGCCCAGCTAATTTTTGTATTTTTAGTAGAGACAGGGTTTCACCATGTTGGTCAGGTTGGTCTCAAACTCCTGGCCTTAAGTGATCTGCCAGCCTCGGCTCCCAAAGTTATGGGATAACAGGAGTGAGCCACCGCGCCTGGTTTATTTTATTTTATTTTATTTTATTTTATTTTATTTTATTTTATTTTATTTTATTTTAAGAGGGAGTCTCACTCTGTTGCCCAGGCTGGAGTGCAGTGGCGCGATCTTGGCTCACTGCAATCTCCACCTCTTGAATTCAAGTGATTCCCCTGCCTCAGCCTCCTTAGTAGCTGGGACTACAGGCATCACCACCATGCCCGCCTAATTTTTTATATCTTAGTAAAAACGGGGTTTCACCACGTTGGCCAGGCTGGTCTCGAACTCCTAATCCTGAGATCTGCCCGCCTCAGCCTCCCAAAGTGCTGGGATTACAGGCATGAACCACCATGCCCGGCCAGTTTATTTTATTTTTAAATTTTTATCTATTTTTTTTTGAGATCAGGTTATGAGACTAGCTAGTTTTTGTATTTTTGGTAGAGATGGGGTTTCACTATGTTGCCCAGGCTGGTCTCGAACTCCTGGGCTCAAGGGATCACGTACCTCGCCCTCCCAAAGTGCTGGGATTGCAGGCGTGAGCCACCGCGCCCAGTTTCTCTCACGTGCTCTTTCTTTTATTATTATTTATTTATTTATTTATTTATTTATTTATTTATTTATTTTTGAGATGGAGTCTCGCTCTGTCGCCCAGGCTGGAGTGCAGTGGCGCGATCCCAGCTCACTGCAACCTCCACCTCCCGGGTTCAAGCGATTCTCCCGCCTCAGCCTCCTGCTTAGCTGGGATTACAGGCGCCCGCCACCACGCCCGGCTGATTTTTGTATTTTAGTAGAGTCAGGGTTTCACCATGGTAGTCAGGCTGGTCTCCAACTCCTGATCTTGTGAGCCACCTGCCTCGGCCTCCCAAAGTGTTGGGATTACAGGCGTGAGCCACCGCGCCCCCCTCTTTTATTTATTTATTTATTTATTTATTTTTAACATTTTCTTGGATACCAAATGAGTCCCCTTTAGACACGATGGTCAGTGCTGGTCTCTCTGAGGTGGTGACATTTGACCAGAGACTTAAACAATGCGAGGAAACGAGACACGTGAAGCGCCGGCGGAAGAACGCTCCAGGCCGAGGAGGCAGCCCGGGAAAACACGCTGCGGGAGGAATGAGCTTAGAGCGTCTGGGGAACAGCAGAGGCTGGCGTGGCCGGAGCAGGGAGAGCAGGTGGCAGGAGAGGGAGTCGCAGGGCGCCGGGAGTCAGCCCGCGCGAGGCCTTGCCACCATGTTATTCTAGCAGTAGGAATTTAAGTGGCTTTTATTCTGGGGAGAATCCGTGATCCGACTTATGATATAAAAGTATCACTTAGGGGCCAGGCGTGGTGGCTCACACCTGTAATCCCAACACTTTGGGAGGCTGAGGCGGGCAGATCACCTGAGGTCATCAGGAGTTCGAGGCCAGCCTGGCCAACATGGAGAAAGCCCATCTCTACTAAACACACACACACACACACACACACACACACACACACACACACACACACACACACACAAAAATACAAAATTAACCAGGCGTGGTGGCGCATGCCTGTAATCCCAGCTCGGGAGGCTGAGGCAGGAGACTCGCTTGAATCCAGGAGTCAGACGTTTCAGTGAGTCGAGATCGTGCCATTGCACTCCAGCCTGGGCAACAAGAGCGAAACTCCGTCTCAAAAAAAAAAAAGTATCACTTGGCCGGGTGCGGTGGCTCATGCCTGTCATCCCAATAGTTTGGGAGGCTGAAGCGAGAGGACTGCTTGAGTCCAGGAATTCAAGATTAGCCTGGGCAACATAGTGAGACCTCATCTCTGCAAATAATTTTAAAAATTAGCCCAGAGTGGTGACGTGTGCCTGTGGTCCCAGCTACTCGAGGATGAGGTGGGAGGATTGCTTGAGCCCAGGAGGTTGAGGCTGCAGTGAGCTGTGATTGTGCCACTGTACATCAGCCTGGGCGACAGAGCCAGACCCTGTCTTAAAAAATTTAAAATTAAAAAAATAGAAGTATCACTCTAGCTGCTCTGTGGAGAATGGACTTGAGGAGGTTAAAAGGAGAAGCATAGAGAAGAGTTAGGAGGCCATAGAAATTACCTCGGGGAAATATAGCCGTGGCTTGGATTAGTGAAACCGAGGGAAGTGTTTGCATTCAAAACACATTTTGGAAGCAGTGCCAATAGAATTTGCTGGTGGATGGCTAGGCAGGGTGGCTCATGCCTGTAATCCCAGCACTTTCGGAGGCCAAGGCAGGTGGATCACCTGAGGTCAGGAGTTCGAGACCAGCCTGGCCAACATGGAGAAACCCAGTCTCTATTAAAAATACAAAACTTAGCCAGGTGTGGTGGCAGGCACCTGTAATCCCAGCTACTTCCGAGGCTGTGGCAGGAGAATCGCTGGAACCCGGGAGGCAGAGGTTGCAGTGAGCCGAGATCGCACCGCTGCACTCCAGCCTGGGTGACAGAGCAAAACTGTCTCAAAAATAAAAAATAAATAAAATAAATAAAAAGGCATGCGGGTCTGGCTCCTGCGGCTTCTCCAGCCTCCTCTCAAGCTGCTCCTCCCACACTCTCGCAGCGTGGAGCAGGACTTTCAATGCACCAGATTTGTTCAGGCTTGAAGACCTTTATGCTGCTTGGAATAATTTTCCGCCTCCCCCTCCCTGAGCCTGTCTTAGATGTCCTTATTCTTCACATCTCTGTATGAAGTACATGTTTCAAAGGGACGCCTTCACTAACCACTGCCACCTAAATCTACAGTGGGTCTCCTGTCATACATTTTTCTCATACTCTGTACTTTTTATCTATAGCATTCATCACAGTTGGTAGTTATGAATGTATATTGATTTGTATGACTAATGTCTCTTTATCTCATTTCTGTCTCTCCCACTGCACTATAAATCCACGAGGGCAGCAGACTTCTCTGTCTCATACCTCTAAAACTAGAACAACAGCTGATATATGTATTATAAGGAGAGAAACAAGACAACCTGAACACGACCCTTTATTTAGGGAGACCTCAAAATCCCAACCTGCCCCAGTCCCTGACACGCAATCTAACCACAGTAATTACAACATCAAATCCTTCTTCACTCTCAATTGGTTGTACAATCTGTGGAACATTTTTGTGCTCAAGACTTTCATAAAACACTTTTATATCAACAGTTTCCTGTGCACCCCCAGGAGTAATGCAGGTGTGAGTTCAATAATAACACCAGCACTAAATTCCTAGCAAGCTACAAATTCCATGAGAACAAACATCATCTTTATTTTATTCATCGTTGCGTCCTCAGCGGCTCCTAGCACAGCATCTGGGACTCACTGGATATTAAAGAAATACTTGTTAAATGAATGGACAAGTAAAAAAAAAAAAAAGGAGAAATAGATGATTGGAGGGAGAGAGGAAGGGAAAGAGGGTGGAAAAGAAAGAAAAGAGAGAGGGGCCGGGCTTGGTGGCTCATACCTATAATCCCAGCACTTTTGGGAGGCCGAGGTGGGCGGATCACTTGAGCTCAGGAGTTGGAGACCAGCCTGGGCAACACAGCGAAACCCTATCTCTACAAAAAAAAAAAAAACAAAAAAAACAAAAAAACCGAAAATTAGCCGGGCTTGGCGGCATGCACCTGTATTCCCAGCTACTCAGGAGGCTGAAAGGTAGGGAGGACAATCACTTGAGCCTTGGAAGTCGAAGTTGCAGTGAGATGAGATTGCACCACTGTACTCCAGCCTGGATGAGAGAGCGAGACCCTGTCTCAAAAACAAAAAAAAAAGAGAGAGATAGAAAGAGACATAGGGAAAGAGAGAGAGGGGAAGGAAGGGGAGAGAAGGAGGAAACTGATCAATCAACGGAAGGATAAATGGATGGATGGATAGGATGGACACAATACTAACAGATACATGGATGAGTGAGTTCATGGCTATAAGGAGATTTAAGCTCAGAGATAGAAAAAGGTTTGCCCCAATTACATGGCTGTTAAGAAGTTGGGACTCCAACCCAGATCTTTTTGATTCCCTGTTAATGTCACAGGACCAGTGACATTAATGTCACATTAATGCAGTGACATCTTTTACACCAGTCTCCCTGTCTCTCTCCACACTCCTGTCACACTGGCTTTCTTTCAAGATCTGCAATGCAGCAAACTCTCCCAGCTTGTCTATCCATACTTTGACATCTTCAATGTCACCTCCCCAGAGAGGCCCTCTCTAAATCCCTGAGGACAGAACGATGAAAAAGATAAAGATGATGTCTGTTTTCATGGAATTTGTAGCTTGGTAGGAATTTGGTGCTGGCGTTATTATTAAACTCACACCTGCATTACCCCTGGGGGTGCACAGGAAGGTGTTGATATAAAAGTGTTTTATGAAAGTCTTGGCCGGGCGCGGTGGCTCACGCCTGTAATCCCAGCACTTTGGGAGGCCAAGGTGGGTGGATCACTTGAGGTCAGGAGTTGGAGACCAGCCTGGTCAACATGATGAAACCCTGTCTCTACTAAAAATACAAAAATTAGCCAGGCGTGGTGGCACACACCTGTAATCCTAGCTACTTGGGAGGCTGAGTCAGGAGAATTGCTTGAACCTGAGAGGCGGAGGTTGCAGTGAGCTGAGATTGTGCCACTGCACTCCAGCGTGGGCAACAAGAGCGAAACTCTGTCTCAAAAAAAAAAAAAGAAAGAAAAGAAAAGAAAACATTTGATCCAAGAAGAAAACCAAGGCCCAGAAAATAAAAGGAACCTTCCCAAGGCCACACAGTGATTCAGGGCACAGCTTGGGCTGGAACCTAGAGGCAGAGGTTGTAGTGAGCTGAAATCGTGCCACTGCACTCCAGCCTGGGCGACAGAGTGAGACTCCATCTCAAAAAAGAAAGAAAGAAAACCGAGTTTAAAATCCCACCTCTGCCATCATGCCATCATTGATTGTGTGCCCATGAGTAATTCATCTGACTTCTCTGAGCCTCAATTTCCTCATTTATAAAATGGGGGAAGCTGTGTGTGGTGGCTCATGCCTATAATCCCAGCACTTTGGGAGGCCAAGACAGGCAGATCACTTGACGTCAGGAGTTCGAGACCAGCCTGGCTTATGTGGTGAAACCCTGTCTCTACCGAAAAATACAAAAATTAGCCAGGCGTGGTGGTGCCTGCTTGTAATCCCAGCTACTTGGGAAACTGAGGCAGAAGAATCACTTGAACCCAGCAGGCGGAGGTTGCAGTGAGCCGAGATCATGCCATTACACTCCAGCCTGGGAGACAAAGGGAGACTCTGTCTCAAAAATAAATAAGTAAATAAAATGGGGGATAGTAAGCCCTGCCTAATAGTGCTGTTGTAAGGATTTGAACTGGAAGTACAATAAACTGAAGTGTTGTTTATTACTGAGGGCTACATTTCACAAGATGCAGCATTTTATTTAGACCTTCAGCTCCAAGAATGCAACAGTCCTTGCAGACCTCAAGTCTCAAATCTAAAAGAGCATTTAGAGACCATCAAATTCTGAGCCAACAATAGGGCTTGGAACTCTTCCACCTTTGAGCCTGCTATAGCCCCTGGGCTTCCCTGACCTCTCAACACGCTATAGTGCTTAAAACATCTCAGCATGAAACAGTGTTTGGGGACTCCATGTTCAAACCTTGAAAAGCGTTTGGACAGCTTCCAATTCCCAGCCAACAACAGGGCTTAGAACTCTCCAATTTTTGAGACCTCTATAGTCCTTGCGCTTTCTCTAATGCCTAGCATGCAACAGTGATTGGAAATCCCAGGTCCAAATCTAAAACAATGTTTGGACACCCTCCAATCCTTAGCCCGGTTGTTGGGGTTCTCCCATCTTTGAACCTACTATAGCCCTTGGGCTTCCCCTCAACTCCAAGCATGCAACAGGGCTTGGAGATCCCACCTCCCAGCGTGCAACAGTGTGTGGAGATCCTACTCCCAGCATGCAACAGTGTGTGGAGACCCTACTCCCAGCATGCAACAGTGCATAGAGATTCCATCTCTGAGCGTGCAACAGTGCATAGAGACCCCATCTCCCAGCATGCAACAGTGCCTGGAGATCCTCCCAGCATGCAATGTCCTCAGCCTCCAGGCTCTGAACCCTCACCTGAGAGGCCAAAGCAGACGGCTCCAACTCGGAGCAGGAACTCTGCACCTTTACTGAGCACCATGATGATACAGAGGCACCCCAAGGCCATGACTGCCAGGCCCAGCACTGCTATCACCGCAGCTGCCAGATTCACCTCTGCCAGCAGGAGAGAGGAAAGAAGCAGAGAACATGGGATGTAGGGAATGAGGAGGATTCACCCATAGGAACCCAGAACCAGGAAGATGTAAGATTCGGGACGAGAGAAGAATTTTCAAGTAGAGTATCATCCAGCCCAACATTTTACTTACACTGTTGAAGGAATTAAGACTCAGAAAGGGTCAGTTATTTCTCTAAAGTCACTGAGCAAAGGGAGGAGAGGGCCAGGATTAGAAAGAGTTGAGAATTACCAACTATTACTTAGGATCTGGTTACCACTGGTTTACAGTTGAGGAAGCTGAGGCAGTGGGGTGTGTGGGAGACGATGGCAAAGGCAGTGTGCTACAGTGGAATGATCCAGGTTGGAAATCTCACCAACTACTTCCTACATGGAAGATTCTAGTAGGATTTTCCAGATTCCAGTAGGAATTTAGGCTGAACCCTTCTCAGCCTAAATTTCCTCCTGTGGACCAGGTGCGGTGGCTCACACCTATAATCCCAGCACTTTGGGAGGCCAAGGTGGGTGGATCACTTGAGATCAGGAGAGTTCAAGACCAGGCTGGCCAACATGGTGAAAAATTTTCCTGGGAAGAATAATTGTAACCATTCCTGGACTTCTGGAAGATGGAAGATAAAGCCCCCACCCTGCAGGGCTACTGCGAGGACTGGAGATCTTACAGATGGAGTGCCCAGCACTGTGGTCAGTACTTGATGCCTGCAGGTTTGTGAGATGTCCAAGTGCTACCCACAGAGAGGGGCTGCGACTTGCCCGGGGTGACACAGAACGTGGCATAGGCAGAGATGGGGTAAGAGCTCTAGGCACAGCTAGGTGCAGTGGCTCACGCCTGTCATCCCAGCACTTTGGGAGGCTGAGGAGAGGGATCACCTGAGGTCAGGAGTTCAAGACCAGCCTGGTCAACATGGTGAAACCCCATCTCTACTAAAAATATAAAAATTAGCTGGGCATGATGGTGGGCGCCTATAGTCTCAGCTACTCAGGAGGCTGAGGTAGGTGAATTGCTTGAACCTGGGAGGCGGAGGTTGCAGTGAGCCGAGATTGTGCCACTGCACTCCAGCCTGGGTGACAGAGCAAGACATCATCTCAAAAAAAAAAAAAAAAAAGAGTTCTCTAGATTCTCTAGAGCACCATGTCCCCATCATTAACTCTCCCGCCAGCACTCCCCAGGGGACAGCCACAGATTATAGACACGAGACCTGCCCTGGGGTAAAGCAGAGGAGGGGATAACTCTCTCTAGAACTCCTCCAGCACGCTCAGCATTTCCCCCACCTGTCACCCAGCAGGGGGTGAAAAGTTCTCACCTTTCTTTGTGGTTCTCTGAAAGATGCGTGCATTCTCCCCCGTGGTGAAGAATTTAAAATAGGTGCAGTTTGCTTCTGTGGGAGCAGGAGAGAGAAAACAGACATGAGGATGTGAGGTCCCTTGCGTAAGCTCAGGGCTGGACAGTTAACAGCCCACGGGAGCCTAAAACTTGGACATCAGCATCCCTGATACACAGAGGAGAAAAATGATGCCCAGAGGTGTGAAAGCCACCTGCGACCACACTGCCATCTAGGAGCTGGGACTCCTACCCGGGGCTCTGAGCCCCAGACCTGTGGCCCCAAGTGCGCCATTAGCCTCTCTGGGTCTCTAGTTCCTCCTCTTTAAAACGAGATAATAATCTCTTTCCTGGCCCCTTCGTATGGGTTTGTTGAGGGTCAAGTGGGATTACATATGGATAATCACTTGATTCAACAAAGGATACCAAGATACAAGTAGCAGAAGACTAACAGACTCAGAAAGGAATCCTGTCTCAGGAAGGATTCCTACCTAGAACACACAAAGAGCTCCTGCGGATTAGCAAGAAGAGAGAGAGAACCCAGTTGACAAATGGGCAAAGGGTATGAATAGTAATTCACAAAAGAGGAAGCCTGGGTAACTCATAAGTCCATGGAGAGATGCCCCACTTCACCAGGGATCAGAGAGAGGCAGCCGGAATCAGCAGGGAGCCACCACTTCCCATCAATTAGATTGGCCAACATTAAAAGGGTCATATCAAGCGTTTGAAAAGATAAGAGGAAACACCGTGTATGAACGGGTACTCCTAGTCTTTTGGGAAGGCACTCTGAGGTACTTTATGAAATGAAGAATGTTCATAGCCTGTGGCTCAACAATTTCATTGCAGGGTATAACTCCAGAAAAAAAAAACAAAACAGGAATATATATGCAGATGTTTACAGCAGCACTGTTTATAAGTAACATGGAGTCAGAATCAAGTCAGGTGTCCATCTAATGGGGAACAGACAAGTAAATGACACAGACAGTCCTTGTGAAAATCTCTCCAGTACATATAGCCATGAATTAGAATAACCTAAAGCAAGATGGAGAGATTTGAGAAACACAGTGTTGATCAAAACAATAATGATAATTAATATTAATAATTTAATTTAAAAATCCAAAAATTGAGGCCAGGAAAGGTGGCTCACACCTGTAATCCCTGCACTTTGGGAGGCCGAGGCAGGAGAATCACTTGAGCTCAGGAGTTTGAGACCAGCCTGGCCAACGTGGTGAAACCCCGTCTGTACCAAAAATACAAAAAATCAGCTGGGTGTGGCAGCACACACCTGTAATCCCAGCTACTCGGGAGGCTGAGGCAAGAGGATCCCTTCAGCCTGGGAGGCAGAGGTTGCAGTGAGCCAAGATTGTACTACTGCACTCCAGCCTGGGTGATAGAGTGAGATCCCATCTCAAAAAAAAAAAAAAAAAAAAAAATCCCAAAGATCAGACAAAATCAATAGCATGATCTCATTTATGTAAAACACACATATAAACTAACACTATATATTTTCCAAGTCAAAATACATATCTGTGAGTGTATATCAAACACATTAAAGAGATGAGCTGGAAAAGAACGAGGAAAAAATAATATAAAACAAAGCACAGGGCCGGGTGTGCTGGCTCATGCCTGTAATCCCAACACATTGGGAGGCCAAGGCAGGCAGATCACTTGGGGTCAGGAGTTCGAGACCAGCCTTGTCAATATGGTGAAACCCCATCTCTACTAAAAGTACAAAAATTAGCCGGGAGTGGTGGCACATGCCTGTAATCCCAGCTACTCAGGAGGCTGAGGCAGGAGAGTCGCTTGAACCCGGGAAGCAGAGGTTGCAGTGAGCTGAGATGGCACCACTGCAATCCAGCATGGGTGACAGAGCAAGACTACATCTCAAAAAAAAAAAGAGAGAGAGAGAAATTTTAAAGTTAAGAAAGACAGAAAAAGGAAGAAAGGGAGAGAAGGAAGGAGAAATGAAGGAAGGGAGGGGAGCACTTTCTGAAGTGCATTTTAGACCCAGAAATTCCCTCAGAATTCACCTAGCCTGACCTACTCTCTTATTCTACAGATGGGGAAACTGAGGCACAGAAAGAGAGAAGAGAGGTCGAGAATAACAGGAGTAAAGGCCATAGAAGAGGGACCAGGCAGTCCATGAATGTGAAAAATTGAACTTTTCAATTTGAACAAGGATATGAAGGGACAAGAAATCAATCCCTGAGTCAGGTGAGGTGGTGTGGGCGGGCGCTCCCCAAGTACCCCGAGGGGAGGTGAAGGGGTGAGATGTCCGGCCAGGAGGAGTGGGATATGTGAGTTCTTATGCAGCAGCAAGAGGTAGAGGATGCTGGGCTGCGCGTGGTGGCTCATGCCTGTCATCCCAGCACTTTGGGAGGCCGAGGCGGGCAGATCACCTGAGGTCAGGAGTTTGAGACCAGCCTCGTCAACATGGTGAAACCCCGTCTCTACTAAAAATACAAAAATTAGCCGGATGTTGTGGTGCATGCCTGTAATCCCAGCTACTTGGGAGACAGAGGCAGGAGAATTGCTTGAACCTTGGAGGCAGAGGTTGCAGTGGGCCGAGATCGTGCCATTGCACTCCAGCCGGGGCAACAAGAGCAAAACTCCATTTCAAAGAAAAAGAGGTAAAGGGTGCTTCACGTCACTGAGCGAAGGGTGCAGGTGCTCTTTGAAGCAGTCATTGCGGGAAACACGGTCTACATCCACAAGGGAAGTGTGACGGCCCTTCTGGGACAATGTAGGTTGCCTGGCATCCTCTTTTGGCTACTAATAGTTTAGCACATCCCAATTCGACCACCCCCAAACATGACACATCCCATCTGGAAAAGTGCAGGGTAAGGGTCACCCCCACATTCCATACTTATAGCCAAGGGAGCCAGGGATGCCTTTTGATGGGCAGTGGTGAGTGTGAGATATTTCTCTGAGATAATGAAGATTGAGAGATGTCCTCTGAGGGGTTGGGTTTGTAAGATAACGTTAATGGCCCTGCTGGAAGACTGAAGTCCTTTCTGATCAATGGAGGGGACAGCAAGGGATGCAAGGAACCCCATACAATGCGGTGAGATGGGATGGGCCACCCCTCCATTGTCCCAGGACCTTTGACCTTTGGGATCTCTTGATGGACCAGTGAGATGTGATATAATGCAGTTGTTGAGAAGAGAGGCAACCAAGCTTCAAATTCCATCTAACTAGCCTGGGTGCATAGACCGAGCCACCGAGATTTCTCGCCCCCTCATTTTTCTCTTCTCTAGAACGGGAGTGATAATAACGACTCATAGGCTAGCTATGATGCTTGATGAGTTAATGTACATAAAACACTGAGATGAGAACCAGGCATTACATAAGCAGCTACTATTCTTATTACTGGGGACTCCCATTTTGCAAAAGTTTGAGATCATCCTTTATGAGACCCCTGAGGGGCCAGAGACAGCCCATCTGCAGAAATAAAATGATCAAGGGTAGCCCATCTGGACACCAAGTGGGTAGCTCAGACAGCCGGGGGGCCTGGCATCCCACTGTCCTATCGAGGGCTTGGGACATCCTATTTTGCACTCTACACATATAAGATATCACATCTGGAGAAGTGAGGGACGAGGGAAATCTCATACGGAGCCCAGAAAAATAGGCCATATTCTTTGAGGGGCACTGGGATGATAGGACCGTCTTTGGAGACTGAAGAGTGCTGGAGATCTCATATGGGTGATCAAATATATGACAGCCCAAATGGGCTCTGAGGAGTGCCAGGTATTTTCCATGGGTCAGTGGAGGTAGAAGGAGATTTCATCCAGTTCCCAAGGGGTATAGAATGTCCCCCTGGTATAAGCACAAGCCGTGGCGTGGCGTGTCAGGGAGGTATGGAACAGCTCTCTGCCATGCCCAGGGATAAAACAGCCATGATTTGGGAAAGGAGGGAGTATGGGAATGTCTCTCGGAGAAAATGAGAAACGCTGAAATGTCCAGTCTGGGCATTTGGAGGCGAGAGGACAGGAAGTGAAGAACATTGCAGGGAAGGAACAAGGTCTGCCCTCGGGTGTTGGGAGGCGTCTGGTGAGAGCTTGGTTTGGTGGAAGCAGTAGGTGGGGAACAGGCATAGATCCTGCTTTGGGGTGGGCGTCTGTCTCCCCAGGGCTCACAGGATGGGAGCGCAAGCTGTCTCCAGGCTGGGAAGAGGAAGCTGACACCAGGAACCCAGGCTGTCTCTCCATGGGCACAGGCTGTCTGTGGGCACATGCAGAGTGGGCACGGGCTGTCTCCAGGGCACAGGCACTTCCAGAGGGTGCAGGCTGTCTGGGGTGGGCACAGGCTATCTGAGGACACCAGCTGTGTCTGGAATCACAGGCTGGGTCTGGGGACACAGGCAAGATTTTTCTAGTGACACAGGCTCTCTCTAGAGCTGTAGGCTGGTCTGGGGGGACACAGCGATGCCTGGGAACATTGGCTGTGTGGGGGCAGGGACTTTGGGGGTCATAGAATCATCTGGGACCATAGCCTGGTGTGGAGGTGCAGGCTGATCTGAGGGCACAGGCTGGTGTAAGGATGCAGGCTGGTCTGGGGGTATAGACTGGTCTAGGGGTGCATGTTAGTCTGGGGGTGGAAACTGTAGCTGGGGACACAGGCTCATCTGGGGGTACAGGATAGTCGGGGTACAGGATGGTCTTGGGGCACAGGCTGTAGGCGGGGGCACAAGCTCTCTTTAGAGGTGCAGAATAGGGGTACAGACTCGTCTGAGGGGGTCTCAGGTCACAGCCTGGTCTGGGGGTACAGGATGGCCTGGGGGCACAGACTCCCTGTAGGCACATTCTGGTCTTGGGGTACAGTCTGTAGCAGGAAAGCAAGCTCTAAGGCACAGGTTCTCTGGCGGTAGGCCCGTGAGGGACCTGGGCCATATCTGGGGGATCCCTCTATCTCTCAGCAGTTTCTGAGAGCAGAGGACGAAGTGGGCACTGGCGCTTACTGCGAGGCAAGCTGTCTCCTCCGGGCTCAGGCTTTTGTCCCTGGGGCGGGTTTTCTCCTCGGACACGGGCCCCTCTCCCTCCCTGTCCGTGGGACGCAAGCCCTGCGCTCGGGGCGGCGGCTGCTCACCTCCGGGCAGCTCCGCGGGGCCGCAGGTGTCCCTGTCCACGGGCACGTCCGCCTGCCACAGCCGCTTGGTGCACGCCTTCCACAGCCCCAGGTGGGCCGCTTCGCACACGGCGCTGCCGTTGGCCTTGTAGGTGTTGAGCTCCACCCAGAACTCGGTGCCCACGGACAGCACCGCCAGCGTGGCGCCCACGGCGGCCAGCAGCAGCGCCAGCTTCACCTTCCCCTCGCGCTCGGGCGTCAGCCCCGACCTGCCCTGCCCGTGCGCCCGCCGCCGGCCCGCGGCCCCCCGCCGCCGGTTCTCCTCTTGCAGGAAGAAGTTGGACCACATCATCTTATGGCCGGTGGGGTCGGGAAGGGGGAGGAGGCAGAGCCGGCGAAGGGCCTCGAGGGGCGGGAGCGAGGAGCGGCCTGGGGTCTTGAAGGGGGTGAGGGACTCAGTTTCCCCTGGGTATGAAAGAGGGAGAGCCGAGTCCTGTCTGGAATCTCAAATGCGAAAGTCGAGATTGCTTCTGGGGTTCAGAAGAGAAAAATGATCCCCAGGGCTGGGGAAGCCTCTGGGGTTCAGAGGAGGGTCTAGGTTGCCCTCAAGAACTTGGCAAAGAAGACGGGGCCCAGAGGAAAAACAAGGCCCCCACCCTGAGGTTTAGAGATAGAATTCGGCTTCCCAGGAGGGAGTCCCCCCAAGAGCTCCAGAGGAATGAGAACTGGTGCCCGCTGAAGCTCCCTGCAGCTCCAAGGGGCTGCTTTGGGGTCCCCGCTGGGGGGTTAACAAAAGGGAAACTGGTTTTCCTGAGAGATCTGAGCACCCCACTAGGGCTAAGAGTTTGGGGTACCCAGGAAGGGACCTGAGGTCCTGTGTGTGTTTGGAGGAGATGTGGCCGGGGTTCCCTTGGGCTCAGAGTTTGAGAACAGAGGACTTGGGGACCCTCTG
The DNA here is from genome assembly GCF_000001405.40 of Homo sapiens. NCBI lineage: Eukaryota > Metazoa > Chordata > Mammalia > Primates > Hominidae > Homo > Homo sapiens. The sequence goes on along the minus strand of NC_000019.10, from coordinate 53,992,277 downwards.
GGATTCGGAAAAGGAAGACCTGGGGTCCCGGGAAGCTCCCAAGGGGAGGTCGGAATTCAATCCGGGTCTCAAGAGAGGCAGTAGGACCCCGGCATCCACAGAAGGAGAAGAACAGAGCCCTGGCTGGGGCTCAGAAGAGGACTGGGCCTCGCTGGAATTCAGGAAAAGGGGATAGGGGTCTCCCCTGCCATTCAGAAAAGATCCGAGGTCTCTACTGAGCCTGGAAAAGGGGCCGGTGGCCGGAAGACAGAGTGGAGTCCAGAGGCGGGAGGCTACGGGGCCTCCCCGAGGGCTGGGGCAGATGGGACCGGGGGCCCTCCTGGGGCTCACACTATGGGGCTGTGGTCCGCACTGCGGCTCGGAAAACCAGGACTGAGTCCCCCCAGGGTTCAAAGGCCAACCGCGACCCGCAAGAGACGCTGCGCCCCTTCGGGATCAGTCCGTCTCCCTCCCCCGGGCTCCCAGGGCCTTCCCGGTCGGGTTCGCGCCAGGCTCAGCCCCAGGCCAGGGCCCCCCCTCGGGGCTCCCACCCCCGACTCCCGAGCAGGGGCCCCTCTCGCTCTCCTGCCTCGGCCCCGCGCCGACCCCAGCTCCGCGCTGCCTCCGAAGCGTCCGGCTGTGCCCGCCACCGCCACCGGCCTGGCCTCCGCCCGCGCCCGGCCTCGTCCCCACCCGCCCACCCCCCACCCTCCACCCTCCACCCTCGGGGCTATTTCGGGCTTGACCCGTAAATAACACCCGCACCTGTCGCCCGGCGCCTGTTGCCATAGGGATCCCGGGTGTTTTAAGGGGACGAGGAAGGGGGGAGGGAGGCCGCCCGGGGAGGAAGGGGCCGAGCCTGATGGGACTTTCATTTCACTAAGGGGCAAGAGCGGCGCCGAGAGTCCCAGCTCCGCAGTCTCCCGGGCAGCAGGAGACGGGCGGGGCAGCAAGTCTGACTGGGGTTACCAGGGAGGAGGGGCGGGAGGCAGGGCCCCGGGTCTCAGGGAGGAGGGCCTGAGGCCAGGAGTCTTGGGTCCCTAAGGGAGAAGAAGCCTCGGTACCCCACTTCTGAGTGGTAGAGGAAGAAGGCCTGGGTACCCAGAATCTTGGATCTGAGAGGAGAGGAACCTGGTCTCCTAGGTCCTGGGCTCCTGAGTCTGAGGGAGGAGGGGCTGGGGGCCTGAACTCCTGGGTCTGAGGGAGGAGGGGCTGGGGTCTGGACTCCTGGGTCTGAGGGAGGAGGGGCTGGGCCTGGGCTCCTGAGTCTGAGGGAGGAGGGACTGGGGCCTGGACTTCTGGGTCTGAGGGAGGAGGGACTGGGGCCTGAACTCCTGGGTCTGAAGGAGGAGGGGCTGGGGGCCTGGACTCCTGGGTCTGAGGGAGGAGGGGCTGGGGGCCTGGACTCCTGGGTCTGAGGGAGGAGGGGTTGGGGGCCTGGGCTCCTGGGTCTGAGGGAGGAGGGGCTGGGGGTCTGGACTCCTGGGTCTGAGGGAGGAGGGGCTGGGGCCTGGACTCCTGGGTCTGAGGGAGGAGGGGCTGGGGGCCTGGGCTCCTGAGTCTGAGGGAGGAGGGGCTGGGGGCCTGGACTTCTGGGTCTGAGGGAGGAGGGACTGGGGCCTGAACTCCTGGGTCTGAAGGAGGAGGGGCTGGGGGCCTGGACTCCTGGGTCTGAGGGAGGAGGGGCTGGGGGCCTGGGCTCCTGGGTCTGAGGGAGGAGGGGCTGGGGGCCTGGGCTCCTGGGTCTGAGGGAGGAGGGGCTGGGGGCCTGGGCTCCTGGGTCTGAGGGAGGAAGGCCTGGGCCTGGACTCCTGGGTCTGAGGGAGGAGGGGGCAGGGGGCCTGGACTCCTGGATCTGAGGGAGGAGGGGCTGGGCCTGGACTCCTGGGTCTGAGGGAGGAGGAGGGCCGGGGAGCCTGGACTCCTGGTCAAGGCGTTGGCAGACCCAGAGTCCTGGGCCTCAGGGAGGAGACTGGGGCCAGAACCCTGGGTCTTGAAGGATGGAAGGCCTGATTTCCATGTTGGAGAAAGCGCAGGCCTCAGGGCAGGGCCGGCTGTCAGGGGCACAGAATGAAAGCAGCACTCCTCTTCATCGAGTTTATTAGACGGGGCACCCCTGGGGGACCTTCCATGCAGTTTCAGCTCCCCCAGGAGCAGGGACAGAGGACAGCCGTGTGGCATGGCGGCAGGGCCTGATCTTCAACCCCTCACCCCCTACCCCTCAGCCCTTCTGTGGACGGCCCAGGTGGGACCCACCTTTCACCAACTCCTTCTTCTCCCACAGTTGGCTGCTCCAGGCAGGCCTGGCGCTGACCTGAGCGAGGCTCTGGTGCACGCTGGGCCTCTCTGCCCACCCCCTGCTCTGGACTTTTCCGATGGAGCACGTGTTTCCCCGCAGTGTGATTGTCTGTGTCTGGTTCTTCCAGCAGACTGGGGCCGGGGCCAGGCACAGGAGGAATTCACCTTGGCATCCTCAGCTCTACCCGGCACAGGGCCAGGTCACAGGCAGTCTTGGAAAATGTGCATGGGGTGACTTGAATGAATGGATGGATGAATGGGCAAAGGAATGACCAGATGGAGTGAGATGATGGCACACAGACATCCCCGCCCCAGCTAGGGGAGGGGCCTGCTGCGTTTCCTCAATGCCCGCGTGGCCCCGTCAGAACACAGCCCCCTCTGTATTCTAATTGTCTGGACTACCTGTCCCCCCCTCTGAAGGCAGAGATGGGACAGAAGTGGCCTGAGATTGCAGGGCCTTGTACTTGGAAGTCCTCAGGAAATATTTTTTTTTCTTTTTATTGATCATTCCTTGATGCTGTGCTTGCTTCTGAGTCTCCACGTTGCTTTCTATGCGAATCTCTGGGTCTTTCTCCGGCTTACGTCTCCCTATCTCTGTGGTTGTGTTTTTGTTATCTCTGGGACTTCTCTGATTTGTGTACCTGTCAGTCTCTCTCCTCCTCCTTTTCTGTCTTCTCTGTATCACCTTCTTGTCTTTGACTTTATTTCTTTGACTTTCTTTCTTTCTGTTTTCTGAGACAGGGTCTTGCTCTGTGGCCCAGCCTGAAGTGCAATGGTGCAATCATAGCTCACTGCAACCTTAAACTCCTGGACTCAAGCAATCCTCCCGCCTCAGCCTCCCGAGTATCTAGGACTACAGGCGTGAGCCACCACGCCACAGCTCATTTTTCATTTTTGTAGAGACGGGGTCTTACTATATTGCCCAGGCTGGTCTCAAACGCCAAGCCTCAAGCAATCCTCCTGTCTTGGCCTCCCAGAGTGCTGGGATTACAGGCATGAGCCCCCAAGCCTGGCCAGAAAGTATTTCCAAGAACTGAGTGAATGTTTATTTCTGAAAATGAATGATGAAAACGTGTTCTTCCCCTTCACCTCAATAGGTCTTGACAGGGTCTACAGGGGGAATCCCAGAGTGTGCCCGGCGCTGACAGCAGCAAGAGACAGGAGCTGGGCAGAGCATCCCTGGCTAGGGGATCTGCCAGAGCCTAGCTGACAGCATCCTCTCTTCCCTGCCCCCTGAATTCATCTTCCCCTCCTGGCCCTGGGCTTCCCCATCTCTCTTGCTCCTGCCTGCTGTGACAGCTAATTGCAGGATGCAATTTTCTGCCTCCCATCTCCCTATCTGCATGTCTCCCTACTTCCTTTCAGGGTCATTTTTTTTTTTTTTTACCTTTTTTCTTTTTTGAGACAGAGTCTTGCTCTGTCACCCAGGCTAGAGTGCAGTGGTGTGATCTTGGCTCACTGCAACCTCTGCCTCCTGGGCCCAAGAGATTCTCCTGCTTCAGCCTCTCAAGTAGCTGGGATTACAGGTGTGCACCACCGCACCTGTCTAATTTCTGTATTTTTAGTAGAGACGGGGTTTCACCATATTGGCCAGGCTGGTCTCGAACTCCTGACCTCAAGTGATCCACCCACTTCGGCCTCCCAAAGTGCTGGGATTACACACGTGAGCCATCGCACCTGGCCTTTGTGTCAGTTACACACACACACACACACACACACACACACACACTTGCCTGAATTCCCTTTCCTTCTGTCTTCCCCCCAAATTCTCTCTCCCCTCCACTCCAGCAGGGCTTCTGTCCCCACCACTGCACTGAACTGACATCTTATCTTATCAAGATCACCAACCCTGTCCATGTCATCAGACCTAATGGTCACTCTGCTCTCTGCATCCTTGTCCAAGTCTCAGCAGCCCTTGGCACAGCTGGCTGTCTCCTCTCCTTCTTGAAACACAAAGGTGCATTTGCCCTCTGTAACCCTCCTGGTTTCAGCCTACCTCGAGATCACTCCTAAGCTCGTTTTGCTACATCCCCTTCTCCCCCAGATGTAGATGTCCCCAAGGCTCTGGCCAGGGTCGCTTCTCTGTCCCCACCCCCCTGCTAGGCCACGTCACCCAATCCTGTGGCTTTATGTTGACGTTTCCAAAACTTACGTTTTTGAGCCACGGCCTCTCTTTCCCCCAAACTCCAGTCTCACATATCCAACTGGCTATTTGATACCACAACTCGGATTTCTCGAAGGCAGATCTATCTTGACACATCCAAAAGAGAAGCCTTGGTTCCTCCCTCCCAAAGCCACTTTCCTGATCCCAGTCTCCTCGTTCCTGGTAACAATCCTCATCGGTGCCCATCAGAGATGTGCGTGCCCAATTCAGAGAGTTCTTCTCTTCCTGGTTCCTTTTCCTTCCCTCCTCTATGACATCCAGTTCACCACCAATGCAGGCTCTAGCCTCCAAAATCCCATGCCTTCTTCCACTTCCTCCATCCCACTAACTCCACCTTGGTCCAGGCCTCCAGCAACCAGAGGAAGGCAACAGCCCGCTACCTCCTTCCTTCCCCTTTGACTCCTGAAGTCTACGTATGCTCAGCACAGCAATGTAATTCTGCTGTTCTTGTTTAAATAAAAATATGAGGCCGGGCGCAGTGGCTCACTCCTGTAATCCCAGCATTTTGGGAGGCCGAGGCAGGTGGATCATTTGAAGCCAGGAATTTCAGATTGGCCTGGCCAACACGGTGAAATCCCGTCTTTACTAAAAATACAAAAAAATTAGCCAGGCGTGGTGGCACATGCCTGTAATCCCAGCTACTCAGGAGGCTGAGGCAGGAGAATCACTTGAACTTGGGAGGCGGAGGTTGGCAGTGAGCCGAGATCAGCCCACTGGACTCCAGCCTGAGACAGAGCAAGACTCTTTTTCAAAATAAATATAAATAAGAAAATAAAAATATGATCATGGCATGCCTGTGCTCAAAACCCTCCAAGCACTTCCCATCAGATCTAGAATAAAATTCAGATTTCTTCCCAAGGATCCAAGGCCCTAACTGATCAGCCCCTACCCTGTGCCTCTGTCCTATGGTGGATCTGCTCACCGCACAGGCCTCCTCGAAGACCTGCTACTTTTCTGGGCTTTGGGGCTGCCTCTGGTGGGTGGAATGCCTGGCCCCCAGACTTTCTCACCTCTCTTTCCTACTCACAATCCACATCTCTGTGACCTCTGCCACAAGGTCTACTCCAAGGACCTCATCTAAAGTCATCCTTGCTCTGTCATTCTGTTACCACTCACTGTCGCCCAGGCTGGAGTGCAGTGGCGCGATCTCAGCTCACTGCAACCTCTGCCTCCTGGGTTCAAGTGATCCTTCTTTCTCAGCCTCCCAAGTAGCTGGGACTACAGGCACACCAGCACACCCAGCTACTTTATTTATTTATTGGTAGAGATGAAGTTTCACCATGTTGACCAGGCTGGTCTCGAACTCCTGACCTCAAGTGATCCACCAGCCTCGGCCTCCCAAAGTGCTGGGATTACAGGCATGAGCCACTGCGCCCGGCCTTCAGCTTAATTTTTAAAGCACTTTTTGGTTACTGAAATGATATTATTTATTGTTTATCTCTCCAGTGTGTTTCAGGAGAGCAGGCCCTTGTCCGTCTATTTGCCACCACATCCCCTGGCCGAGATTGGGTCTAGAACAGGTTGGCACTCAATAAATATTTCTTGAATACTGGGAAAACAACACACCAGAAATGGAGCATTCCTTGACGCTGCGCTTGCTTCTGAGTCTCCACGTTGCTTTTTGTGCGAATCTCTGAGTCTGTCTCCGGCTTACCTCTCCCTCTCTATCTCTGTCTCTGTGTGTGTTTCTGCTATCTCTGGGACTTCTCTGATTTGTGCACCTGTCAGTCTCTCCTCTTCCTCTTCTCTCTCCTCTGTATCACCTTCCTGTCTTTGACTTTTTCTCTGTCTGTGACTCTACTAGTTTGGTCTCTCCTGCTCTCCCCCTCCCTCCCCATCTTGCTCTTCCTCCTGCCTACCCTCAACCTCATTCTTTCTCTCTCTCTCTCTCTCTCTCTCGTTCTGTTTGGCCTTCAGACTCTAGAATCCATTCTCCCCTAACCAGTTCCCTCTCCCTCTTCCAGCAAATATTTGCTGTCTCTCAATTTTTTTTTTTTTTTTGAGACAGAGTCTCGCTCTTTCGCCCAGGCTGGAGCGCAGTGGTGCCATCACGGGTCACTGCAGCCTCACCCTCCCAGGCCCAAGCGAGATCCTTTCACCTCAGCCTCCTGAGTAGCCGGGACTACAGGCGTGCACCACCACACCCGGCTAATTTTTGTATTTTTGGTAGAGACAAGATTTCAATATGTTGGCTGGTCTGGAACTCCTGAGCTCAATCTGCCTGCCTCAGTCTCCCAAAGTGCTGGGATTAGGAGCCACAGCACCCGGCCAGATTTGTCTCTTTTAACACCCGCTCCGGCATCCCTCTTCTCTCCACGTATCCGTCTCTCTCACTCAGCGCTTCTCCGTCTCACTGATTTGTATTCCTTTTCCTACATTTCCCAGCATCTCTTCCTGAAACCGCCTTGGCAGAATTCTTCCTAGGGACCTTCAGTCTCTCTCTTCCTGGTCCTTCCACACAGGCCTCGGAGAGAAATTCTGAACACCCAGCTCTGATCTGTACCCTTCCGTCAAGAGAAGGGCACGCAGAGCCCCTGGCAGCATGGCACCACCGCTGCCACGTCCTCCTCAAGCTGCGTCTGTGCCTGTTTTCCCGCCAGACTGGGAGCCCCTTGAGAGCAGGGCAAGATCAAAATCACCTCTCCACTCCCAGCACCGCCCAGCACAAGGCTTCGGGGGAGGCCTCAGGAAACACTTGCTGAGCAAATATGGAAGGGAAGCCTACTGGGCGCTGTCCCCTCTGCCTTCTCAGTGAACTTCAAACCCATCCCCTCCAATCACCGCACAGCCCTTGCCCCCGCGCAGCTGTCATCCTCTCTCACCATCCTTAGAAGAGCCTCAGTCCCTCTGCCTGGAACTCAGGCACCTTTTTCTCTTTTTTTCTGAGACAGGATCTCAGTCTGTTGCTCAGGCTGGAGTGTAGTGCCGCGATCCTAGCTCACTGCAGCCTCGAACTCTTGGAGTCAAATGGTCCTCCTCCCTCAGCCTCCTGAGTAGCTGTGTCCACAGGTGTGCTCCACCACGCCCGGCTAATTTTTTTTAATGTTTTGTAGAGACAGGGTTTCGCCATGTTATCCAGGCTGGTCTCAAACTCCTGGGCTCAAGTGATACTCCAGCCTCAGCCTCCCAAAGCGCTGGGATTACAGGCATGAGCCACCGCGCCCGGCCACCCTGGTACCTTTACACTCTAGCTTGTGGCTACTTTCCCGGCCTCATCTCCCAGCCCCACCTTGTACATCAGCATCCCAGAACTGTTAGCACTGACCCCAATACATCATGCTCGTTCACTTCCTCCCGTTTTCACCCAAGTTGTTCTTTGGCCCCACAAGCCTTTCTCATGCCTTTCATCAACCAGAAGATGCCCACTCATTTCTTCAAGACCCAGAATGGGCATCATATTCTCCAGGAAGCCTACCCCAAGTGCTGCTCACTCCTGGCAGTTGGTCACTCTGTCCACCGTGTGCCACGGTACCCACGGTGGTCCGGGTTCCAGCACCGATTGCCCTGCCTGGATGGCGGTGTTTGATGACAATAAACTGCTTGAGAGCAGGGCTAGAGTCTGTTTCACCCCTGGGGATCTGGATCCTAACACACTTCCTGGTACCTTAGCAGATGGCCAAAAATGGCAATGGGTGAGTGGCTGAATGAACGAGTGACAGACACATGAGTCTCTAAGCCCCACGGCTTTCTCCTGCACACCAGACACCATGACTATGCTTCAGCATCTGTGTAATTACGTGCTTCCTCCCACAAGAGTGTGAGCTCCAAGGGCCCGTGCCCATGTTTGATGCTGTATTTCAGCACATCTCTGCCTCCTACTCTTGCCTCCGAGTTCCTGTCTTCCCTTTGTACACCATTCACGTTAGCGTCCTGCTTAAACCCGTTCCACGGCCCTCACCACTCCTAGAATAAAATCTGAACTCCTGACCTACGAGCCCCTGCACAATCTGGCCCTGTCTGTGTCTCCGGCCTCACCTTGATCCCCGCTCACCTGCCTCACTACCCTTCAGCCCTCGCTGCAAGCTCCTTCCTGCCCCGGGGCCTTTGCACGTGCTGCTCTGCCTGCCACACTCCTGCCCCAGCTCCGCCCTGCTGGCTTCTTCTCATCCTTTCACTGTCCACTGAAATCTCTTCCTCACAACTGGGTTAGGCTCCCCTGATGGAGCATTTCATAGCATCTCGTTTCTCCTATAGCCTAACTGTAATTTATTGTGTATGTACATGATCGATTAATGCCTGTCTCATGCACAAGATGTTTACTCTATGAGACGTCGGGGCCCCTGGCTGTTTTCCTGCCTCCTGCACGCTGAGCACGGAGCACAATGCCTAGCTTTTTAAGGCGCACAAATAAATTGCCGGTAATGAATGAATGAATGAGAAGGCCCTTTCTGTGCCTCGTTCGTGTCCCCTGCTCCAATGCCTTCTTATGTACCAGTGCCTGGTACACAGTAGGTGCTTAATAAGCCCTTGTGGAATAATGAATGAAAAAAATGAATGAATGCCCGCGTCCAACCCTTCTTTCTGCCTTTCTGCATCCCTTCGCTGTGTCTCTTTATATAGGGCATATATATAGTTTGTGGGTGTAACTATGTATTCGTGTATTATGGGCCCCTCTCCAGGAGTTGGGCTGGGCTGGGAGTCCCTCCCTCCCCTCCCCCCGCCCCGCCCCCCATGCACACAGCAAAACATGAAAAAGAAAACATCTCGAAACTGCAAAAAACACCATGGCCCTCCCCCCTCCCCATAGATCCCCCAAAAAAATAAAACACGACGCTCCCTCACAGCGGCCCCCTCCCTCCCCTGCCCCCTCCCTCGGGGTCCCTGCTTCGGAGGGGGAGGGGGGCGGGGAGGGTGGGCGTGGGGCGGGCCCAGCAGTCTCCAGCGCGCTCACGGGGGAAAGCGGGGGCGCCCCCGACCCCGGCAGCCTCGATGCACGCGCGCCCGCGCACGCGCCCCGGACACGCCCCTCGGCTCCCCCGCCGCGCCCCTACACAGGCGTGGTTTTCCTGTTGAGCGTGTTGGTGTTGGAGGCGGCGGCCTCCTTGGCCAGGGTCCCGGGGGCGGGCGCAGAGGGCGCGGGTGGCGCGGGCGCGGGCGGGGCGGGCGGCCCGGTGACCGTGACCGTGACGCCGCCGCCCGCCTCCTTGGGGAAGGCGTTGTGCAGCGTGAGGAAGCCGGACGCCCCCCCGCGGTCCCGCTCGGCACCCGCCCCGCCGCCGCCTCCGCCGCCGCCCCCGGCGCCCCCGGCCGCGCCGCCGAACGCCCCCACGGCGCCGCCGCCGCCGCCGCCGGCCCCCGCCAGCCCCGCGGCCACGCTGCCCTTGGAGGGGTCGCGGCTGAGCGTGTACATGGAGATGTCCGTGGAGGCAAAGCCCGGGCCCCCGGGGCCGCCGGGAGACGCGTCCCGCGACGGCGACGGCTCGCTGGAGCGGGAGCTAGAGCGGGAGCGGCGGCGGTAGCGGAAGCGGTAACTGGGCAGACGGAGGATGGCCGAGGGGCCGCTCCCGCCACTGCCGCCCGCGCCCCCGCCGGCCTTGAGCAGGTCCGAGCGAGACTGGCAGTGCGCCTCGCGGCTGCGCTCGATGTAGATGTTGACGGCCAGCACGCCTATCACCTCGGCCAGGATGAACGACAGCCCGCCGAAGTAGAAGGACCAGCCGTACGAGTAGTGGTTTTTCTTCTCCTCGTCCCGCTTCGGGCCCGGCTCGCCCGCGTTGGCGGAGATGTACACGATCACGCCGATGATGTTGCTCAGGCCTGGGCGGGGACGGTCAGACGGGAGCCTCGAGGCCACCCCCGGCCCCGCCCCCGCCCCCGGCCCCGACCCCTGCCCGCCTGCGCCAGCGGGCCCAGGCGCCACCCCCAGGCGGTCTAGGCCCCACCCCGAGTGGTCTAGACCCCCGTCCTGGATCTGGCTGACCCAAGTCCTGCCAGAAGTGAACACAACTCCCCGCCCGATGCTCTAGGCGCTTCCCTGCTGGTCTAAGCTCCAACCCAGAGGGCTCCGGCCCACTCTTAGCTGGCCCAGGCCTCACCTCTGCTGGTCTAATCCAACCCCGGCTGGTCGAAACTCCATCCCCCAGGTGGTGTAGGGCCGCCAATGGTCCAGACTGCATCATGCGTGGTCCTGGCCCAGGCAGGCTCAAGCACCCCCTCAGATGGTCTAAATTCCACCCCCAGGTGGTCCAGGCCCTGCCCTGAATGGTCCAGACACGGCCCTGGATGGTCCAGGTCCTGCCCCCAGATAGCCCACGGCCCACCTCTGCCGGTCTAACCCAGCCCTGGCTGGTCTAAACTCTGCCCCAGGTGGTCTAGGACCCACCCCCAGATGGTCTGGGCTGCCCCCACATGGCATAAACCCCACTCCTCTAGCTAAGGTCCCAACTCTGCTGGTCTAAACCCCACCCTGGCTGGTGGTAACTCCACCCCAAGCGGTCCAGGCCCCACCCCTAGGTGGCCTAAGCCCCACTCCCAGCGAGTCCAGGCCCTGCCCTGACTGGTCTAAAACCCACCTTTGATGAGATGAGTTTCCAGGCCCTGCCCTAGTTAGTCTACCTCCACCCTTAACGTTATAAACCTGGGTTTTTCCCAAGCCTCATCCCTCTGCTCCTTTGAACTCTGTTAATGATGTCATCCTGCTGTGATCAGGCCCTGCCTTTCACTTATCTAATCTCTCTTCATATAATTCCTGCCGGAGTATCCATTCTAGGCCCTCCCCTACTGGTCAAAAATTTGCCTTTAATAAAGCAGGCCCCGCCTTCTACTCTAGGCCCCACCTCCAGCTTACCAAACCCCGCCCCGTGCGGATCTTGGCCAGGGTCCTTGCCGGTCTCGGGTCCTTGCCGGTCTCAGGTCCAGCTACTCCGGCCTTTCAGATCCTCCAAGCCCCACCCCTTGCAGATCTAGACCCATCCCCAAAGCACACCCTGCTCTTCAAATATGCAAAGCCCTCCCTCTTCTCTGTATTCTACTCCTCCAAAAAAGCTCTGCCCCTGGAATTTCCCAATGCTACTCATACGGGGTAGAAAGGGGGCCTTACCCCTTAATTGCGTGCCTCTTAAGTGTTCCAGTCCTAGCTCTCTGCTCGTCTAGGCCCTAGCTCTTGAGACGGCCAATCCCAGGTACTGACTGGCTTTGGTCGGCCTCTTGCTTCAATCAGCCAGGTTGATTCTCTGTGCCCTTAAGGACATAACCCCTCCCCCTTTGGCTTTTCCAGGCATCGCCCCGTCTTTTCTAGCCTCTCCTTCTCCAAATGGCCACGGGCAAGGGCCGATTCAGTCTCCCTTACCCAGCCCCTTTAGTTTCCACTTCCCGGCCCTGGACGGTTTCCCAGGACCAGCCCCCTCTTGGATCCACCAAAGTCTCCAAAGGCCCGCCCCTTAAAGCAGGCTCCTCATCGGCGCTCAGATCACTTTCTACCTCTCCTGGGCCCGCCCTCCAAGACCCAGCCCCGCCTCTCTATCCTCAAGAGCCCAATTGTGTCTCAAGGTCCCACCCCCTCCCCAGCTCCTCCCCTTCCGTCTCCAGGACGGCGGGCTTGGGATCCTAAGCGCCCGGCGTCTTACGCGCCAGACACCTGCCTGTGTCGGTTTACTCCTCCGAAGGCGACGCGAGAACTACACCCACCTTACCCAGCGGGTGGCGATGGAGCTTGGGGACCGCCTAGGAAGGCTCCGGGCCCCCGGGGGTGCTCGGGGCAAGGTGGCTTTGCAGACACACGAACGCGCACTTGCACTCACGCGCGCGCGCGCACACACACACACACACACACACACACACGTGCGCGCCCAGGTGGGCCGCCCCGGTCGCCCCCTCCCTCTGCCTCTCACCTGCTGCCACGAACAGGATCCCTGCGCCCAGAATGATGTTCCTCTTGGACTTGTAGACGCGGGAGGCCGCCACGCACACACCCCCGAGCAGCAGCAGGATGGCGCTAAGGATGGGGAAGATGCTGGAGGCCCGGACAACTCCTGCGGGGGAGGAAGGAAAGGAAAAGGAGGGAGAGCGAGGGCGGTCAGACGCGGCCGCCTGCGCCCCCTTCCCGGCCCCCCATCTCGCGGCGCCTCCCGACAGTTCTGTGATTCTCTCTCTCCGGCTGTGTTCTGGTTTATTTTACTGTTGCCTCATTCTCTCTCCTGTTTTTAAAATTTCTCTATTTCTCGGTCTGATTTTCTCTCCCTCTTTTTCTTTGTCCTTTTCTTTTTTCTTCGGACTATTTTTCTCTCTCTTGGAATATCTTTCCCCCTCTTTATTTATCGAAATCACTCTCCCTGTTTTTCTCCCAACTTCTCCATGGATCCTCTCCCTTTCTCTTTCTCGTCCCTTCCTTCCTCTCGTCTGCGAATTTCTTTCTCCATATCCCGCAAATCACTTACTACCTCTCTCCACACCCCCTCCCATTTTCTGCCTCGCTTCATCTATCTGGGTTTCTCTCTCTCTCTACATTCCTTCCTTCCTCCTCCTCCTCCCGTTTCTGCCAGGCTGAATCTACTTCTGAGTTTCTCTTCCCTTCTTCTCCTCACGCCCCCACCCCACCCAGTTTTATTGCTGGCTTCATCTATCTTTCTGGCTCTGTCTCCCCTCTCTCCTCTTATCTGCTTGGCCTCGTATGTCTTCATAGGTCCCCCCCCACCCCGCTTTTTCTGCCTGGCCTCATCTGTCTTCCTAAGTCTCTCTCCCACTTTTTCTCCCTGGCCTCATCTGTCTTCCTAGCCACCCCCACCCACAACTTTTTCTGTCTGGCTTCACCTATCTTCCTAGGTCTCTCCCCCCTCTTTTTTTTTCTGCCTGGCCTCATCTGTCTTCCTAGGTCTTTCCCCACCCCACCCCACCCCACCCCTTTTTTCGCCTGGCCTCCTCTATCTTCCTGGGTCTCTCTCTCCCCTCCTTTTCTGCCTGGTTTCTTCAATCTTCCAGGTTTCTCTTCTCTTCACTCCCTTCCTCTCCCTTCCTCCTTCCCTCCCTCCCTACCCCCTTTAGGCCTGACTTCGTCTATCTCTCTTTCTCCCTCTTTTCCTCCCTCCCTTCTTCCCCTTATCTCTCTCTCCCCGCCCCCACTCCCCGCCCCGCCCTCCTCTTTTTCTCTGCAGTCCTTCCTTTCCACCCACCCCTAAAACCCCAGGCAACTAGATTTTGCGATTTCGGAACCTGGCTGAGGCCGCAGCCAATCATCATTTAGGATTTGCCGCGTTCTCGGGGTAGCTACCAATGGCAATACAGGCTTTCCCAGCCGGCTCCCAGTAGTGGCCCGTCACCGCCGCAGATTGCCCCACAGCTCTGCGGCGCGGTGGCCAATCCCAGTCCGGGATTCCACAACCAGTCACGGCGCAGAGTCGCCGCGAGGGCCAAAGAGAGCAAAGCGGCCAATTAGCGCCCAGGATCCTCCCTCAGCCCGCCCCAAGGTGAGAGGAGGGGGCGGGAACGAGATCAGTCAGCCAATCGGGGACCAGAGGATCTCACTATCTGGACTCGGATTGGCTGGGAGGCTAACCTCGGCGTGTCGATCCAAGTGCCGGAGTCCCAGTGCCTTTTCCCGGCACCCACCCCGACGCCTTCCAGGCCCCGCGATTTGACCCACTCCCCACGTCTGTCCCGGACCCCCACGTACGGAGTAGATACTCCGCGCTGTCGTGGTCGTAGTCCGTGTCCTCCGGGAAATGATTGATCTTCACGCAGACGCCTCTTTTCAACCCTGGAGGAGCGGGGAGGGCAGTGGTGGGGGCGGATACTTCAGGGTTGGGGGCGGGGCAACCCCACTGACAACCGACCCTTCCCTTCCCCAAACCCCTTCTCTCTCTGGGCTGCTTGGGAGACCGCAAGTCCTGGCTCCTGAGCCCGACTCGTGATATGGGACAAACTTTCAACTTCTCTGGTCTGTTTCCCCGCCTGTTAAAGAAAAGAAGAAAAGCAAGGAAAAAAACCCAAAGTCTAACATCCTTGCAGCACTCACTGCAAGGCTACAGGACCTTGGTCCTGTAAGCTGCGCTAAGTTGCTCCAGCACTCTGGACTTCCGGCTCCCACCTCTGTAAGAAAGAGGGTGTTGTTGGCTTCAATAATAGCAAGGCGCTTCCCACCTCTCAATTGGTTGAAAAGTCTGGAAATGCGTGGGAAAAAAAACAAGGAAAGTGATGCGGAAGCCGATGAGGACTACATTTCCCATGAGACCCCGTGAAGTCTGGAGTCCAGTTGTGAGAAGAGCAGCCGCAGTGGATCATGGGAGTTGTAGTCTCTAGTCCTGTGGGGATGGGGAGAGAGAGGTTCCAGTCTCTTTCTGCAGGGAACCTGGAACCTTCTGGAGAGAAATGGAGTAGTTGAAGCAAGCAGAGGTGTGTGAGGGGTGGAGTATGCCTCTAGGGGTCATGCATCCTCATCTCCTTCCCCTCCTAAGATGCTCATCCTCAGCTATTTTCTCATCCTTGGGAACAGTTAATGTTTTACCACCTCTAGCACATAGCTGGAGAAAAAAATTAAAAATATAAGTATAAACAATGTAGTTTCCTCAACTGCCCAGCTCTGTCCAGTTCTGCAGACCTCTGCCCATGCTGTGGAACATTCCAGCTCACATTCTTTGCTGATGTAGTACTTTACCTGCAGCAGGCAGCTCAGGAGGCACCTTCTTGAGGAGGCTTTCCCTAGACACACACAGACACACATGCACACTCATTCCTCCCACCGAACTTGGGTCAGTTTCCTGCTCTGAGGTGCCCCGTAGGACATGCATTAGTTGGTAGATGATCTTCTTCGTCCTCGGTAAGCTGAGAGTTCCTGGAGGGGGTAGGGCATGGGAGTCCGATTCCTCTGTGTGTCCCAGCATTTCTTGGCAGTAGGCCTGGCACACGGGAGACCTCAAGAAATAAGGGCTGAGGCCGGGCACGGTGGCTCACACCTGTAATCCCTGCACTTTGGGAGGCCAAGGCGGGTGGATCACTTGAGGTCGGGAGTTCAAGACCAGCCTGACCAACATGGTGAAACCCTATCTCTACTAAAAATACAAAAATTAGCTGGGCATGGTGGCGGGTGCCTGTAATCCCAGCTACTCGGGAGGCTGAGGCAGGAGAACCACTTGAACCCAGGAGGTGGAGGTTGCAGTGAGCCAAGGCTGCACCATTACACTCCAGCCTGGGTGACAAAGCGAGACTCCGTCTCAAAAGAAAAAAAAAAGAGAGAGAGAAAGAAATGAGGGTTGAATGAAGAATGAATGAATGAATTAATGAATGAATATAAGCATAGCAGAAGGTGAGATCACAGGCAGACCATGACCAGCAAAGGAAAGTAGGGGAAAGAATAGGGATAAAGGAGGAACTGGGAAGAATTAATATAAGGGAGTGAGTAATACTGGCAAGAGCTAATGTGCGTTTGGTGCTTGCTAGGTGGGCCAACTCATTTGATGCTCCCAAGAGTCCTATGAAATAGATCATGTGGTTTGTGTGCTGTGGCAGCCAAATGTTAGGTATTGGAACGTCTCCATTTTTTTTATTCTTTGAGACAGGGTCTCCCTCTGTTGCCCAAGTTTGGAGTGCAGTGGCACAATCTCGGCTCACTGCAACCTCCACCTCCTGGGCTCAAGTGGTCCTCCTGCCTCAGCCTCCTGAGTAGCTGGGACTACAGGCTTGCGCCACCATGCCCAGCTAAATATTGCATTTTCTGTATAGACAGGGTTTCCCCATGTTGCCCACTTTGCCCAGGCTGGTCTTGAACTCCTGACTTCAAGTGATCCGCCCGCCTCAGCCTCCAAAAGTGCTGGGACTACAGGCATGAGCCACTGCGCTGGCCTCCACCACTTCCTTATTCTGTGTCCTTGCTGGTGTTACATAGGCCAGCTTGCTTCAGTTTCCCCACCTATAAAATGCAGAGAACAGGACCTACCTCATGGGACTGATATGAGGGATTGGGTCTAGGTGGAGATTTAGCACTTGGCCTTGAACACAATTAAGTACTCGGTTGATAGCAGCTGATGTATAGCACCCATTACCCAAACGTGGAAACTGAGAAACAGAAAAGGGTCATCATTTCGCAGCTGATGGTGGCAACAAAACTCAAACACACATCATGAATGTGAGCATCTGGGCTGTTCGACACTGTATTACCAGCATCTAGAACAGTGCCTAGTGCATATTGAGTGCTTAATAAGTATTTTTAATGAGAGAATGGTTGAATGGGCCAGGTGTGGTGGCTCACGTCTGTAATCGTAGCCATTTGGGAGACCAAGTGGGTGGATCACCTGAGGTCAGGAGTTTGAGACCAGCCTGGCCAACATGGTAAAACCCCATCACTACTAAAAATACAAAAGTTAGCCGGGTGTGGGGGCATACGCTTGTAGTCCCAGCTACTTGGGAGCCTGAGGCAGGTGAATTGCTTGAATCTGGGAAGAGGAGGTTGCAGCGCGCTGAGATCGCGCCACTGCACTCCAGCCTGGGCGAGAGAGCGAGACTCAGTCTCAAAAAAGAAAAAAAAAGAATGATTGAATGGGTCCACAAGCACATGAAAAGATGCTCAATTTCACTAATCATTGGGGAAATGCAATCAAAACCACAGTGAGATACCACCTCATATTCGTTAGTATGGTTACTATTAAAAATAAGCAAAATAGGCCAGGCGCAGGAGCTCACGCCTGTGATCCCAGCATTTTGGGAGGCTGAGGTGGGTGGATCACAAGGTCAAGAGAATCGAGACCATCCTGGCCAACATAGTGAAACCCCGTCTCTACTAAAAACACAAAAATTAGCTGGGCATGGTGGTGTGCACCTGTAGTCCCAGCTACTAGGGAGGCTGAGGCAGGAGAATCACTTGAAGCCGGGAGGTGGAGGTTGCAGTGAGCCAAGATAGCGCCACTGCACTCCAGCCTGGTGACAGAGCAAGATTCCATCTCTAAATAAATAAAAAAATAAAATAAAATAGGCTGGGTGCGGTAGCTCACGTCAGTAATCCCAGCACTTTGAGAGGCCGAGGTGGGCGGATCACGTGGTCAAGAGATCGAGACCATCCTGGCCAACATGGTGAAACCCTGTCTCTACTAAAAATACAAAAATTAGCTGGGCATGGTGGTGTGTGCCTATAGTCCCAGCTACTTGGGAGGCTGAGGCAGGAGAATCGCTTGAACCCAGGAGGTGGAGGTTGCAGTGAGCCAAGATCATGCCACTGCACTCCAGCCTGGGTGACAGAGCGAGACTCTGTCTCAAAAATAAATAAATTAAATAAATAAATAAATAAATAAAATAACACGTGTTATGAAGGATGTGGAGAAATTGGAACCTTGTGCACTGTTGGTAGAAATATAAAATGGTGCAGTGGCTATGGGAAACAGTGTCGAGGTTCCTCAAAAACTACAAATAGAATCATCATATGATCCAGCAATGCCAGTACTGGTGATAGACCCAAAAGAATTAAAAGCAGGCACTCAAATAGATATTCATACACTCGTGTTCATAGTAGCATTTTTCACAATAGCCAAAAAGCGGAAACACCCCAGTGCCCGTTGACAGATGAAAGGATAAACAACATGTGCTATGTACATACAATGGAATATTATTCAGCCTTCAAAGGGAAGCAAATTCTGATACATGCTATAAACATAGATAAACCTTGAAGACATTATACTCAGTGAAATAAGCCAGTAACAAAAAGACAAATACTGTGTCATTCCACTTATATGAAATTCCTGGAATAATCAAATTCATAGAGACAAAGTGTCATGGTAGTTGCCAGGGCTGGAGGGTGGGGGGATGTGGAGTTATTTAACGGGTACTGAGTTTCCATTTTGCAAGACGAAAAGAGTTCTGGAAATTGGTTGCACTTACCACTACTGAAATGCATACTTAAAAATGATGAAGATGGTAAATTTATGTTATGTATAATTTACTACAATTATCAAAATGAATGAACGAATGAATGAGTGAATGAGTGAATGAATATACAACTCCCACATACAAACTCTTAACCCATCAGCACCTCCACCATGGTGTGGTAGGTAAGATGACAAGCTCAATGTCCCTCCTTTCTTTCTTTTTTTTTGGGATGGAGTCTCACTCTGTCGACCAGGCTGGAGTGCAATGGCTCGATTTCGGCTCACTGCAACTTCCACCTCCTGGGTTCAAGCCATTCTCTTGCCTCAGCTCCTGAGTAGCTGGGATTACAGGCGTGTGCCACCATGCCCAGCTAATTTTTGTATTTTTAGTAGAGACGGGGTTTCACTGTGTTAGCCAGGATGGTCTCGATCTCCCGACCTCAGGCGATCCTCCTGCCTCGGCCTTCCAAAGTGCTGGGAGTACAGGGGTAAGCCATCTTGTCCAGTTTTTATTTATTTATTTTTTTTAAGAGATAGAGTCTCACTCTGTTTCCCAGGCTGGAGTGCATTGGCACAATCTCGGCTCACTGCAAACTCCCCCTCCCAGGTTCAAATGATTCTCCTGCCTCAGCCTCCCAAGTACCTGGGATTACGGGCACCTGCCACCACCCCTGGCTAATTTTTTGTATGTTAAGTAGAGATGGGGTTTCACCATGTTAGCCAGGCTGGTCTCGAACTCCTGGCCTCAGGTGATCCACCCACGTCAGCCTCCCAAAGTGCTGGGATTACAGGCATGAGCCACCGCGCCCAGCCTGGTCCCTCCTTTCTTGAATGGGATCATAGTAATTCTCTCAAAATATTCGTGATGATTAAATGAGACTGAGCATGTAAACCACATGGCACACCGGATTGCTGAACAGGTTAGTGGTGACAGTAATAATAACTAGTTCTGACTGAGCACTAACCGTGCACCAGGTACTGCTCCAAGCATTTGACAGGTGGTTAATAACTTGCTCAGTCCCTAGGACAAACCCTCGGAGGTAGGCAGTGACAGCATCCTTGCTTTACAAATGAGGAAATGGAGGCATAGGGAGTTGAAGAAGTTGCCCAAAGCCCTATTGGGGGTGAGTGATGGGGAGAGGTTCCTTCCAGCACAGCTCGGTTTGGGAGTTCAGCATATTTAAGACAGTAGAGTCTGGTGGCTGTGGGGGTTATTGATCGTGGGCTCTGGAATCCAACTCTCTGGACACACATCCCAACGTACCACTTCCCAGCTGCGTGGTTTTGGAACCGGATCGTCCCTGAGCCTCTGCTCTCTCATTGGGAAATTGAGGATGGTAGTGTGACTTTAGAGGGCTTCAGTGAAATTTCAGTGAAAGTTAGGCACAGAAGCCCAGGCGCGGTGGCTCACGCCTGTAATCCCAGCACTTTGGGAGGCCAAAGCGGGTGGATCACCTGAGGTCAGGAGTTCGAGACCAGCCTGGCCAATGTGGTGAAACCCTGTCTCTTCTAAAAATACAAAAATTAGCCAGGCATGGTGGCAGGTGCCTATAATCCCAACTACTCGGGAGGCTGAGACAGGAGAATTGCTTGAACCTGGGAGGTGGAGGTTTCAGTGAGCAGAGATCACACCATTGCACTCCAGCCTGGGCGACAAGAGTGAAACTCTGTCTCAAAAAAAAAAAAAAAAAGAAAAGAAGAAAAGAGAAGAAAGAAAAAAAAAAGAAAGAAAGCAAGCAAGAAAGAAAGGCACAGAAGACCAGGCGCAGTGGCTCACAGCTGTAATCCCAGCACTTTGTGAGGGCGAGGTGGGCAGATCACCTGAGGTCAGGAGTTCAAGACCATCCTGGCCAACATGGTGAAACCCTGTCTCTACTGAAAAATACAAAAAGTAGCCCAGCGTGGTGATGGGTGCCTGTAATCCCAGCTACTCAGGAGGCTGAGGCAGGAGAATTGCTTGAACCCAGGCAGCGGAGTTTGCAGTGAGCCGATATCACGCCAGTGCACTCCAGCGCACTCCAGCCTGGGGGACAGAGAGAGACTCCGTCTGAAAAAAAAGGAAGTTAGGCACAGAATTCACAGTAGTTATGCTTAATGCCACCGATCAAGCTATGAGTTTTTCTTGTGCATGGATGGTGATGTCATGGCCCTGAGTCTCCTCCCAGGGGCTGCCTAGCGCAGACCCGGGCATGCAAGGGTTAAGGGGCAGCTTTCTTGCAGTGCGGACACGTGGAGAACTGGGATCCAACCCACTCTGCCCCTCACATGCTGGGTAGTCCAGGCTGAGCCACTTCCCCTTTCTGGCCATCAGATTCCTGCTAATAATACATTCCCCTGGCAAAGTGGCGAGGGCTTAATGAGATAATAAGCAGGGCAAAGTGCTAGCAAAGGGGCTCTGTATGGTCGGCACTAATAAATAGGGCTGTGGGCCCAGACTCTTGAGTCCTGAGAGAAGACCTCGGGGTGTGGCTGAAATCCCTGAGGAGGGGGCACAAGCTGGGCTGTCCCATGCAGATGCCTCCAGCTCCCAACACTTGAAATGTGGCAATGGAGAGGTTCTGTGAGGGTAAAATATTTACTGGGTTTCAGACTCAGGATGGGGAAAAAGGGAGAGAGAGTGTCTATGTATAATATTTCATTAATAATTTTTATATTGATTACATGTTCAAGTGATAATATCTTGGCTATGCTGGGTACCTGTTCCTTTTTATTTATTTTAATGTAGCTACTAGAAAAATTTTAATTTTCTTTTTTTTTTTTTGAGACAGGGCCTCAATCTGTTGCCCAGGCTGGAGAGCAGTGGCACAATCTTGGCTCACTGCAAACTCCACCTCCCGAGTTCAAGCAATTCTCCTGCCTCAGCCTCCCGAGTAGCTGGAATTACAGTTGCCCACCACTGCACCTGGCTAAATTTTGTTTTTTTAGTAGAGACGGGGTTTCACCATGTTGGCCAGGCTGGTCTCCAACTCCCGACCTCACGTGATCCACCCACCTCGGCCTCCCAAAGTGCTGGGATTACAGGCGTGAGCCACCGTGCCCAGCCTAAAAATTTTAACTATATATGGTCACCCATGTTATATTTCTTTTTTTCTTTTCTTTTCTTTTCTTTTTTTTTTTTTTTGAGATAGGGTCTTGCTCTATCACCCAGGCTGGAGTGCAGTGGCACAATCACAGCTCACTGCAGCCTCGACCTTCTGGGCTCAAGCAATCCTTCTACCTCAGCCTCCCTAGTAGTGGGGACTACAGGCATGTATCACCATGCCCAACTAATTTTTAATTTTTTACACAGGCGGGGTCTCCCTATGTTGCCCAGGCTGGTCTTGAACTCCTGGACTCAAGCAATCCTCTCACCTCGGCCTCCCAAAATGCTGGGATTACAGGGGTGAGCCAGTGGCCCATCCTTGTGTTATATTTCCTTTTTCTTTCTCACTCTGGAATCTCACTCTGTTGCCCAGGCTGTAGTGCGGTGGCGCCATCTCAGCTCACAGCAACCTCCGCCTCCTGGGTTCAAGCGATTCTCCTGCCTCAGCCTCCCCAGTAGCTGGGACTACAAGCACCCACAACTACGCCCGACTAATTTTTGTATTTTTAGTAGAGACGGGGTTTCACCATATAGGCCAGGCTGGACTCGAACTCCTGACCTCAAGTGATCCGTCCACCTCAGCCTCCCAAAGTGCTGGGATTACAAGGCGTGAGCCACTGGCCCATCCTTGTGTTATATTTCTTTTTTCTTTCTCACTCTGGGATCTCACTCTGTTCCCCAGGCTGTAGTGCGGTGGCGCCATCTCGGCTCACTGCAACCTCTGCCTCCTGGGTTCAAGCGATTCTCCTGCCTCAGCCTCCCAAGTAGCTGGGACCACAGGCGCCCGCCACTGCGCCTGGCTAATTTTTTGTATTTTTAGTAGAGATGGGGTTTCACCGTGTTAGCCAGGATGGTCTCGATCTCCTGACCTCGTGATCCGCCCGCCTCGGCCTCCCAAAGTGCTGGGATTACAGGCATGAGCCACCGCGCCCTGCCAGCCTCCTGATTACCTGGGGTTACAGGCGCTTGCCACCAGCCCTGGCTAATATTTTTGTATATTTAGTAGAGACAGGGTTTCGCCATGTTGACCAGGCTGGTCTCGAACTCCTGGCCTCAGGTGATCCACCCGCCTCGGCTTCCCAAAGTGCTGGGATTACAGGTGTGAGCCACCGCGCCCAGCTGAAAGCAAGTTTATTAAAGACAGTAAAGGAATAAAGAACGGCCGCTCCTTAGGCAGAGCAGCCTCCGAGCTTGTTTCAGTCATTACATTCTACTGCATCTCTCAGACACACTCCAAAGGGAAATGGAGATTGAGCCCAAGGGTTCCCAGGAGCACAGTGGCTGCAGGACGCAATGACTCAGGGGGACCCCGTTTCTACACCCCTGGAGCCCCGATGGGCTGAAAGCAAGTGGATTTGTTGCTTCATTCTCCTAGAAAACCAGACACACCTGGATTCAAATCCAGATGCTGGGCCGGGCAGGGTGGCTCACTCCTGTAATCCCAATGCGTTGAGAGGCCGGGGGTGAGAGGATTGCTTGAGCCCAGGAGTTCTAGACCAGGCTGGGCAATGTGGTGAGACCCATCTCTAAAAAAAAAAAAAAAAGTAAACAAATCAGAAACAAAAACAAATCCAGACCCTACTGCATATTAACTGTGTGATCTTGGGCAACTCACTTCACCTCTCTGAGCTTCACTTCTTCTTTTAGAATGGGAATAATAAAAGTACCGGCTGGGCGCGGTGGCTTACACCTATAATCCCAGAACTTTGGGAGGCCAAGGCGGGCAGATCACCTGAGGCCGGAGTTTGAGATCAGCCTGGTCAACATGGTGAAACCCCGTCTCTACTAAAAGTACAAAAATTAGCCGGGTGTGGTGGTGGGTACCTGTAATCCCAGCTACTCAGGAGGCTGAGGCGGGAGAATTGCTTGAACCCGGGATGTGGAGGTTGCAGTGGGTTGAGATCGCGCCTCTGCACTCCAGCCTGGGTGACAGAGCAAGAATCTGTCTCGAAAACAAAATTAATAAAAATAAATAAATAAAGTACCTACTTTGCAGGGTTATTGTGCGCATTCAGTGACAAATGAATGACAATTACAACAACAACAGAGTCAGCCTTCATTCCTCCTCTCCTTGAAACGCTAACTTCCTTTGGCTTCCAAGACATCCAAGGACCTGTTTTTCCCCAAACCTGTGGCCACTCCTTTCTCCACTCCTTTGGTGACTTCTCACCTCCCTCCCTTTTTTTTTTTTTTTTTTTTTTTGAGATAGAGTCTCACTCTGTTGCCCAAGCTGGAGTGCAGTGGCACGATCTCAGCTCACTGCAAACCTCCACCTCCAGGGTTAAAGGGATTCTCCTGCCTCAGCCTCCCGAGTAGCTGGGATTATAGGTACACGCCACCACGCCCGGCTAATTTTTGTATTTTTAGTAGAGACAGGGTTTCACCATGTTGGTCAGGCTGGTCTCGAACTCCTGACCTCGTGATCCGCCTGTCTCAGCCTCCCAAAGTGCTGGAATTACAGGCGTGAGCCACCGCGCCCGGCCATCTCCCTCACATTTTAATAGTAGACTGGCCGAAAGCTTAAGCCTTCAATGACATAAGGACATTTTATCATTTGTTCTGGTCTCTTCTCTCTCTTTTTTTTTTTGTTTTTTTTGAGATGGGGTCTTGCCCTGTCGCCCAGACTGGAGTGTAGTGGTATGATCATGTCTCACTTTAGCCTCGACTTCCTGGGTTTAAGCAATCCTCCCACCTAAGCCTCCTGAGTAGCTGGGACCACAGGCACGCACCAGCACTTCCAGCTAATTTTTAAATTATTTGTAGAGACAAGGTCTCACTGTTTTCCCCTGGCTGGTCTCGAACTCCTGGGCTCAAGTGATCTTCCTGCCTTGGCCTCCCAAAGTGCTGGGATTATAGGTGTGAGCCACTGCACCCAACTGTCTCTTCTCTAAGTGATTCCATCCATCTGATTCATCTATATGATGATGCCCCTCAAACTGATATCTCCAGCCCAGCCTCTGGCCTCCTACATCATATCTCTAGCAGCCTAAATCACTGGTCAGCCAGCTATGGCTCACAGGCCAAATCCAGCTAAGAATGGGTTTTATGTGTTTTTAATGATTGAGAAAATGTCAAAGAAGAAGATGATTTTGTGGCATGTGAAAATGACATGGAATTCAAAAAAAAAAGTTTTTTTTTCTTAGAGTCTCTCTCTGTTGCCCAGGCTAGAGTGCAGTGATGCGATCTCGGCTCACTGCAACCTCCACCTCCTGGGTTCAAGCGATTCTCCTGCCTCAGCCTACCAAGTAGCTGGGACTACAGGCGCGTGCCACCACGCCTGGCTAATTTTCGTATTTTTAGTGGAGACCAGTTTTCACCATGTTGGCCAGGCTGGTCTTGAACTCCTGACCTCAGGTGATCCGCCTGCTTTGGCCTCCCAAAGTGCTGGGATTACAGGTGTGAGCCACTGCGCCCAGTGAAATTCAGATTTTAGTGTCCATAAATGAAGTCTCATTGGAACACAGCCACACTCACTTACAGACTGTCTTGGTCGTTTTCACGAGTAGTCGTGATAGAGACTGCTCCACAAAGCCTGAAATCTTTACTATATGGCACTTTATAGGACCTTCACTGTGCTGACCTCTGTCCAGATGTTATCTGTTAATGGGCATCGTAAATTTAACATGCCCAAAACTGAGCCCATGGTCCCTCTCCTTCATAATAAATTTGATAAGAGAAAATAAATAAAACAGCTGCTGTTTCATCTTATGAATGGCTCCCCTATTCTCAGGAGCTCAGGCCAAAGCCTTAGAGCGGTGATTCTCAACTCAGGGCGATTTTATCCCCCAGGAGACAGCTGACAATGTTTAGACACAATTTACAATTTTGGTTGTCACGACTGGGAAGGGCGCTGCTGGCATCCTAGTAGGAGAGATCAAGGCTGTTGCTCAGCATCCTACAATGCATAGGACGGCCCCTCCACACAGAATTATCCACCCCAAAATATCAACCATGCTGCGGTGGAAAAACCCTGCTTTGGAGACGCCCCTGGCTCTTCTCTCTCATATCCTACAACTGCTCCATCAGCAACTCCTGCCCACGGTAGCTCCAGAATATACTCAAAATTCAAACAACTTCCCAAACCCTGCTGCCCCCACCCTAGATGAGCCTCTCGTTGTCTCATTTGCCTTCCCCTCGGTCATTTGTTAACACAGCAGCAAGAAACATACCGCAAAAATGTAAGTCAGCTCGTGTGACTCCTCTGCTCAAGAACCTTCAACGGCTCCCATCTCCGAATCTAAAGCAAAGTGCTTTCTGGGATGTATAAGAAGCCGTGAGGCCGGGTGCAGTGGCTGACATCTGTAATCCCAACACATCGGGAGGCTGAGGCCGGAGGATTGCTTGAGCCCAGGAGTTTGAGACCAGCCTGGGCAATATAGTGAGACCCTGTGTCTACAAAAAATGGGGGCATGTGCCTGTAGTTCTAGCTATTTGGGAGGCTGAGGCAAGAGGACGGCTTGGGTTCAGGGGTTCAAGGCTGCAGTGAGCTATGGTCTTACCACTGCACGCCAGCCTGGGTGACAGAGCAAAACCCTGCCTAAAAACAAAAAAAGAAAAACAAAACAAAAACAAACACAGAAGCTGGCCAGGCATGGTGGCTCACATCTGTAATCCCAGCACTTTGGGAGGCCTAGGCGGGCCAATCACTTGAGGTCAGAAGTTCGAGACCAGCCTGGCCAACATGGTAAAACCCTGTCTCTACTAAAAATACAAAAATTAGCCGGGCATGGTGGCACACACCTGTGATTCCAGCTACTCGGGAGGCTGAGGTATGAGAATCGCTTGAACCCAGGAGGCCGAAGTTGCAGTAAGCCAAGATCACGCCACTGCACTACAGCTTGGGTGACAAAGCAAGACTCTGTTTCAATAAATAAATAAATAAATAAATAATTTTTAAAAAACAGAACCTGTGGGATGGGGACCCTGATACCCCTACGACTGCACCTCTTACTCCTACGTTCTCCGCCACCCACTCTGCCCCGGCCACGCTGACCTCACACTGGCTTGATCAACACACAGCCACACTCCCACCTCAGGGCCTCTGCGCCTGCTATTCCTACAGTCTGAAGCACTTTCCTCCATCTCTTACTTCCTTCAGACCTGTGATCAAATGTCACCTGCTCGGGGAAGCTTTTCCTAGATTCCTTATCTACTTCCCACGGGGATCCCTGACCCCTCCCATCCCCTCCCCCAACTCCTTGTCCTCCTTAGCACTCAGTTCTATCTAACACCCTAAAGGTTGACTTTACCTCCATCATTATCTGTCTCTCCCTTAGAATATAAGATATATAACGACAGGAGGTTTTGTCTGTTTGTTTTCCACTGCTGCAGCCCCAGAATCCAGAACAATGCCTGGCACATAATATAAACTCAATAAAAATGGGACGTTGAATGAACGAATGAATGAATGAATGACATCCCTACTAGATGCCACGTGCTGTCCTAGGGCTCCCATGATGGGAGCCCTCACACTTGGCTCTATGCCTGGTACTTGGTCAGACCAGTGAATGGACATGAACTCAAACTTCCACAGGAGAGGCAAAGAACATCACGAGAGCCGTGGGAGGAATGGGAGGCGAGACGGAGCAGATGGAGGTGACTGTGGGGAAGTGGAGACCCCCCAGCTGCTGCTCAGATCCGGCCCATCGTGGTCAGGGTAGAACACAGGCTTGTGCTAGATCTTCCGCCAGCTCAGAAGAAGCCGGAAATCAGAACTACAATGGGAAGCCTCCCTATTTTTAACTGTTGGCAATGGATTCAGATTTTGCTTTCAGTTTTAAACACTTTGTACACTAGACAGAGCGCATCTGTGAATCCCATCCATGAGATTCGAGTTCTGCTCTTGGCTCGGCCCCTTTCTCAGCTAGGTGACCTTGGGCAAGTGACTTCACTTCTCTGAGCCTCAGTTTACCCATCCCCAACAGCGAGGTGGTGCCCACCTCATAGGATTAAACGAGATAACGTTCCCGGCTTGTCGTGAACACTCAGCAAAACAGAGGAAGAAGGGGCAGAGGAAATAGAGGGGGATGAAAAAGAGAAGCAAGAGATTTCAATCTTTTGGCCGAAGGGGGCATCAGGATGGCTGGTTCCACTCCTTCACGTTGCAGACAAGGGCTGTGAGGCTGGGGTGCAGGAGGGAAGACAGTGGTCACACAGCAGGGCAGATATGCAGCAGAACTGGCACCCAAGACTCCTGCTTCCCAGCCCCGCAGCTACTTGATACTCAGGAAAGAAATACTGATGCTAAGAGTGGGAGAGAGAAGGGGTTGGCACAGCAGAGGGCAGGAGTCTTGGAGAAGTGGGGAAGTCGAGAGCCAGGGAGCCGAGCTAGGAGAGAAGCTGTGAGAGGGAGAACAGGACAGAGGAAAAGAACCAAGTCGAAGATCCGAGGAGGTAGCAGGGGCAGGAGCGAGAAGCCTTAACGTGAAGGCCTGAGGCATCGAGTCAGGAAGACGTCGAAGGAGGCATGAGTGGAGGAAGAGGAAGTGGAGTCCACTAAAGGAAAAAGGAGGAAAGGACCAGGATGGGAGGTTGGAGGGCACCCTGGTGGGAGAGACATGGGTGGGGGCACTGATGGGAAGAGAAAGATGAACAGGAGGAGAAGCACAAGGCAGAAAAGAGAGAAAGTCATGAGTGAGGGCGAGTTAAGGCACGAAGTTTCAGGGGAGCAGCAGCCAAAGAGAAGGGGAAAGAGACAGACCGGAAGACTGGGCCGTGAAAGGGGGCGGGAGAGGCAGGGGACTTCAGAGGACTGGGGGGGAAATGTCGGGAGAGAGAAGATGTCACGGGGCACGAGGGAGAGGAAATGAAGGGGCAGGTGGAGCGGAGGAGCAGGGTCAAGATGAACTGACGGGAAAGAGGGAGAAAGAGGCTGCTGGGTGCAGTGGCTCATGCCCTTCATCCCAGCACTTTGGAGGCCAAGGCAGGAGGATCTCTTGAGCTCAGGAGCTCGAGACCAGCCTGGGCAACAGGAGACCTCATCTCTACAAATAATAAAAAAAATTAGCTGGGCACAGTGGCTCATGCCTGTGGTCCCAGCTACTCAGGAGGCAGAGGTGGGAGGATGGCTTGAGCCTAGGGATTCGAGGCTGCAGTGAGCTGTGATTGTGCCACCGTACTCCAGCCTGGGCGACAGAGTGAGACCTTGTCAAAAAAAAAAAAAAAAAGAGAAAAGGCACAGGGCAGAGTGGAAGAAATGAAACAGGAGGAGCCCCAGGTACTGGAGAGAGGGAAGATGCAGGGGTGTGATGGGGCAGCGCAGGAGACACGGACTAGGGAAAGATAGGATAAGGGGGTTCAGCGGAGAGGCAGAGGGGCTGCAGAGGGAGCATGCCGAGGAATTCCGCAGGGTGCCAGGACGCAGGGAGGAGTGGGAAGGAGGGGAGAGGAGGTCAGGGGCGCGAGTGGGAAGGCGCAGAAGCCCCTCTGGCAGAGGAGGAGGGGTGCCCAAGGGGGCCCCAGGATCAGGGACAGGCAGCCCCGGGAGGCTCAGGGTCTCTCGGAGGGGAGCGGCGGGGGCTGCGGGGAGGGCCGCCCGCACCCTACCTTCCAGGCAGCAGATCCTCCAGAGGCCCGAGTGCGTGAGGCCGCCGGGGTCCTTCTTCTCCGAGGCGCCGCCGCCCCCGCGGTGGGGGGTCCCGTCGTCGCCGCCGGCCGTGAGGTTGGTGGTGTTGCAGATGAGGGCGCGCGTGTAGAGCCAGTAGTCAGTGCTGATGGCGATGGTCATGAGGCCGAAGGCGGCGAAGGCGCCCACCGTCGTCAGCAGCACCTGCACCCCCTTCTCGCACCAGAGGCCCCGCTCTTCGTTCCAGCGCTTCAGCGACTCCAGTTTGACCACGGGCAGCCGGGGGGCCGTGGGCCACCACCGGGGCAGCGGGGGCGGGGCCGTGCCGGCGGCTGGGGGGGGGTTCACAGCGCAGGCAGAAGCGGGGGGCCCGGGGCCGGCGGGGCTGGGGAGGGGGGCGGCGAGGAGGAGGCTGCGGCCGGGGAGGGGGTCAGAGCGCGGCCATGGTCGGCGGCTGGTGGAGGGCAAGGAGCGAGATCTCGCATTAGAGGAGAAGAAGGCACAGGTACCTCCCCCAGTCCCCGCCCCCCCCCCCCCAAAATCCCTGCCTCAGCTCCAGAAACTCCTTCCACTCGGGGCTCCACTGCTTCTCTTTCTCAAAAATAATAATAATAATAATAATAATAATAATAATTAATAAATAAGATGAAATCTCTCTCCACTCTTGTCTTCTGCCCAAGAAAGTCATCCCACCATCCCACTAACCCCACTCGGAGGAGTCCCCACCACCGCTAATAATTAATAAATAAGATGAAATCTCTCTCCACTCCTGTCTTCTGCCCAAGAAAGTCGTCCCACCATCCCACTAACCCCACTCGGAGGAGTCCCCACCACCGCTAATAATTAATAAATAAGATGAAATCTCTCTCCACTCCTGTCTTCTGCCCAAGAAAGTCGTCCCACCATCCCACTAACCCCACTCGGAGGAGTCCCCACCACCGCTAATAATTAATAAATAAGATGAAATCTCTCTCCACTCCTGTCTTCTGCCCAAGAAAGTCGTCCCACCATCCCACTAACCCCACTCGGAGGAGTCCCCACCACCGCTCACACTCACAGCCCTCGCCCCTAGCCCGCGCCGCCTCCGCCCCAGGGGGCTCCACGATCCTCATCGCATGGGAAGCCACCCCCCGCCATGATGCCAAGCCCCACGCCGCCGCCTCCTCCCCAGGAGCCCCCGTCGCGTTCTTCCTTCCTTAGCGACCCCCGCCCCATCACCATGCGGCGCCCACCAGCTCTCCCCACTCTTCCCCTGCAAGCCCCACCTCTCCACCCGCTAGAACCCTTCCCTGTCAGCCCAACTTTTCCCTGAGCGTCTCCACAACTTAAGAAGCCCGAGTAGCACCACTTCCGTGGGAGTAACCTCCGCGAGCCCCCTCCGGTCTGGCTTTTGTCATTCCATCACTCCAAATGGTCCCCCACAGTTTCCTCTCCTTAGGAAAAAATAAATCTCTCAACCTCTCTTCAACTAAAAAGGAAAAATTAAAAGAAGAAGAAAAAGAAAAAGAAAATCCCAGCTGACCCTCACAGTTTGTGCAACTCGGAATCACCAGCCACCCTCAGTCAGCCTCCTCTCCCTGGAAGCCCCCTTCCTGCCTCGGGCAGCCTCCAACACACCTGGAAATCACCCGAGGACCTTAAAAATTCGGATGTTTGAGTCCCACCTGAGAAAGTCCGACATGGTTGGTCTGCAGTGTGGCCTGCGCATGTAAGTTTTTAAAAGCTCCCTGGGGAATTCTAATGCACCCAACATCAGACCCACTGGTTTGCAAGCTGCCCCCCCCCCGCCATCTCCAGCCCATTCCCTGTCACAGCCCCCACTGTCTCCCCACAAGCCACTCACTCCCCACCCCATACTATGCCTTTACTCCAGGAAAACCCCCACCCTCTCTTTTGCTTTAGAAGAGTTTTCTGAATCTTCCCACCCCGCCACCCCCCCCCCCACAACTTAAACGAACTCATATCATAACCATCGTTTTCTCCTCCATTAAGAAAAATTTCCTCCGTGAGTTCCACGGCATTTTCTACTCGCAAGAATGGCTTCCTCCAGACCCCAAATGTCTCTCCACTCAGGACCATTCCAATCTCTGCCCTGTACTCCCATAGCAGGGGGCACACTGTACCACCCACCCGCCCCTCTGCACTCACAGCAGCTCCCACTGCCTCCAAATCCCCTCCTCGTAGCCCTTCATCATCACACGGGATCTTCAGCACACTGTTTCCCCCAACTTGAGATCCCCCTAACTCACTTTGAAGCCCACTCTCTCTTCAATGTACCAGGAAGCATCCTCCCCAACTTCTCTCTCATCATATAGAATTCCCTTGACTCACTTCCTCTTGCTCCACCGCTATAGCTCCCAGGTTCTCCTCTGCCCCGGAAAATCCCCTCCGCAGGCCCCCACAGGCTTCCCTTCTTGGGAACGCCCCCCAGTACTCCCCTCTACGACTTCACCTGTACAGGAACACACACTGTAGCCCCTCATCTTCTTCCACATGCAGAAAGAGCCCCCCCAGTAGACTGTGTCCCTCTGAAAAATGTGATCCGCAAGACTACAACTCTCTTTTCAATTAGGAATACTTTCCCAGCCTGCACCCGCTGCCCCGTGGCTCCTTCATTTCTCTCTTCCACATTCTCCCCCGACCACCATGCCCCCAGCCCTGCCTGTCTCC
This sequence comes from Homo sapiens, assembly GCF_000001405.40. Classification (NCBI taxonomy): domain Eukaryota; kingdom Metazoa; phylum Chordata; class Mammalia; order Primates; family Hominidae; genus Homo; species Homo sapiens. The sequence goes on along the minus strand of NC_000019.10, from coordinate 53,960,736 downwards.
CCCACCCCAACTGTCCTCTGGGGGATGTACTCCTTACTTGCTTCCACACTGCTTCTTCAACTTCTTCCCCCAAACCCACTATAGTTAAGAGCCTGGAAACCTTAGACGAAGAGGGGATTAAAAAAAAACAAAACAAAAACCAGAACCTAGGTCCCAGTACAGGGTGACCTTGGCCTCCTGATTGCTTGCCCGTCTCCACTGCCCCCCATCAGCTGGCCTCAGACTGGGGCTGCTCCGAGGAGGGGCTGTGGAAAAAGGTTGTCTATGGGGGGTGTCTCCATGGCAACTGGGCCTAGTGCCCCACACGTTGTGTTCCCTCCCCCACCTCAACTCCCGTCTGCCCACACACAGCCCTTCCTCAGGCCACAGTTCAGCAGCCCGCTGGACAGGGCAACCCCCAGCCTCCCGGCCTGGGCGCCGGCCCCTTCCTCTCTTTTCTGTCCGCATGCTGAGTTTCCTCTCTTCTTGATCTCTTGGCCTCTTCTCCCCGAATTGGTGCCCCTCACCACCAGCAGGGCCACCTACCCTGTCTTAACAGATATCTGCTCTCAGTGGGGTAAGCCTGTGACCCCAGGCCCCTAACAACCTGGGATAAGAGGGGAAGGGAAGAGGAGGGAAAGGAGGGAAATTCTCCTTCCGTCCAAAAAAAAAAAAAAAGATTCGAAGATCTTTTCATTTTGTCAATTTGGGGCACAATCTGGTTTTAGGGACTCTTAGTCCATCGTTCAGCAGCTGCCAGGGAGAAGAGAGCTGGGGACCCCCAATTCTAAAGCTTCCGGATATGAGGGGGTCACTCTCCTTTCTCCTTAGGAAGGGGACCAGCTCTTTTCTCCAGAATTCGGGGGGGGGGATCACAGAACATTAATTCTACCTCCACCCACCTCCGATTAATAAAAAGATCTGTCTCACCTCTGTTAATGATAGGTCAACTCTCCGATGCACGGAGGAGGGGACGTCGAGCCCCCCCTGTTGGCACCCCCCCCAGAAAAACCTTTTGGCTCCCAATTCTCGCTGCTTCCCCCTCCCCCAGCAGTGAGGGACCCAGGCGTCCGACCTGGTTCGGGGAGTGGAGATGAGGAGGCGTATGGGGAATGGGGGTGCTGAGGTCAGGCTGGGGCTGGGGGGCAGCTCTGAGCCTGGGCCCCAAGGGAGTGAGGGTCGGGATATATATATTAAAAAAAAAAGGTGAGGAGACAATTTGGTTCTCGTGTCGCTGGGTAAAGTGCGGAGCTGGAGGACGAGAGGGAGGGAGTAGGGAGGGAGGGGGAGGGGAGCTGCTGAGGGATGGGGAGCCTCGGAGAGGAGATGGATGGGGGAAGGGAAAGAGGGGGGCAGGGTCGAGTGGCAGAAGGAAGCCGGAGGAGAAGAGAGAGATCCAGAGAGGGAGGGAGAGAGACAGAGAGAGACGAGGAGAAACGGAAAGAGAGAGACCCAGAGACCGCGAAACAGAAATGGGGGAGGGAGAAATTTGGGGGAGGCAGCGGCTGGAAGCAGAAGGAAGTTGGAGAGATACACACAGAGAAATATCCAGAGAGAGAAGGGGACAGGGACAGAGACTCAAAGAGAGAAACGCAGGGGCTGGGGGGGAGGGGGTGGGGGAGGGCTGGGGTAAGTGTGTGTGTGGGGGGGGTCAGGATCTGGGAAACAGAAGGAAAGAAGAGAGAGGGAGAGAGTCATCCAGAGAGGAGGGAGGAGGGACAGATGGGGAGAGACAGACAGAAAGAGAGAGACTGAGAGGATGGGGGAGAGAGGGGGGAGAGGGAATGAAATGGAGAGCGGGTAGGGAGAGAAATTGGGGATGGGGGCAAGGTCTTGCTAGAGAGAAGGAAGCTTTAAAGAGAGAAGAAGATGCGGAGAGGGAGCGGGGGAGCAAGATAGTAAATGAAAGAAATGGAGGGTAGAAGGGCCTGGATGGCAGAAGGTACCTGGGGAAAGAAAGGCAAGTGCAGGAAAAGAGGGAGACCCAGAGAGAGACAGACGGAGAGGGACTGAGACAGGAAGAGAGAGAGATCCAGAGAAACAGAGGCAGACACAGAGACTGGGGATGCACCCGAAGGAAGCCCAGAAAAAATAACGGGAGAGGGGTGAGGCTGAGAAGCCCCGAGGAGGTCAGAGATGAAGGATACCCCTGCCCCCGCCCCCTCCCGCGTCCCCAGCCCCGGATCCCTGCCCCCTCCCCCATTCCAATGCCACCACCCCCACCCCCACTAGCCTCCATCTCTCTTCAGCATCGCTTGCCGCCGCCACCGCCTCTTCCTGTCGTCATAGCAACAGGATCCAGGCGCCCAGCCAAGGCTGGCAGCGGCGGCCGGAAATGAGGGGAGGGCCTTTTCAAAAGGACCCCAGGAATGCTCCCCTTTCCCAAAATCCAAGGGAAAGCGCAACTTCCCGGGGTCTTCCCACCGCTCCTCCTCCAAGTGGCGAGGGCAAAGATTCCCCCCCCACCACCCCAGATAAAACAATATTGAACTTACCACGTTAACAAGCCTTTTGACTTTCACCAACAATTTTTTCTTTTCTCTTCTCATCCCCCTCCCCTCCCCTAGTTCAAACCTGATGGGGAAGAAGGGGTAGAGTTAGATGCCCCCGAGATGGGGCTGGGGCTGGGAAGGAGAGTAGAATGCCAAAAGCTTGGGTGCAAATATGTCTTAAAGAAACTTGTCTGGGACTGGGTAGGGGTCTATGCAACAGTTTTGAGAAGCATGGATCTGTCCGTTCTAGAACTAGCTAGTAGGTTGGGGAAGTGGAACAATCGGAGGTGGAAAGTCTGAGATCAGAGTCTGAAAGTTCGGTCTTGGGTCCAAATTTCACGGATGCTCCCAAGGCTTCGTGTGACCTTGGACAAAACACTTCTTCTCCTCTATACTCAGTTGCTCTTGGTTATAAAGGGCACAGAAGCTGCCTCCAACCAAGTGAGAACGCGGATGGGAAGTGGGATTGCACGTGGCTCTAGGCAAGCCGTTTACTCAAGACCCGATCCTCGTAAAAATGTTATCAGAAACTAAGAACTAGTAGCCATGGCTGATTGAAGGCTGTTGGCATGCTTCGCTGTCTTACAGAAGTCCTACAGAATCTTTGCCGTGTGGGCACCAATGTTCCTACATTAACCATGAGTAACCTGAGGCTCTGAGACAATAGGGGTTATGGGGGTGGAGGGCGGCCAACAATAGGTGAAATTCATAGTCATTTAACCCAGCACACCTTTACTGCTCCCTCCTGGGGGCTGGCAGAAACAGGAATAACCTGTGTTCCCTAAATCTATTTACCTAGTGTTTGCTCCTGCTGGTTCCTTCCTTTGGAGGGGCGATATCTTTCAGTCCCCAGCATCTCACATTTCTACTGAAATTTCTTTAGGTCGTTTCACTTAATTCTCACCCCGCCCCATGGGAGAAAGTTTAGACATGCATTCCAACACTCCTGGTTTAGAAGCTAAGAAACACAGCCCCCAAGGGAAGGGGTCTGGAATTCATTCGTTTGAGGAAAGTTGATTATTTTCTGCTCTTTTGCTGGGGGATGCGGGGGGAGATACATCAGCAAACAATGATGATAACCAATATAAACTGGACATTTAGGCTGGGTGCAGTGTCTCATGCCTGTAACCCTAGCAATTTGGGAGGCCGAGGCGGGCGGATCACCTGAGGTCAGGAGTTTGAGACCAGCCTGACCAACATGGTGAAACCCCGTCTCTACTAAAAATACAAAATTAGCCGGGCATGGTGGTGCATGCTTGTAATCCCAGCTACTTGGGAGGCTGAGGCAGGAGAGTCACTGGAACCAGGGAGGTGGAGGCTGCAGTGAGCTGAGATCGAACCGTTGCACTCCAGCCTGGACAACAAGAGTGAAACTCCGTCTCGAAAAAAATAAAAATAAAAACAAACTGGGCATTTAATATTACAGACTCCAAGGAGCCTGAGGGTATTGGTTCCATCTTCAAAAGAAGTGGGTTCTGTTAGCAGCCTCCACTTTAAAGATGTGAAAACTGAGGTTGAGAGGTCAGTTGTATTGGAGGACATTCATCAGGACATCAAATTCCAGAGCCTGTGCTGATACAACTGCACTGGTGAGAACGACTATGAAGATAATTTTTTAAAGCCAGGGTTTCCCAATCTCAACGTTCTCAACATTTGGGCTGGATAATTTTGTGTGGTGGAGGCTGTCCTGTGCATTGTAGAATGCTGAGCAGTACTCCTCGCCTCTATCCACTAGATGCCAATAGCACCTCCAAATAGCACCCTAAAAATAGCATTTGGGGACAACCAAAAATGTCTCCAAACATTGCTCAATGTCCCTTGGGGAACAAAATCGCCCCTGTTGAGAACTATTAAATTATACGAACTAGCAACTGGGGGAAACCTCTTTATTTTATTTTAAATGAAAATATATTTCCTAGTCCAATCAATATAGGCTCATGGTTTAAAAAAAGAAAAGAAAAAAAATCAAATGGTACACAAGGGACTACAATAAAAATAATTTAGCCTGTTCCACCTCAAGTCCTTTTCCTTATTGGAAAAGTCTATTAACATTCTTGTTTTTGCTTTTGTTCTTGTTACTTGAGACGGAGTCTCACTCTGTCGCCAGGCTGGAGTGCAATGGCGCAATCTCGGCTCACTGCAACTTCTGCCTGCCGAGTTCAGGCCATTCTTGTGCCTCAGCCTCCCGAGTAGCTGGGATTACAGACATGCAGCAACATGCCCAGCTAATTTTTACATTTTTAGTAGAGATGGGGTTTCACCATGTTGGCCAGGATGGTGTTGATCTCCTGACCTCTTGATCTGCCTGCCTCGGCCTCCCAAAGTGCTGGGATTACAGGCATGAGCCACCACACCCGGCCGTCTATTAATATTCTTAGCTATTTCTTCTCTTACTTGCCTTGACATCCCTAAATAATGATTTTCTTTTGGAATCAAAATTATACATTATTTATAGATATTTTTTCTCTAATAGATAACAAATCAATTCATGCAGCCCTCACTTTTCCTTCCCTTCTTCCTCAAGTGTTAGTTCTTCTATTGGTAATTTTGTGACACTAAGTGATGCATGATTACATCATGATTTATTTCAACAACTAAAGAGTATATCTCTTTTTTTCACAGCTTTATTGAGATCGAATTCACATATCATGCAATTCACCCACTTAAAGTGTACAATTCAACGGCTTTTAATTGTACAGAGCTGTGCAATCATCAACTTCAGATCACTTTTAGAATATTTTCATTAGTCCAAGGAGATACTGTGTACTCCTTAGCCATCACCCCCAATCTAAGCACCCACTCCAGCCCTAGGCAATCACTAATGTACTTTCTGTCGGTATAGATTTTCCCATTCTAGACATTTCATAGAAATTGAATCATACAACGTATGGTTCTTTGTGTCTGGCTGCTTTCAGGCTAAGTAAGTAATGTCTTTAAGGTTCATCCATGTTGTAGCATGAGCCAGTGCTTCATTCCATTTTATGGCAGAATAACATTCCATGGTATAGCGGGAGATACCACATTTTATTTATTCATTCATGTATCAATGAACATTTGAGTTTCTTCCACATTTTGGTTATTACAAATAATGCTGCTGTGAACATTTGTGTGCACATTTTTGTGTAGACATATGTTTTCATATCTCTTGGGCACATACCTGGCAGTGAACTTGTAGAATGAGTTTAAGGAATGAGATAGCATCTCTTCACTTCATTTTGAAAGATGGGAGTATTACCAGGTGTGGTGGTCCACGCCTGTAATCCCAGCACTTTGGGAGGCCGAGGCGGGCAGATCACCTGAGGTCGTGATTTCGAGACCAGGCTGGCCAACATGGTGAAACCCCGTCTCTACTAAAAATACAAAAATTAGCTAGGCATGGTGGTGCACGCCTGTAATCCCAGCTACTTGGGAGGCTGAGGCAGGAGAATCGCTTGAACCTGGGAGGTGGAAGTTGCAGTGAGCCAAGATCGTGCCACTGTACTCCAGCCTGGACAACAAGAGTGAAACTCTGTCTCAAAAAAAAAAAAAGCCGGGCGCAGTGGCTCATGCCTGTAAACCCAGCACTTTGGGAGGCCAAGGCGGGCAGATCACGAGGTCAGGAGATCGAGACCATCCCGACTAACACGGTGAAACCCCGTCTCTATTAAAAATAAAAAATAAAAAAAATTAGCCGGGCGTGGTGGCAGGCGCCTGAAGTCCCAGCTACTCGGGAGGCTGAGGCAGGAGAATGGCGTGAACCCAGGAGGTGGAGCTTGCAGTGAGCTGAGATCATGCCACTGCACTCCAGCCTGGGCGACAGAGTGAGACTCTGTCTCAAAAAAAAAAGAAAGAAAGAAAGAAAGAAAGATAGATGGATGGGAGTATTGAACCCACTGATCACTCCTTCAGCTCATGGAAGGCCCCTTCAGAAGGGGTGTCACAGAAGAAGCAGGTTGTAGACTTTTATAAGATCTCATTTCTACATTTGCTCACATATTCATTTCACATTAGCCAAGGCCTCTGCTGGGCTTGACCCAGAGACCTAGAGCCTGCAGACTTAGAGATAGGTTTGCTAATCCCTTCCCTTGAGAAGGTCCTCGGTCCTCACTTCCAACTGTGATAGGCAGAATTTTAAAATAACCTCCAAGATTCCCACCGCCTGGTGTACACACCCAAGAGAATCTCCTTCCCTTGGGTGTGGACAAGAGCTGTCACTAGGAGGTGATGCAGTCCCCATGATTATGTGACATTATATGGCAAGGTATGGGATTTTGTAAATATAATTAAGGTCCCTAATCAGTTGACTTCATTAAAAAAGAAATTATCCGGCTGGGCGCAGTGGCTTACGTCTGTAATCCCAGCACTTTGGGAGGCTGAGGTGGGCGGATCACGAGGTCAGGAGATTGAGACCAACCTGGCTAACACGGTGAAACCCCGTCTCTACTAAAAATACAAAAAATTAGCCAGGCAAGGTAGCGGGTGCCTGAAGTCCCAGCTACTCGGGAGGCTGAGGCAGGAGAATGGCATGAACCCCGGGGGTGCGGAGCCTGCAGTGAGCCGAGATCGCGCCACTGCACTCCAACCTGGGCAACAGTGAGACTCCGTCTCAAAAAAAAAAAGAAAGAAAAGAAAAGAAATTATCCCAGGTGGGCCTGGCCTAATCAGGTGATCTCTTAGGAAAGGATCAAGACGTCAGAAATAACCAAAGCAAAGGAGTTGCTGAGAACCCTGAGGAAGCAAACTGTCTTGTCATGGCAAAGACCTGAGAGTGAGTGGCAACTGCTAACTAGAAAACAGAGACCTCAGCCAAACAACTACAAGGAAATGAATTCTGCTCAACCTGTGGGAGGTTGGAAGTAGTTCTCTCCCTAGCCAAATCCCCAGCAGAGGACACAGCCAGCCGGCATCTTAACTTCAGCCTTGTGAGACCCAGAGCTCACCAGGCGCAGTGGCTCACGCCTGTAATCCCAGCACTTTGGGAGGCCAAGGCAGGCGGATCACTTGAGGCCAGGGGTTCGAGACCAGCCTGGCCAACATAGTGAAACCCTGTCTCTACTAAAAATACAGGTGTGCTGCCGCACACCTGTAATCCCAGCTCCCTGGGAGGCTAAGGCAGAAGAATCACTTAAACCTGGGAGGCGGAGGTTGCAGTGAGCCAAGACTGTGCCACTATATTCCAGCCTGGGCAACAGCAAGACTCCGTCTCCCAAAAAATAATAATAACATAAAATTCTCGGCCGGGCGCGGTGGCTCATGCCTGTAATCCCAGCACTTTGGGAGGCTGAGGCAGGCGGATCACGAGGTCAGGAGATCGAGACCATCCTGGCTAACACGATGAACCCCCGTCTCTACTAAAAAATTCAAAAAAAAATAGCCGGGCGAGGTGGCGGGCGCCTGTAGTCCCAGCTACTCGGGAGGCTGAGGCAGAAGAATTGTGTGAACCCGGGAGGCGGAGCTTGCAGTGAGCCAAGATCACGCCACTGCACTCCAGCCTGGGCGACAGAGCAAGACTCCATCTCAAAAAAATAAAAAATAAAAAATAAAATAAAATAAAATTCTCCTATGTCTCCCTATTGCCCTTAGGAGTAAATCTAAGCTCCTCACCTATGTCCTTTTGCCAAGAGCACAAGTCTCATCGTATGCCGCCCCCATTGCTGCCTCCTGCAGACTGAAGGTGTCTTCCCTACCATTCCCAGCTCCTTCCTGTTCTGAGGGTTTCCTGGGTGGTTTTCTTCCGTGGAATCCCCTTCCATCTCAGCCATATGGCAAACCCTCTATCCACTCTTTTTTTCTTTCTGAGACAGGGTCTTGCTCTGTCACCCAGGCTGGAGTGCAGTGGTGGAATCTTGGTTCACTGCAGCCTTGACTTCCCAGGCTCAAGCCATCCTCCCACTTCTTCCTCCCCAGTAGCTGAGACCACAGGCAAGCACCACCACACCCGGCTATTTTTTTTTTTTTTTTTTTTTTTGTATTTTTGGTAGAGAAGGGGGTCTCGTCATGTTGCCCAGGCTGGTCTCAAACTCCTGAGCTCAAGCGATCCGCCCACCTCAGCCTCCCAAAATGCTGGGATTACAGAGCCACTGCACCTGGCACTATCCACTCTTGAGATTCAACTTACACGCTCCTTCCTCCAGGAAGCCTTCCCTGACCTCCCAAGCCTCCATCAGGGTCTACATCAGTGCTCCCACCAGGCCTGCACTGGCTCCTTAAAGCCACAGCAAGGCTATATTGTGATTGACATGTGGGTCGGTCTTCTCCGCACTGGTGCCGGAGCTGTTCAAGGACAGGCACGGGTCTGATTTACTTCCGTGTCCCCTAGATCCCAGCTCAGCCCTGATGGACAGGAGCCCTCGGGTCCAGGGATGATGAACAAATGAATGAATGAATGAACGAATGAATGAGAAAATGAATGAGTCAGGGAATGAGTGGATACATATTCTAGGGTCTCCACCCTCTACGCAGCCAGTTCCAACCTCTTGTCCCTATCCAACCCTTCTCCCTGCCTCACATCCTGAGTGTGTGGTTTTTCCCAGGTGCGCGAGTGTTTCTCATCAACAACAGCTGGGGCCTTTGTGTTTCCTCAAGAGGAACAGGGTGGTGGTGGCATGTCTTCCTGCTGTACCAGGAAGCGTCGATCAGCGTTTCTTAAACGTCCTCATTCAGGGTGAAGTGGAAATATTCCAACGCTGGGGAGCCAGGTGGCTGGAGTTCCAACTCCGGCTCTTCTTTGCCTCCCCAAGGAACCCGGATCCAAAGCTTGATTCTCACTGCAGCTTCCTTCTCTCATTCTCTCATCTGTAGAAGGGGAAGAGGGATACCGTTAGTGATCTCTCTCTTGTTGAGACTGTGATTCGAAATCACACATCCAAGGCATTCTGCCAGAGCTAATGGGATGTCACTGAAGCCCCTGATATTATGTACAGAATATTGTGAGTATAAGTATTTTTTTCCTGGGGGTCCGTAGCTTTTATCTGACTCTCCAAGAGGTCCCTAATCTCCTGCAGATTATCACAGCTGGCAGAGCGCCGTGGCTCATGCCTGTAATCCCAGCACTTCGGGAAGCTGAGGCGGGAGGATTGCTTGAGCCCAGCCTGGGCAACATAGGGAGGCCCCCGACTCTACAAAAAATATATATATTTTTTTGAGATGGAGTTTTGCTTTTATTGCCCAGGCTGGAGTACAGTAGCGCGATCTTGGCTCACTGCAACCTCCACCTCCCAGGTTCAAGTGAATCTCCTGCCTCAGTTTCCTGAGTAGCTGGGATTACAGGCGTCCGCCACCACATCCGGCTAATTTTTTGTATTTTTAGTAGAGATGGGGGTTTCACCATGTTGGCCAGGCTGGTCTTGAACTCCTGACCTCAGGTGATCCACCCGCCTTGGCCTCCCAAAGTGCTAGGATTACAGGGATGAGCCACCATGCCAGGCCAAAAAATAATTCTTAAAAAATGAACCAGGAGTGTAGTCCTAGCTCCTCAGGAAGCTGAGGTGGGAGGATGCCTTGAGCTCAGGAGGTTGAGGCTGCAGTGAGCCAAGGTCATGCCACTGCACTCCATCCAGCCCAAGCGACAGAGAAAGACCCTGTCTCAAAATAAAAATTAAAAAAAGAATCACAGCTTATGAATCAATTTAGGAAAAACTCATTTGTGTCCATAAAAATAAAGGTAAAAAAGAAAAAAAGAAATATATATATATATATATATATATATATATATATATATATATATATATATTTTTTTTTTTTTTTTTTTTTTTTAGACGGAGTCTTGCCCTGTTGCCCAGGCTGGAGTGCAATGGCGTGATCTTGGCTCACTGCAACCTCCGCCTCCCGGGTTCAAATGATTCTTCTGCCACAGCCTCCCGAGTAGCTGGGGTTACAGGTGCCCGCCACCACCCCCAGCTAATTTTTTTTGTATTTTTAGTAGAGACAGGGTTTCACCATGTTGGTCAGGCTGTTCTCGAACTCCTGACCTCATGATCCACCTGATTTGGCCTCCCAAAGTGCTGGGATTACAGGCGTAAGCCACTGCGCCCAGCCGCAAAAGAAATATCTTCATAAAGATATTTCTATTTATTGATTTCTAGATAAAAGTCTGGCACAGGCTTTCTCAATCACTGTCGCACCAGTCACATCGGAGACCAGATGATTCTTTGCCATGGGTGGCCTTCCTGCACATTTCAGGGTCTATTCCAGAACTTGCTAGGTTCCCGTAGCACCTCACTCCCCCCAGCCCTGAGTTGTGACATCCAAAAATATCTCTGGACAGCCGGGCGCGGTGGCTCACGCTTGTAATCCCAGCACTCTGGGAGGCCGAGGCAGGCGGATCACGAGGTCAGGAGATCGAGACCATCCTGGATAACATGGTGATACCCCGTCTCTACTAAAAATACAAAAAATTAGCCGGGCGTGGTGGCGGGCGCCTGTAGTCCCAGCTACTCGGGAGGCTGAGGCAGGAGAATGGCGTGAACCCGGGAGGCAGAGTTTGCAGTGAGCCGAGACTGAGCCACTGAACTCCAGCCTGGGCGACAGAGCAAGATTCCGTCTCAAAACAAAAAACAAACAAACAAAAAAAAGCAAAAACAAAAATATCTCTGGACATTGCCAAATGCAACCTGGGGGCAACATGACTTCCAGTTGAGAGCCACTGTCCTAAAGGAAGAAAGTGGGAACAGTCACTCTCTCTGGGAAATGAGGCTGGAATTGAGAAGAGTGAAGAGAAAGCTACTTTCTTTTTTCTTCTCTTTTTCTTTTTCTTTTTTTTTTTTTTTTTTTTTTTTTGAGACGGAGTTTCACTCTTGTTGCTGAGGCTGAATCTCGGCTCACTGTAACCTCTGCCTCCCGGGGTTCAAGCAATTCTCCTGCCTCAGCCTCCCAAGTAGCTGGGATCAGAGGCATGTGCCACCACGCCCGGCTAATTTTGTATTTTTAGTAGAGACTATGTCATGGGATTTCACTAGGTTGGCCAGGCTGGTCTCAAACTCCTTACCTCAAGTGATCCACCCGCCTTGGCCCCCCAAAGTGCTGGGATTACAGACGTGAGTCACCATGCCCAGCCAAAAGCTACTTTCTTTATACCCTTCTCTGATGCTGAAACTTTTAAATCATGACTGAGTATTACATTTCAGGGCCAGGCACGGTGCCTCACTCCTGTAACCCCAGCACTTTGGGAGGCCAAAGCGGGCAGATCACCTGAGGTCAGGGGTTTGAGACCAGCCTGGCCAACATGGTGAAACCCCATCTCTACTAAAAATACAAAAAATCAGCCGGGCGTGGTAGCACATGCCTGTAATCCCAGCTACTTGGGAAGCTGAGACAAGAGAATCACTTGAACCTGGGAGGCGGAGGTTGCAGTGAGCAGAGATCGTGCCATTGCACTCTAGCCTGGGTGACAAAAGTGAAACTCCGTCTCAAATAAATTAATCAATTTATTATAGAAATAGAAAAAAATTTAAAATAGAAAAAAATTAAAAATTAAGAATAATAAATAAATAAATAAATTCGTAATTAAAATGAGTTTATTGTTCACATAAATTACCTCTCTGCAATGGACCACTACATAGTCATTAGAGGAATTAGGTAAATCTTACTAACTCTGTGACATACAGCATTAGCATTGAAACCTTTGAATGCAGGATCCCTCCGTACACTTAACTGTAGAGAGCTGGTGGCTCACACTTGTAGTCCCAACACTTCGGGAGACCGAGGTGAGAGGATCATTTGAGGCCGTGAGTTTGAGACTCCATCTTTACAAAAAAAAATTAAAATACTAGCTGGGCATGGTGGTGCTCACCTGTAGTATTTGCTACTCAGGAGGCTGAGATGGGAGGATTGCTTGAACCTGGGAGTTCAAGGTTGCAATGAGCTATGATAACCCCACTGCACTTCAGCTTGGGCAACAGAGCAAGATCTTGTCTCTAAAAATAAAATTAAAAAAAAAGAAAATTGTAGGGGACCCCAAAGAGCTTTTCAAATTTGTGCTATGTCTATCGATATTTTGCATATTTGCAATTCAAACTGAGAAGAAAATCTAAAATATGTATTTAAGTAAAATAATCAGCTTATTGTATATTTACATAAGCAACTTACTTTAATAAAAATAACTAGTTTCCAAAATTAAAAAATTATATAATGGTATTGGTTTATATTTTTTAAAATAGATTTAACGTTTGACTCAACAGAAGAAAGTCAGTCTCATATCTGCTTCTGTGTTCAGTCGTGTTCTTACTTCCTGTGAAGCCTCCAGACTCTATACACTCATGAGAGAATAAGAATGAAAAAAAGGAAAATATCTTAGTATTACGATAAAAATGCCTTTGACCTTGTGGACTTCCTAAATGAGTCTCAGGGATGTTCCAGCTCCCCAGGACACATTTTGAAAAGCACTGGTATGTGGTATTGTCCTGTAAACCAGTGTGGTCTAAGGGGGGCAGTATAGGGTAGGGTGGAAGCATTTAGCTAGACCCTGATGCAGGCTTGGGAGCTCAGGGAAGGCTTCCTGGTGGAAGGAGCATGTAAGTTGAATCTCAAGAGTGGACAGAACCCGGTGTGGTGGCTGATGCCGGCAATCTCAGCACTTCGGGAGGCTCAGGTCAGCGGATTGCTTGAGCTCAGGAGTTTGAGACCAGCCTGGGCAACATGATGAGACCCCTTCTCTACCAAAAATACAAAAAAAAAAAAAAAAATAGCCAGGTCTGGTGGTGCTTGCCTGTGGTCTCAGCTACCGGGGAGGCTGAGGTGGGAGGATGGCTTGAGCCTGGGAAGTCAAGGCTGCAGTGAACCAAGATTGTGCCACTGCACTCCAGCCTGGGTGACAGAGCAAGACCCTGTCTCAGAAAGAAAAAAAGAGTGGATAGAGGTTTTGCCATATGGCTGAGAGATGGAAGGGGATTCCTCGGAAGGAAACCCTCAGAACAGCAAGGAGCTGGGAATGGTAGGGAAGACAACTTCAGTCTGCAGGAGGCAGCAGTGGGGACGGCATATGTTGAGACTTGTGCTCTTGGCAAAAGGACATAGGTGAGGAGCTTAGATTTACTTCTAAGGGCAATAGGGAGATATAGGTCATTGATAAACAGATGGAACCAGGTGGCTTCAATATACACAGAGGGCCAGGCATGGTGGCCCACACCTGTAATTCCAGCACATTGGGAGGCCAAGGAGGGCAGATCACCTGAGGTCAGGAGTTTGAGACCAGCCTGGCCAACATGGCGAAACCCTGTCTCTACTAAAAATACAAAATTAGCTGGGAGTGGTGGCGTGTACCTGTAATCCCAGCTACTCTGGGGGCTGAGGCAGGAGAATCGCTTGAACCCAGGACTTGGAGGTTTCAGTGAGCCGAGATCATGCCACTGCTCTCCAGCCTGGGCAACAGAGCGAGATTCGTTTAAAAAAAAAAAGCCGGGCACAGTAGCTCACGCCTGTAATCCCAGCACTTTGGGAGGCCGAGGCAGGTGGATTGCCTGAGCTCAGGAGTTCACAGCCAGCCTGGGCAACACGGTGAAACCCCGCCTCTACTAAAATACAAAAAATTAGCCAGGCGTGGCGGTGTGTGCCTGTAGTCCTAGGTATTCGGGAGGCTGAGGCAGGAGAATTGCTTGAACCCAGAAGGCAGAGGTTGCAGTGAGTCAAGATGGCACCACTGCACTCCAGCCTGGACAACAGAGCAAGACTCCATCTCAAAAAAAAAAAAAAAAAAAAAAAATATATATATATATAGAGAGAGAGAGAGAGAGAGATAAATAGATGGAACCAGGTGGCTTCAATATACACAGAGGGCCAGGCATGGTGGCCCACAACTGTAATTCCAACACTTTGGGAGGCCAAGGAGGGCAGTATATATACACACACACACACACAAAGGTATACAGCTTAGCGGATAAGTATTGTCGACACAAGAGACTCCCAGGATTCAAATTTTAGCTTGACCGCTTACTAGCTGTGTGACCAGGAGAAAGCTAATTACCCTCTCTGTGTCTCAGGATCTCATTTATAAAGTGAGAATGATACTAAGAGTACTAAACCTCCTGAGGTTACAGAATGTAAAAGGCTTAGGACTGAAACACAAAGTGGCTGGCATGTAAGCACTCAATAAATTACGCAATTAATTTATGCAAACAATTGTTATTAAGCAGCCTTGGAAAACAGTAGAGTTATATAACATACTAAATGAGCCCCATGCATTCTCATTTGAAACTGGAAGGCCCAGAACTATGTGCATTACATGATAAATGTATAAAATAAAAATATGTATACCACATACTCATCTGTATGTGGATTTAAACACATGCATATATGCTTGAATATGCATAGAGTATTCCTGAAATTATACATTGAAAACTAATAATGCCTCAGGAAGAGGAGGATTTCAGAATGTTAGGACATCCTGACTTACTTTGGATAAATAAAGGTGGAACTTTTCACAGCATTTCTTTAAAACAAATCAAAAAACTCACCAATCTCGAACTGTGGGATTACATTCCATTTTCAAAGTTTAATAAACAAAAGAACTAGCTTGATTTTTTAAAAGAACACAACCCTTAGGATTTTAGGTTGTTAACTTCCCCATAGTGTTAGCAAGTATCTAGCATTTGCGTCACCACAGCCCATCCTGCAGGCAAGGCAGACAGCACCAATTGAGCAGCACGGCAGACAGCACCAATCAATGGCAACACTCTTTCCCACTGAGCAGATGTTCAGAATCCTTCTAACACCGGGCTCCAAGCAGCCCGTACGAATCACTTAGTTTTGACAACGAAGCTGAAACATGATTTGCCATCCCGAATCTCAAGCATGACCTCCAGAAATTGGTGAAATTATTGAAAATGACTTAGAATATTTCCCTCCGGGAGTCCAGTCCTGCTGATTCAGAACTCTTTCCTGCTAACTTACCCCCACCAACCTCCCTATTCCAGAGGGATTTGGAATCCTTCTAAACCAACCAGTGCCCTCGGTATTTTTTTATTTTTTTATAGAAAAAGAAACTGAAGCCCCAGAGATTCAAAGATTTGCTCAAGGTCACAGAATGAGTTTGCACCAAATCCATAGTAGTAAATTATAGCAGCTAAGAGTGTGGGCTCTGAGGTCAGACAGGCTGGGCATGAATTCTCCTCCGCATCTTACCAGCTGGGTGGCCTCACTTCCCTGAGCCTCGGTTTCTTCATCTATAAAATGGGGCTAATTGGGATGCCTGATTCACAGGATGGTTGGAAGGATTCAATGAGCTAATAAATCAAAAGTGCCTAGTGCAGGCTGGGTAGGGTGGCTCATGCCTGTAATTCTAGCACTTTCGGAGGCCGAGGCAGGAGGATCCCTTGAGCCCAGGAGCTCAAGACCAACCTGGGCAACACAGGGATACCCTGTCTCTATTTTTTTTTAAAAAAGTGCTTAGTGCGGTGTCTGATACCCTAATGATGACCTGATAAATGTGTCTTGGTTGTTAACAGTTGTGACTGTAACAGCAAAAGTTATTCTGATGGATCCTTAAGAGGCCAAATCTAGACAAGGCAAAGAAGGGAAGATCTGGCACGGTGTTTCCTTTACAATACGCTGCAAAAATAAGCTTATCAAACATTTAGGCTGTTCTCAGTCTCTCAGTATAGTGGGTGAGACTGCAGATTGTGGCACCCACTTTCCGAGCCTGCCTCCTTCACCTGCAAAAATGGGGTGATAATTCCTACATACAGGGTTGCTGTGAATGTCTAATGAGATCATGTAAGGAAGGAAGGCGTCTGGCTCAGGGTAGGTGTGCAGTAAATGGTAGCAGTCATTTCTTAACAGAGGGACTGAGCCAAGCATTGGGAAAACCCACCACTGCCTAGTGCAAGGGGGAGGAAGCCTGAGCTTCAGAACCAGATAAACTTGGTTTTATTATTATTTTGAGATGGAGTCTCACTCTGTCGCCCAGGCTGGCGTGCAGTGCACTCGGCTCACTGCAGCCTCCGCCTCCCAAGTTCAAGCGATTCTCTGCTTCAGCCTCCCGAATAGCTGGGATTACAGGCGTGAGCCACCGTGGCCAGCTAATTTTTTTGTGTTTTTAGTAGAGACAGGGTTTCGCCATGTTGGCTGGGCTGGTCTCGAACTCCTGACCTCAAGTGATCCCCCCAGCTTGACCTCCCAAAGTGCTGGGATTACAAGCGTGAGTCACCGCACCAGGCCTAAACTTGGCTTTAGCAAATGGCTCTGCCAACTTCCACCTGTGTGATCTTGGATACGTCACTTCACCTCTCTGGACCTATCTGCAAAATGAGGCCAATAAATTGACCGTGCAGGCTTGGGGGAAAAGTTAAAAGAAGCAATGAATGTCGAAGGAAGCCGAGTCATAGTAACAGTACTCTACGTGGTCATAATAATACCAGGAGAAAGCGTTTATTGATCCTGACCAGTATCATTTACGGTCCTGCATGCTTTACACGGACTGAAGTATAAAGCGCTGCCGTTGATAATGATGATGATTAAGTCATTTAACAACGACCCATCTAACGTCATTCTGCAGTACTTTAGGCCTGCAACCCTAGAAGCAGAGACCCAGACTAAGCCCCCTCTATCCAATCCCTTCCCTCCGGGCAGGCGGAGACGTGTTTGAAATAAAGTTTATTGAAGTTTCTGTCGATATTTACATATGATACACGGTAAATAACAGAGCCAGGCCCCCCACCCCACCCTGTCCCCACCCCAGTGCCCCCCTCCCCCCAGCCTCGTTAAAAATCGCTGCGTAAAGTCAGGTTAACTGCGGCGGGTCCCCCCTCCCCCCTCCCACCTAAGATGCAAACTAAAAGCCCCCGTCCCTCCCCTGCCCCCCTCCCCCCACCCCGGGGGCCATTCTGGTTCCGTGTACAGCACTGTGCTACCTCGCCCCTCTTTCCCTAATAAGGGGGGGTGGGCGAGTTCCTGGTGACCTCCTCTCCCCCCAAAATCTGTCCAACGGGGCGGACGGGCCCTTGAAAGAGGCCAGAGTTGGGGTTCTGAGGGGGGAAGAGGGACGTCAATGAGGAGGAGAGCCAGAAAATGGAAGACTTAGAGGTTTGGGGGGGGTGTCGACCCCCGCTACTGCCCCTCCCTCCCTCGACGGGGCCTCGAGGGGGGAGAGGCGGGCACAGGTGCGGAGATGGCGTGGGGGAATTCCCTCCACCCTAGGGTCCCCATTCTGGCCGTCTGGTGTGCGCCTAGGGCGGGATGCACCCAAGGGCTTGGGACGAACGGGTGAAGGGAGGAAAGGAGAGAAAGAGTTAAAGGAGGAGGAAGACGAAAAAGAAGCCAAGGATAGCTGAGAAAGCAAGAAGATCCTTTAGACAAGAGCCCCCTAAAAGGCAGGTAACCTTCAGGAAGCAGAAAAGAGCCCAGCCGGTGAGAAAGAATGGGACCTTCCAGGGAAGTAGGGGAGATGGGGAGGGAAGGGCCAGGTTAACCGTACCCGTGGCTTCCAGCCCCCTTCCCTACGCCACCCCGGGGCTGCGGGTGGAGCAAGCCGGCCCTCCCACTGCACCGGAGGACCCAGCAGGTCAGGAGGTGAGATTAGGCAGGGAAAAAGGAAGCCCAGGTTAGAAGGGAGAAGAGGATGGTCGGTATTCCCGACGGCTGCCCGAACCTGCTCTCCAGCCCAGCGCCCCTGCGGTGAGGTCCGAGGTTGGGGAGCTCTGGGGAGCTGGGCGCTTGCACCGCCTCTGGCTGCTCCCAGCTCAGAGCAGGTGGAGAACGAGGGAGGAGCTAATTTTCTTGGAGAGGAGGGGCCAGAGGAAAGGGGCGGGCCAACGAAGGGGAGGAGTCATTTGGGAGTGAGAGGGACCAATGAAAAGGAGAGGTCGGGAAAAGAGGGCGCGGCCATTGAAATAAGGGAGTCTGTGGGCGGAGCCATTGGGAGGAGGGCGGGGCCTAAAGCTGGCGCAGCCTCCTCCGGGTGGGAGCGAGGAGTCCCGAGGACGGAAGGGGGCGCTGCATTGCAGGGAGACCCCCCTAAGACGAGGAGGAGGAGGAGGCAGGGGGAGCTCCGAGGGGCGGGCCTCAGCAGGGCGAGGTGGAGATGTGCAGGTGGTCCGGGTACTTGATGGCGGGAGGGTAGTTCTGCGTCATTTGGATGGACACGTCGCTGGAGATGTCGGAGGGGCTCCGGCCGCGGCGCCACGCCTCGGGCTGCAGGAACTGGCCCGAGTAGTCGGAGCAGTCGCTGAGACGCGGGCGGTAGAAGGCCGGGTGTGGACGGTACATCTCCTCCTCCGCGTAGCGCTTGGTGAACAGGTACACGGACATCACGCCGGCCCCCTGCGGCAAGGCAAGGTCAGAGTCCCAGGGGCGCCCCCCTGCGCATCCCCGGACCCCGACTCATCTCCTCTCACTCCAGGACTCAGAGTCCCCACCCCAAGCCCCTTCCTATCCCAGGACCCAGGATCAGGGCTCCAGCCCTCTCTTTCCCCGGGACCTCAGGAGTCCAAGCCCTCAGGTTGGCCCCTCCCTCAAGACCCAGGAGTCCCAGTCTCCAGACCCCTCCTCCCCCAGGATCCCAAAAGTTGGAGCTCTCAGACCCCTCTTCCTCCAGGACCCAGGGGTTAGACCCTCAGCTACCACCTCCCTCTGACGCCAGAGTCTGCATCTCCAGCCTCTCCTTCCTCCTGGACTCAGGAACCAGGCCCCCAAGACCTCTCTCCATTCAGAACTCTAGAGTCTAGGTCCCACGGACGTCACCTCTTTGAGTAGGAAGGAGGAAGCGGCGAAGGCAAAAGACCACCCGTAGCGATAATGAAAATACTGCTCAGAGCTGCTGGGCCTGTTCATGACCTCGTCGTTGATGCTGGAGATGTAAAGAACCAAGCCCACCACCAAGGAGAGGCCTAGGGGAGCAGAGGGGGTGCCCTCGTCCATTAGAAGTGGGCCCCTTTTCCCAGCCCCAGCCCCACCTCACTGCCTTCCCCTCCTCCCCATTCTGTCCTGGACTAACTTCCCTGAAGCCCCTTGTATGCTGGGCCTTGGTTGGGTGCAGGGAGCCCAGAGATGAATCAACAACCACCTCCCCCTTTATCCCCCTAAATCTGCCATCCAGGAGCTCACAATACAATTGGAGAAGGAAAATAGGAACACACTGATTAAGTCACATATAAGGTGATAGGTGCTACAAGGAAGTAGCACGCTGTGTGGGACTCTGGAAGGAGTGCCAAACCTGCCTGGGGCAGGGGCAAGAGAAATGAAGGAAAGATTTCTTTGTTCAAGTCTTCTTTTCTTTTCTCTCTTTTTTTTTTTTTGAAATGGAGTCTCACTCTGTGGCCTGGGCTGGAGTGCAGTGGCCCGATCTCGGCTCACCGCAACCTTCAACCTCCCAGGTTCAAGCGATTCTCCTGCCTCAGCCTCCCAAGTAGCTGGGATTACAGGCGCCCGCCACCACTCCCGACTAATTTTTTTTTTTATATTTTTAGTAGAGACGGGGTTTCACCATGTTGGCCAGGCTGGTCTCAAACTCCTGACCTCAGGTGATCCACCCACCTCGGCCTCCCCAAATGCTAAGATTACAGGTTTGAGCCACCGCGCCCGGCCTTAAAGGATGAGGCCCAGAGAAGAATAAGGGCACACTGGCAGAGTGCACAGCATGGGCAAAGGTTTCGGAAGGAGGGAAAATAGAGCTGGTCCACCCATGTAGCTGTAACATAAGCTGTAGCCACAAGAAATGAGGTTAGAGAAAGGGGAAGGTATAGCCATGGTGAGCCTCGAATGCCGGGCCCAGGAGCTGGGTGTTGACGCCAAGGGTGCTAGGGAGCTACACAAAGTTTGTAGCAGAGGAAGGACAGGGCCAGATCCCAGTGTTAGAAGAAACTTTGGGGGCTGGTTGATGCTGGGAACAGACTGGAGGGAGACATATTCCAGGGCGAAGAGGATGAGGCCTGAGCTGAGGCTGTGTGGATAATAATTGCAACAATAGCAATAATAATAGCAACGACTTATATAGGTCTTGGTCTGTGCCAGGCACTGTTCTTGGTGTTGTGTATATATATACATTCATTCAAACTTCACAACACCTCTTTGAAGGAGGTACATTTTTAACACCATTTACAATTGAGGAAATAGAGCATACGGACAGTGTGCAGAGGAGAGGTCCAATCTGAGAATTTCTAAGAGGCGATTATCATTTTCTCCAGATGAAATTTCCTCTAAACAGTAACCATGCCAAGAGTGGCTTAAGGAGGCTATAAAGTTCCCTGCCTTAAATGTATCTAACTAATCCCTATCAACCTCTTCCCCTAGAATCCTACATTCTGTGTGCCACACACAGAATAAGCCCAAATTCCTTCCACTGTCTACACCGGTGGTCGGCAAACCATGGTCCATGGACGAAACCCAGCTCACCCCCTCATTGTGTATGGCCCACCAGCTAAGAATGGCTTTCACATAAGTAAATGATGTTAAAAATCAAAACAAGACTGGTATTTTGTGGCACATAAAAAGTATATGAATTTCATTTGGCAGCGCCTCAAAAAGTTAAAGATAGAATTATCATATGACCCAGCAATTCCACTCCTAGGTATGTCCCCAAGAGAAGTGGAAACATATGTTCATACAAAAACGCATACACGGATGTTTGTAACAGCGTTATGCGTAATAGCCAAAAAGCGGAAACAGCCCAAATGCCCATCAGCTGATGAATGGATAAACAAAATGTGGTATATCCATATACAGGAATACTATTCAGCCAAAAAAGGGAACGATATACTGATTCATGCTACCATAGGGATGAACCTAGAAAGCAAGCTAAAAGAAGCCAGATGCAAAATATCACATATTGTGTGATTCCATTTATATGCAATGTCCAGAATAGGCAAATCCACAGAGACAGAAAGTAGATTAGTGGTTGCCAGGGAATAGGATGGAGGGGGAAATTGTGTCTGGCTGCTAAGGTGTGTGAGGTTTCTTTTGAGAATAATGAAAATGTTGTGAAATTAGCTAATGGAGATGGTTGCACAACCTTGTGGATGTACTGAAACATCACTGAATTATATGAAATTTATAGTATGTGAATTACATCTCAATTTTGTTTTTTGTTTTTTGGAATTTTTTGAGACAGATTCTTGCTCTGTCACCTAGGCTGGAGTGTAGTGGTGCAATCTCGGCTC
Source organism: Homo sapiens (assembly GCF_000001405.40). Classification (NCBI taxonomy): domain Eukaryota; kingdom Metazoa; phylum Chordata; class Mammalia; order Primates; family Hominidae; genus Homo; species Homo sapiens. The sequence goes on along the minus strand of NC_000019.10, from coordinate 53,939,201 downwards.
ACCGCAACCTCTGCCTCCTGGACTCAAGCGATTCTCCTGCCTCAGCCTCCTGCGTAGCTGGAATTAACAGGCACCCGCCACCATGCCTGGCTAATTTTTGTATTTTTAGTAGAGACAGGGCTTCACAATGTTGACCAGGCTGGTCTCAAACTCCTGACCTTAAGTGATCTGCCCACCTTGGCCTCCCAAAGTGCTGGGATTACAGGTGTGAGCCACCACACCCGGCCTTTTTTGTTTTGTTTTGTTTTGTTTTGAAGACAGGGTCTTGCTCTGTCACCCAGGCTGGAGAGCACTGGGACAATCATGGCTCACTGCAGCCTTCACTTCCCAGGCTCAAGTGATCCTCCCACCTCAGCCTCCCTAGTAGCTGGGACTACAGGTGCACACCACCACGCCCGGCTAATTTTTTGTATTTTTTGCAGAGACAGGGTTTTGCCATGTTGCCCAGGCTGGTCTCGAACTCCTGATCTCAAGTGATCTGCACACCTCATCTCCCAGAGTGCTGGGATTACAGGCGTGAGCCACTGTGCCTGGCTTTATATCTCAACTTTTTAAAGTACATTAATTTTAAATTTTGGTTTCTACAAATGATAGTGGAACACAGCCACACCCATTTGTTTACATATTGCCTGTGACTGGTTTTTTGCTACAACCACAAGGCTGAGCAGTTACAAGAGAGACTGGGTGGCCAATAAAGCTGAAGGTATTTATTATTTGGCTCTTTACAGAAAACTTCGCTGACCTCTTAGACTGCAGTATATAAATGGTCCGGTACCTGCCCACACCATCTCTGATCAGTTTCTCCTTGTTTCTTTTTCTTAGACCACCTAACTTTCTTTACTTTTTTTCTTTTTGGGACAGGGTCTTGCTCTGTTGTCCAGGCAGGAGTGCATTGGTGCAATCATAGCTCACTGCAGCCTCCACCTCCCTGGCTCAAGCAATCCTCACACCTCAGACTCATGAGTAGCTGGGACAACAGGCATGCACCACCATGCGGGGCTAACTTTTGCATTTTTTTGTAGAGACAGGGTCTCCCCATGTTGCCCAGGCTGGTCTCGAACTCCTGAGCTCAAGCAGTTCTTCCACCTTGGCCTCCCAAAGTGCTGGGATTACAAGCGTGAGCCACCACACTCGGCCTAGAACACCTAACTTTCTTGCTCTTCCTTGAACTCCTCAAGCTCACTTCTGCCTCAGGGCCTTTGGTCTTGCCATTCCTTCTACCTGGAATGCTCTTCCCCCAGATTTCCCCATGTCTATTTCTGTCACTTAGATCTCTCCTCACTTGTTGCCTCTTTAGAAAGACCTTCTATGGGCCAGGCGCAGTGGCTTAAGCCTGTAATCCCAGCACTTTGGGAGGCCCAGGTGAAAGGATCACTTGAGACCAGGGGTTTCAGACCAGCCTGGCCACCGTGGTGAAACCTCGTCTCTACTAAAAATACAAAAATTAGCTGGGTGCGATGGCACACACTCGTAACCCCAGCTACTCGGGATGCTGAGGCAGGAGGATTACTTGAACCCAGGAAGCAGAGGTTGCAATGAGTCAAGATCGTGCCACTGCACTCCAGCCTGGGCAACAAGAGCAAAACTCCGAGAAGGAGGGGAGGGGAGGGGAGGGGAGGGGAGGGAAGGGAAGGGGGGAGGAGACTTTTATGATCTCCCTGTTGAAAAAAGTAGATTTCCCTCACTCAAAATTTGAGAAATGCAAATGAAAAATATGATGAGCTACCACTTCTCATCAACCGGGTAGTCAGAAGTTTAAAAGCTTCACAGCACACTCTTTTGGGGAGGCTGAGAGAATGGACGTTCTTCTACATTGCTGGTGGGAATGCAAAACGGTGCCGCCACGTGAAAGGGGATTTAGTAGCATCTAACAAAATCACACACGGATCTGTCCTTTAACCCAGCAATCCCACTTCCAGGAATTTATCCTGAGGATATCTCTCCCGTGATGGGAAACCACACATGCACAGGCTGATTTATCGCAGCATGACTTGCCGTTGAAAAATAATGGAGGCTGGGCACCGTGGCTCATGAGTGGAATCTCCGCACCTCGGGAGGCCGAGGTGGGCAGATCACTTGAGGTCAGCAGCTCAAGACCAGCCTGGACAACATAGTGAGACCCCATCTCTACTAAAAATAAATAATTAGTTCCTGTTGTCTTAGCTACTTGGGAGGCTCAGGAGGGAGGATCCCTCGAGCCTAGGAGTTCAAGGCTGCAGTGAGCTATGACTGCACCACTGCACTCCCGCCTGGGTGACAGAGGGAGACTGTCTCAAAAAACTCAATTAAGTTAGGCTGGGCACGGTGGCTCATGCCTATAATCTCTGCATTTTGGGAGGCCAAGGTGGGCAGATCACTTAAGGTCAGGAGTTTGAGACCAGCCTGGCCAACATGGTGAAACCTGATCTCTACTAAAAATACAAAAATTAGCCAGGCATGGTGGTGGGTGCCTGTAATCCCAGCTACCTGGGAGGCTGAAGCACAAGAATTGCTTGAACCCAGGAGGCAGAGGTTGCAGTGAGCCGAGATCCCACCACTGCAATCCAGCCTGGGCGACAGAGTGAGACTCCGTCTCAAAAAAACAAAAACTAAATTAAAAACAAAATAGAATAAAATACATGAGTCCACACTGATACATATTTAAAATAAGAAAAAAGAGAAAGTTCTTTTCAGTAGCACACCAATTTATCCATGTAGGTGGAATAATAGAGTTAGAAGAAAACACCATTCTGCAATCCTAGTAGTAATGTTAGATTCAGGCAAGAGTCACGAGGGGATGCTCGATTGCTGGATGACAGAATCTCCCCACAGAAGATCTATTAATTATTACAGAGATAAAAAGCTTCCTTTATGGTGAAAGAACCTGGCAGATACTGCCTTAACCAAGTGATCGCAGTTAACATCACCAGCAACAGGGCAGACCTACACCACGGGCCTCCAGAGAAGAGAGCTGAGCAAACCACTCCCTCCTTTATGTCGTGTTCCTGCTGAGAATGCGTAACCTGAATCCACTCATGAGGACAGTGGGACACTCTACAGCCCAACTGGCTGCACTCTTCAAAAACGTCAACATGAAAGATTGAAAAAGAAAAAAAAAGGCAGCAGAGCTCCATAAAAAATGAAAGGTTCACATGGCATCCTCCACGTATTAAAAAAAAAAAAAAATGAAAGGAGACTAAAGAGACACAATAGGGAAATGCAAAGCGTGATCTTAGATTGGATTCTGAATCAGGAAAAAGTAACAGTAAAAAGATAGCATTAGGCCAGGCGTGGTGGTTCACGCCTATAATCCCAGCACTTTGGGAGGCCAAGGCAGGTGGATCACTTGAGGTCAGGAGTTCGAGATCAGCCTGGCCAACATGGAGAAATCCTGTCTCTACTAAAAATACAAAAATTAGCTGGGCATGGTGGTGGGTGCCTGTAATCCCAGCTACTTGGGAGGCTGAGGCAGGAGAATCGCTTGAACCCAGGAGGCAGAAGGTTGCAGTGAGCCGAGATCGCGCCATTGCACTCCAGCCTGGGTACAAGAGCAAAACTCCAACTCAAAAAAAAAAAAAAAAAAAAAAAGACAGTATTGGAGGGTGGGGGCGGTGGCTCACGCCTATAATCCCAGTAGTTTGGGAGGCTGAGGTGAGTGGATCACTTGAGCTTAGGAGTTTGAGACCAGCCTGACCCACATGGTGAAACCTTGTCTCTACTAAAAACACAAAAATTAGCCAGGCGTGGTGGCATTAGCCTGTAGTTCCAGCTATTTGGGAGGCTGAGGCACAAGAATCCCTGTAACCCAGAAGGCAGAGGTTGCAGTGAACCAAGATTGAGCCACTGCACTCCAGCCTGGGTGACAAAGCAAGACTGTCTCAATTAAAAAAAAAAAAAAAGACAGTATTGGGACATTGGTGAAATTTAAATGTAGGACTAGATATTAGCTATAGTATTTTATAGACCTTAAACTTCCTGAATTTGATTATTGTACTGTGGTTAGGTAAAAGAATGCCCTTGTTCTTAGGAAATACTTGCTGAACTAGTGAAGTGTTTGCAACTTATATTCAAGTGGTTGCACCAATGTGTGTACATATATATTTTTTGTGCACACATATGCATATATTTGTGTGTATATATGTATATATAACGTGTGTATACATAGGTATATATGTATATGTAATATGTGTATACATATATGTGTATATAGATCTATATATATATATGGAGAGAGAGAGAGACAGAAAGGCAAATGTTGTAAAATGTTGAAAAACTGGGCTAGGTGAAGGATATGAGAGTTCATTGTATTATTTTTACAAGCGTCCTGTAGTCTTAAATTTTCTCCAAAATAAAAAATGTAAAATACGAGTATCCCAAACCAAGATTTTTTTTTTTCAAAATGCTAAAGTATTACCTGCACACTAGTATTTCATTTACTTATTTATCTATTGAGATGGGGTCTCGCTCTATGGCCCGGGCTGGAGTGCAATGGCATGATCATGGCTCACTGCAGCCTCAAACTCCTGGGCTCAAGTGATCCTCCTGTCTCAGCCTCTGGAGTAGCTGGGACAACAGGCATGCGCCACCACACCTGGCTAATTTTTTTTTTTTTTTAAGAGACAGGGTCTCAATGTTGACCACGCTGGTCTCAAACTCTTAGGCTCAAGCAATCCTCTCGCCTCGGAATCCCAAACTGCTAGGATTACAGGCATGAGCCACTGTGCCTGGCCTTGCTTTTTCATTGTAAAAAGAAAAACCTACCTTTTCCATGGGGAGCTCTGATGGACACCATCTTTACCAAGGGTTCAAGCTGGTACCACTCACTGTGGGACAACCTGACATTATTTGCTCCCTGGAGTAACGTGATACAAAGTATGCAGCGGCACCTCTGACTTTTCTTGCCAATGATGTTTAACGTGAATGTTATCAAGCCTCTAGTCTAGACAGAACTTCCAGGTTACAGAAAATACAAGGAAAGAGGAACAAATGAAGTGTTACCATGAAGAAACAAATAAATTCAAGATGCAGCTGGGAGCAGTGGCTCACGCCTGTCATCCCAGCACTTTGGGAGGCTGAGGTGGGTGTATCACCTGAGGTCAGGAGTTTGAGACCAGCCTGACTAACATGGAGAAACCCTGTCTCTACTAAAAATACAAAATTAGCCGGGCGTGGTGGTGCAGGCCTGTAATCCCAGCTACTTGGGAGGCTGAGGCACGAGAATTGTTTGAACCCGGGAGATGGAGGTTGCAATGAGCTGAGATTGCGCCATTGCACTCCAGCCTGGGTGACAAAGCGAGACTCTGTATCAAAAATAAATAAATAAATAAATAAAAATTAAACAATAAACCCAAGATGCAGGACATTCACCAGGATACCCTGTCCCTCAGTCTTCAGAAAAACGATGACATGGAGCAAGCTAATGACACTCAAACCAGTGATCAACTCTAATATCTCAAAAAGAGAGACAATCAGACAATCTGTGTCTCTTGATGTAATAGACACAGCAGGATGTGAATAGCACCACCTATGTATAAAGTGTTCTTGCCAAAAAAAAAAAAAAATCAAACCTGCATCCATCTAAGCTTCTTTTAGATCTTGGCTTACAAGAAAACACAGGAATAGGCTGAGTGTGGTGGCTCACACCTGTAATCTCAGCACTCTGGGAGGCTGAGGCGGGTGGATCACCTGAGGTCAGGAGTTTGAGACCAGCCTGTCCAAAACATGGTGAAACCCCCTCTCTACTAAAAATACAAAAATTAGCCAGGTGTGGTGTTGGGCGCCTATAGTCCCAGCTACTCAGGAGGCTGAGGCAGGAGAATTGCATGAACCTGGGAGGCAGAGGTTGCAGCGAGCCGAGACCGCACCACTGCACTCCAGCCTGGTGACAGAGCGAGAGTCCATCTCAAAAAAAAAAAAAAAAAAAAATTGGCCAGGCGTGGTGGCGGGCACCTGTAATCCCAGCTACTCAGGAGGCTGAGGCTGGAGAATCACTTGAACCCAGGAGGTGGAGGTTGCAGAACCCAGGAGGTGGAGGTTGCAGTGAGCCGAGATTGCACCACTGCACTCCAGCCTGGGTGACAGAGTGAGACTCTGTCTCAAAAAAAGAAAAGGCTGGGCTCAGTGGCTCACGCACAAAGTGCTGTAATCCCAGCACTTTGGGAGGCCAATGCGGGCGGATCACCTGAGGTCAGGAGTTTGAGACCAGCCTGGCCAACATGGCGAAACCCCATCTCTATTAAAATACAAAATTAGCCGGGCGTGATGGCAGATGCCTGTAATCCCAGTTACTCGGGAGGCTGAGGCCAGAGAATCGCTTTAACCTGGGAGGCGGAGGTTGCAGTGCCTGGACGACAAGAGCGGAACTCAGTCTCAAAAAAAAAAAAAAAAAGGAGAGAGAAAAGAAAACACTGAAATAGATGAACATATTAAACGACAACAGAAGATTCCATTGGAAAACTGCAATGTGGGAATTCCACATAACAAAAATGCAAATTTCTCAAAAAAATAAATGGCCAGAAAAAAATAGGAGAGGGACCGTTTTAGGTTGAAAGAGGCTTCAGAGATCTATCAACTCAATGTACATGTGGAACTTGGATCTGGATTTGCAACAAATGAACTAGAAAGAGGCATTTATGAGGCCAATGGGGAAGAGTGAGCATTAACTAGATATGAGATAATATTAAGTAATTATTCTTAGTTGCTTGGGCTTGATCATGGGATTGTGGTTATAGTAAATAAAAGACTACTTATAACTCAGAGATATACTGAAATATCTGTGAATCAAATGATGTCTGAGACTGGCTTTAAAATAATGTAGTGAAATGCAGAAGAGGACATGGCAATATGACTAAAAACAGATTTGCCATATGTTGGTAATTGTTGAAACTGAGTGCAGGATCCATGAATTTCATTATACTATTCTTTCTATATTTTATTTTATTTTTTAATTCTTTTTTTTTTTTTTTTTTTTAGACAGGGCCTTACTCTGTTGCCCAGGCTGGAGTGCAGTGGTACCATCATAGCTCACTGCAGCCTCCATCTCCTGGGTTCAAAGCGATTCTTCCACCTCAGCCTCCAGAGTAGCTAATACTACAGGCTCGAGTCACTGTGCTTGGCTTCTTTTTATATTTTAATAATGAGATATATTTAAAAAGTCAGTGCTGGCCGGGCACAGTGGCTCACGCCTGTAATCCCAGCACTTTGGAAGGCTGAGGCAGGCGGATCACGAGGTCAGGAGATCGAGACCATCCTGGCTAACATGGTGAAACTCCATCTCTACTAAAAATAGAAAAAATTAGCCGGGCGTGGTGGTGGCCGCCTGTAGTCCCAGCTACTCGGGAGGCTGAGGCAGGAAAATGGCGCAAACCTGGGAGGCGGAGCTTGCAGTGAGCCGAGATCGTGCCACTGCACTCCAACCTGGGCGACAGAGCCAGACTCCATCTCAAAAAAAAAAAAAAAAAAAAGTCAGCGTTGTTAAAAACAAATAGTAGTGGAATTAGGCTTTTTTTCCTTTCTTTTTTTTTTTTTTTTTTTTTTTAGACAGAGTCTTACTCTGTCACCTAGGCTGGATGCAGTGGTGTGATCTCAGCTCACTGCAACCTCCACCTCCTGAGTTCAAGCGATTCTCCTGCCTCAGCTTCCTGAGTAGCTGGGACTACAGGCATGCACCACCACACCTGGCTAACTTTTTTGTATTTTAATAGAGATGGGGTTTCACCATGTTGGTCAGGCTGGTCTCAAACACCTGACCTCAAATGGTCTGCCCAGCTCGGCCTCCCAAAGTGCTGGGATTATAGGCATGAGCCACTGCGCCCAGCCAAAAAAGAGACTTATTAACTAAATGTCATGCATGGACCTAGAATGAATCCTGGTTCTAGGGAAAGAGTTATAAAAGACATTCTTGAAATAGCCAGGACAGTTTAAAAATGTATTAAATTGTATTATGGAATTATAAAACGTCCATGTCTGATAATGTTGTTGTAGTTACGTAGACGAATGTATTATTCTTCTATTTATTTATTTATTTAGAGACAAGATCTGGCTCTGTTGCCCAGGCTGAAGTGTAGTGGCACGATCTCAGCTTATGGCGACCTCTGCCTCCTGGGCTCAAGCCATCCTCCCAGCTCACCCTCCTGAGTAGCTGGGACTGCAGGTGCATGCCCCATGCCTGGCTGACTTTTGGTAATTTTTGGAGAGACGGGATTTTACCATGTTGCCCAGGCTGGTTTTGAACTCCTGAGCTCAAGTAATGTGCCCACCTCGGCCTCCCAAAGTGAGGCCACAGCACCCGACCCTTAGCCTTAAAGGATGCATACTAACACTTAATTTTAGAGATGAACTATCAACATGTATGCAATTTACTTTCAAATGCTAAAGCCAAAAAAAATCTGTGTGTGGTGTGTTTAAAAAGTGAGGTGGGGCCGGGCACAGTGGCTCACACCTATAATCCCAACACTTTGGGAGGCTGAGGGCAGATCACCTGAGGTCAGGAGTTCAAGACCAGCCTGGCCAACATGGTGAAACACCATCTCTACTAAAAATACAAAAATTGGCCCAGTGCGGTGGCTCAGGCCTGTAATCCCAGCACTTTGGGAGGCCTAGGTGGGCAGATCATGAGGTCAGGAGTTCAAGACCATCCTGGCTAACACAGTGAAACCCCGTCTCTACTAAAAATACAGAAAAATTAGCAGAGCGTGGTGGCAGGCACCTGCAATCCCAGCTACTCGGGAGGCTGAGGCAGGAGAATCTTGTGTACCTGGGAGGTGGAGGTTGCAATGAGTTGAGATTGAGCCACTGCACTCCAGCCTGGGCAAAAGAGTGAGACTCCGTCTCAAATTTAAAAAAAAATTAGCCTGGCGTAGTGGTGCCCGCCTGTAGTCCTAGCTATTCGGGAGGCTGAGGCAGAAGAATTGCTTGAACCCAGGGGGCAGAGGTTGCAGTGAGCAGAGATGGCACCATTGCACTCCAGCCTGGGTGACAGAGTGAGACTCTGTCTCAAGAAAAAAAAAAAAATGGTGAGGTAGGAGGGAAAGATAGAGAGATAGAGAGAAAAACATTTAAAAACCTTGGATTATTCAGGTGGGTGGGATAATATAATAACCCCTCCCCATCACTCTCCTCCTAACCTGCTTTTTTTTTTTTTTTTTTTGTAGCATGTAGCACCATCTAACATTATATTATCTATTTGTTACTTTTTTATTAGACATCTCCTCCATCCCCAGTTAGATGCTAGGAACTCCATGATGCTAGAAACAAGTCCACCTTGTTTTTTATTATTCTCCATCAAGTAGTCAATTCTCTTTGAATGGATGAAGAACATACTTGCTATGCAGCTGGAACATCTAGAAAAGCCCATTCACTCTAAATCCCACCATTCCTCTATCCCTTCCAAGAATTAACTTTTCCCTTGCTCTGAACTTCCATAACACTTTCAACTTCTAGTATTCCATAATGTTGAGACGCAGTAAGGGAGTGATTATAGGCTGGGCGTGGTGGTTCAGGCCTGGAATCCCAGCACTTTGGGAGGCCAAGGAGGGCAGATCACTTGAGACCAGCCTGGCCAACATGGTGAAACCCTCTGTCTACTAAAAATACAAAAATTAGCCAGGCATGGTGGCGGGCGCCTGTAATCCCAGCTACTCGGGAGGCTGAGACAGGAGAATCGCTTGAACCTGGGAGGTGGAGGTTGCGGTGAGCTGAGATTATGCTGCTGCACTCCAGCCTGGGCGACAGAGCGAGACTCCATCTCAAAAAATTAAAAAATACAAAAATAAAGAGAATGATCATGAAGCATTACATGGTGAAAATGCACCTGAGATTGGTCTTGAAATATGAGCAGGTTTATAGCAAAGGAAGATTGAAGGAAGCCCAAAAATCACATTCACTGCAGTGCCTAACTCAGATGCAGGGGAATCAGCTTCACTCCTCTTTTCCTCTCTCTCTCTCCCTCTCTCTCTCTCATCCATCAGGGATGGTCACTGAAGGACAATCAAATTATGTCTGCTTTACTTCCTGAATTCCTCATAAATCTAACCCCCTTTTTGCTTCCCCAAGTCCCTTGCCCCAGCTCAGGCCTTATTCTCTCTTTTTTTTTTTTTTTTGTTTTTTTTTTGAGGTGGAGTCTCACTGTGTCACCCAGGTTGGAGTGGTGTAATGGCGCCATCTCAGCTCACTGCAACCTCTGCCTCCCGGGTTCAAGTGATTCTCCTGCCTCAGCCTCCTGAGTAGCTGAGATTACAGACGTGCGCCACCATGCCCGGCTAATTTTTGTATTTTTAGTAGAGATGGGGTTTCACCATGTTGGCCAGGCTGGTCTCGAACCCCTGACTTCGTGATCCGCCAACCTCAGCCTCCCAAAGTGCTGGGATTACAGGCGTGAGCTACCGTGCCCGGCCTTCAGGCCTTATTCTGTATGTTTGTACCATTGTTCCAAAATCCTCATCTCCGTTTCTGAAACCCAAAGCAGACTCTATCCCTCCAGGCTCAGAACTCTTCCTTGGCTCCTCATTGTCCACAGGAGAAACAAGTCAGCCTGTCGTTCCAGGCTGTCTGTGATCTGGTTCCTGCTGACAACACCTGCCTCATAGTTCACTCCAACCCCAGACTTAAGGTCCAAGTTTCACATTACAGCTCTAAATAACAAACATTCTGCCAGGTGCGGTGGCTCATGCCTGTAATCTCAGCACTTTGGGAGGCTGAGGTGGGCAGATCACTTGAGGTCAGGAGTTCGAGACCAGCCTGGCCAACATGGTGAAACCCCGTCTCTACAAAAATACAAAAAAAAATTAGCCAGGCATGGTGGTGCACGTTTGTAATCCCAGCTACTCAGGAGGCTGAGGCATGAGAATTGCTTGAACCGAAGAGGTAAAGGTAGCAGTGAGCCGACATTGCACCATTGCACTCCAGCCTGGGCAACAGAGCAAGACACTGCCTCAATAAGTAAATAAATAAATAAATAAATACCAATCTCCATAAGCAGAATCAGGACCAGGGTCTGATGAGAAAGAAAGAAATATTTCCACCGAGGAAGAGATTTTGTTTTCTTTTTTCTTTGTAGTAAGTCATTCTTATCGTTGCTTTTTCTTTCTGGCCATTTTGCATTAGCCCTGGTTCTCCAAAAATAACCTTATTTTCCCTTTCTCTTTTTCTCCCCTCCCTTCCTCCTTTCTATCTCTGCAATCCAACTCTCTTACTCTCCTCCCACCCCCTCAACTACATCTGCTTTGTAATTCTTAAAGCACAGTAGGCAAGAGTCACCTACATTCCAAGCTGAATAGAACCATCCTGACTTGAGAGCAACTGGGTTTCAGGACCATGGACAGGTGCACTGGCGTCGACCTCTGTCTTAGCTGCCTTCTTTTTTTCTTTCCTTTTTTTTTTTTTTTGAGATGGAGTTTCGCTCTTGTTGCCCAAGCTGGAGTGCAATGGTGCGATCTCGGCTCACTGCAACCTCCGCCTCCCGGGTTCAAGCGATTCTCCTGCCTCAGCCTCCTGAGTAGCTGGGATTACAGGCGCCTGCCACCAGGCCTGGCTAATTTTTGTGTTTTTAATAGAGACGGGGTTTCACCATGTTGGCTAGTCTGGTCTCGAACTCCTAACCTCAGGTGACCTGCCTGCCTCGGCCTCCCAATGTGCTGGGATTACAGGCGTGAGCCACCATGGCTGGCCTGTCCTAGCTCCTTTCTAGGACCTTATCGCATGCTGTGAATCCCATCTCCAAACCAGGCTCTTTTCTTTCTGGACTTGAAAATTTCCCCCTGACCCTTTCGGCATCAACTTAGCTGTCACCTTTTCCTGGGAGCCCTCCCTGGTCTCTCTCACCCTCTCCAGAGCACCCTACTATGTCAGGTTAATGCATCTTCCCTTTTCTTAGAATATGCAAGACTGTCACTCATCCCTTCTGCCCTCACTCATTCTGGAAATATTTCAGTTTGCACTTCATACAAACAACACCTCTAGGCTCTAAGATACAAACAAGAACATGTTTGAAAAGGTCTCAGCCCAGCTGCGCCGCAGTGGCTCACGCCTGTAATCCCGGAACTTTGGGAGGCCAAGGTGGGTGGATCACTTGAGGTCAGGGGTTTGAGACCAGCCTGGCCAACATGGTGGAATCCCGTCTCTACTAAAAATACAAAAATTAGCCAGGCGTGGTGGCAGGTGCCTGTAATCCCAGCTACATGGGAGGCTAAGGCAGGAGATCACGCCACTGTACTCCAGCCTGGGTGACAAAGCAAGACTCTGTCTCAAAAAAAAAGAAAAAAAGAAAAAGGAAAGAAAAGGTCTCAGCATCCCCCTCACTCTTCTTTTTTCTGAGACAGAGTCTTGTTCTGTCGACCAAGCTAGAGTGCAGTGGCATGATCTTGGCTTAGTGCAGCCTTCACCTTCCAGGTTCAAGTGATTCTCCTGCCTCAGCCTCCCAAGTAGCTGGGACTATAGGGGCCCACCACCATGCCCAGTCAATTTTTCTATTTTTAGTGGAGATAGGGTTTCACCATGTTGGCCAGGCTGGTCTCGAACTCCTGACCTCAAGTGATCCACCCACCTTGGCCTCTCAAAGTGCTGGGCTTACAGGCATGAGCCACCGCACCTGGCCTGTCCCAGCCCTTTTGAAGATTACATTCTGATACAAGAAGACAAAAAACAAATGGCACAACAGTAGCAATAAATGCTATGAAAAAATATGAAATAAAGCATGTGATAGTATCGCCAGGGTAAGGGAATACTAGGTACTGTTGTCAGAGAAAGCAACTCTGAAGAGAAAAAGTTTGAGGCTTCTGAGAATTAGGGTCGGGTGGAGTTGGAGGTGGGGAAAGGACTTCCAAGCAGGGAGGAATAATGAGTGTACGAAGTCCTGAGGTGAGGCTGTGATTAGCATTTTCAAGGAGAAGAATGAGGCCAGTGTGGCTGAAGTTACAAGCAATGCGGAGAGTGCTAGTGGGTGAGGAGATGAGGTCAGAGATCTGAGCAGTAGCCAAATCATAGAAGACGTTGGAGGACAGACTGAGGCATTTGGGTGTATTCTAAGTGTAATGGGGATCTATTGAAGGGATTTAAGAAAAAGTGTGAAAAGCTTTGACTGACAGGTAGTCGGGAGCTGTTCTGTGAGTGAGTGCACATGGGCTACACATGAGATTTAATTGTGTTTTCTGTGCCAAGGACAGGGCCTGGTATACAGGACATCTGAAGATTGAATGAATAAGCATATCCACAGATCATGTTTAATGATCAGGGGCTAATGTGGGACAGGCATGCACATGCCTCTTATGACCTGGAAAAAAACCAATGCCCGTCTAGCTTCCTCCCACTTCTACCAACCACATCCAGTCAGTCATCTGATTCTATTGATTCTTCCATCAATATCCCTCTCTCACATGGCCATCCAATTGCCTTTTCCTCACATCTCCAGCCCCAGCACAGACCTTATCTGCTACGGCCTGGGCCACTACACAAGCATCCTCAGTTTGTACATTTCCAGTCTCTTTCCCTCTAGTCCATCCCCAGCAGAGGTCCCTGTGAGACATTTAATGCGCAGCTGTGACCGTAATCCTCCTGCCTGAGCCCTTCCACTGGTTTCTCCACAATTGAATGCCAACTCCACCAATACCAGACCTGGGGCAACTCCCCCAATGACCAGCCTGGGGCAAGTCCACCAATGACCAGACCTGGGGCAAGTCCACCAATGACCAGCCTGGGACAACTCCACCAATGACCAGCCTGGGGCAAGTCCACCAATGACCAGCCTGGGGCAACTCCACCAATGGCCATACCTGTGGCAAGTCCACCAATGACCAGCCTGGGACAACTCCACCAATGACCAGACCTGGGGCAACTCCACCAATACCAGACCTGGGGCAACTCCACCAATACCAGACCTGGGGCAACTCCACCAATGACCAGGCCTGGGGACAACTCCACCAATGACCAGACCTGGGACAACTCCACCAATGACCAGACCTGGGGCAACTCCACCAATGACCAGACCTGGGGCAAGTCCGCCAATGACCAGCCTGGGGCAAGTCCACCAATGACCAGACCTGGGGCAACTTCACCAATGACCAGACCTGGGGCAAGTCCACCAATGACCAGCCCTAGGCAAGTCCACCAATGACCAGCCCTAGGCAAGTCCACCAATGACCAGACCTGGGGCAACTCCACCAATGACCAGACCTGGGGCAAGTCCACCAATGACCAGCCCTAGGCAAGTCCACCAATACCAGACCTGGGGCAACTCCACCAATACCAGACCTCGGACAACACCACCAATCACCAGCCTGGGACAACTCCACCAATGACCAGACCTGGGGCAACTCCACCAATGACCAGACCTGGGGCAAGTACACCAATGACCAGCCTGGGGCAAGTCCACCAATGACCAGACCTGGGGCAACTCCACCAATGACCAGACCTGGGGCAAGTCCACCAATGACCAGCACTAGGCAAGTCCACCAATGACCAGCCCTAGGCAAGTCCACCAATGACCAGACCTGGGGCAACTCCACCAATACCAGAACTGGGGCAACTCCACCAATACCAGACCTGGGGCAACTCCACCAATACCAGACCTCGGACAACTCCACCAATGACCAGCCTGGGGCAAGTCCACCAATGACCAGCCTGGGCAACTCCACCAATGACCAGCCTGGGGCAACTCCACCAATACCAGACCTCGGACAACTCCACCAATACCAGACCTGGGGCAACTCCACCAATAACCAGGCCTGGGGACAACTCCACCAATACCAGACCTCGGACAACTCCACCAATGACCAGACCTGGGACAACTCCACCAATGACCAGACCTGGGGCAACTCCACCAATGACCAGGCCTGGGGACAACTCCACCAATGACCAGACCTGGGGACAACTCCACCAATGACCAGACCTGCGGCAAGTCCACCAATGACCAGGCCTGGGGCAACTCCACCAATGACCAGACCTGGGGAAAGTCCACCAATGACCAGACCTGGGGCAACTCCACCAATGACCAGACCTGGGGCAACTGCACCAATGACCAGACCTGGGACAACTCCACCAATGACCAGACCTGGGACCAACTCCACCAATGACCAGACCTGGGGCAAGTCCACCAATAACCAGACCTGGGGCAAGTCCACCAATACCCAGACCTGGGGACAACTCCACCAATGACCAGACCTGGGGACAACTCCACCAATGACCAGGCCTGGGGCAACTCCACCAATGACCAGGCCTGGGGACAACTCCACCAATGACCAGGCCTGGGGACAACTCCACCAATACCAGACCTGGGGACAACTCCACCAATACCAGACCTGGGGACAACTCCACCAATGACCAGACCTGGGGCAACTCCACCAATGACCAGGCCTGGGGCAACTCCACCAATGACCAGGCCTGGGGCAACTCCACCAATGACCAGACCTGGGGCAACTCCACCAATGACCAGACCTGGGGCAACTGCACCAATGACCAGACCTGGGGCAACTCCACCAATGACCAGACCTGGGGCAACTCCACCAATGACCAGACCTGGGACAACTCCACCAATGACCAGGCCTGGGACAACTCCACCAATGACCAGACCTGGGGCAACTGCACCAATGACCAGACCTGGGACAACTCCACCAATGACCAGACCTGGGGCAACTCCACCAATGACCAGCCTGGGACAACTCCACCAATGACCAGACCTGGGACAACTCCACCAATGACCAGACCTGGGGCAACTCCACCAATGACCAGCCTGGGACAACTCCACCAATGACCAGACCTGGGACAACTCCACCAATGACCAGGCCTGGGGACAACTCCACCAATACCAGACCTGGGGACAACTCCACCAATACCAGACCTGGGGACAACTCCACCAATGACCAGACCTGGGGCAACTCCACCAATGACCAGGCCTGGGGCAACTCCACCAATGACCAGCCTGAGTCAACTCCACCAATGACCAGACCTGGGGCAACTGCACCAATGACCAGACCTGGGACAACTCCACCAATGACCAGACCTGGGGCAACTCCACCAATGACGAGCCTGGGACAACCCCACCAATGACCAGACCTGGGACAACTCCACCAATGACCAGACCTGGGGCAACTCCACCAATGACCAGACCTGGGGCAACTCCACCAATGACCAGCCTGGGACAACTCCACCAATGACCAGGCCTGGGGACAACTGCACCAATGACCAGGCCTGGGACAACTGCACCAATGACCAGGCCTGGGGCAACTGCACCAATGACCAGTCCTGGGACAACTCCACCAATGACCAGACCTGGGGCAACTCCACCAATGACCAGACCTGGGACAACTCCACCAATGACCAGGCCTGGGGCAACTCCACCAATGACCAGCCTGAGTCAACTCCACCAATGACCAGACCTGGGGCAACTGCACCAATGACCAGACCTGGGACAACTCCACCAATGACCAGACCTGGGGCAACTCCACCAATGACGAGCCTGGGACAACCCCACCAATGACCAGACCTGGGACAACTCCACCAATGACCAGACCTGGGGCAACTCCACCAATGACCAGACCTGGGGCAACTCCACCAATGACCAGCCTGGGACAACTGCACCAATGACCAGGCCTGGGGACAACTGCACCAATGACCAGGCCTGGGACAACTGCACCAATGACCAGTCCTGGGACAACTCCACCAATGACCAGACCTGGGGCAACTCCACCAATGACCAGCCTGGGACAACTCCACCAATGACCAGACCTGGGACAACTCCACCAATGACCAGACCTGGGGCAACTCCACCAATGACCAGCCTGGGACAACTCCACCAATGACCAGACCTGGGACAACTCCACCAATGACCAGGCCTGGGGACAACTCCACCAATGACCAGGCCTGGGGACAACTCCACCAATGACCAGGCCTGGGGACAACTCCACCAATGACCAGACCTGGGGACAACTCCACCAATACCAGACCTGGGGCAACTGCACCAATGACCAGACCTGGGGACAACTCCACCAATGACCAGACCTGGGGACAACTCCACCAATACCAGACCTGGGGCAACTCCACCAATGACCAGCCTGGGACAACTCCACCAATGACCAGACCTGGGGACAACTCCACCAATGACCAGGCCTGGGGCAACTCCACCAATGACCAGGCCTGGGGACAACTCCACCAATACCAGACCTGGGGCAACTCCACCAATACCAGGCCTGGGGACAACTCCACCAATGACCAGACCTGGGGACAACTCCACCAATGACCAGGCCTGGGGCAACTCCACCAATGACCAGGCCTGGGGCAACTCCACCAATGACCAGACCTGGGGACAACTCCACCAATACCAGACCTGGGGACAACTCCACCAATGACCAGCCTGGGACAACTCCACCAATGACCAGCCTGGGACAACTCCACCAATGACCAGACCTGGGGCAACTCCACCAATGACCAGACCTGGGGACAACTCCACCAATGACCAGACCTGGGACAACTCCACCAATACCAGACCTGGGGCAACTCCACCAATGACCAGCCTGGGACAGCTCCACCAATGACCAGACCTGGGGCAAGTCCACCAATGACCAGACCTGGGGCAAGTCCACCAATGACCAGACCTGGGGACGACTCCACCAATGACCAGACCTGGGGACGACTCCACCAATGACCAGACCTGGGGCAACTCCACCAATGACCAGCCTGGGGCAACTCCACCAATGACCAGACCTGGGGCAACTCCACCAATACCAGACCTGGGGCAACTCCACCAATGACCAGGCCTGGGGACAACTCCAGCAATACCAGACCTGGGGCAACTCCACCAATGACCAGCCTGGGGCAACTCCACCAATGACCAGACCTGGGGCAACTCCACCAATGACCAGACCTGGGGACGACTCCACCAATGACCAGCCTGGGGCAAGTCCACCAATGACCAGACCTGGGGCAAGTCCACCAATGACCAGACCTGAGGCAACTCCACCAATGACCAGACCTGGGGCAACTCCACCAATGACCAGACCTGGGGCAACTCCACCAATACCAGGCCTGGGGACAACTCCACCAATGACCAGCCTGGGGCAAGTCCACCAATGACCAGCCTGGGGCAACTCCACCAATGACCAGACCTGGGGCAACTCCACCAATACCAGGCCTGGGGACAACTCCACCAATGACCAGACCTGGGGCAAGTCCACCAATGACCAGGCCTGGGGCAACTCCACCAATGACCAGCCTGGGGCAACTCCACCAATGACCAGCCTGGGGCAACTCCACCAATGACCAGCCTGGGGCAAGTCCACCAATGACCAGCCTGGGGCAAGTCCACCAATGACCAGACCTGGGGACAACTCCACCAATGACCAGACCTGGGACAACTCCACCAATGACCAGACCTGGGGCAACTCCACCAATACCAGGCCTGGGGACAACTCCACCAATGACCAGCCTGGGGCAAGTCCACCAATGACCAGCCTGGGGCAACTCCACCAATGACCAGACCTGGGGCAACTCCACCAATGACCAGCCTGGGACAGCTCCACCAATGACCAGACCTGGAGCAAGTCCACCAATGACCAGACCTGGGGCAACTCCACCAATGACCAGCCTGGGGCAACTCCACCAATGACCAGACCTGGGGCAACTCCACCAATACCAGACCTGGGGCAACTCCACCAATGACCAGGCCTGGGGACAACTCCACCAATGACCAGCCTGGGGCAACTCCACCAATGACCAGCCTGGGGCAACTCCACCAATGACCAGACCTGGGGCAACTCCACCAATGACCAGACCTGGGGACGACTCCACCAATGACCGGCCTGGGGCAAGTCCACCAATGACCAGACCTGGGGCAAGTCCACCAATGACCAGACCTGAGGCAACTCCACCAATGACCAGACCTGGGGAAACTCCACCAATGACCAGACCTGGGGCAACTCCACCAATGACCAGACCTGGGGCAACTCCACCAATACCAGGCCTGGGGACAACTCCACCAATGACCAGCCTGGGGCAAGTCCACCAATGACCAGCCTGGGGCAACTCCACCAATGACCAGACCTGGGGCAACTCCACCAATACCAGGCCTGGGGACAACTCCACCAATGACCAGACCTGGGGCAAGTCCACCAATGACCAGGCCTGGGGCAACTCCACCAATGACCAGCCTGGGGCAACTCCACCAATGACCAGCCTGGGGCAAGTCCACCAATGACCAGCCTGGGGCAAGTCCACCAATGACCAGACCTGGGGCAACTCCACCAATACCAGGCCTGGGGACAACTCCACCAATGACCAGACCTGGGGCAACTCCACCAATACCAGGCCTGGGGACAACTCCACCAATGACCAGCCTGGGGCAAGTCCACCAATGACCAGCCTGGGGCAAGTCCACCAATGACCAGCCTGGGGCAACTCCACCAATGACCAGACCTGGGGCAACTCCACCAATACCGGGCCTGGGGCAAGTCCACCAATGACCAGCCTGGGGCAACTCCACCAATACCAGACCTGGGCAACTCCACCAATGACCAGCCTGGGGCAACTCCACCAATGACCAGACCTGGGGCAACTCCACCAATACCAGGCCTGGGGACAACTCCACCAATGACCAGCCTGGGGCAAGTCCACCAATGACCAGCCTGGGGCAACTCCACCAATGACCAGCCTGGGGCAAGTCCACCAATGACCAGCCTGGGGCAACTCCACCAATGACCAGACCTGAGGCAACTCCACCAATACCAGGCCTGGGGACAACTCCACCAATGACCAGACCTGGGGCAAGTCCACCAATGACCAGCCTGGGGCAACTCCACCAATGACCAGCCTGGGGCAAGTCCACCAATGACCAGGCCTGGGGACAACTCCACCAATGACCAGACCTGGGACAACTCCACCAATGACCAGACCTGGGCAACTCCACCAATGACCAGGTCTGGGGCAATCCCTGTCTTTCTCTCTCTGAGGCCTGGTTTCCTCATTGCGAACAGGAGGCAGTCACCCCAGGCTATTCCATTCCAAGTCCCAAGGCATTGGTACTATTTCTGTCCTTAACTTCTCCTTTTAAATCTCCTTCTTTTTTGTGATCTTAATCTTGGTGGGGCAGCATAATGCCATGGTGAGGAGGCTGGGTTGGGAAAATTTGAAATTTGGCCAGAAGGGGAGAAAAATTAAAAAATCAAAATAAGGGCAACGTGCGGTGGCTCACGCCTGCAATTCCAGCACTTCGGGAGGCCGAGGCGGGCGGATCACCTGAGGTCGAGAGTTCAAGACCATCCTGGCTAACACAGTGAAACCCCGTCTCTACTAAAAATACAAAAAATTAGCCGGGTGCACTGGCACATGCCTGTAATCCCAGCTACTCGGGAGGCTGAGGCAGGAGAATCGCTTGAACCTGGGACGCGGAGGTTGCAGTGAGCCGAGATCGCGCCATTGCACTCCAGCCTGGGCGACGAGAGCGAAACTCCATCTCAAAAAAATAAAAAATAAAAAAGTAAAATAAAAATTCAAAAATTGTTTGTTACTACTCGTACTGCTACTACTGCTACTATCACCAGCACCAGCACCACCACCGCTAGTACTACTATCATTACTACATTTATTTATTTACTTAAAACAACAAGTGTTCAGTGCTTACTGTTACAGTCCAGGCAGTGGGTCGGATGCTTTACATTCATGATCTAAATGAGGGGTTGGCAAATGATGACCTGGCCCATTGCCTGCTTTTGTATGGTTTGTGAGCTAAGCAGGATTTTTACCTATTATTCTTCTTTTGATTTAAAAAAAAATCAAAAGAAGAAGAATATTTCATGCACATGAAAATTACATTGAACTCAAATTTGAGAGTCCACAAATAGTCACTGGAACATAGCCACTCCCATTTGCTTACACCTGGCAGCTTTTGTACTACAGTGGCCAAGTTGCATCCCAGTAGAGTTGAATAGTTGCATCGGAGAACCTATGGCTCACGTAGCCTAAAATATTTGCTATCTGGCCCTAAGCAGAAAAAGCTTGCCAACCACTGATCAAGATTTGTCCCCTCAATAACTCCACAAAAGAAGGCTTTGGTTCAAACCGTAAGTGGTAGAGGCAAGATTTGAACCCAATTCTTCCTAGGTTTACAACATGTGGCCTTCAGCCACTATACACCCCAAGCTTGGCAGCACATGCCTGGATACCTTGGGGTGGAGTGCATAGGTCATAGCCTGTGAAATGAATGCTAGGAAGGAATTCAGGCAGTTGGATTCAATCTCTTCCGAATTACTCTATTGTTACCCTAGAGACGTGACTTCCAGCCTGCCTGCACCACTGATCCTCAGCATGACCTTGGGCAGTCAGTTCCTGGTGCAGTGGGTGGTATAAGCATGGATTTAGGAATCAGAATACCCTAGATTCCAATCCAGTTCTGCCATTGACAAGCTATGTCGCCTCTTCGAGCCTCTGTTTCCATTCCTGTGAACCGCAAACAATGGGACTTTCCTTATCATGATTTTGACAGGTTGAATAAAAATCCCCATGCTATCTACTCTTGCCCCACTTTTTGTCTCTAGGCTACTATTTTTCCATTTGAAAAATGATGAGACCTTTCCGCTCTCACACTCTAGGATCGTGATATTCTCCGTGTCTTATTTTAGCTCAGTGTCTGGGCTCCACCCGCTGTGATTCAAGTTTGCACGGAGGTTGCACCCTGCTTTCCCTGGAAAAGGTCTCTTCAGGTTAGGTTGAAGGCATGGGGGAGGTTGCACCAAGAGGAGCCTGGGTGAGGAGCAGAGACTGGAGGAGAGGATATTGGATCAGGTGCTTTGGATCTTAGTTGCTTAGTTGGAGGATCCCTTTTCAACGATTTGCACAGCCACTGAAAAGAGGGAGCTGAGTGCCGGCCCCAGGGGACAGAATGGAGCTGAGACATGCAGTGGGGTTTGTTCATAAACTATCAACTGAATTACAAGAACCTGATTTGAGTTTAATTAAATTATGTTGAATTCATTTGAAATGAACTGAAGAATTGAGTCAGAATGAATTGGGGTTAGCTGGGTTGGATGGATGGAGTTAAATGTACTCGAGCTGAGTTGATTTGGGCTGATTTTAGCTGAATTGGACTGAATTGGATTGGACTGAGTTGAAATTTGGAGGAGAGTAACACTCAAGAAAAAAGCTTTAGGCCAGGCACAGTGGCTCATGCCTGTAATCCCAGCACTTCGGGAGGCTAAGGCAGGAGGATCACTTGAGGCCAGGAGTTCAAGACCAGCCTGGCCAACATGGCAAAACCCCATCTCTACTAAAAATACAAAAATTAGCTGGGCATGGTGGCACACACCTGTAATCCCAGCTATTCGGGAAGGTGAGACAGGAGAATCGCTTGAACCCGGGAGGCAGAGGTTGCAATGGGCCGAGATCACGCCAGTGGGCTCCAGCCTGGGCAACAGAGGGAGACTCCGTCTCAAAAAAAAAAAAAAAAAGCCAGGCGCAGGGGCTCACACCTGTAATCCCAGCACTTTGGGAGGCCGAGGTGGGCAGATCACCTGCGGTCGGGAGTTTGAAACCAGCCTGACGAACATGAAGAAACCCCGTCTCTATTAAAAAAAAAAAAAAAAATAGAAAATTAGCCGGGCGTAGTGGCACATGCCTGTAATCCCAGCTACTTGGGAGGCTGAGGCAGGAGAATTGTCTGAACCCGGGAGGCAGAGGTTGTGGTGAGCTGAGATCGTGCCATTGTACTCCAGCCTGGGCAACAAGAGCAAAACTCAGTCAAAAAAAAAAAAAAAAAAAAGAAAGAAAGAAAAAAGGCATTGCTGGAACTCTGGACACTGAAGTCCTCTGGAAATAGTTTACACTAGTATCTTGGGCAACTCTCTATGCAATTCTGGGCCTTGGTACTTATGGGCAACTCTCTATGCAATTCTGGGCCTTGGTACCCCCATGTTATCAAGTGAGTGCTAATAATAACTCCTGGGTAGCGATGTTAGGAGACGGGTGTGAGATCACATATGCAAAAGAGGCTTGTGCCTCAAAAGAAGGAAAAAAAAACTGTAAACAAATATTGAACTCTAGCTAATCACGTGTACGATGACGTAAGTAGGGTGAAGTGTAGTGATGCCTGAAACTTACTCTGAAATGCATCTAGACAATAAGGTGGATTGATGGATGGTTGGACATATAGACAGATGGACAGACGCAAGACCATGCAAGTCTAGTGACCTGTCAATGGTTGACTCTAAGTGGTGGCTACATGGGTGTTCCCTATACAGTTCTTTGGACTTTTCCATTTATTTGAAAAAATTTAAAACAAAATATTGCACAGAAAATAAGCAGCCTTGTAAACTGTTAATTGCAGTTTATCAGCAGTGGTTAAAAATACAGCCTCCGGAGGCGAATTGCGTGAGTTTCATTCCCAGCTCTACCTCTCACTAGTTGTATGGCCCTAAGCAAATGACTTCATCCCTCTGAGTGTCTGTTTCCATATCTGTAAAATGGGCTATTAATAGGATTTACCTCACAAGGTTGTTGCGAGTGTGAGAATAGAGCCTGGTACCTAATTAGCACCCAGTAAGCCCTCGCTATAATGTGGTCCTCTGAAGGACGCTTTGCAATGGGCACTGCTATTTCCATTGCACATAGAAGGAAAGTGGGGCTCAGAGAGGGTCTGCACCTCCTCCCAGGCCACACAGCAAGGAAGTGGCTAAGTGGAAAAGGAACCACAGGTCCCTGGAACTGGAAATGGTCCCCCCCAACCCCCAAGTCCTTAGGCTCACCCGATAGTATGAAGAAGATGCCAGAGACAAAAGCCAGAATGGTCCTCTGCGGGCGGATGTGGCCGATGTTGCTGATGACGAAGGCCGTGAACACGAGGAAGAGGCTGACCATGGGGAAGGGGGTGGCCGTGCGCACTGTCTCTGGGGAGGGGATGGGGAGAGACAGGGGTGAGGGGGGAATCTCCAGTGGGACACTTCCCCATTCCTTGACCTCTGCTCTCACCACCTCTGCGTTTTTGTTTGGCTCCTCCCTTTCCTTACTGACTCCTCCCCTTCCCCACTGACTCTTCTCCTTCCCCTGATATTTCCTCGGCAGACACAAGCCTGCCACGCCCCCTCACACAGGCCACACCTCCTTGGGCTTAACTCCGCCCCCTTTCTGATTGACCGCTCCTCACCAACCGGACCTCACCCCTTCAACCTTGCTCTTTCTCCTTACCTAACCACCACTCTGCCTTGCCTTCTTTCTTTCTTCCTTCCTTTTATTTATTTTTTTTTTTGAGACAGAGTCTCACTCTGTGAGTTGCCCAGGCTGGAGTGCAGTGGTGAAATCTTGGCTCACTGCAAGCTCCACCTCCCAGGTTCAAGCGATTCTCCTGCCTCAGCCTCCTGAGTAGCTGGGACTACAGGCACGCGCCACCACGCCCAGCTAATTTTTGAATTTTTAGTAGAGACAAGGTTTCACCATGTTGGCCAGGCTGGTTTCGAACTCCTGACCTCAGGTGATCCACCCACCTCAGCCTCCTAAAGTGCTGGGATTACAGGTGTGAGCCACCATGCCTGGCCCATTCTGCCTTCTTTCAAGCCTCCCCTCCTTCCCTTGGACCCCACCCTTTCCCTAGTCCTGCCCCCTCCCAGGACTCCACGACTCGGCTGTGATCTTGCTGTCTTGTGCCTAGGTGCCCCCACATCCCCTCACTCAGAATATTCTCCGTGTTTTCCGTCACCAAATTGATCTCCGGTTCAAGAAAATATTCTGAGGCCACACAGCGACCTTTCTCCCGACCTGGGGGGAAGAGAAACAGACAGGGCTGGATGAGAGGCTCCTAAGCTCTAGAGAGGCTGGGGGTGGGGGCAGGACAGATAGAGGGGAGACCCCAGGATGGGGGAGCAAGGCCTAACCCAAGGGTTACGAGCTGTACTACTCCAGGGGTGTTGGGAAAGCGGGTGGGTGGATGTCTGTCTGGGATTCCTCTTTCTTTTCTTTTTCTTTTTTTCTTTTTTTTTTTTTTGAGATGGAGTCTCACTCTGTTGCCCAGGCTGGAGTGCAGTGGCACGATCTCGGCTCACCACAACCTCTACCTCCCAGGTTCAAGTGATTCTCCTGCCTCAGCCTCCTGAGTAGCTGGGACTACAGGCATGCGCCACTATGCCTGGCTAATTTCTGTATTTTTAGTAGAGACGGGGTTTCACCATGTTGGCCAGACTGGTCTCAAACTCCTGACCTTGTGATCCACCTGCCTTGGCCCCCCAAAGTGCTGGGATTACAGGCATAAGCCATTGCACCTGGCCTGGAACTCCTCTTTCTAACTGCCCTAGAGACTCCTGCTTGAAGGAGGACAAGGCTGGAACTCTAGGTCTTAAGCAACAAAGGGGCTGTAGATCAGAACTTGTGGTCCCTAAAGAGGACGAGGTCTGGGGAGCCAGGATTCTTACAATGAATTGGTCTTTGTGGTCCCTGGGAGGTATAGATTTTCTTTTTTTTTTTTTTTTTTTTTTTAAGAGACTGGGTTTTGCTCTGTCACCCAGGTTGGAGTACAGCAGCACCGTCATAGCTCACTGCAGCCTCGAACTCCTGGACACAAGCAATCTTCCCACCTCAGCCTCCTGAATAACTGGAACTACAGGTGCATGCCAGCAGTCAGAGCTAGGGAGAGTGAGATGGAGTCTCACTCTGTCTCCTAGGCTGGAGCGCAGTGGCAGTGGTGTGATTTCAGCTCACTGCAACCTCCACCTCCCGTGTTCAAGTGATTCTCCTGCCTCAGCCTCCCAAGTAGCTGGGATTACAGGGGTGCACCACCACATACAGCTAATTTTTGTATTTTTAGTAGAGACGGGGTTTCACCATGTCGGCCAGGCTGGTCTCAAACTCCTGAGCTCAAGGGATACTCCTGCCTTGGCCTCCCAAAGTGCTGGGATTACAGGCATGAGCCACCGCGCCCGTCCCATGCATTTTTTTTTTTTTAATCTTGCCCATTCAGCACTGAAATTGTGCAGGGGACAAGTTCTAAACCTAGACTACAAACTTTAAAGGAAGGCTCCAGAATTCCTTAGGGGTTAGGGGCCTGGAGCATTGGGGCTCCTAGATCCAGGAATAAAGGGCTAGTCACTGGGGCTCCACGTAGAAATTTGAACTTCCAGGAGAGAATCAGGATCCGTTTCTGGATTTCTGGAACTCAAGGGATGGGACTATGGCTAAGACTCTCAGACCCCAGGCAAGGCAGAAACTGTTGAGTGGAAGACGGGTGAGGGCTGTACCTGCAAAGAAGCAGACTCGCCAGAGGCCGGCGTGCAGGGCCATCTTGACCTCGGTGGTCTGGTTCTGCGGTAGCACTGTGCCTTCTTCCATGTACAGCCAGTAGTCAGTGCTGACCGCGATGCCTACCAGGAGCAGGCCACACGCACCAAACACGCTGCTCAGCAGGGTCAGGGCGCGGCTGCTGCAGTGACTCATCCTCAGAGGCAGGGGGCGCCCTGCGGGGCCTGTGGAAGGGAAGCTACAGTGCAGAGCTCCATGGGACCGACCAGAGTGCTTGACCCCATGCAGCAACCCGGGATGCTGGGCCCTAGCCAGAGACACTGACTCCCAAATCGAAATCTCAGATCTGACCTCCGTGGCCTGACCCATGACCCCAACCCTAGAGTCTGACCAGAGACACCAACTGTTGAGCCTCAGCCTCAGGGCTGGGCTCCCCAAACCTGCTGCCTGTGGTCTAGCTCCAGATCCAGATCCCCAACCCCAGAATTAGATTTCTAATCACAACTTTCAGCCCAGGCCCAGAGATTGAATCTTGGCTCCAACCGTGTTTGGACCTGGGTCCCAAATACTGTGACTCCGAGCAGAAATTCTAATTTGAGCTTCTTAACCCCAGAACCAGGTCCCCCTGCCAAAACCTAACCTCACCTGCTGACCTGAGACCCTAATTTAGAAATCAGATGCCACCAGAGTCCCTAACCTTGAGTGTGGATCAGTGACTCAGAAACTATTAGGCAGATCAATGATTTCAGCTCTAGGACCTGGCATCCTGCAGCCCTGTCTCTGTGTGACGATCGAAGCCCCCGGTTGTGAACACCAGACTCCAACAAGGATCAATAACCTCAACTCTGAGCCAGGACCTAGATCCCAGAGCACAGGGCATTGGGCTTGAACCCTGGATGCTCTACAACTTGAGCTGGCCAGAAACTCTAACCCAGGCTACCCAGTCTTAACTCCATGCCCTAATCTGATGCCCTGATACATTTTCTTGCACCCTGTCTCTGAACTACATCCAGAAATTCCCAAAGTGGGTCACTAACCAAGGATCTCTAACCCCATACCAGGGCTTCACACCCTTGACCTCAGCCCTATCTAAGACTTTGAGCAGAGGCCCCCACTGAAGTTTACACTCAAGATTTGTATCTTGAGCCTAACACCCAATTCTAACACCAAGAACTTGACCCATGACCTTCTAACTCTGATCCTGTGCCTTGACCTCATTTGATACCCCAATTTAAGATGACATCACACATGACATCCTCCCATCCTCCGCCTGGCGGCTCAGGGGTTTGACCGCGAGCTGCCTGGTCCTCTCGCAGCCCTGTGGGTTCGGAAACGGGCACCATCACCCTGGCCACCCTGGCTGCCTCCATCCCAGGTAGCCGATCTCAGCTTCCCCCTTTCGCCCCTCTGACTCTCAGCTGGGACCTCGTCCCTTCTCCACATTCTTGCACCCCGTCTTAAAACCCAATCTTGCTCCAATTCCTCCTCACTCCAGAACCTAGCTCCAGAACCCTAATTCCACCCTCCCAGATCTAGGCAGGCTCCTGGACCTGGAATCCTGGAACATCTTCACAGTCTGCTGAGTCCCAGAACATTGGAACCCAGAGACATAGAACCAGAATCTCGATTACAGATTCCAGAACATCAAAATCAGGAGCTGAGACTGGGTGAGGTGGCTCACACCTGGAATCCCAGCACTTTGGGAGGCTGAGGTGGGTGGATCACTTGAGGTCAGGAGTTTGAGACCAGCCTGGCCAACATGGTGAAACCTTGTCTCTGCTAAAAATACAAAAATTAGCCGGGCACGGTGGCTCACACCTATAATCCCAGATACTCAGGAGGCTGAGGCAGGAGAATAGCTTGAACCTGAGAGGCAAGGTTGCAGTGAGCCGAGATAGCACCATTGCACTTCAGCCTGGGTGACAGAGTGAGACTCCATCTCAAAAAAAAAAATCATGAATGAGCTGGACCCCACCACCACCACCAATCCAGCATCCTCATCAGAGCACCCCAGTCAAACAACGGTCTCTCATCCTTCCAACTAGGATTCAGTGCCCTGAACTCTAAAATCTCAAGCAGGAGTCCCAAAACCCCCTCCCCTAACACACGATCTGAAACTTCCTACCAGAGGTTCTGGACCCCGGTTTCCCATGCTGGGACTTCCAATCACAGATCTTCTTCAACATCCAGCATGGAGTCCCGATTTCATAACATTAGACTCCAAACAGGAGATCCCAGTTCATCTCTGTGGCCTCCCCAATTCCACTTAGGAACCTAGAAATTCCAGCGAGGGAGCTCCTCAACCCAGATCTCAAGGACTTGAAATTCCTTACCCACGATTCTCCCCCGACCCCTGCAAGATTTTTCCCCAAGCCACGCAATCCCGTGATTTGGGGGTCTCAACTTGGGACCCTTAGCCTTTATCAACCAGAGACCTCTACATCCCTGAATACCCGGGATCTTTTTAACTATGAAGGTTGAGACCCCTCAACATTCTCCCCTACAAACTAATCAAGACATAAAACTCCACTTTCCTTCACCAGAATTCTTCTAACCTTGCAACTCTGCTCCACCTGAATAAAGACTCTGGAGTCTGAGACAACCCTCACTCCTCCCCGCTCCACCCCGCACTCCCAGCCTCCAGATCCCCCCTCCTTCCCCCCCAACCTCTTGGAGGCCTCCGAGATCCGGAGTCAGGGAACGCTCTGGCCAGCTTTTCCTCCCATCCCCCGCCTGGCGGCTCAGGGGTTTGACCGCGAGCTGCCTGGTCCCCTCGCAGCCCTGTGGGCTCGGAAACGGGCACCATCACCCTGGCCACCCTGGCTGCCTCCATCCCAGGTAGCCGATCTCAGCTTCCCCCTTTCGCCCCTCTGACTCTCAGCTGGGACCTCGTCCCTTCTCCACATTCTCGCACCCCGTTTTAAAACCCAACCTTGCTCCAATTCCTCCTCCCTCTCACTGGCCCGCCCAGATCTCCTTATTCCTCCAGCCTTTCCTCCTTTGGGACCCTCCCCCCAGGCCTGAAGCCTCCTCTTCTCCCTCTTTCTCCCACCCTTTCCCGGATTCAGGCATTTGAATCTCCGGGGTCCCCTTCTGCAAGTCTTAAGCCCAAACTCCATCTCTCCTCCATCTCTCGGGAGACCGTAACTCCCCCTTTCTGGGACCCCTTTCCAGACCCACATCCTGCTCTGGCCGGGCCTGGGTCCTCCGCCCTCGCCCCGTACCTCGCCTTCCTCAGGGACCCGGCCTCTGCCCTCCCCAGCCCACGCTCGCTGCGACTCGGACGCGAGGAGTGCAGTTTCCCACTCCGGGACCCTCGGACCCCGTCCTCCGGGATCGCCAGGCCCAGGTGTCCCTGCATCCCCCATAGCCGCTCGAATTCGGGCGTCCCGACCGCCAGGATCTCACCACCCCTGGAGCCACTCGGGTCCCTTGTTGCCCCAAACCCGGCTCGCAGCCACCTCGAGGGGCGCCCCTTCTTCCTCCCAGGACCCTCCGCTAGCGCTCACCTCGCTCAGGGCTGGGCGGACGCTCCGGGCCGCGGGCCCCGCAGCCGCATGACCGGCCCCGAGGCTTCCCCCGGCCGCCGCCGCCGCCACCGGGGTCGCCGGTGCCCGCGCCCCCCGCCCCCGCCCCGGAGCCCGGCGTCCCGGCCCCCTCCCGGCCTCCCACCCCCCACCCCCCGCGGCCGCGGCCTCACTCGGCGGACGGAGCCGGGAGCAGGAACCGGCGGCCGCTCATTGGCTACTGCGGAGGAGGGGAGGGGCGGGGAGGGAAGGGGGGAAGGATGCAGCGAGGGAGGGAGATGGGCCTTGAGGATGGGGGAGGCAGAGAGGGAGAGAGAATAGAAACAGAGGCAGAGAGCCCGAGAGGGGCAGAGGCACAAAGAGAGACAGGGCAGAGAGAGAAAGTCACGCCGAGACCTTGAGGCCGAGAAATCCAGGGACTCAGGTCTGGAGACTGAAGGAGACACAGAGACAGAGAGAGACAAAGAGGGAGAGAGACAGAGTTTAAGACCACCCCTCACCACCTAGGCGCAGAGATTCTGAGGCCTGGGAAGTGGAGAGGTCAGAGACCAGGAAGAGACAGAAAGAGACAGGGGGACGCCCAGAGGCCTGGGGCTGAGAGATGCTGAGACCCAGAGACCTTGAGCTTGGAGAAGAGACAGAGACAGAGGCAGAGAGAGAGAGACAGAGAGACAGAGAGAGACAGAGAGAGACTCTGAGAAGGAGAGACAGCAGGGACAATCCTGGGGGTCCCCTGACGAGGACTGGGGCTCTAGCCAGGCCTGGGGCGGAGCCTGGGGTCTGGACGGCTGCAGGAAGCGGGAGGGGGCGTCCCGGGCCGGGGTCCCTACAGCAGCGGGCGGGCGCAGAGCGGAGTCGGGTCCTGCAGCCGCCGCGGAGCCAGGAGCCGGGCCACCCCCCCCCCCCGCCGTGATGTCAGCGGGGCCACTCTTAAAGGGGCAGGCCGCCCGCCGAGGGTCGGAGCGGGGGCTGGGGCCTGCGGGCACTGGATGGGGGTGTCGCGGCGGTGATGAGGGAGAGAGGGGCAGCCCCAGCATCCACCCGGACCGGGTCATGGAAACCCAGGAGACTGCAGGGAAGAAGACGTGCCCGGGTCCGCAAGGAAGACTGCGAAGCTTTGGGGCTCAGTCCCCTCCAAACACACAGACAAGGCACACCGCTCCACTGGTCTGGCCCTGACCGGAGACTACATTTCCCATCAGCCCTGGCGGCAAGGAGCCGCACTTGGGGGAAGGGTCTGCCGCGAGGCCTGCGGGGAAATGTAGTCCATCTGCACGGTCCCCGGCACTCCCCAGACTCTCAAGTGGGTCAAGGGAAAGAGGCCCAGAAGGCGCGTCTGCCTGCCGTGTGCCTCCGTCGCCGATTCCTAGGCTCTCGGGTTCTGGCTGTTTTTGGTTGCTCTGGCGTGGGGGTCTCTTCCTCTGATCAGGTCTCTAGGTCTCTCAAGAAGAGGCCAGACTGTGATCTCCCCGCTTGGGAAGGACTTCTCCCCGGTGTCTGAGCCTGGGGGTGCATGTGAGCTTGCGTGGCTGCTCTGGTGAACACGGACGCGCTGGGTCTCTGCGCGGGGGTCGCCACCTGGCACTCTCAGTGATCTCCGTGCCCCTCTCTCGCTGTGCACTGTCCACGTTGGTGCCCTCTGTGATATTTTCTCTCCCTGTCTCTGTCTGTCTGGGTCTCCTGCCTCTGTCTGCGCGCGCTTCTCTGCTTGCTCCCCTGCAGTGGGTGTCTCCCCTCTCACTTTGTGGGTCTCCG
The DNA here is from genome assembly GCF_000001405.40 of Homo sapiens. Taxonomy (NCBI): domain Eukaryota; kingdom Metazoa; phylum Chordata; class Mammalia; order Primates; family Hominidae; genus Homo; species Homo sapiens. Next base: position 53,907,744 of record NC_000019.10, on the reverse strand, counting down.
TGCTTTCCTTCTCTGTTTGTGTCTATGTACAGTCACTGTCCCGCCTCCACACCCCGTTCATTCTCCAAGCTTACAAGAAAATATCCAAACACTTCAGCATCAGCATCCCAAATTTATTCTCCAGCAGCTGTGGCCGGGTGGGAGAGGCTAAGGGAAGAGGAGGGGAGGAGGAGAGTCCCAGAGAGTGGCAGGCACTGGGGAGAGTTGGGGTGGGTCCGAGCCAGACAGGAGCCATGCACGGCAGGCGGGCTGCGGGGAGAAGTGATGGCTTCGGGATGGGGAAGTCTAGAACAAAAGCTGATTGGGAGCCTCTGGGGAAAGAATCCTCCATATATCCCAGAAATCCCCAGAGCACAGCAGCGGGACGTACTGGAGGAGGGGGGCACGCCTCCCACTCATCTAGAACTAGAGTGGAGGCGGGGAGCCTCGGAGGCCGAGGGCTGTTCTGGAACCTGAGTCTGGAACAGCCAACCCCGTGAGGCTATTTCCCCAGGGGCGGGGTCTGGGGGGAGGCACAGAACTACCAAGATGGAGTCTCGAACCCCATGGAGTTGGGGATGGTTAGTGGTGTGGTCTCTGGACCCGATTGGGGCAGAGTCCAGAACGCTAAGGTCAGGGAGAATATCGGGCTCCGCTCAAGTCTTGAACGCGGGACGGCTGTAGAGGCTGTATGGAGTTCAGAAGGCCAGGAACGCTTGGGAGGGGCGTCTAGAACCCGCGGGGGCAGAGCTGGAATGCTGGGGTGCAGGATCTAGAATGGGACAGGGGGTGGTGAAGTTGGGGGTGAAGTGGGGCTGCCGCCGGCACGGCGGAGGGGACGTTGGGGACACCTAGTGGCGGCGGGTGAGATTACATGACGGGCACAGGCACTGGGCTGGTGGGGCTGCGGGCATCCGGGTGCACGAAGTCGGGGTTCACGTAGGTGAAGCCCTGGAAATCGGCCTGGTCGATGCTGGCCAGGACTAGGCGGTCTGGAGGGGTCAGCGCTGGCGCCGCCCGCGTGAAGAACTTGTCAAAGTTCTCGCCGCTGCGGCCACACTGTGGGAGACGTGGGGGAGGGAAAGTTAAGCAGCTCCGAGGGCTCCTCGGGTGTCCCTCTGTGTACCCCAGTCTCATCTCCTGTCTCCTGCAGAATCTCTATTCATGCTTCATGGTGTCTGCACCTCCTTTTGTTGGGGGCGGGGGGCTCTGCAGAGGGAACCCCACCCCCACATACAGGTATATTGAGGCCCAGGGGAACCCCACCCCTTCAGGGACCAGGTTTTTGTTGCCTGGAGGGTGACTGACCGGGCGGGGTCTGAAAGGAGGCGGGATCTCCAATCGTTCCAGCCGCTCCCAGTCAATCCAGCGGAAAAAGCCATGTGCACGGATGGTAGGTTCCCCATCAGGCCCTGAGCCCAGGCGCTTCCCTGGGTGCTTGGTCAGGAACTGTGGGAAACACAGAGAGAGACAGACAGACAAACAGACAGAGTGCCGGACAGGTAGACCCAGAGAAAGAGGGACAGAGACAGGCAGATGGAGGAACCAAGAGACACAGGCATGAGATCCGGAGAGATAAGAACAGCCAGGGGAAACAGGCAAATGGAGGGAGGAAGGGAAAAGAAAGGAGAGAGAGAGAGAAGAAAAGAAGAAGAAGAAGAAGAAGAAGAAGAAGAAGAAGGAGGAGGAGGAGGAGGAGGAGGAGGAGGAGGAGGAGGAGGAGGGAGGAGGAGGAGGAGGGAGACAGACAGAGAGCGAGACAGAGAGAGACAGAGAGGAGAGAGAGAGGAAGAGGGACAGAGAGAGAGAGAGACAGAGGGTGAGAGTGAGTGAGAGAGAGAGAGAGAGAGACAGGAAGAAGGAGAGGATACATGAAAATGATAGCAGATGAAATTCATACCCAGAGACCCAGGGACACACAGAGAAACAGAACAAATCATGAGGGAGATGGAGAAGAGGAGAGGGAAAAGGGGTAGGGGGAGAGAGGGAAGGGGAGAGAGGGACGGGGAGAGGGAAGGGTAGGGGGAGGGAGGGAAGGGGAGAGTGAAGGACAGAGGGAGGTCGGTAGGGGGAGGGAGGGAAGGGTAGAGGAGATGAAGGGGAAGAGGGAGGGAATGGGGGAAGAGAGGTTGCAGACCCAGAGAAAAGGGGAAATAGAAATTCAGAGGGTGGTACAGAGACCCCAGGTAAGAAGGCAGAAACTCAGAGAAGGGAGGAGACAGAGGAGACCCAGGGGGACAGAGATTCAGAAAGAGAGAAGGATAGAGACCCAGGAAACACACACCCAGAGGGAGGAATAAAGACCAAATATGGGGACAGAGACCCAGAGAAAAGGGAGGACAGAAAGCCAGCAGGAGAGGAGGGTGAGATGTAGCGTGTGTGTATGAGAGTGGACACAGGAGGGGACAGAGATGGGGGGTAGGGGGGTTGGACAAAGGCCCAAAAGTGTAGACAGAGATGCAGAAGGAGACACAGAGAAAAGGAAGAAACACAGAGAGCCCCATCGTATGCAGATGGAGGGGAGGCATGAGACAGAAACCAGAGAGACTGTCAGGGAGATGCAGAGAGAGCAGCTAGACGCAGAAGGTGCTGACATGGGCTGAAAATCTGCTATGGGCCAGGTGCTTTCTTCTGTGTCAACTCCATAACCCCTGAAGAGAGTTAAGCTCACAAAGTTTTGGTGACTCACCCAAGTTCACACAGGAAGAAAAGCTGCAGAAGTTGGGTTTACCTGACCCACCCAGTTCTAGACAGACAGACACCCTGGACTTTCAGCACTTCCTGCAAGCAGGGAGCTGGGGAGTGGGAGTCACAGAGAAGGATGAGACAGAGGCCATCTCCAGGCCTCGTGGCAACAGGGCTGGAAATCATTGTTCTAACAAAACCTATGCATCATATCAACTTTTCCAACAGATGGAAGTAAAGTGACTTCAGGAATGGGAGCATTTTTCTAATAGGCACAGAGACAGCAATGGGGTGTGTGGTTGTGAGCCTGGAGAAGCTGGGAGTCAGGGGGCTCTCACCCCCTTGCAGATGGCCACGGCTTCCCGGGAAAGCGACTTGGGGTAGGTGACAGTTTGTTCCATGATGGCCTGAAACAGCTCCTCCTCGTCCTCCCCATCGAAGGGAGGCTATCAAAGTGGAGGGGATAGAGAGTCAGGGACATGCCCAACTGCCTTTCCCCAAACCTTCCACACCCTCCTCACCCCACCGGGAACATGCCTGACCCATCACACGCCCCACATGCACACCTGACCACACCCTCAGGAGAGATCAGACCAAACCACCAAAGCTTGATCTCTCTCCTTCTCAGGTTCTCTCATTTCCTATCTCGGATGCCTCAGATCTGTGCATCTCTGTACTATTCTGCCTCTCTTTATCTGCTATGTAAATCAGCAGGCTGTTAATTATGCAACATGTCAGTTAAATAGAAGAGAGGAAAAACTGCAGGAAACACCCTAAAAGCATTCTCCTGGTTGGATGAGTAGTTCACAGTCTTCTGAGGTTACAAAAAATGATACCAAGGCAAAGATTTAGAGATGGGGTTTCATCATATTGGCCAGGCTGGTCTCAAACTCCTGACCTCAAGTGATCTGCCCACTTCGGCCTCCCAAAGTGCTTGGATTACAGGCGTGAGCCACCATGTCCGGCCAAATTTTTTTTTAACTTCTAACTAAAATTTAGCATTCCCTTCAGTTATGAATGCAGGCAGCAGCAGTGCTTGTGGCTTCATTATCAATAGTAATCACAGGTATTTTCTCATCACATGAGAGTTGCAGATATTCCAAATTATTAGTCATTGCTACATCAAAATTACTGTTAGAGCTCCTTTTTACTTTACTACCATTAGAACTTACTACTTAATGAATTAATAAGAAATTGCACATATGTCCATTTTCCAATTTTAAATATTTAGACAACTGTATACATTGAATTTAGTTGGTTGTTAGATTCAATTAAATTTTAAAAGTTTTGGTGACTATCTTTCAAAATGATTGATTTCTTTTGTTTGTTTGTTCTTTTGAGATGGGGTCTTGCTCTGTCGCCTGTGCTGGAACACAGTGGCATACTCATAGTTCAGTGTAACCTTGAGTTCTTGGGCTCATGTGACCCTCCTGCCTCAGCCTCCCCAGTAGCTGGGACTATAGGTGCCCACTACCATAGCCAGCTAAGAAGATGATCAAGAGTGTGGTAACCAATTTTTTTAGTTGTAGTACACTCAGCAGTCCAGGAATCCAATCAAGCTGATTTAGAATGTATGTAATTGTCTAAGCTGACACAGCCAGTAAGTGGCAAAGTGAGGATTTGAACCTTGGTTTTCTGCGTATGTATTATTCTATTTTGTGCATTGAAAAACATTCTTCTGAGAAGGGATCCATAGGCTTAACCAGACTGCTACTTTACCATCTAGGGAGAAAGAATCCATGGTAACAGAACAAACAAAACAAAACAAAACAAAACACCTGGTCTACATTAAGACAACACTTCAGAACCATGGACAGCGCTATTCGAGCACAACCTTCTGGGCTCCTTTCTAACTGGCTCCTCCTGAGATCCAGGTGCCCCTCTCTGTCTCTTTTAGCCAAGCCAGCTTCTCCCCACCTTCCCTTACCTGTCCTGCCAACATCTCATACAGCAGAACTCCAAAGGACCACCAATCGACAGACTTCCCATAGGGCTGGTAGGCAATGATCTAGGGGAGGTGGAAGGCAGGGAATCATGATGCGTTCTTTAGGAAGCCTAGGACCCCTCTGGCCTCACCCCCTGGGAGCGCTACCCACGTTAAGTGCTTTCAGCACAAGCTCTTCCCACTCTGAATATTTATTTCATCAGGTGATTTTTTGTTTCGTTTTTTTTTTTTTTTTTTTTTTTTTTGACAGGGTCTCACTCTGTTGCCCAGGCTGGAGCACAGTAGTGTGATCACGGCTCACTCAGCCTCAACTTCCCAGGCTCAGGTAATTCTTCTACCTCAGCCTCCCAAGTAGGTGGGCTACAGGTGTGCACCACCACACCTGGCTAATTTTTGCACTTTTAGTGAAGATAGGTCCTCACTATGTTGCCCAGGCTGGTCTCAAACTCCCGGACTCAAGCAATTGGCCTGCCTCCGCCTCCCAAAGTGCTGGGATTATAGGAGTGAGCCACCACGCCCAGCCTCCACTCTGAATATTTTGGCCAGCGATCTAACTTTTGGAATATTCTGGAAACAAAGCATACCTACTTCAAACATTCATTTGGCCTCAAATAGAAAGACTACCTAACGGCCAAGTCACTGGTTCCACCCACCTAGAATATTTGTGTCAGAGTCAGGAATATGTGTGTAGTTTTCAAATTTTCTTATCTTTTTTCTTTTTTGAGATGGAGTCTCACTCTGTAGCCCAGGATGCAGTGCAGTGGTGCAATCTTGGCTCACTGCAACCTCCACCTCCTGGGTTCAAGTGATTCTCCTGCCTCAGCCTCCTGAGTAGCTGGGTTGACAGGCACACATCACCATGTCCAGCTAATTTTTGTATTTTTAGTAGAGACGGGGTTTCACCATGTTGGCTAGGCTGGTCTTGAATTCCTGACCTCAAGTGATCTGCCTGCCTCAGCTTCCCAAAGTGCTGGGATTACAGGCATGAGCCACCATGTCTGGCCTCAGTTTTCAAATTTTCTACAGATGATTCTGATTACCAGCCAGGTTTTGTGATCACTGACATTGATTATTTGGGCACGAGTCAGGCACATCCTCCCAAGTAGCTGGGACTACAGGCATGTGCTTTATCCATCTATACGTACATTCAGAACATCAGCCCCACCCCTTTAACAAAGTCGGGTAATACCCCACCCACTTAAAATACTCATAGGACAGCATCTGCTCTCCCAGAACCTTAGGGATCTCACCCTGCCCTTTTTCTTTTTCTTTTTTTTTTTTTTTTTGAGACAGGGTCTCACTCTGTTGCCCAGACTGGAGTGCAGTGGCGCGATCTCAGCTCACTGCAACCTCCACCTCCCGGGTTCAAGTAATTCTCCTGCCTCAGCCTCCCAAGTAGCTGGGACTACAGGCACCCGCCACCACGCCTGGCTAATTTTTGTATTTTTAGTAGAGATGGAGTTTCACCATGTTAGTCAGGCTGGTCTCAAACTCCTGACCTTGTGATCCGCCCGCCTCAGCCTCCCAAGTGCTGGAATTACAGGTGTGAGCCACTGCACCCGGCTTTTTTTTTTTTTTTTTTTTGAGATGAAGTTATGAAGTTATGCTCTGTCACCCAGGCTGGAGTGCAGTGGTGTGATCTCAGCTCACTGCAACCTCCGCCTCCCCGGTTCAAGCGATTCTCCTGCCTCAGCCTCCCGAATAGCTGGGATTACAGGCGCATGCCACCACGCCCGGCTAATTTGTGTAATTTTGTTAGAGATGAGGTTTCACCATGTTGGCCAGGCTGGTCTCAAACTCCTGACCTCAAGTGATCCACCTGCCTCAGCCTCCCAAAGTGCTGGGATTACAGGTGTGAGCCACCGCGCCCAGCTGATCCTGCCCTCTTGAAAAATGCAGCACAGAAGTCCAGTACACTTACATCAGAGAAACACGTACAACACAGGAAATAAGCTTCCATCCAACTGAATACTCCAGGGAGAGCCCTGCCCAGTTTAAAGTATTCAGAAGATAGTCCGGACATGTTCAGTGTTGGCAGGGGACAGGCCACACCCACTCAGAGTACACTAGAAATCGTCTGCCCCTTCTCAGAAGGATCCAGGGTCAGGTCCTACTTGGAATTCCTACGAGCTGGTCCCACTCTCCTGGAACATTCACCCACAGGTGCTGCCCACCTTACCTATTTAGAGACCCAGCTGGGCCCACCTGGCAGGCTCAGTGCCAAGCTCACCTGTGCTGGAGGCTGGAGGAACGACTGGCTGTGTAAGAAGGCCACAACTCATGACAAGGTCTGAGGGTCAGGCCTCACCCGTGGTGAATACTGGACCATCAGCTACACCCTCTAAGGGATCTCAAAGCGTGACCAGAGCAGCAGGGTTGGGGTTACCTCCGGGGCTATGTAGTCCGGGGTCCCGCAGAAGGTGCGGGTTGTCGTCCCGGGGAAGACGTTCTCCTTACACATGCCAAAGTCAGTGATCTTGATGTGTCCCTCAGCATCCAGCATCACATTGTCCAGCTTCAGGTCCCTGGACGATGCAGGGGTGTGGGGCAGGAATTGCAAGAAGTGTTGAGTTCAGCAGTCTAGAGCCACATATTCAAATCCCTTCCCTTCCAGGGGCGTGATTTCCTCCACGGAAATTCCTGGGGCTGCTCACCTGTAGATGATGCCCTGATTGTGAAGGAAGAAGAGGCCGATAGCGATTTCTGCCGCGTAGAACCTGGAGGACGGGGTGGGTGGGGACGTCAGAAGGTCAGTGGCTGGATCCTGCCCCCTTCCACCACCCCGACCATTCTCTGTTGGCCGAGACTCACGCTGCATGGGGCTCCTTAAACTTGCCCAGCTGTTGAATGTGGTACATCAAGTCTCCCCCGGTGACGTACTCCATCACGAAATACAGGCGGTCCTGCGGAGAAGTGCATGGGCTTAGAGGCGGGATCCATCTACCCAGAGTAGGAGAATTTCTTTCCTGATCACTCAGGACAGACGTGGAAGGTTCCAGATGCACCCAACCAGAAATTCAGAGCACCTAGCCACATCCCTGGGAGGGCCCTAAGGTGCTAATCCTGCTACCTCAGAATCTCCACCCGCCAGACCACCGCCAACTATCAGACCACGTGTTCTGGCCCCGCCTTCTCAGAATTGAAGACTGAAGCCCACCATTCGCTCGAAATCCGGGAACACCAAAATCTCTTTCCACAGCCACTCACACACAGATGCAATTCTGGCTTCCTACTAAGAATCAAAGTTGCAGCTGGGCGTGGTGGCTCACGCCTGTAATCCCAGCACTTTGGGAGGCCGAAGCGGGTGGATCACCTGAGGTCAGGAGTTCCAGACCAGCCTGGCCAACGTGGCGAAACCCGGTCTCTACTAAAAATACAAAAATCAGCTGAGTGTGGTGGCGGGAGCCTGTAATCCCAGCTACTCAGGAGGCTGAGACGGGAGAATTGCTTAAACCCGGGAGGCGGAGGTTGCAGTGAGCCGAGATCGCGCCATTGCACTCCAGCCTGGGGGACAAGAGCTAACTCCTTCTCAAAAAAAAAAAAAGGAATCAAAGTTGCTCATACATATATTTTAATCCAGGTGGCTGGCCACTCTCATTCGGAGCCCCTGGAAGTAAAGTCACGCCCTCTTAAAATCTTGCAGGTTCTGACTCTCTGCCCCTAAGTCGCAATCCTAAGGAAATAATGTCCTGTTTCTGATGTGTCCTTCAGTCAGAATCCAAAAGTGATGACCCCGTCACTCGGAGCCCAATTCTGGGCAGGCCCACTAGGAAGGCACCCTCCTCCACTGTGCCCCTTTGCTGAAAATTCCAGAGCACTGGCTACAGCCACTCAAGACCAAGCTCCCCAGGGAAACAGGCATCTGGCCACTCCCCCCAAGAGCCCATCCACCTGGCCACGCCCCCAAGGAACTCAACCGCTTCACGACACCTCCGCAGGACCCATTCACCTGGCCAGGCCATGCCACCGAGGAACTCACCGCCTGGCCACGCCCCCGAGGAGCTCATCCGCCCGACCACGCCCTCCGAAGAATCTACCTGCCTGGATACGCTCATTCATAATCTCGTCTGCCTGGCCTCGCCCCCAAGGAGCCAATCTGCCTGGCCACGCCTATTAATGATCCCATCGCCTGACAAAGCCCGCCCCTCTAAACCACCCCCCCAAAGATTTCATCCGCCTGACCACGCCCCGCGAAGAGCCCCTCTGCCTGGCCACGCCCCCGATGAGTCCCTCCACCTGGCCACGCCCCCGAGGAGCCCCTCCACCCGGCCTCGCCTCCGTTGAGCCCCTCCGCCTGGCCACGCCCCCCGATGAGTCCCTTCGCCTGGCCACGCCCCCCAAGGACCCCCCCCCGGCCACGCCCCCTGAGGAGACAATCCGCCTGGCCTCGCCCACTCAGAGAGCACAAAGTTCTCTTGCCTCGCCCTAAACTCAGAATCCCAACGCAGATGTCCAGAACTGGATAAGGCAGGGCCCGGAGGACAGCCTCCGCCCCCTCCATCCTTACCGGGGTCTGGAAGGTGGAGTGGAGCTGGGTGAGGAAGTGGGGCCGGCCGCCAGGACCCCGGCCCCCCAGCGCCAGCACACGTTTCTCCACCAGCGTGCAGTCCACATCGTCGTCCTGGACGATCACGTCCTTTTTCAAGATCTTGATGGCGTAGAGCTCATCAGAGCCCCTGCGCTCGGCCAGCATCACCTATGCGCACAGTTCCAAAAGGGCCAGTCCATGTTGGGAACCCAGTGGTACAGGACCTGCCCCCTCCCTAAGGGACGCAGGGAAACGGGATCCCAGGCCCTTCCTCCATCTCTTAAGGGACTGACAGCCCTGACTTGCCGCCCGTCCCCTCAAGGAGAGTGTCCACATCTGTAAACCTCTCCTCTCCAGGAACCTGAACGGCCCAACCTAACCATATTTGAAGATGCAGGAGCCCAGTCTCTTCCCACCCCCACTTCCTCCCTAAGAACCAGAAATCTGACCTTCCCACAGACATCCTCCCTTTCCCCCAGAACCCCAGGAATCCAACCTTCCCAAAACTGCCTTTTCCTAGAACCATGAGGAAGCTGAAGTCGGAGATGTGCAGGCGTCCTGGACTCGCCCCGAAGAAGCAGCGCTTGGGGTCGGTGGGACTAGGGGAAGGGGAGGGGATGGGAGAGGAAGAGGGGCCCATCCGCACCCGCTGTGGAAAGGAGAAAGAAAGAGCCAGAGGCAGTTAGACCTTACACAGCGATAAGGAAATGCTCCCAAGAGACACAGCACCCAAGAAAGGAAAGGATGAGAATCGCTAGACAGAGGAAAATGGCCACCCTCCTACCCTGTCCTTGGCTTAATTTTCTCTGACTCCCCATAGCCTGGAGGGTTTATTTATTATTCAACAAACACTTAGCTCTTTTTTTCTTCTTTTTTTTTTTTAGATAGCTTATCATATGCTGTTTCCAGAAAACCCTGCTATCGTTTCCATTTTACAGAAGAGGAGACTAGCACAGAGACGTTAAGTAACTTGCCCCAAGTCACACAGCAGGTAAAGGACAGAGCCAGAAATGAAACCCAAGCAGTCCAGCTCTAGAATCTGGTTGCTCTTAGCCTCTAAGCCGGAATTCCCTAGAGGGTTTGGTAAAACAGATTGCTGGGTCCCACTGCCAGATTTTCTAACTCTATAAATCTGGGGTGGGACCTGAGAATCGTTATGTGTAAAAAGCTTCTGGGTGACATGGGTGCTGCCAGTCCAGGGAGCACACCTGGCTTTCAGCTAGGGTCCCTTCTCTACCTTTTCCTGCCTCGGCCCCCCAGGGAGGGGGCCCAAGACTAAGCTGCTGTCACAGCTTCCACACTTGTCCCTCTACATGGACGGCTGCCCTTTCTAATGCATTCTCTACTCAGCAGGCACAGGAGCCAATTTAAAAATAAATAAACCAGGTCATGTCTCCCCTATGCTTGTAAACCCTTTAACTGCTCCCTCTGTGTTAAGATTTTATTCCACATGACTTGCAGAGCCAGGCTGAGACTGACACTGCAGGTTGTTCTTCTCTCTCCCAGGCTCCATGGTCCAGCCACCCTGGCCTGACACTCATTGTCCTCCCTCCCACCTCAGGGCCTCTGGATGTGCCGTTAGGTCTTCCTGTAAAGCTCTCCCCTCCCCTTCCCTCCTAGTTGTCTCCCAAACACCCTTTAGACCTTGACTCAAGCATCACTTCATAGAGGCCTCGCCTGACTTTTTAAACTGGGTCAGATGCCTCTCTTACCACCCCTTGGTCACCATGGACAGCACCTTCCTGGCACTTTTATTCTTAGTAATTTACATCTATCTGTGTGACTATCTGCTTTCTGCCTGTGAGCTCCCTAAGGCAGGGGTCTGCTTTGTTCGCTAAGACACAGTAACACTGCCTACCTCATTGAGGCTACATAAATATTTGTTGAGGGCTGGGTGCGGTGGCTCATGCCTGTAATCCCAGCACTTTGGGAGGCCGAGGTGGGCAGATCACCTGAGGTCAGGAGTTCAAGACCAGCCTGGCCAACATGGCGAAGCCCCATCTCTACTAGCAATATAAAAATTAGTAGGACATGGTGGCACATGCCTGTAGTCCCAGCTACTTGGGAGGCCAAGGCAGGAGAATCGCTTGAACCCGGGAGGCAGAGGTTGCAGTGAGCTGAGATCGCTCCACTGCATTCCAGCCTGGGCGACAGAGCGAGACTGTGTCTCAAATAGATAAATACATAATAATAATAATAATAATAATAATAATAATAATAATAATAATAATCAGGGCTGTTTCTGTTTGCTGTGTTGTTAGCCCCGTACCTAGCTCAAGGCTTGGCACAGAGTTGGTGTTCATTGGTAATATTAAGTGGTGCCTGCTGAACTGTGGGAGAGTGCTGTGAGCCACAACAGGCACACACACCACCCTACACTCCCTGCCTCTAGGCCTTTGCCCACCATCTGCCCTGCTGGGTTTCTTGGGTTTGTACGGGAGGATCATCCCTGCTGATCTCAAAAGACTCTACCTCTTTGGCTCAGAATGTCCTCCCGCTGGTACCCTTGTCTCCTGCAGAGCCCATTCTCTCTTTTTTTTTTTTTTCTGAGATAGAGTCTCGCTCTGTCACCCAGGCTGTAGTGCAGTGGCACGATCTCGGCTCATTGCAAGCTCCACCTCCCAGGTTCATGCCATTCTCCTGCCTCAGCCTCCTGAGTACCTGGGACTACAGGCACCCACCACCACGCCCAGCTAATTTTTTTGTATTTTTAGTAGAGACGGGGATTCACCGTGTTAGCCAGGATGGTCTCGATCTCCTGACCTCGTGATCCACCCGCCTTGGCCTCCCAAAGTGCTGGGATGACAGGCGTGAGCCACTGCGCCCGGCCGCAGAGCCCATTCTCAAACTTAACTTTGCAAAAGGATCACCTGAGGAATTAATTTAGTAGGCAGACATTTGAGGCATCAGAGAGATCGTCACTGAGTAGGTCTGCAGAAAGGCTGGGGAATGTGCTTTTAAAAGCAAGCACTCTAGGAATTCTGATGCAGGTGAACCCCCACACACAACATTAAAAACTCTGGTGAAAGTTTCTGTAAGAGTCCAGTAAAGACTATAACATGTTGTTGCTGTTGTTGAATCTTGAAGATTCTTGTCTTCTTTTTTTTTTTTTTTTTTTTTGAGACAGAGTCTCCCTCTGTCATCCAGGCTGGAGTGCAGTGGAGCGATCTGGGCTCACTGCAGCCTCTACTTCCCGGAATCCAGCAATTCTCCTGCCTCAGCCTTCCGAGTAGCTGGGATTACAGGCGCCTCCACCATGCCCAGCTGATTTTTGTATTTTTTAGTAGAGATGGGGTTTTGCCACGCTGGCCAGGCTGGTCTCAAACTCCTGACCTCAGGTGATCCGCCCGCCTTACTAGGATCACAGACATGAGGCATCGTGCCCAGTCTATCATATGCTTATATATTTTGTTTAATGTCTTCCTCCCGGTGTAAATCCCATAAGGAAAGGAACTTTTTTGTTTGTTTGTTTGTTCTTTCCCTGCTTTCTCTATATCCCCAGTGAGTAGAGCCACGCCTGGCACACAAAGATGCTCTGTAAAGTATTTTTTGAAAGGGTAAATGAGGGAGAGAGCATTACTTCCTCCTGCCTGAAAATCTGGTCTCTCCTTTGGGAAATCCCGCCCTTCTACCAGGTCTCACCTCTCTAGGAAGCTTTCTCTGACTCAGGCTGTGCCAGGGACGCCCCAGTGCCTGAGGCTGTCTCCATTACAGCAGCATTGCTCCTCGTTGTGAATGTCTGGGTTTGTAACTTTGTCCTCCACTAGAAGAAGAGCTCCACCAGGGAATGGCCTGATTCTATTCCCAGAACAGGGCCTGGCTTATGACACCCTAGAAAATGGGTATTCGTCTGGGCGTGGTCGCTCACGCCTCTAATCTCAGCGCTTTGGGAGGCCAAGGCGGGTGGATCACTTGAGGTCAGGAGTTCGAGACCAGCCTGGCCAACATGTCGAAACCCCATCTCTACTAAAAATACAAAAATTAGCCAGGTGTGGTGGTGCGCTCCTGTAATCCCAACTACTCAGGAGGCTGAGGCAGGAGAATCACTTGAATCTGGGAGGCAGAGGTTGCAGTGAGCTGAGACTGCATCACTGCACTCCAACCTGGGTGACAAAAGGAGATTCTGTCTCAAAAAAAAAAAGAAAGAAAGAAAGAAAGAAAAAGAAGGATATTCAGTGAGTGAATGAATGAATGGAGAGATTAAGATGATCATGCTTGATAGATTTTTTAAAACTCAAGAATCGGCTGGGTGTGGTGGCTCACGCCTGTAATCCCAGCACTTTGGGAGGCTGAGGCGGGTGGATCACCAGGTCAGGAGATCGAGACCATCCTGGCTAACACGGTGAAACCCCATCTCTACTAAAAATACAAAAAATTAGCCGGGCATGGTGGTGGGCGCCTGTAGTCCCAGCTACTCAGGAGGCTGATGCAGGAGAATGGCGTGAACCCAGGAGGCGGAGCTTGCAGTGAGCCGAGATCGCACCACTGCACTCCAGCCTGGGCGTCACAGCGAGACTCCGTCTCAAAAAAAAAATAAAAAACTCAAGAATCGGTCGGGCGCAGTGGCTCATGCCTGTAATCCCAGCACTTTGGGAGGCCAAGGCAGGCGGATCACCTGAGTTTGGGAGTTTGAGATCAGCCTGGCCAACATGGCGAAATCCCATCTCTACTAAAAATAAAAAAAAAATTAGCTGGGTGTGGTGGCGGTCACCTGTAATCCCAGCTACTCAGGAGGCTGAGGCAAGAGAATTGCTTGAACCCGGGAGCTGGAGGTTGCAGTGAGGCGAGATTGTGCCATTGCACTCCAGCCTGGGCGACAGAAATAAAAATAAAAATAAAAATAAAAATAAATTAAAAAATTTTAAAAAACCTCAAGAATCAATTCAGGCGTCACCTCCTCAGGGAAGTCCTCCCTGACCACCCTCCCCCAGGCTGGATTAGTGCCTCCGTTAGGCCTCTTCAGTGCCCTGGGCTACCTCTAATTTAGCACATCTTCCTGTATTTTAAGTATCTGTGACTGTGTCCCTACCTTGGAGAGTTGCTTGAGGGTCAGATTCATCTCTGGATCCTGGATTATTCAGCAAGCACAAGACAGGCCTAGCACAAATGTGTGCTCAACTCATGTGTGGGGAATTGAAGACAGAAGTCAGAGGAGGAATAAGAAATCAGAGAAGTAGGCAAAAACTGCCTCCATTCAACGCCCTGGTTCTACTCACCTCATACAATTCCAGGGGGTAGTTACAAGCCTGGGAGAAAAGAAAGAGAGAGTCAGGGTCCCAAGAGATGCAGGGGATCGCCCTAGAACAGGGGCTGGTGGCCCCTAGTACCCTCAAGCCATGGCGATAGATAGGAACTATAATTCCCATCAGACCCTGGGGCTCGAGTCCCCTAGAAGAGCAGAGGAGGGAGTCCTAGGGTCTTCTGGGAACTGTAGTCCCAGGACCAGCGGGCACTCAGGGGTGGAAGGAAAGGCCAGCTCTGAACCGTGGGAGGCTGGGCTGGGCTCCCTTGAGGAAGCCAGGGTCTGGGTACCTCAAACTTCTGGAGGAGGCTGCAGTTGTCAGCATCGGCCACCGGCACATTGTAATACTCGCCCTCCTCCTGGTTCAGTAACTTGTACCTGACATACAGACGGAGACCAGAGGCGGGCAGCGGGGATGGGGCACCCATGGGAGAGGCAAAGACATTGGAAGGGAGGAAAGAGACACAGAGAGACGGACACAGAGATGGAAGAGAGAAAGAGTGAGATAAAAAGAGAGGGAGAGGGAGAAAGGGAGGGGAGAAGAAGAGAAGAATAGAGAGAGAGGGGTGTGTGCGTGTGTGTGCGTGTGTGTGTGTGTGTGTGTGTGTGTGTGCGCATGCTGGGAGGCAGAGGGAAGGACAGTGGCCTGGAGGAGAGAGACCACACACAGATGGAGATGGTAATATTGCGCTCCATCCCCAGGCCCCAGCCCTGCTCCTCACCAGCCATCCACGGGCGCCTTGAGCAGCTCCGAGACGCCAAAGGACATGGCCCCCATGAAGTCGTTGCGGGAGGTCCGGTCCCAGTCCCACACCTCCACGCTGAGCCGGCGCTCCACATCCCCTGGCTTCAGGTTGCTGCAGGAAGGTGGGGTGGATGGGGTGCAGAGCCGAGCTCATGGCTCCCCTCGGTTCCCCATCCTTGGTGCTGGAGGTGGGGGCAAACCCAGCCAGCTGGGGCTCCTCTCCTGCTTTGTCGGTCTCCGACCTCTGACCTTCCCAGCCGGGCTCTCTCTCCAGCTAGGGCTTTGGGGCCTGAAGTAAACCTAGAGAGCTCTTCCTCTCCCTTCCTCCTGCATTCTCCGCCCCTTCCCATCTCTGTCTCTTGTCTCTCGAGATCTCTCTCTCTGAGTCTCTGTACCCTTCTCTCCTCTCTGGGTCTCTATCACTCTGTCTTCCTGTCAACTGATCTCTGTCTCCCTGCCATCCCCCATCTTCTCCCCTCCCTCTCCATCTGTGTCTCTCTTTGGGTTTCTGCCTCTTCTGAGACTCTCTCTTCTCTCTCTCATCTCTGTCTAACTCTAAAGTTGGGGGCTTCAATGGAGACTAATTATACAGTGGTCTGGCTGTCTCTCCGTTTCTGTATCTCCATCCCACTCCCTCAATCACTCTATTCCCTTTTCCCACCATCTTCTTCTGCCCTTTTCTGGGTTCCCTCTATCCTAACCCCTCCCATCAGCTGCTCTCTGGGGGCCACTAGGACCCTCAGATCATTCTCTGTCAGCTGTCATTGCCTTCCCTGCACCCCAGACTCACAACACAAAGGTCTCATTCCACACAGGGTTTAGCGTGGCTTTCACCGTTCGGGTCTTCTGTTTCGTCAGGTTCCGAGGGTCTGGGATGAGCTTCAGTTTCACATAGGGATCAGAGAGACCATTGGGGTCCATAGGAATTAGGTTACGGGCCTCGCCAACTAAACGGGGAGTGAGGAAGAGTGTGACGGGTTAGAGATCCAGGAAGGGGCTCCCAGCCCTCCTCCAGTCAGCAATCAAGAGTTCCAAGCTTGGCCAGGCACGGCGGCTCATGCCTGTAATCCCAGCACTTTGGGAGGCCAAGGCGGGCGGATCACAAGGTCAGGAGATCGAGACCATCCTGTGAATGGTGAAACCCCGTCTCCACTAAAAATACAAAAAAAAAAAAAAATTAGCTGGGCGTGGTGGCAGGTGTCTGTGGTCCCAGCTACTCAGGAGGCTGAGGCGGGAGAATGACGTGAACCCAGGAGTCGGAGCTTGCAGTGAGCCGAGATTACGCCACTGCACTCCAGCCTGGGCGTCACAGCGAGACTCCGTCTCAAAAAAAAAAAAAAAAGAATTCCAAGCTCTCAGTCTCGTTTCTCATGACTTCTTACCTCTCCAGAACCCAGAAGACAGGGCATAGAGCCCTTTCCGCAACCAGTGACCCTGAAATCAGATCCAGAGCCCTTCTCTCCATTAGGAACCAGAGTTTGGACCCTGGCCATGTCACCAGTACTGAACCACAGCCTCCCTCAGAACCAGGTACTCTCCCTTCTCAAGATCCTTATACCCAGAAAGCCATTGCCGGGCACGGTCCTCACCCCTGTAATCCCAGCACTTTGGGAGGCGGAGGCGGGCGGATCACCTGAGGTCAGGAGTTCCAGACCAGCCTGGCTAGCATGGTGAAACCCTGTCTCTACTAAAAATACAAAAATGAGCTGGGTGCAGTGTCATGCACCTGTAGTCCCAGCTACTCAGGAGGCTGAAGCAGGAGAATCGCTTGAACCTGAGAGGCGGAGGTTGCAGTGAGCTGAGATCATGCTACTGCACTCCAGCCTGGGCAACAGAGCGAGATCTTGTCTCAAAAAAAAAAAAAAAAAAAAATTAGCCGGATGTGGTGGCAGGCGCCTGTAATTCCAGCTACTCGGGAGGCTGAGGCAGGAGAATCCCTTGAACCCCGGAGGCAGAGATTGCAGTGAGCCAAGATTGCACCACTGCACTCCAGCCTGGGTGACAGAGCAAGACTCCATCTCAAAAAAATAAACATAAAATAAAAACAAAAAAGAAAGCCATTGGCCAGGCGCGGTGGCTCACGCCTGTTAATCCCAGCACTTTGGGAGGCCGAGTCGAGGGGATCACCTGGGGTCAGGAGTTCGAGACCAGCCTGGCTAACATGGTGAAACCCCGTTTGTACTAAAAATACAAAAAATTAGCCGGGCTTGGTGACACGCGCCTGTAATCCCAGCTACTCGGGAGGCTGAGGCAGGAGAATCACTTGAACCCGGGAGGCGGAAGTTGCAGTGAGCCGAGATCGCGCCATTGCACTCCAGCTTGAGCAACAAGAGCGAAACTCCGTCCCAAAAAAAAAAAGAAAGTCAAAGTCATTAACAGGTGCAGAAAGTTGCAAGAAGCCAGGTTGGAGGCGGGGCTTCGAGCCAAAAGGGGTATGGCTGGGTGTGCTCGGCCTTTGGGGTGGGGTCAGGAGTGTGGGCGTGACCATAGAAAGAGGCGTGGCCCCATCTTTGGGGTAGGGCTGGGCCAGCACAAGTGCCTTGGGTCAGCCCCGCCTCACACTTGGGGAGGGGGCGGGGCCAGGCGAGGGGGCGGGGCCTCACCAGTTACGTGGATCTCATCTGCTGTGGGAGCCCGGATCTCCAGCTGCAGGCGCCCGCGGCGCTCGGTGTGGTCCACACCGCACAGGGAGGGCACGCTACGCACACAGCGCCGGTGCACGTTCATCTCGCAGCCTGGAGGGGAAAGCTGCGGGTAGCACCTCAGGCCCCGCCCCCAAGCCAAGACTCCACCCCCCACCCCATCCCGGGCATTTCCCGGAACCCAGACCGGGCGCTTTGGAAGGGCCCTGGCAAGGCCCAGGTCACTCACAGGAGCATTTCATGCCCTGGTGCACAAGCCCGTAGAGGAGGGAGCCACAGTGGTCGCAGAAGGTGGGGCTGCTGTAGCTATGCAGGCGGAACTTGTGTTTGTTCCGGGGGTCCTGGGGGCAGAGAAGACTGGCTTAGGGGGCGTTGGGAGGGTCCTAAAACCCCAGGGGAGGGGCCCTTTTATCTTTTCCTCCTGCCTTGCTCTCTAGGTCAGCCTGAGGCTCCATCTCTTTCACTCTATGTACCAATAATCATTGAGCACCTGCTGTGTGCCAGGGACTGTTCTTGGTGTGGGGACCCAGCATTAAACAAATGAAAAAAAAAAACCTCTTTGTCACATGGAGTTTACTTCCTAATGGAGGGATACAGAATGTAAACATGGTAAATAAATAAAACATATAGTTTGATGGTTGGTAATGGGTGCTCTGGAGAAAAAATGAGGCAGGGATGGGGACCACCAGAAGTTGGGGGATTGAAATTTTAAATACGGTGGTCCTGGCTGGGTGCGGTGGCTCATGCCTGTAATCCCAGCACTTTGGGAGGCCGAGGTGGGCGGATTGCCTTGAGCTCAGGAGTTCCGGACCAGGCTAGGCAACATGGCAAAACTCTGTCTCTACTAAAAATACAAAAATTAGCCGGACATGGTGGTGCATGCCTGTAATCCCAGCTACTCAGGAGGCTGAGGCATGAGAATTGCTTGAATCCAGGAGGCCGAGGTTGCAGTGAGCCAAGATTGTGCCACTGCACTCCAGCCTGGATGACAGAGCAAGATTCTGTCTCAAACAACAACAACAACAACAAAACTGTGTGCAGGGGGAGTGGCAGGGGGGCCTCGCTGACCAAATGATATCTGGGCAGAACATGAAGGAGGCAGGAGCTTCCAACCTCCCATAGTTCCCATCCCCCCAACTCCCACAAGTTATTATTTGAGGACTTGTGGGCCACCCTGAACCCCAGCTCCTTCACTGGCAGCTTCTGTCAGTGTCCATATGGTATGCCTTCTCTGAGCTCCAGGTGGAATGGAGAACATGACCTCTCAGTTATAATAGGAACCCAGGAGGCCTAAATAAAATAATTGGTGTACAAAACATAGCTGTGCCTACCACGTTAGATGCTCCCAATACTATTACTGTGGTTATTGTTAGGGATTTTATTGAAGTCCCTACATAGCCCTGAATGTAAGTAAGAGCTAGGCCGCTTCTCAGCTGTGTGATTTGGGGCAAGTTCATTCCCAGTTTTGAGCCTCAGCATCCTCCTCTGTCAAGTGGAAATAAATAATCTATATTTTGAAGCAATGCTAAATTTCCAGAGTCCATTAAGCAAGAATGCAGGTCATCAGTGAAGCTTCTCCTTCTCCCCTGCCACCCACTACCCCCGGGACAATATCTGCTTGTTAAATAACTTGATTCTAAGAATCCATTAAAAGGATTATCACAGGGTGAACATTTAGGCCATTCTTGGATTTTCATCTATGTTAGTGGGGTTTCTAGTTTGAATATATATTTGGGTAGAGGAGGGTGTTGGCAGTTTCCAGGATCCTTTTCAATGTGCTGGGCTTCTAAATATCTCCGCTGACCCTAACTCAAAGGGTTCCTGCCGCACTAAATAAGATGCTGTGTGTGAAGGTTCTCAGCAGGCTGCCTGACACACAAACCATCCACAGACAGAGGCTGCTGTTCTTATTCTCAAAAGTGAACGTCGCTGTTAAAAAGGAGACAGCACGGAGGCTGTGGTTACATACATCAGAGTTCAAATCTTGCCTCTATCCCCTACCCAGCTAGGTGGCCTCACCACGCCTGCCCCTTTTCAAAGCCTCAGATTTACCGCTTGAAAAGTGGGGGCATGTGCCCTCCCTGGGGACTAAATGAAATCATTCTTGCCAAATCTTGATCCATGTTACTTTTTTTTTTTTTTTTTTTTTGAGATGGAGTCTCACTCTGTCGCCCAGGCTAGAGTGCAGTGGTGTGATCTCGGCTCACTGCAACCTCTGCCTCCGGGGTTCAAGCGATACTCCTGCCTCAGCCTCCCGAGTAGCTGGGACTACAGGCGCGTGCCACCGTGCCTGGCTAATTTTTTGTATTTTTAGTAGAGACGGGGTTTCACCGCGTTAGCCAGGATGGTTTGGATCTCCTGACCTCGTGATCCGCTTGCCTCAGCCTCCCAAAGAGCTGGGATTACAGGCATGAGCCACCATGCCTGGTCAAGGCATGTTACCTTTTTTTTTTTTTTTTTTTTTTTTTTTTTTTTTTTTTTGAGACAGAGTTTTGTTCTTGCTGCCCAGGCTGGAGTGCAATGGCGCAATCTTGGCTCACTGCAACCTCCGCCTCCTGGGTTCAAGTGATTCTCCTGCCTCAGCCTCCTGAGTAGCTGGGATTACAGGCGTGTGCCACCACGCCCAGCTAATTTTGTATTCTTAGTAGACACGTGGCTTCTCCATGTTGGTCAGGCTGGTCTCGAACTCCCAACCTCAGGTGATCCACCCGCCTCGGTCTCCCAAAGTGTTGGGATTACAGGCGTGAGCCACTGTGCCTGGCCTGCATGTTACTTTTAAGAAGATCAACTGCCAGCAGTGAATCACTTGAGCCCCGGAGGTCAAGACTGCAGTGAGCAGTGATAGCACTATTGCACTCCAGCCTGGGCAACAGAGTGAGACCCTGTCTCAACAGCAAAAAAAAACAAAAACAAAAAAACCCCCGAGTGATGCAGAGGAAAGATCTCCTTCTCACTATTCACTCGTTTCCTCATTGGTCATAATAATAATTTTAACAAGAATAAAAAATAATATTTTGGCTCTTGCTATGTGTCAGAAACCATCCCAAATGTCTGACTCACTAAATCTTCAAAACAATCCATAGTGAGCATAATTATCATCTCCACTTTACAAACAAGGAATTCAACAAGTGCAGAGAGGTAAATTAACTCAGGAAATGTCACAGAACCAAAAAGTGGTGGAGCTGGGATTCAAACCAGATAGACAGGGAAAAATAACCAAATAAGCTGTTGTGTGGATCCAACCTATACTGTATACAAAATACTTGAGGCCAGGTGCAGTGGCTCACGCCTGTAATCCCATCATTTTGGGAGGCTGAGGCAGGAGAATCGAGTGAGACCAGGAGTTGAAGACCAGCCTGGGCAATATAGTGAGTGAGACTCCATCTCTACAAAAACATTTTTTTTTAATTAGCTAGGTGTTGTGGCTTGTGCCTATAGTCCCAGCTACTTGAGAAGCTGGGGCAGGAGGAGCACTTGAGCCTGGAGAATTCAAGGCTGCAGTGAGCTATGATCCCATCACTGTACTCCAGTCTAGGTGACAGAGTGGGACCCTGTCTCAAAAAACCCCAAAAATCGGCTGGGTGCGGTGGCTCACGCCTGTAATCCCAGCACTTTGGGAGGCCGAGGTGGGTGGATCACGTGAGGTCAGGAGCAAGACCAGCTTGGCCAGCATGATGAAACCCTGTCTACTAAAAATATAAAAATTAGCCGGCCATGGTGGCTCATGCCTGTTCTAGTCCCAGCTACTCGGGAGGCTGAGGCATGAGAATCGCTTGAACCTGGGAGGTAGAGGTTGCAGTGAACCAAGATTGCACCAGTGCACTCCAGCCTGGGTGACAGAGTGAAACTCCATCTAAAAAATACCCCAAAATCAAACAAAACAACAAAAACAAAAAAAAATCTTTTTTTTTTTTTCCAAGACAAAGTCTTGCTCTGTCACCCAGGCTGGAGTGCAGTGGCGTGATCTTGGCTCACTGCAACCTCTGCCGCTCAGGTTCAAGCAATTCTGCCTCAGCCTCCCGAGTAGCTGGGATTACAGGCAAAAAACAAAAAAAAAAATCTTGATGAGTGTACCCAATGAGCACTGGATGCATCAGACTTATCTGGTGTTGGTGGCGGAGGTGAGTGGACGAGGGGGGTCATCAATCACATACACGTGCTGGTAGACAGTGGTGCTCAATATATGTTCTATGAAGTCACATCTTCTATGTAGACTTCTGTTATTTTCAGCTGAGAGGGTGGTAAAACGCCTCATGGACTTCTGTGGATCTCTCTCTCTCTGCCTCTCTCTCCATCTGTACATCATAAAACTGTCTCCGATCTTGTGTCAAACCCTGGGCGAAACTCTGAACCCACCTGACTTCAAAACAAGCCTGGAAGTGTCCAGATGTGTGCTGTCCCATTTGGTGGCCACTAACTACATGTGGCTGTTTAAATTTAAGTCAGTTCTGCCGGGCGCGGTGGCTCACGCCTGTAATCCCAACACTTTGGGAGGCCGAGGCGGGTGGATCACAAGGTCAGGAGTTCGAGACCAGCCTGGCCAACATGGTGAAACCCCATCTCTACTAAAAATACAAAAAAAATTAGCGGGGTGTGGTGGCATGCGCCTGTAGTCCCAGCTACTCAGGAGGCTGAGGTAGAAGAATTGCTTGAACCTGGGAAACGGAAGTTGCATTGAGCTGAGACTGCGCCACTGCACTCCAGCTTGGGCAACAGAGCGCGACTCCGTCTCAAAAAATAAAAATAAAAAAAAAAAATTTAAGCCAATTCAAATGACACGAAATGGAATTTCTAATCCTCAGCCACAGTCGCCCTGTTTCAAGTGCTCACTGGCTACATGGAGCTGGTGGCTGCCTATTGGACAGTGCATGTACAGAATGCTTCCGTCACTGTAAACAGTTCTGTTGGTCAATGCTAGATCATCAGCCCCATTTTATAGAGGAGGAAACTGAGGCTCAGAGATAAAGCAGAAAAGGGAACGGGAATGGGCACTCAGGGTTGACTGGTCTTGTGAGCCTCTGATGGAGAGAGAGGGGGTGGGGAGAGGCTGTGTGTCTCTGCGTGCTGCACATCTGTGATGACAGGGGCATCTGTACATGCACGCACATGTGTGCAAGTGTACTGTGGGACTTCCCTGGGTCTCCTCTCAGCATCTCCTAAGCTGTTGTCTGTATCCACCATTTTCTATTTTAGTCTCTTTCTCCAGGTGTCTGTGTCTCCGTCTCTTGGAGTTTCTCTGTCCATCTTTTGGTGCCTCCAAATTCCTCTCTTTCTCCCTGGTTCTTTCTCTGCTCCATCTCTCTCTCTCTCTGCCTCAGCTTCAGTCTCTCCTAGGTCTCTGTCTTCTTCTGTCTCTGTTCCTCTCCCTGAGATTCCCTCTGTCTTATGTTGGCATCTCCGCACCTGCACTGATATTTTTCTCCGTGTGCCCCTCAGCTCTCAATTTTTAAATCCCTTCACCCCTGGATCACAGCCCACCCCCGGCAGCACCCATCTTCAGTCTCCTCACCCCGGCCTCCTCTCTGTGCCCCACCCGTGTCCCCAGCCTGTCAGTCCCCCTCGCATTCCCCCTTTCCAGGCCAAGGGCAAGGAATCTGGGCCAGATAGCTCCCCCTATCTCTCCAGCCCCCCTCCCCTCCCAGCCATAAAAATAGCAGGAGAAATTGGGACGGACGCCGAGGGGGTGAGGGCGGGGGCACGGCCCGAGGAGGAGAACCAGGTGTCCGAGCACTCACGTCCGTCTGGGGGCCCTTCCCAGCGCCTGGACACTCGAAGGTCACAAATTCGTGGCATCGTCGATGAACCACAAAGCTGCAGACTATAGATGAAAATCATAGAGACACAGACGGAGGCATGGATTAGTCCAGCGGGAGACCCCAGCAGACAGAAAATTGGAAAGAGAGAGCGGAACTCGGACACTGAGAAAACCAGAAAGAGAGGGATCTCAACACAGAGAGTCCAACAGAGAGAAAATCGGAGGCCAGAGAGAGAAGCAGGAGACAGAAACCCAAGAGATGGGCTCAGAGTCAGAAACAGAGACGCAGAGACTTACAGAGAGACACAGAGCACAGAGCTCAGGGAAGGGAGATGGAAAAAGAGAGAAAGAAAATAGGATCCCATTGACAAACAGACACAGGCCCACGGACGGAGATCAGAAAGCCAGGAGAGAGGCAGACAGATTCAAAGAGCGAAAACCGAAATATCTTCAGACGCAGCCCAGGAAGCAGCAACTTGGGCAGAAGTGAGTCTGGGGGCGCTGCTGCCGGCCCGCCCCCCACCCTGACTCACTCTGTTCTCAGCAGTAGCAGCTGGTGCTCAAGGACTCGCCCCCCTCTCCCGCCCCCCAGAACTGCCGGCCCCGCCCGGCCCCCACTCGCCCATTGGTGACCCCACCCGGCCTGCCCCTGCCTAGGACGGCTGGTGTTGTCATGGCGACGGCAGCCTGGGGTGGGGGGGGGCTCTGACTTTGCATCTCCAGCCCCCTCCCCCTTCCCCCCTTCAGCTCCCCTTTTCCAAATCTCCATGTTCCCATGGCAACAGATTCTCCAAATATCTGTCCCCACCTGGAGCCGGCCGAGGGAGGGGCCCCCAGCACCACCTCCGCGGTGGCCCCACCATCAAAGCTCCCTCCCCACCACAGGCTGTGTCTCTGCCACACCCCCCGCCCCGGGCTCCCCCGCGCCTCTCTGGGGACCAGAGAACACGTGTGTCAAGCAGCCTCAGCTGTGGGGCCCCAGCCTCCACCCTCCTGAGGGTCCCAGGAGCCCCGGTCCCCAGCTCTTACCTTGACATTGCAGGCCCTGCTTTCCGATACCCCTGGAAGAGTCAGGGATCCTAGGTCAGTGCAGAAAGGGGTACCTGGACCCCCAACCTCTGCGAGCCACAGGGGGCCTGCGCTCTCTGACCCTCCTCCCGCAGGGCCCAGGTGTCCAAGCCCCGGCCACCTCCTCTTTCTAGAACCCAGAAATTTTGGCCCCCAGCCCTTCTTCCCTTAGACTGGAGTTCAGCCCCCAGTTTCTTCCTCCTTCAGACCCAGGAATCCAGGCTCCCAGCCCCCCAGGCCCTTCCTCCCTCAGACCCAAGACTCCAGGACCTCTGTCCTCCAGCCTCCTCCTCCCTCGGACCCAGCACTCCAGGAACCAGCCTCCTCCTCACTGAAACCCAGGAGTCGAAGCTCCCAGCGTTCCCTGGCCATCCTAGAACCTGGGAGTCGGGACTACAGCCCCCTCCTTCTTCCTTCCACAGGGGTCGGCGTGATAGGAGTCTGCACCCCTAGTCCCCTCGTCCCCCAGTCCCCCAGCCCCCTTCCCTCACCAGATGAAGTCGGTGCAGTGGCTGCAGAAGGTGGGCTGCTTGAAGAAGCGAGCGGTGAACTTGTGGCTCTTGACTTCGTGGACCACCTTCTGCCTCAGGGCCCCCTTTCTGCAAAACAGGGGCCGGGGTCCCCCCTCTGAATCGCCTACGCCGGGGCCCAGACCAGCCATGGCCCCAGAAACGTAGCAGGGACCAGGATCCTGCCTTTCTTGGGGGAAACAGGTGGAAGGGAGAGGAGCTGGAGACTCGAAGGATCAAAGGAGCCACAGGGAAATTCCGAGGTGGGCAGGAGAGGGGCAAGGCACCTCCAGGTGCGGAGCGCGCCAGGCAGGGAGCGGCACCCCGGGCGCGCCGGCTCCGCCAGGGGGAGCGGGCGAGTGGGGAGGAAGAGCCAAAGGCAGGGGCGCCGGCAGCCGGAGGCACGGGCGGCGGCGGTGGGAGCTCCAGCTCCGGCACCTGCTGAAATGTGGGAGCCCCGGGTTGGGGGAGGCGTTGCCAGGACGACCGAGAGGGCGGGGTTTCGGCTTAAAGGCGCTCCCCTCCCGGAGACACGGGACAAATGTCCTCCCTCCCCGCCCCCCACACGTGCACACACCCACTCCGGGGGCTGGCTGGAGGGAGGGGCATCCTCTGAGCCTGGCTCCCCCCCACCACCCTGCAATCTGTCATCCTGCCCCGCGTTCCTCCCCCACTAGGGTGCCTCGTGTGTCCTGTGGGCGCCCTGGGGTCCCTGTGTCTGACCCTGCCCCTCTCCTTCCTTCAACAAACTTTATGCTCCACGCTAGGGGTCCAGCAGTGGACAGGCAGGGCGCTAAGGTTCTCACTTTCTCCGATGCCGGCTGAGTCTTTATTTCCTCCCCTGGCCTCTCCATTATTTGTGTAGCTCTCTGCCTGCGTGTGTCTTTCTTGTGACCTCTGTCCCTCTCCCTCTATTCCTGGAGCGAGCTTTCTCGATGTGTCTCTGTTTCTGCCTCTCAGTGGATCTGTTTTCTTTTCCCTGTCTCCGAGAAATGCTGTTTCTATTTCTTTCTATTTCTCTATTTCCTCTGCTGTGTGTCTCCATCTGTATCTGTCGCCATCTCTGGGTCTTGGTGTCGTGGTTCTTCTCGGGGTCTTGGTCTGCCTCACTGTGAATCAGTCTCCCTCTGTCTCTCCCTCTACGTCTGATAAATTCTTCCGCCTCTGTCTCCCTGAGTTTGTTTCTTTCCCTGTCTTTGTCTCTCTGGCTCTGTGAATCTCTATTCTCTCTCAGGCTGTGACTCTGTCTCCCCCTCCCTCTGCAACTTGATCTCTTTGGGAGTCCGTCTCTGTCTTCCTCTCTGGGAGTCACTCTCTAAATGCTTGCCCCTGTCTCTCCCTCTCTCTCCTCACCTCCACCCGTCTTTATAAATGCCTTTGTCTCTGTCTCTCTCCCTTCCTCCGGTTCTGCAACTCCGTCTCTGTTTTTGTTTGTCTCTTCCTATATCTCTCTGGTTCCATCTGTTTCTCTGTACTTGTCCCTCTCTGGCTCTGTTGATCTCTCTCTCTCTCTCTGATGCTAGGGGGGTCTCTCTCCTGTCTATGACTCAGTCTCTCTCTCCCTCTTCTCTTCTCTGTCTCTGTCCCTTTCTCTCTGACCCAATCTCTCTCCCTCTTCTCTTCTCTGTCTCTGTCTCTGTCCCTTTCTCTCTGACCCAATCTCTATTTGTCTCTCTGGCTCTATGAATCTCTTTCTGTTTCTGGGGATCTCCCCGTCCCTCTGTGTCTGTGATTCACTCTCCCTGTGTCTCTGGCTCTCTGAATCTATTCATCTCTCTGACTCTCTGAATCTGTGTCTCTGGCTCTATGAATGTCTATGTCTCTCTGACTCTGAATCTGTGTCTCCGGCTCTATGAATGTCTCTCTATGTCTCTCTGACTCCCTGAATCTGTGTCTCTGGCTCTATAAATCTATGTCTCTCTGACTCTGAATCTCTCTGTGTCTCCGGCTCTATGAATGTCTCTCTATGTCTCTCTGACTCTGAATCTCTCTGTGTCTCTGGCTCTATGAATCTCTATGTTTCTCTGACTCTGAATCTCTCTGTGTCTCTGGCTCTATGAATGTCTTTCTATGTCTCTCTGACTCTCTGAATCTCTGTGTCTCTGGCTCTATGAATCTCTATGTCTCTATGAATCTCTGTGTCTCTGGCTCTATGAATCTCTTTCTATGTCTCTCTGACTCTCCGAATCCCTCTGTGTCTCTGGCTCTATGAATCTCTCTGTTTGTCTCTTTGGCTCTGTGAATCTCTGTGATTCAGGCTCTCTGAATCTCTCTATATGTCTATGAATCTCTCTGTGTCTCTGGCTCTATGAATGTCTCTCTATGTCTCTCTGACTCTCTGAATCTCTGTGTCTCTGGCTCTATGAATCTTTCTATGTCTCTCTGACTCTCCGAATCTGTGTCTCTGGCTCTATGAATCTCTCTGTTTGTCTCGTTGGCTCTGTGAATCTCTGTGATTCAGGCTCTCTGAATCTCTCTATATGTCTCTATGAATCTCTCTGTGTCTCTGGCTCTCTGAATCTCTGTCTCTGGCTCTAGGAATCTCTGTCGAGGGTCTCTAGATAGAGACTTCCCTCTCTGTGTCTCTGTGATTCAGTCTCTCTCCCTCTTCCCTTTTCTGTGTCTCTCTCTCTGTCCCCTTCTCTGACCCACTCCATGTGTCTATCTGGCCCTGTGAGTCTCTCTCCATCTCTGAGGTCTCTCCCTCTCTCCCTGTGTCTCTGTGATTCAGTCTCTCTCCCTCCTGTCTTTTCTATGTCTCTGTCCTCTGTCCTCTTCTCTGACCCACTCTACGTGTCTCTCTGGCCCTGTGAATCTCTCTGTCTTTGAGGTCTCTCCCTCCCTCTAAGTGTCTCTGTGATTCAATCCCTGTCTCCCTCTCTCTAGATCTCGCTGGCTTCGGCATCCTCTCTGTGCGCCCCCTCTCAGGAAAGGGGTCTCTCCAAGGGCCGGCGCGGTCAGTCTCTTCCGGCCTCCACACCTCTTGGTCGCTCTACCCGCGTCCCCGCCTCTCTCTGGTCGGGCTCTGCGCCTCCCCGGCTCGGGAGCGCTTCCCAGTCCCCGCTCCCGGGAGACCCTCTCTGTTGCCAGGGGCAACCACGGCCCGCCCCGGGCTGCGGGCGCAGTGCATTCTGGGACTGGTAGTCCGAGCCTGCGGACCAGCCACTCTCGGGACACGACCGAGAACTCCGCCTCCCGGCGTGCCCCGCGAGGCTGGGCGGGACGCTGCGGCGGCGCCTGGGAGGGACTCTGGACGCCCAGCTTACCTTCTCTGGGACTTTTCAGGGGTTCGGGGCGGGTTTCCTGGGATTCCCAAAGCCGAAGGGAAGGTGGGGGAATCCGAGTCCTCTTGTAACCACTCTCCCTAAATGTGGAGTCCACTGGCCTTCCAGCCACCTCCAGGTGACCTAGGGCGAAGGATAGGCGGCGGGGATGGCCCCGAAACCGACCTAGGAATCCCACCACGTTCTAGTCCAGTGTCCTTGAGTTCTTTCCCGAGTTAACCAACGTATCACCCCAGAGTTCTATAGCTGTTCTTTCGGATGCCTTCCAGAAGGGATTCAGGCATGGGATGGGAGAGAAGGGTGGGCGAGGCGTCCTTTAAGAAGACAGCGATGGAGTGGGTTGGAGCTCAAGAGTGGACGCTGCAGAAATGAAAAGGAGGCCTTTCCTCATCCAACGACAGTGTGTGCCCCAGCTGGCCTTTCCTTCTCCCCTTCCAGGGGAACCCTTCCCTCCCTTGCGGTATCTCTCCCCAATTGCTTTTGCGGATGTAGATGCAGATAGCGGGTTCTGTGATCATCGAATTTTCTTTAAAACTTTTTTTTAAATAGAGACGAGGTCTTGCTGTGTTGCCCAGGCTGGTCTTGAACTCCTGGGCTTAAGCGATCCTCCCGCCTTGTCCTCCCAGTGTTGGGACTACAGGCGTGAGCCTCCGCGCCGGCTGATCATGGAATATATATATATATATATATATATATATATATATATATATATTTTTTTTTTTTTTTTTTTTTTTTTTTTTTCAGACGGAGTCCCGCTCTGTCTCCCAGGCTGGAGTGCAGTGTGGCGCGATCTCGGCTCACTACAACCTCCGCCTCCCAGGTTCAAGCGATTCTCCTGCCTCAGCCTCATGAGTAGCTGGAACTACAGGTGCCCTCCACCACGCCCGGCTAATTTTTGTATTTTTAGTAAAGACGGGGTTTCACCATGTTGGCCAGGATGGTCTCGATCTCCTAACCTCGTGATCCACCCGCCTCAGCCTCCCAAAGTGCTGGGATTACAGACGTGAGCCACCCGCCGGGCCTGATCTGGGAATTTTGTAGGGCTTATATTTATTTGTGTATTTGTGATTCTCCTGAGGTCCGGGAAATATGTAGGCGGAGGATTACCTAGGTGCCCAGGCAAGAGACTGAAGGCACAAACTGTTTCAGTATAATAAACAAAATAGTTAGAATAAGAATAGTCATAATACAAATTAGATGTAGAGATGATCATGGACAATTATCAATCATTATTATAAACATTATTAATCATTAGCTTTTAATATTACTCTTTGCTGCATTACTAATGTAAGCTAGGAATAACCGGCAGGTATAGGGTCAGGTGCTGAAGGGACATGGTGAGAAGTGACCTAGAAGGCAAGAGGTGAGCCCTCTGTCACGCGCACATCAGGGCCGCTTGAGGGGTCCTTGGTCAAGTGGTAACGCCAGTGTCTGGGAAGGCACCCGTTACTTAGCAGACCACGAAAGGGAGTCTCCTTTCCTTGGAGGAGTCAGGGAACACTCTGCTCCACCAGCTTCTTGTGGAAGGCTGGATATTATCCAGGCCTGCCCGCAGTCATCCCGAGGCCTAAACCCCTCCCTGTGGTGCTGTGCTTCAATGCTTACACTCCTCCTTCACTTTCATTCTCCTCCCATACTCCTGGTTCCTCTTTGAAGTTCATAGTAGATAGCGGTAGAAGAAATAGTGAAAGTCTTAAAGTCTTTGATCTTAGAAGTGCATAGAAGAAAACACTGACGTATGCTGCCTTCTGTCTCTGCTTCGGCTACCTAAGAGGGAAGGGCACCCTGTCCCGTGATCACGTGACTTGCTTCACCTTGTCAATCACTTCGAAGATTCACCCTCTTTACTCTGCCCCCTTGTCTTGTATGCAATAAATATCAGCGAGCCCAGCCGTTATGGGCCACTACCGGTCTCTGCGTCTTGATGATAGTGGTCCCCTGGGCCCAGCTGCTTTCTCTTTATTTTTGTCTTGTGCCTTTATTTATTACAATCTCTCATCTCTGCACATGGGGAGAACACCTGCTAAGCCCCATAGGGTTGGAGCCTACAGAAATGGACAAGATGGCCTTCTGTGGGACAGAGATTGGTTGCAGTAGCTCATTTGATCTTTATGAAGGTCTTCTGTTGACCAGGTATATTCAGAGGCTTAGATTGGAGGGTAAGGAGGGAGCTGATAGTGGGAATGGAGGCGGGATCAGATCATGAAGGCCAGACCCAGGGGCTTTGATAGTGCCTATAGGCAATGGGCTACGGAAGGACTTCAGCAGGGAAGGGCAGGATCAGATCTGCATGATGAAAGAATCCCTCTGGAGCCAGGGTGGGATGGAGGAGAAGGAGGCTGGGGCAATAGCTCAGGTGAAACAAAATGGAACTTGAGCTGGACCAGGAACCTGGAGAAGAGGGCGGTAGAAATGGTATTTAGGGGGAAGAATAGACAGTGTTTGATGAGGGACTGACTTGAGTAGACGGGGGGAAGGTACCACCATGTGCTTGGGTTCTCAGCTCTGAGAGGCTATTACTGAAATGGGGGGACCTGGGAGGACGAGGTGACTGGGGAGGAAAGCTCCTTCACTCAAATTAGGACGTTGTATTTGTGAGGTGCTCAGGGGACAGACTCCAAGGAGGGAGAAGTCTAGTTCATTTCTATCCCACCCAGCCCTCCTGGTTTGAGGAAGTCATTTAGAAGACCTAGATCCAGCTAGTATCTTCTGATGAGGCCAAGGTTGTCTTGGCACCAACCCTATTCTCCCACTAGACCCAAGAATCTGGCCCTTGCCCCTCTCCGAGAGTCCTCCCCCGCTTTTCTTTTTTATTTTTTTGTAGAGACGGGGTTTCACCATGTTGGCCAGGCTGGTCTCAAACTCCTGACCTCAAGTGATCCGCCCGCCGTGCTCGGCCGCCCTCCTCATTAAGAAAGCACAAGTCCTTCTTTTACCTTTATATTGATATTTAAAAGAAAAAGAACATGATGGATACGGGAATGGGGGAAGGGACAACGGTTCTACGATTAACAACAGGAACTGATAGGAACCAGAAGCTCCAGGGATTTAAAAAAAAATAAAATATATATTTATACATTTATATATATATATATATATATCACGTTATGTATGTGAGTCCCAGACAAGCAGGAAGCAGCAGCAAGAAGCAACTAGCACACAGAAACACCCGTGCGTGTGCACTACACATTCAAGCAAAGCCATTCCTCTAGCTAGGACGCAGCAATCCCCACCCTCCCACCTACGGGCAAAAGAGAACAGCTGAAAACAAACTTCCCTCTTTAAGGGCCACTCAGTAATTTTTGTCCTCATGGCCAGGAAAAAGAAAGAAAAACAAAACAAAACAGAAAAGGTCGATCTTGCCTTGAAAGCGGGCAGTGGCTATTTTCTTCTCTCTGCCAAAGCAGGACACGTTATTCTTAACACAGAGGGCCACATCGCTGTCCCTCACAAATACTTCAGACAGTTGTCTTCAACATCCTGTGGTTCTTCGTCCGATTCCTTTTTTTTTTTGAGATGGAGTCTCGCTCTGTCCCCCAGGCTGGAGCACAGTGGTGCCATCTTGACTTACTGCAACCTCCACCTCCCGGGTTGAAGGGATTCTCCTGTCTCAGTCCCCCCAAATACCTGGGATTACAGGCGCCCGCCACCACGCCCGGCTAATTTTTGTATTTTTAATAGAGACATGCTTTCACCATGTTGGCCAGGCTGGTCTTGAACTCCTGACTTCAGATGATTGCCTGACTTGGTCTCCCAAAGTGCTGGGATTACAGGCGTGAGCCACCACGCCCGGCCCCGACTCCTTCTTTTTTTTTTTTTTTCTTTTTGATACCACAGAGAATAGTTGGGATGAAAGGCATCCAGCCCCTGCTTCCTTTAAGATGGCCTCTAGGCAGTGGGTGTTCTGTAAGCCTGGCAAAAATTCTGGAGCCAATCTCTGGCAAGGCTGAGTGCCAGGCGGGGCCTAGGGACCCAGGGTCGGTGCTTAAAGCCTCCCGCCCATTGGAAATTACTGACCTCCAAATATATATATATATATGTTTTTTAATTTAAAGGGGAAGTACACTGCACACCTTCCTCCACTGGGAGAAAGAGGGCCCAATCCCCAGCTACCCACCCCCCACCCCCCAAACACACACACACACACACACACACACACACACGTACACACTGACTAAGGCACAGCGAGGGTGGGCAGGCATGCTTTGGCAATGGGGCCCCTTGGGGGGCTGTGGCATGGACGGCTGCAAGGGGTGTGGATGTGAGCTCAGCACCTTTGGAGGTGGGTGGAGGCAAGGAGAGAAAGAAGTCTCAGGGCTCCCAAGGACACAGGAGAAGGTGCTTGCAAAACAGGCAGATAAGAAAGCCGACAGGCAACCCAGAAAAGAGATGAGAAAAAAGAAGAGTGGAAAAAGAGAAACAGGCTGGGTGCGGCAGCTCACACCTGTCCTCCCAGCTACTTGGGAGGCTGGGGCAGGAGAATCGCTTGAACCCAGGAGGCGGGGGTTGCAGTGAGTCGAGATCGCACCACTGCACTCCAGCCTGGGCCACAGAGTGAGAATCCGTCTTAAAAAAAAAAAAAAAAAAAAAAGAAAAGAAAAAGAGAAACAGCTCAGGGGTGAAAACAGGATGTGGGCAACAAAACAACACAGGAAGGAAACAGCAAGAGGAAAGGGAAGGAAGAAGATGCATCCAAGAACTGGTTAGAGTGCAAGGAATTGGGAAGGAAAGAAAAAGGTGGGAGGGAGGGGAGACAGGAAGAGGAAAACAGAGGAAAGGCGGAGGAAAGAAGTACTCCATAAAGAAAACTCGGGCAAGAAGAACAAAGAGGTTGGAGAGGGAACGGGAGCCTCTTGGGAGAGTCTTAGACCTTGACAAAAACCAGGTGGGCAGAGTGCACCAGGTCAGCCACATACGCCAGTAGGTTGATGGCCGTCAGGATGGCCACAGCCAGTCGGCGGTCCCAGGCACACACGTAGTAGGCATGGCTGCGGCTGCAGCTTACATCTCTCGAGCGCCGAGGCTGGCCGCCATACTTCTCATCGAACTGGTAGAGGGGCCAGAGAACAAGGGCGGTGGCATAGAGGAGGACAGACAGCAAGGCCAGCCCCGACAGGAAGCTGGGGAAGGGGATGGGTAGCACGTTGGTGCACTCCCCCAGGTTCAGCAGGATGGCGATGGCCGCTAGGATGAAGCAGATGGCGTACACCGCCACGCACCACTCCAGGGCCGGCTGGTGCTGGTACAGGTTGGGGTCGCTGATGAACGCGAAGATGATGCAGGCAACGAAGGTCTCCAGCACCTTCAGCAGCCCGGGTACGGTGGCCATATAGCCAGTGATCTCGCCGGGCCGGGCCCGGGTCCAGGCCACTTCGGTGGCGTAAGCCACACACGCGATGCAGGAGAAGAAGGTGGCGGCGATGGCGTGGTCCCGCGAACGGCCGTGGGACAGGAACTGGACATAGGTGGTGGGGTAGATGATGGAGGCCGAGAGGCAGAAGAGGGCCGCATAGCAGGCGAAGGTGATGGGGAAGTTGCGCCAAGACAGGGGGAAGCGGGCCTGGAGCCCGCACAGCTCCACGATGAGGATGATCAGGGTCACGGAGAAGCAGAAGCACCAGGTGAACATGGACCAGTTGCCCATGGACCCCGTCCAGGCGCCCACGCTAGCCACCAGCGAGAAGGCCACGCAGGTAGACACCAGCTGCAGCAGGCGAAGGAGACCCAGGGGCTGTGTCAGGGCCCGAGGGGACCCCACGATCATGGGGGACCCCAGGCCCGAAGATGACGTCGTGGTGGTTGTGATGGTGGTGCGGGTTACCGTCACTGGCATGGCTGCAAAAAGGGGAAAGACAGTGTCCTTATACAGTCACAAACATAAGAATCCAGGTCCCTTAGCCATTGCCTACCCCAGGGACAAATTAATATGAGCTCTAATTAGGGAGTTCCCAAGATGTGGGGCTTTCGGTTTTCTTTTCTTTTTTTTTTTTTGAGACAGAGTCTTGCTCTGTGGCCCAGGCTGGAGTGCATTGGCACAATCTCAGCTCACTACAACCTCTGCTACTCAGGTTCAAGTGATTCTCCTGCCTCAGCCTCCCGAGTAGCTGAGATTACAGGCATGTGCCACCACGCCCGGCTAATTTTTTTGTATTTTTAGTAGAGACGGGGTTTCACTGTGTTAGCCAGGATGGTCTCGATCTCCTGACCTCATGATCCGCTGGCCTTGGCCTCCCAAAGTGCTGGGATTATAGGCGTGAGCCACCGGGCCCAGCCTTGGGTTTTCAAATGGGGACAGTCCTGGGCATACAGGGATGAGCCTGTCCCCTCCGGTTCAAGGCTCACTCCTCCCCTACTCGTATCAGAATCCAGGAGTCTAGGCCCCTATTTTCCTCCTTCTCAAGAGATTCTTCTCTCTTTCAAGACCTAACTACTGTACAACTACACTGTTTGCTTCCCACTCCAGATACCGTGCTTCCCTCTTTCCCTCCCTCCCCAAGGGACTCAGTAGCTCAGCCATTTAGCACTCTGTACTCTATAGCACCACCCCTCTGGCCAGGCACAGGTGTGGCTGATGCCTGTAATCCCAGCACTCCAAGAGGCTGAGGCAGGAGGATTGCTTGAGCCCAGGAGTTGGAGACCAGCCTGGGCAACCTTAGGGAGACCTCATTTACCAAAAAAAAATTTTTTAATTAGCTGGGTGTGGTGGTGTGTGCGTGTGGTCCCAGCTACTCGGGATGCTGAGGTGGGAGGATTGCTTGAGCCTGTGGGGTCAGGGCTGCAGTGAGCTGTGATGCACCAGTGCACTCCAGCCTGGGAGACAGAGTGAGACCCTGACTCAAAAAAAAAAAATTTTTTTTAATTACAAATAGGCCGGGTGTGGTGGCTCACACTTGTAATCCCAGCACTTCGGAGGCCAAGGTGGGTGGATCACTTGAGGTCAGGAGTTGGAGACCAGCCTGGCCAACGTGGCGACACTCGGTCTCTACTAATAATACAAAAATTATCTGGGCGTGGTGGCATGCACCTGCAATCCCAGCTACTCGGGAGACTGAGGCAGGAGAATCACTTGAACCCAGGAGGCAGAGGTTGCAGTGAGCCAAGATAGAACCCCTGCACTCCAGCCTGAGCCACAGAGCCACACTCCGCCTCAAAAAAAATAAAATAATCTGGGCGCAGTGGCTCATGCCTGTAATCCCAGCACTTTCGGAAGCCGAGGCTGGCAGATCACTTGAGGTCAGAAGTTCAAGACCAGCCTGACCAACATGGTGAAACCCCGTCTCTACTAAAAATACAAAAATCAGCTGGGTGTGGTGGTGGGCGCTTGTAATCGCAGCTACTTGGGAGGCTGAGGCAGGAGAATCGCTTGAACCCTAGAGGTGGAGGTTGCAGTGAGCCGAGATTGCGCCACTGCACTCCAGCCCGGGTGACATGAGTGAAACTCCATCTCAAAAAATAAAATAAAATAATAAAAATAAATAAAATAAATAAAAAATAAAGCATCCTCCTTCTGCCTCCTGCCACAACCCAAGTGTCAGAACAAAACGCTTGTCTTCCACAGGCTCTGAAAACCCCATCTCTCAACTTCCTTTTCTTTCAGTATTCAGAGCTCTGCACCCCAGACCCTGTGAGCAAACTTCCTTCTTCCATCGAACAGTGACCTAGACATTTGCAGCCTCTAAACGGCCCAACCTCCCCAGGCTTCCACTCTCAGGGACCCACATCTAATAAGAGCTCCGACCTCCCGATAAAGGATATCTTCTCATAGAGATCCCAGCCGTGGAAAACCAAGAGATCTCCCCTCCCTTCTGACAAGGAGCCTAAACTCTTAGCGGCCTCCTCCTCTCCCTACCCCCCACCTTGGAGATTAGCAACCTTCACTCTCAGTCTAACTCCCACCTGAGATTTAGGACTGGAGTACTGCAACCCAAAAAAGCTAGTTTGAGCCTCCCCCTCCACACTCCTGCATACTGAGTCCATCTACCTCCACCTTCTCTCCCCAAAACCCAGCCAGCTGGTCCCCCAGCTTCTGGGAAACTCAGCTCCCCAGATTTCCAACTGTCCAGTAGGAACCCCAGGCCCTTCCACTGAACTCTCTCTAGGCCTCACAATCCTGTTTTTTGGTTGTTGTTTTTTTTACATGGAGTCGCTCTGTCACCCAGGCTGCAGTGCAATGGTGCGATCTTGACTCACGGCAACCTCCGCCTCCCGGATTCAAGCGATTCTCCTGCCTCAGCCTCCTGAGTAGCTGGGATTACAGGTGTGTGCCACCATGCTCGGCTAATTTTTGTATTTTCAGTAGAGATGGGGTTTCGCCATGTTGGCCAGGCTGGTCTCAAACTCCTGACCTCAAGTGATCCGCCCGCCTTGGCCTCCCAAAGTGCTGGGATTACAGGCATGAGCCACTGCGCCTGGCCATCACCGTCCTGTTATAAGGGGTCAGACCTCTGGCCCTGGACCCTTAGCCTGAAGGATCCCAGATGCCCCAGACTCCAGAAAACCAATTTGCTTCTTTAGTCCTTGCAAAACCTACAGCTTCCACCTCCTTGTCCTAATGGCCCCCAGGAATCAAGTGCCCGTCCTCTTAGAAACCAGGTGCCCAGTTCTTTCCTTAGGCTGTAAACTGTCTCAACGCAGCCACAGGACTAAACCCAAGGCCTCTCCTAGCCACAGGAAAGTAACTTCCTCCTTTCAGCTTCAGGCACTTTGCAGGGCAGTAGCACAGGCCTTAACCTCTTCGTGGCAGTCGCAGGACAGCAGCTCCCTGAGACAAAGGAGCCAGGGCCTGGACTCGCTTCTTCCTCAGATACCTCAGTGTCTGGGACCCTATTCCTTGGAGCCCAAGCTTCCTGGTCCTTCTCCCAGGATCTAGGAGCCCAGGACCTAATCCTTCCTCCTTCAGACCCACGAGTCCAGACCCCAGCCCCTCCTCCCTCAGACCCAGGAGCCCAGGCCCCCAGCCCCTCCTCCCTCAGACCCAGGAGCCCAGGCCCCCAGCCCCTCCTCCCTCGGACCCAGGAGTCCAGACCCCAGCCCCTCCTCCCTCGGACCCCGGAGTCCAGGCCCCCAGCCCCTCCTCCCTCGGACCCCGGAGTCCAGGCCCCCAGCCCCTCCTCCCTCGGACCCAGGAGTCCAGACCCCAGCCCCTCCTCCCTCGGACCCAGGAGTCCAGACCCCAGCCCCTCCTCCCTCGGACCCAGGAGCCCAGGCCCCCAGCCCCTCCTTCCTCGGACCCAGGAGTCCAGACCCCAGCCCCTCCTTCCTCGGACCCAGGAGTCCAGACCCCAGCCCCTCCTCCCTCGGACCCCGGAGTCCAGACCCCCAGCCCCTCCTCCCTCGGACCCAGGAGCCCAGGCCCCCAGCCCCTCCTCCCTCGGACCCAGGAGCCCAGGCCCCCAGGCCCCCAGCCCCTCCTCCCTCGGACCGAGGAGCCCAGGCCCCCAGCCCCTCCTCCCTCGGACCCCGGAGTCCAGGCCCCCAGCCCCTCCTCCCTCGGACCCCGGAGTCCAGGCCCGCTGCCTACTCACCAGCGGTCTTAGCAGAGGAATCCACGGAGAAAGATCTGGTGGTGGAGACGGATTAAGCCACACTTGGAACAGGCTGTAAGAGCACCTGAGGGGGAGGTAGGCCGTTAGCGTCCGTTTGGACAGGCTCCTCCCTCTAGGGATCGAACGCCCTGCGGAGACAGGAACGTGGCGTGGAACCCAGCAGGGCCCTGGCGGTGACCCCGGGTAAGCCCCGCCCCCTCCCCTCCCCGTTCAGTTAACTGTTTGGGCTGCGGCGGACGGAACCCAGCGAAAGTGCACGCCCCGCGGGCCGGCGTGGGCGCGTGTGTGATCTTAACCCCGCGGGGGCGGGGGTGCGGGCGGCAGTGGCGGGAGAACCCTGGGCGGCGGCTGTGGAGGCGGGCGGCCCAGCCAGAGCCGGTGTCTCCGCGCCTTATAAGGGCTTCGAGTCGGCCCAGGCATCTGGAATGTGTCAGGGACCAGGAGGCGGTGCCCGGACCCCCGCCCGCCTCCGGGGCTGCCCGCCCTCTCCCGGATTTCCGGGGGGTGGGGACCCCGACTCTCAGGGTTGGAGGCCTGCATTTCTGGATCCCTATAAACATGGGCTGAGAGCCCCCCCAAGAGCATCTCTAAGACCGGAGTGGGCAGGGACCCGGGCCTCTGAGGGGCTCAGGCTCCAGGCCGGAAACTGCACGCGGTGCTGGCGTCAGGCCCGAGGCCCAGCTACGCCTCCCACGGCCTCCCTAATCGCCATTCGGGGCTTGCGGGAGCACCTGGGAGGCTCCACCCGGAGCCAGACACTGCCTGCCCCCACGCCCCTCCAGGACCCTCGAAGGAGAAGGAAATCGGGACTGGCCCAGCGTCCCGTGCTCTAGAAGGCGGGCTACTGCCCCGTCCCAAGCAGGGGAGGAGGACGAGCGAGGGCGTCACTCATTCTGTCCCCCGCGGAAGGTGGGCTAGCCGCGGAGGGGGGCGCGCAGGGGAGGGGGGCGCGCCGAGGGGAGGGGAGGGGAGGGGTCCACCCCGCCCTTAGGGCCTCCAGCCATCGCCCGAGATCAGAGCTCAGGAATGCGCAGCCAGACCCTGGAGGGTGAGGAAACACCCCTCCGGGATTCCTCGCAGCGCACCCGACTCTCCGGGCCACACCCAGCCCCTCAGTGTCCTCCCTCGTCCACTCCAGACGCCACACCCATCGCTCACGCTGAGAATCGGGCCCCGGAACCCCAGCTTCGGCTCTCGGCACCCAGAGGTGCGGGACGCAGCCCTGTCTTCTCCTCCTTTCCCAGCTCCTTCTGCACTTCGGAAGCACGGGGCTGGATCTTAACACCCCCCTCCCTCGGCCTTTCAGGAGCCCAAAGTTCCGATTCTGTCTGTCCCCTGGATGGGGAGGGGTCAGTAATTCTGAATTCCTTCCATTCTCATTCCCAAACCCAGGACACCTAACCCTAAGCGCTTCCCCTCCTAAAGGACCTCCACGTACCAGATTCCAGCCTCCAACTAGGGCACCTACGAGTCCCCATCTCTCTACTCCCGCAGACCCAGCCCCTCCTCCCTCAGACTCAGGAGTCCAGGCCCAGCTCCTCCTCCCTCAGACCCAGGAGTCCAGGCCCTCAGCCCCTCCTCCCTCGGACCCAGGAGTCCAGACCCCCCAGCCCCTCCTGCCTCGGACCCGGGAGTCCAGACCCCCAGCCCCTCCTCCCTCAGACCCCGGAGTCCAGGTCCCCTTCCCCACTCTTCCAGACGTATGACCTCCACAGTCCAGGTCCTCAGCCCTCTCCTCTGCAGAACCCCAAGAATCCTGGCCCAGCCCCAGTCTTTCTAGGGACCCAGACATTCTGAGACCCAGCCCATTCCTCTCTCTGGCCATAAAGACCCTAGACTGTTGCTTATGCCCTCTGGGGTCCCCACAACCTCACCTCAGGCAGCCAGTGGCGACTGCGGCTGAAGCAAAGACGACAGCGGCAGCTGGAAGGGTCTGAGGGCTGGGTGGGGTTGGAGGGCTGGGGAGCCAGCGCGGGCGGGACGGGGGCGGGGCCGGGGCGGGGCGCAGCTCCGGCTAGGGCGGTGGACAGGGACTTCCCCGAGTCTGGGCTATCCCAGCCCCGCCCCGAGGCGGGGCCAAGAGCAGACCACGCCCCCCAGAGTAAAAGTAGCGTGGAGCTCCCGCCCCACCCCAGTGAGCAGGGTGGAGGGCTGAGGTCACGGTTGCCGTGGTGACAAAACAGGAAGACACAACAGCTGGCGGCGTGGAGACTCCTGGGGGCTGCCCTCCTCGACACAGCCCTAGAGGAGTCTCCCGGGTAGGCCAGGGAAGACCGTTACCATAGAAACCCCGCATGTTTAGGGTTTGTTTAGTGCAGAGCCCCCCAGCTCAGGTCCCCGCCCCCGTCTCACCTCACTCCTTTCTTCCGCTCCCTTCCTACCCCCTCCTTCCTGGTCTGTTCCGCCCCCACCCCTTCCTTGCCGGATGAAACCTTAGACACCTGGGTCGCAGCGGATTGGGGGACCAGGCCCCTCAGTTCAATGGGGGGGCTAGGATCTCTGTCTCTTGGAGCCCTGAGGGAGAGCAGAATTGAGAGCAGTATTCCTGGGCTTTAGGTGGTTCTGGGCTACGATCCCTGACTGATGGGTCTCCCCAAGAAACAGAGGCTAGATTCCTGTATTTAAGGACTTGAAGGGGCGGCAAAATGCTCCCCTAGTACCCACTGGCACCGGGCGCCGCAGGGTAAGGGACTCGGGCTGGACGCAGGTCTCAGATATCACAGTGGATAGGGGTGGGGTGTGTTGGGGGCAAAATTCCTGGGAGCTAGCGCGGTAGCAGTTGGGGGCCCGGATTCCTGGGCTCCACAGGATGCCTAGGCTGAGGCCCAGATTCTTGGCTCAAAAGAACAATCAGGCCTGGGCGCGGTGGCTCACGCCTGTAATCCCAGCATTTCGGGAGGCTGAGGAGGGAGGATCCCTTGAGCCCAGGAGTTCGAGACCAGCCTGGGCAACATAAGGAGACTCTGCTCTATTAAAAATAAATCATCATGATCATCATAATAGAACCATTAAAGCTCAGACTCGGGTTTTCCGAGCAGGTGTTGCAAGCCTAGCCGCCTGGGTCTGGAAGGCAGCGATATTTTTGGCCTACATTCCTGACTCCTGGATGGAGGGAGGGACTCAGAATTTTAATGAGGATGGGGCTGGGGCTGGGGCTTGGGGCTCTGGATTCACGGATCCTGCAAGAGGGGAAGGGATCCAAGGGGCTGGTGGGCCCGAAGCCCCAGGGCAGGGAAGGGATGCAGGGTGTGTTTTTAAAAGGCGGCTCTGCGGCCCTAAAACGGACTGCCGGAGCCAAAAGAAAAAGAGGGAGCTGAGGGTCGGGATGTCGGGCCCCCGGGGAGGGGCAGGGCGGGGACCTGGGACGCCTGAGTCCCTCCCTCTGGCCGCGTTCACTCACCGCGCTCTGCAGTCGTCCCGGGCGCGGCCTGGCTGGCTGCGGCCGCTGGGCGGGGCCTGGTGGCGGCTGCGGATGCTCAGCGACGCTGAGCTAACGGGGCGCGTCTGGCGCTGCCGCCGCTGGGCACCTTCCAGGGCCGACAACTGAGGAGGCTTTGAGGCCAAGCCCAGGGGTGGAGGCCGAGTCCAGGAGTGGAAGCCGCGCGAGTGGCGAAGGGAGCAGTCGGAAGGGGTCCGGGAGCTGGGGATCCGGGTCTACGTGCCCTACGGAGCAGGGAGGGGCCGGAGGGGGACCTGCAGGAAGGCGGGGGTCTGCAGGAGTGGAGAGGGGGTTGGGTAGAGGAAGGTAGAGCCTGTGTGCGGGCTTGATGTGCTTCTGCAAAGGGAAGGGGACACAGACCCTCTTTGTCACTCTGGGCCCTGCATAGGGGAGGGAGGTCTCAGTGCACCCAGATCAGGCCTTGTCCTTGTCCAAGGAGGGAGGGCTGTGGACAGATAGGGAGTCGGGACATGGTGTTAGTTGGAGACTCCCCTGGGACGCCTCTAGGTTCTATTCACAGGCCTCCTTGGCCCCAAGTGTAGCAGCAAATCTTTCCCCTTCCTGCCTAAATTAGTCACTGCCTAACCCCATAGTGACACACTCAAGGTACCCCAAACGGCCCAGAGGTGGTCTCCACTTACACAACTTACTGTGTTATTCCTCGTGGTGGCAGCGGTTCCCTTGTAGACACTAGAACCCCTCAACAGCAGGGTTCAGGGTAGCAGGAACAGGAAGCAAACATTTGAAGAGTGAAGGCCGGTCACGGTGGCTCACCTCTGTAATCCTAGCACTTTGGGAGGCCAAGGCAGGCAGATCACCTGAGGTCGGGAATTCAAGACCAGCGTGGCCAACATGATGAAACCCCGTCTCTATTAAAAATACAAAAAAATTAATCAGGCGTTGTGGCGCCGCCTGTAATCCCAGCTACTCCAGAGGCTGAGGCAGGAGAATGGCTTGAACCCGGGAGGTGGAGGTTGCAGTGAGCCAAGATTGCCACTGCACTCCAGCCTGGGTGACTGAGCGAAACTCTGTCTCAAAACAAAAAATAACAACAAAACAAATAAAAATTTGAAGAGTGAGTCATCGGGTGTGGTCCTAAGAAATGGCACTCTTGGCCGATGCAGCAACTCATGTCTGTAATTCCAGCACTTTGGGAGGGAGGCCGAGGTGGGTGGATCACCTGAGGTCAGGAGTTCGAGATCAGCCTGGCCAACATGGTGAAACCCCGTCTCTACTAAAAATACAAAAAATTAGCCGGGCGGGGTGGCATGTGCCTGTAATCCCAGCTACTTGGGAGGCTGAGGCAGGAGAATCGCTTGAACCCAGGAGGCAGAGGTTGCAGTGAGCTGAGATCATGCCATTGCACTTCAGCCTGGGTAACAAGAGCAAAACTCCGTCTCAAAAAAAAAAGAGAGAGAAAAATAAAAGAAAGAAATGGCACTCTTGAGTTCACAGGTCTTTGTAATCTGGGATCATCTGGCATGTACCCCTGGTTCAGAGTGGTTACCCATCCTGTAACAGCACCCCGACCCCAAAGATGATGACTCCAAACTGGCCCTGTAACCCAGTCTCAAACAGGCCGTGCTGTTCCATGAGGCTGGCTGCTTTGGGGTAATGGGGTACATGGACTGCCCCCCACTGACTTCCTAATATATGGAGCTCCTTGATCAGAAGCAATACTGTGCGGGTTAACATGAGGGTGAATAGGGCCATTCAGTGCATACACAGATGCTGCTGTTGGCAGAAGTGCAAAGGGCAAGAAAAGCAAATAACAAGCCCAGAGTTGTTTACTCGAGGGAGGAAAAACTCCCTGCCCAGCCCAGGATGAAAGGGCTCCAGTGTAATCCTCACGGGCCCAGGTATTTGGCTTTTTGGTCTTCCTAGGAAACTGTACCACACTGGGGGATCAGCACTTGCTACTGCCAGCTAGGTGGGCATTCATCAGTGACGTAGGTGGTGTAGTCCACCTCGGCCACTTTGCTCCTGAACCTATGGAGCAAGCCCTGAGGATGCCAGGGAAGGAGGCTGATCCAGATCCTCAGAGTGGTCATCTGATCTACCACATGGCATCATAGCATTCCCTGTAATAGAGGTTTTAGGGGGAGAGTTCACTTGGGATAAAGATTACGAAGTGGTTTCCACTCGCAACACGTCTGACACCAATGTGTGTGTTTTTTCTTTTCTTTTTTTTGAGACGGAGTCTCGCTCTTGTCATCCAGGCTGGAGTGCAAAGAGGTGGTCTTGGCTCATTGCAACTTCTGCCTCCCAGGTTCAAGCGATTCTCCTGCCTCAGTCTCCCCAGTAGCTGGGATTACAGGCACCCACCACCACACGCAGCTAAATTTTTTTGTATTTTTAGTAGAGGCGGGGTTTTCACCATGTTGGTCAGGCTGGTCTCAAACTCCCCACCTCAGGTGACCCACCTGCCTCGGCCTCCCAAAGTGCTGGGATTACAGGCATGAGCCACCGCGTCCAGCCACCTGGCTACATTTCTAGGACTGTCCTCTAAAAACAAATAAGTTGTTTTTTTCATCTCAGGTCAATTCTTTTCTTTTTATTTATTTATTTATGTTTTAAGATGGAGTCTCACTCTGTCACCCAGGCTGGGGTGCAGTGGTGCGATCTCTGCTCACTGCAACCTCTGCCTCCTGGGTTCAAGCAATTCTCCTGCCTCAGCCTCCCGAATAGCTGGGACTACAGGCATGGGCCACCACGTCCGGCTAATTTTGTATTTTTAGTAGAGATGGGGTTTCACTCTGTTAGCCAGGCTGGTCTCAAACTCCTGACCTCAGGTGATCCACCTGCCTCGGCCTCCCAAAGTGCTGGGATTACAGGCGTGAGCCACCGTGCCCAGCCGTCAATTCTTTTCCTCTTTTTCATCTCTAAAGACATTCTTCTCATAACCTTACTATTGCTGTTACAATTCTTCTCTTTTTGATAGTCAATGTTCCTACTCAAAGAATATTTCGTTGGATTTAAAATACACACACACACATATCATATATATGCATATATATGTGTGCATTTATTATCTCACAGTTTCTATGGAGCTTAGCACAGTTTAGCCAGGTTCTCTGTGAGGCTGTAATCAAGGTATTGGCCAGGACTGAGTTTTGGGTTTGTTTGTTTGTTTGTTTGTTTTTGTGTTTTTTGTTTGTTGGTTTGTTTGTTTTTGAGATGGAGTCTCACCTTGTCGCCCAGGTTGGAGTGCAGTAGCACGATTTCGGCTCGCTGCAACCTCTGC
Organism: Homo sapiens; assembly: GCF_000001405.40. Classification (NCBI taxonomy): domain Eukaryota; kingdom Metazoa; phylum Chordata; class Mammalia; order Primates; family Hominidae; genus Homo; species Homo sapiens. Next base: position 53,863,134 of record NC_000019.10, on the reverse strand, counting down.
CTCACAGGTTCAAGCGATTCTCCTGCCTCAGTCTCCTGAGTAGCTGGGATTACAGGTACATGCCATCACCCCGGCTAATTTTCATATGTTTAGTAGAGACAGGGTTTCACCACATTGGCCAGGCTGGTCTTGAACTCCTGACCTCAAGTGATCTGCCCACCTTGGCTTCCCAAAGTGCTGGGATTACAGGCGTGAGCCACCACGCCCGGCCCGGCACTGAGTTTTGATCTGAAGGCTCCGCTGGGAAAGGACGTGCTTCTAAATTCACTCAGCTTGCTGCAGAATTTGTTTCCTTGTGACTTTAGAACTCATCAGGGGCTGGGCACGGTGGCTCACACCTGTAACCCCAGCACTTTGGAAGGCTAAGGAGGGCAGATTGTTTTGAGCTCAGGAGACCAGCCTGGGCAACATAGCAAAACCACATCTCTATAAAAATACAAAAATTAGCCAGGTATTGGTGGTACCTGCAGTCCCAGCTACTGGGGAGACTGAGGCTGGAGAATCACTTGAGCCTGGGAAGCAGAGGTTGGAGTGAGCCGAGATCACGCCACTGCACTCCAGCCCCTGGATGACAGAGTAAAACCCTGTCTCAAAAAAAAAAAAAAAAAAGAACTCAGCCGGGCACAGTGGCTCACGCCTGTAATCCCAGTACTTTGGGAGGCTGAGACAGGCACATCACGAGGTCAGGAGATCGAGACCATCCTGACTAACACGGTGAAACCCCGTCTCTACTAAAAATACAAAAAATTAGCCGGGCGTGGTGGTGGGCACCTGTAGTCCCAGCTACTTGGGAGGCTGAGGCAGAAGAATGGCGTGAACCTGGGAGACGGAGCTTGCAGTGAGCCAAGATCGCACCACTGCACTCCAGGCTGGGAGACAGAGCGAGACTCCATCTCAAAAAAAAACAAAAAAACAAACAAAAAACCCTCATCAACTCATCAGTGCATGCTCCTTCAAAGTCAGTGATGAGAGACTCTAGGGTGTGTCAGCTAGCAAGAAATCTTCTACAACATATAAGCACCACCTTTGCCATGCCGTATTGGTTAGAAGAAAGTAACACGTTCCTCCCACACTCAAGGGATGGGGATGATACAAGTGTAGAAGATTTCTTTTTAGGAGGAAGAAAATTTTCTGGACACACAAAGTAGTGATTGGCCAGGTGCAGTGGTTCACGCCTGTTATCCCAGTACTTTGCGAGGTTGAGGCAGGCGGATCACTTGAGGCCAGGAGTTCAAGACCAGCCTGGCCAACATGGTGAAACCCTGTCTCTACTAAAAATACAAAAATTAGCCAGGTATGGTGGTGCATGCCTGTAATCCCAGCTACTCAGGAGGATGAGGCAGAAGAATTACTTGAACCTGGGAGTCAGAGTTTGCAGTGACCTGAGATCACACCACTGCATTCCAGCCTGGGCGACAGAGTGACTGAGACTCTCTCTCAAAAAACAAACAAACAAACAAAAAATAATAACCACCTAGCAGCAAAGCCTGTGAATGCATTTCTGCTTCCTTTTTTTTTTTTTTTTTGAAACAGGGTCTCGCTCTGCCGCCCAGGCTGGAGTAGTGCAGTGGCGTGATCTCGGCTCACTGCAGCCTCGACGTCCAGAGCTCAAGCAATCCTCCTGCCTCAGCCTCCAGAGTAGCTGGGACTACAGGTGCTCGCCACCATGCCAGGCTAATTTTTTTTTTTTTTTTTTTTTTGGTAGAGACTGGTTCTCACTCAGTTACGAAGACGGGTCTTGAACTCCTGAGTTCAAGCGATCCACCTGCCTCAGTCTCCCAAAGAAGTAGTAGCAACATTTTTAAAAAGTTTAAAAAAAAAATAAGAAAAAAGTCAGGAGAGTTGGGGTTGCAATGAATAGGCAGAGTAAGAGATATTTTAGGAGAATGAAACTGTATTATGACACCATAGTGGTAAATACTGATTATTATACATTTGTATGAACCTATAGATTCTATGACACCAAGTGAACCCCAGTGTAAACCGTGGACCCTGGGTGAAGATGACATGTCAAATCAGCGGAGGTTCATCCACTGTAACAAATCTACCACTAGCTGGGGATGGTGGTAGTTGGGGAGGCTGTGCATGTGTGGGGACAGGGAAATCTCTGTACCTTCTGCTCAATTTTTATGTGAACCTAAAAATGCTTTTAAAAATAAACTCTATTGGCTGGGCGCGGTGGCTCATGCCTGTAATCCCAGCACTTTGGGAGGCTGAGGCGGGCAGATCTCTTGAGGTCAGGAGTTCGAGACCAGCCTGGCCAACATAATGAAACCCCATCTCTAATAAAAATACAAAAATTAACCAGATGTGGAGGCTCATGCCTGTAGTCCCAGCTACTCAGGAGGCTGAGGTGGGAGAATCACTTGAACCCAGGAGGCAGAGATTGCAGTGAGCAGAGATCACGCCACTGCACTCCAGCCTAGGCGACAGAGCGAGACTCTGTCTCAATAATAATAATAATAATAATAATAATAATAATAATAGACCGGGCGGGGGCCTTACGCCTGTAATCCCAGCACATTGAGAGGCCGAGGCGGGCGGATCACCTGAGGTCGGGAGTGTGAGACCAGCCTGACCAACATGGAGAAACCGCGGCTCTACTAAAAATACAAAATTACCTGGGCGTGGTGATGCCTGCCTGTAATCCCAGCTACTCAGGAGGCTAAGGCAGGAGAATCGCTTGAACCCGGGAGGCAGAGGTTGCAGTGAGCCAAGATCGCGCCATTGCACTCCAGCCTGGGCAACCAGAGCGAAACTCCGTCTCAATAAATAATAATAATAATAATAAAATTTAAAATTCGGTTTCTCAGTCTCACTAGCCAGGTTTCAAGTGCTCTTTGTGGCTATGGCACGGTAGCACAGCCTTCATTTCGTGTGGACTCCTTAGGCTCAGAATAGAGCTCTGGGTTTTGGAGTGTGTCAGCCTGTATTAGCATTCAGACTCCAGCGGTAGAGTAAAAAAAAATACATTGTGACCAACTGGGGTTTATTCCAGAAATGCCAAAATGGCTTTTTTTTCTTTTTCTTTTTCTTTTTCTTTTTTTTTTTGAGACAGAGTCTCTCTGGGTCTCCTAGGCTGGAGTGCAGAGGCGTGATCACAGTGGCGTGATCACAGCTCACTACAGCCTCAACCTCCCGGCCTCAAGCGATCCTCCCTCCACAGCCTTCTGAGTAGCTGGGAATACAGGTGTGTACCACTATGCCCAGCATGGTGTTTTTAGTAAAGACAGGGTTTTGCCATGTTGCCCAGGCTGGTCTTGAACTCCCGGGCTCAAGCAATTTTCCTGCCTCAGTTTCCCAAAACCACCCGTAAGCCACTGTGCCCAGCCCAGAATGGCTAATATTCAAAAACCATTAATGAGCTTTATCATATTAACAAAGTAAAAAAAAAATCAGTATGATCATCTTATATATGCTAAAAGAATATTTGACAAAATTTAGTATCTATGTTTTTTGGTTTTGGGTTTTTTTTTTTTTTTTGAGATGGAGTCTTGCTCTGTCACCCAGGCTGGAGTATAGTGGTGTGATCTCAGCTCACTGCAACCTATGCCTCCCGAGTTCAAACGATTCTCCTGTCTCAGCCTCCTGAGTAGCTGGGATTACAGGCTCTGGCCACCATGCCCAGCTAATTTTTTTGTATTTTTAGTAGAGACAGGGTTTGGCCAGGCTGGTCTCAAACTCCTGACCTCGTGATCCGCCTGCCTCGGCCTCCCAAAGTGCTGGGATTACAGGCATGAGCCACCTCGGCTGGCTCTATGAATTTTTTTTTTAGAAAAACACTGACTAGCTGGGTGTGGTCATGTACAACTGTGGTCCCAGCTACTTGGGAGGCTGAGATAGGAGGATCTCTTTAGCCCGTGGGTTCAATTCTGCAGTGAGCTATGATCGCACCACTGCACTGAAGCCTGGGCAACAGGGTGAGACTCTGTCTCAAAAAAAGAAAGAAAGAAAATTAAAGTACAGTGGCAAGGGCAAAGGTGTCACTAGTCAATGTCAGGAGGGCAGTGCCCAGTGGTGGTGGTGGTAATGGTGGCTTCCCCACCGGGGTGTGGCTGCATCTGATATTAGGAACATTCTTGCTGCTGTCTATTCTTGGCCTCCTGCCACATTCCTGAGCCGGATTCCGTAGCCTTTCCATGTATCCTTTGCTTTTTTTTTAGACAGAGTCTTGCTCTGTCACCCAGGCTGGAGTGTAGTGGCACGATCTCAGTTTACTGCAACCTCTGCCTCCTGGGTTCAAGAAATTCTCCTTCCTCAGCCTCCCGAGTAGCTGGGATTACAGGCATGCACCACCATGCCCGGCTAATTTTTTTTTTGTATTTTTAGTAGAGATGGGGTTTTACCATGTTGGCCAGGCTGGTCTCAAACTCCTGACCTGAGATGATCCACCTGTCTCAGCCTCGCAAGAGTGCTGGGATTATAGGCATGAGCCAGGTCGTGGCTCTTCTGCTTTTTTTTTTTTTTTTGAGAGGGAGTCTCGCTGTCACCCAGGCTGGAGTGCAGTGGCTCTATCTCTGCTCACTGCAAGCTCTGCCTCCCGGGTTCAGGCCATTCTCCTGCCTCAGCCTCCCAAATAGCTGGGACTACAGGCACCTGCCACCACGCCTGGCTAATTTTTTGTATTTTTAGTAGAGACGGGGTTTCACCATGTTAGCCAGGATGGTCTCGATCTCCTGACCTCGTGATCCGCCCGCCTCGGCCTCCCAAAGTGCTGGGATTATAGGCGTGAGCCACCGCGCCCGGCTCTTTTGCTTTTACTCAAAGTCCTTCAACACATTCCTCCTCTGCTTCTTGGATCCAAACAAGAGCCACCACAGCCAGAGGCTCTCCCTGCTGCATGGCAAGAGACCCTCAGGAATTCCCCTTCACATAGCCCAAGAGGAGGTTTCATGCGCATGAGATGATTTTCGTTTTTCTCCTGATGCAGATTGGATTAACAGATGGTGACTTTTGTCATCCTTAAGCAAAATAGACTGAAGTCTTCGGTTTTGAAGACGTAGGCTGCATTTTTGGGGGAACGACGAAGGAAATCTATTTGATTTGTAAAACTCCCCTGCTGAATGTACTTCTAAGACTGGAAATAGATCAAGACTCCATCTTATAGGGGACTGGTGAGATGAACGATGGCAGATTCAATAATGCAAACATGTCTGTATCTTCTTAAAAGGATGAGGAAGCTCTGTTTACCTAAATGAAAAGCTTTCTAGGAGGAAGTCCTAAGTGAACAATGATGCATGAGGATGCAATCTTACAGGTGAGAAAACATAAAAATAAGGATATTTATATGGTTTACCTATTTGTCCCCTCCAAATCTCATGTTGAAAATTGATCCTGGGCTGGGCACGGTGGCTCACACCTGTAATCTCAGCACTTTGGGAGGCCAGGGTGGGTGGATCACCTGCGGTCAGGAGTTTGAGACCAGACTGACCACCATGGTGAAATCCCCTCTCTACTAAAAATACAAAAATTAGCCGGGCATGGTGGCGAGCGCCTGTGATCTCAGGAGGCTGAGGCAGGAGAATCGCTTGAGCCTGGGAGGTGGAGGTTGCAGTGAGCCGAGATTGCGCCACTGCACTCCAGCCTGGGCAAGAGAGTGAGACTCTGTCTCAAGAAAAAAGAAAATTTATTCTGAATGTTGGAGGCCTGTGGCCTTGTGGGAGGTGTTTGCGTCGTGGAGGCCCATCCTGCATGAAGAGCTTGGCGCTCTTCTCAGGGTAATGAGTGAATTCTTGCTCTATTTGTTCCCATGAGAGCTGATTGTTAAAAGGAGCCTGCCGGACAGGGCAGCTCATGCCTGTAATCCCAGCACTTTGGGAAGCCAAAGCAGGAGGACTGCTTGAAGCCAATAGTTCAAGACCAGCCTGGGCAACATAGTGAGACCCTGTCTCTACAAAAAAATTTGGCACCCGACCTGTATAATTTTTCTATTTTAAACATATTGGCTGGGCGCAGTGGCTCACGCCTGTAATCCCAGCCCTTTGGGAGGCCAAGGCCAGCATATCACCTGAGGTCGGGAGTTCGAGACCGGCCTGACCAACATGGAGAAACCCCATCTCTACTAAAAATACAAAATTAGCTGGGGTGGTGGTGCATGCCTGTAATTCTAGCTACTCAGGAGGCTGAGGCAGGAGAATCGCTTGAACCTGGGAGGCAGAGGTTGTGATGAGCCGAGATCGCACCATTGCACTCCAGCCTGGGCAACAAGAGCAAAACTCCATCTCAAAAAAATAAAAAATAAAAAATAGACATATTAATGTATTAGCTTTATAAAATTATATCAGGCTGGGCATGGTGGCTCATGCCTGTAATCTCAACACTTTGGGAGGCCAAGGCAGGGGATCACCTGAGATCAGCAGTTTGAGACCAGCCTTGCCAACATGGTGAAACCCCATCTCTACCAAAAATACAATAAATTAGCCGGGCGTGGTGGAGGCGCCTGTAATCCCAGCTACTTGGGAAGCTGAGGCAGGAGAATTGCTTGAACCTGGGAGGCAGAGGTTGCAGTGAGCTGAGATCATGCCATTGCATTGCAGCCTGGACAAAGAATGAAACTCAGTCTCAAAAAAAAAAATTATATCTATATTACATGATTCAATGCATATAAAATTCTTAGAATAGGCTGGGTGCGGTGGCTCATGCCTGTAATCCCAGCACTTTGGGAGGCTGAGGCAGATGGATCACCTGAGGCCAGGAGTTCAAGACCAGCCTGGCCAACATAGTGAAATCCCTTCTCTACTAAAAATACAAAATTTAGCTGGGTGTGGTGGCTGGTGCCTGTAATCCCAACTACTCAGGAGGCTGAGGCACAAGAATTGCCTGAACCTGGGAGAGGGAAGTTGCAGTGAGCCTCAGCCACTGCAGTCCAGCCTGGGCAACAGAGTGAGACTCTGTCTCAAAAAAATAAAAATAAAAATAAAAGTAAAATTCTTAGAATAATGCCTTGTATCAGTACATATATATTCACACATGTATATTCACACATGTATATGTGTGTATATGTGTGTGTGTGTGTGTGTGTGTGTGTGTGTATATATATATATATATATATATATATATGCCATGGATATTTCCAAAAAGATACAGAAGACATCAATAAGAACAGAAGGGGAGGAACGCTGGAAAATGGGAAAACTGGGATGGATGAGAAGCTTACAGTCTACCCGGAAATATATTACCAAGTCAAAACACATCACTGTTTATGTATTTTATTACAGGGTCTCACCCTGTTGCCAGGCTAGAGTGCAGTGGTATGATCACGACTCACTGCAGCCTTGACCTCTTAAGTCTGAGAGATCCTCCTACCTCAGCCTCCTGAGTAGCTGGGACCACAGCTGTCTCCCTGGCTAGGGTTTGTTTTACTTATTTATTTATTTATTAGAGACAGAGTCTCACCCTGTCACCCAGACTGGAGTGCAGTGGCACAATCTCGGCTCTCACAGCAACCTCCACCTCCCAGGTTCAAGCAATTCTCCTGCCTCAGCCTCCCAAGAAGCTTGGAGTACAGGCGCATGCTGCCACGCCCAGCTAATTTTTTGTATTTTTAGTAGAGACAGGGTTTCACTACGTTGGCCAGGCTGGTCTCGAACTCCTGAACTCGTGATCTGCCTGCCTCGGCCTCCTAAAGTGCTAGGATTATAGGCATGAGCCACCACGCCAGGCGGGCTTAATTTATTTATTTTTATTTTTCATTTTTTGAGATGGAGTCTCACACTGTCACCCAGGCTGGAGTGCAGTGGCGTGATCTCGGCTCACTGCAACCGCCACCTCCCAGGTTCAAGCGATTCTCTTTGCCTCAGCCTCCTGAGTAGCTGGGATCACAGGTGCCTACCACCATGCCCGGCTAATTTTTTTTTTTTTGTATTTTTAGTAGAGACAGGGTTTCACTATGTTGGCCAGGCTGGTCTTGGACTCCTGACCTTGTGATCCGCCCACCTCAGCCTCCCAAAGTGCTGGGATTACAGGTGTAAGCCACTGTGCCTAGCCGGGTTTTATTTTTTATATTTTATTTTATATTTTGTAGACACAGGGGTCTCCCTATGTTGTTCAAGCTGGTCTCGAACTCCTGGCCTCAAGTGATCCTCCTGCCTCGACCTCTCAAAGCTCTGGTATTATAGGTGTGAACTACTGCATCTGGCCTGTATAATTTTCTTATTTTAAACATATTAATGTATTAGCAATATAAAAGTATATTTATATTACATGACTCAATGCACGTAAAATACTTAAAACAATGTCTTATATCGGCACACACACACATATATATATACACACACATTTATACATGCATATATATATATATCTGTGTGTGTATATATATGCAATGGATATTTCCAGAAAGATACAGAAGAAATCAGTAAAAACAGAAAGGGAGGAACTCTGGGCAACTGGAAAACAGGGGTGGCTGAGGAGGCTTGCGTCTACCCTGAAATCTATTACCAAGTCAAAACACATCACTATGGATGTATGTATTTTAACGAAGTATTTATAATCTTTCAGGCAAGGAGCCCAGTGATAACAAATGGCTGTAGATGCTTTTCCTCCATCAAGCTTCCAGGAGGAGATGAGATGGAGCCCATCGCTGAGCCAAGGTCACCAGCCCCATTTCACAAATGTAAATAGCAGGTGTCCCCCACACAGTCTGAACACTTGGAGGCCAAGATTCATTTCTCTCAGGGCCCACCATCCTCAAGCATGGGATTGATTTAGTGCCTCTTGCTGGGAAGCAAAGTTCTGGGAGCCATAGTGGGATCCTCCCTCCCTCCCTGCAGGAGACTGGGGCCCTTCCAAGCAGCAACTGAGACCAGTCAACAACCTCTGCCTTAGGCCAGGCGCGGTGGCTCACGCCTGTAATCCCAACACTTTGGGAGGCTGAGGCGGGCAGATCATCTGAGGTCAGGAGTTCAAAACCATCCTGGCCAACATGGTGAAACCCCGTCTCTACTAAAAATACAAAAATTAGCTGGGCGTGGTGGTGCGTGCCTGTTGTCCTAGCTACTCCGGAGGCCAAGGCAGGAGAATTCCTTGAACCTGGGAGACAGAGGTTGCAGGTCTGAGATTGCACCACAGCATCCAGCCTGGGCGACAGAGTGAGACCCTGTCTCAAAAAGAAACAAATTAAAAAACAAAAAACAAAAAACAACCTCTGCCTGCCCTTGGGGCCTAGCATGAGCCCCTGCACACAGGAGGCTTCTATAAAAATAGCTCATTTCGGGTAATCTAGGGCAGAACCCAGGCTTTTACCACTTGTGGTTTCTCTTTCTAAATGTGTAGTTAAAAGCTGTAGGCCAGACCTGGTGCATGGTGGCTCATGCCTGGAATCCCAACACTTTGGGAGGCTGAGGTGGGAGAATCACTTGAGGTCAGGAATTTGAGATCAGCTTGGCCAATATAGCAAGACCCTGACTCTTTAAAAAAAAAATTTTTTTTTTAATTAGCCAGGCAAGGTGGTTGTGCCTATAGTTCCAGCTACTCAGGAGGCTGAGGCAGGAGGCTCACTTGAGCCCAGGAGTGCGAGGCTGCAGTGAGCTGTGACTGCACTGCTACACTCCAGCCTGGACAAACTGAGCAAGACCCCATCTTAAAAAAAAAAAAAAAAAAAAAAAAAAAAAAAGACTGGTTGCAGTGGCTCATGCCTGTAATCCCAGCACTTTGGGAGGCCGAGGTGGGCGGATCACCTGAGGTCGGGAGTTCGAGACCAGCCTGACCAACATGGAGAAACTCCATCTCTACTAAAAATACAGAATTAGCTGGGTGTGGTGGCACATGCCTGTAATCCCAGCAACTCAGGAGGCTGAGGCAGGAGAATCACTTGAACCCAGGAGGCGGAGGTTGCTGTGAGCTGAGATCGCGCCATTGCACCCCAGCCTGGGCAACAAGAGCAAAACTCCGTCTCAAAAAAAAAAAAAAGAAGAAGAAGAAGAAACCCAAACACACACACAAACAAAATAACAGGTGCAGGCCAGTTAAACAAAAACAACTCAAGAACTGTGCCCTGCAGGGGCGCATTCATGTGCGGGTGCCCCCTAGAGGACTCTGAGGGTAGAATGCATTCATCCTGAATGGATGCAAGAGGATCATTTTTCTTCATCCAAAGTGAATTCCCTACCGTATGCTATGCCCAGGGGACATGGCCAGTGAACAAGACATGCAAACATTATTGCTGCTGCTCTGTTCACACATGCAAGAGAGAGACAATGAGTCAGCAAACACACACATAAGTTGTTTTTGTATAGCAAAATGTACCAGAACATAAGATATAGGGGACTGGTGGCTGGGCGTGGTGGCTCATGCCTGTCATCCCAGCACTGTGGGAGGCCGAGGCAGGTGGATCACCTGAGGTCAGGAGTTGAGACCAGCCTGGGCAACATGGGGAAACCCCATCTCTACTAAAAAATACAAGTCCCAGCTACTCAGGAGGCTGAGGCAGGGGAATTGCTTGAACCTGGGAGGCGGAGGTTGCAGTGAGCCAAGATCGCCCCACTGCAATCCAGCCTGGGTGACAGGTAGAGACTCCATCTCAAAATGATGATGATAAGAAGAAGAAGAAGAAGAAGAAGAAGGCTGGGCACGGTGGCTCACGCCTGTAATCCCATCACTTTGGGAGGCTGAGGCAGGCAGATCACGAGGTCAGGAGTTCGAGACCAGTCTGACCAACATGGTGAAGCCCCATCTCTACTAAAACTACAAAAATTAGTCGGGCATGGTGGTGTACGCCTGTAATCCCAGCTACTCAGGAGGCTGAGGCAGGAGAATTGCTTGACCCTGGGAGGCAGAGGTTGCAGTGAGCCGAGATCGTGCCACTGCACTCCAGCCTGGGTGACAGAGCAAGACTCCATCTCAGATAATAATAATAATAATAATGGCTCAAGCTAATAAAAGAAGGCCTGTCAATGCACCTATATCACCTTCTCTGTTGCATTATTAAAAAAAAAAAGATATAGGAGGCTGGGGTGAGCTACTTTAGATGGAGTGGTCAGGGAAAGGCCTTTTGAGGGGAGGACTCTGAGCTGCTGGCTGAAGGATAAGACAGAACCACCACCCAAAGCATCTAAGAAAGGCTGCCAGTCCAGACACAGGCGCCCTGAGTGGTACACAATAGGTGTGCTCATCCGAGAGCAATGAGGCTAGTGCCGCTGAATTCAGAGTGATTGAGGAACTGCGGTAGGAAATGAGGCAAATAATGTGGTATTGTCGCAACCATGGAAATGCAGGCTGATGACACAGAACACTACAGATTTCAGAAACAGATGCACTTGATCTGTGCACAAAGTCACATTGCTTTTTTGCAGTCGAGAACAGACATTTTTGTGGAGCTGTATTCGGTCCAGGACCCCGACCTTACACCGTACCCCAAATACATTTCTAGATGGTTCACATGTCTAAGTGTGAAAGATAAAACTATAAATATTCAAGAGCAAGGCATTGGGAAACATCTCTGGGATATCAGGATTGGCAAGGATTTCTTTTTTCTTTCCTTTTTTTTTTTTTGAGACAGATTCTTGCTCTGTTGCCCAGAATGGAGTGCAGTGGCGCGATCTTGGCTCACTGCCAGCCTCCGCTTCCTGGGTTCAAGCGATTCTCCTGCCTCAGCCTCCCGAGTAGCTGGGACTACAGGCGCCCACCATGCCCACCTAATTTTTATATTTTTAGTAGAGACGGGGTTTCACCATGTTGGCCAGGCTGATCTCAAACTCCTGACATCAAGTGATCCGCCCGCCTCAGCCTCCCACAGTGCTGGGATTACAGGCAAGAGCCACCGCGCCTGGCCAGTAGTGATTTTTTTAAATAGACAAATGAAAAGTGTATGTGTTGGCCGGGCTCGGTGGCTCATGCCTGTAATCCTAGCACTTTGGGAGGCTGAGGCAGGTAGATCACGAGGTCAAGAGATCAAGACCACCCTGCCAACACGGTGAAACCCGTCTCTACTAAAATACAAAAAATTAGCCAGGTGTGGTGGCACACACCTGTAATCCCAGCTACTTGGCAGGCTGAGACAGGAGAACCGCTTGAACCCGGGAGGTGGAGGATGCAGTGAGCCGAGATGGCGCCACTGCACTCCAGCCTGTCGACAGAGCAAGACTCTGTCTCAAAAAAAAAAAAAAGAAAAAGAAAAGTGTATGTATTTATGGTGTACAACATAATGTATTGCTATATGTATACATTGTGGAGTGGCTAAATCAAGCTGTTGAACACGTGCATTGCCTCACATACTTATTTCTTTATGGTGTGAGCACTTAAAATCTATTGTCAGTGGTTTTCAAGAATATGGTTCTTTTTTTTTTTTTTTTTTTTTTTTTGAGACAGAGTCCCACTCTATTGCCCAGGCTGGAGTGCAATGGCACGATCTCGGCTCACTGCAACCTCTGTCTCCCAGGTTCAAGTGATTCTCCTGCCTCAGCCTCCCGAGTAGCTGGGATTACAGGCTCGCAGCACCACGCCCAGCTAATTTTTTTATTTTTATTTTTTTTAGTACAGATGGGGTTTCACCATGTTGGTCAGGCTGGTCTTGAACTCCTGACCTCGTGATCCACCCACCTCGGCCTCCCAAAGTGCTGGGATTACAGGTGTGAGCCACTGTGCCTAGCCTGAAACATTGTATTCTCTGACTAAGAACTTCCCATTGGCACAGTGGCTAACATGTGTAATCCCAGCACTTTGGGAGGCCAAGGCAGGAGGATCACCTGAGGTTGGGAGTTCGAGACCAGCCTGGCCAACATGGTGAATCACTACTAAAAATACAAAAATTAGCCAGGCATGGTGGTGCGTGCCTGTAATCCCAGCTACTTGGGAGGCTGAGGCAGGAGAATGGCTTGAACCCGGGAGACGGAGGTTGCGGTGATCTGAGATCATGCCATTGCACTCCAGCCTGGGCAACAAGAGCGAAACTCCGTCTCAAAAAAGAACTTCCCATTCCCTCTCTTCCTCCTCCACCCCCGGACTCCCTCCAGCCCCTGGGAACCCCCATTCTACTCTTTACTTCTATGAGTGCCACATTTTCAGATTCCACATATGAGTGCCATCATGCAGTATATGTCTTTCTGTGCTTGGCTGACTTTATTTAACGTATGTCCTCAGGTTCATCCATGCTGTTCCAAATGACAGGATATCCTTCTTCTTTTTTTTTTTTTTTTTTTAAGATGGAGCCTAGCTCTGTCACCCAGGCTGGAGGGTAGTGGTGTGATCTCAGCTCACCACAACCTCCGCCTCCCGGGTTCAAGCGATTCTCCTGCCTCAGCCTCCTGAGTAGCTGGGACTGCAGGCGTGCGCCACCATGCCTGGCTAACTTTTGTATTTTTAGTAGAGACAGGGTTTCACTATGTTGGCCAGGCTGGTCTCGAATTCCTGACATCATGATCCGCCCATCTCGGCCTCCCAAAGTGCTGGGATTACAGGCATGAGCCACCACGCCCTGCCAGGATTTCCTTCTTTTTTAAGGCTGCCTAGTATTCCATTGTGCGTACACACCCCATTTTCTTGGTGCGTTCATCCATTGGTGGACACCTAGGTGGATTCCACATCTTGGCGACTGGGAACAGTACTCCCATAAACACGGGAGTGCAGGCGTCTCTTCCACATACTGATTTCATTTCCTTTGGAAACGTACCCAGCAGTGGGATTGCTGGATCACATGACGTTTCTATTTTTAATTTTTTGAGGAAGCTGCGGTTGTAATGTCTCAGCTGAGAACTACAGAATGAGGAGGAGGGGCTACCTGGAGATCCTAAGGAAGCCTGGATGTTACAACACAGGGAAGGGTTAGCGTAAGAGCCCTGAGTAAAGGCATCCTTTCTGGTGTATGAAAAACAGCGCAGCGGCTAATGGGGTGGATCAGACAGGGAGAGCTGAGGAACCTGGAGGTAGGAAGGAAAGCAGCCAAGGCTAACAGGATCCAGATCATGGAAGGCGTTTTAGGACACCGTAAAGAAGCTGGCTTTTGTTCAAAGTGGAAAAGGAAGCAATTAGGGGTTGTTAGGATTGGAAATGACACAATCTGGTTTCTGTTTTTAAAAGAATCTTAGGCCGGGCGCGATGGCCAGCACTTTGGGAGGCCGAGGTGGGCGGATCATGAGGTCAGGAGATCGAGACCATCCTGGCTAACATGGTGAAACCCCGTCTCCACTAAAGATACAAAAAAATTAGCTGGGCGTGGTGGTGGGCGCCTGTAGTCCCAGCTACTCGGGAGGCTGAGGCAGGAGAATGGCGTGAACCCGGGAGGCGGAGCTTGCAGTGAGCCGAGATCGCACCACTGCACTCCAGCCTGGGCGACAGAGCGAGACTCCGCCTCAAAAAAAAATAATAAATAATAAATAAATAAATAAAAGAATCTTGCTGGGTGGCGGAAAGATATCAACTTGATGAGGATGTCAAGTGAACAGGGTACAGAAGACGAGGGTCCTTGGGAAAGATGCTGGTGGTCTTGCATGGGCTGCAGCAGGAGAAATGAAGCTACACTAGCTAATGGGAAATTCCCTCACTCGGCAAGTATCCTAGAGTGCATTGTGCCCTGTTACAGACGGGCACTGCAGATACAGCCATGAAGAAAATAAAGTCCTCTAGGCCGGGCGTGGTGGCTCATACCTGTAATCCCAGCATTTTGGGAGGCCGAGGTGGGAGGATCACTTGAGCCCAGGTGTTCAAGACCAGCCCGGGCAACATGGCAAAACCCCCGTCTCTACTAACAATACAAAAACTGAGCTGAGTGTGGTGGTGCACGCCTGTAGTCCCAGCTACTCGGGAGGCTGAAGCGGGAGAATCGCTTGAACCCGGGAGGCAGAGGGTTGCAGTGAGCCGAGATCACAGCACTGCACGCTCCAGCCTGGGTGACAGAGTGAGACTGTCTCCGGAAAAAAAAAAAAAAAGAACAAAGTCCCCTTAGCCAGACATGGTGACTCATGCCTGTAATCCCAGCACTTTGGGAGGCCGAGGCAGTGGTTCACCTGAAGCCAGGAGTTCGAAACCAGCCTGGCCAACATGACAAGACCCTGTCTCTACAAAAAAAAGATACAAACATTAGCCGGGCATGATGGCATGTGCCTGTGGTCCCAGCTACTCGGGAGGTTGAGATGGGAGAATTGCTTGAACCCAGGGAAGTTAAGGCTGCAGTGAGCAGTGATCACATCACTGCCCTCCAGCCTGGGTGATAGAGACAGACCCTGTCTTAAAACAAAAACAAAAAAAGTCCCTGTCCTCATGGCATTCCTGCACTTTAAGGGAAGACCAATAATTACCCACAGGAACACACAGACATGTCACACTATGTCAGACAGTGACGTGTGTGATAAAGAAAAAAAGCTGGGCATGAGAGCAGGAGTAACCAATGCAATTCTAGGAGAGGTGACGAGAGAAAGCCTCTCCAGAGACAGTGCTTGATGTGGGGCCCGCATGCCTCCAAGGAGAGCATCTCTGGTGGAGGGAATAGCAGATCCGGATGCCTGGAGGTGGGAGTGTGTTTTGCCTGTTCTAAAAAGAGTAAAATGAACGCTGTGCTGGAGGAGAGTGAACGAGGGGAAGAGGAGTAAAACATGAGATCTGGCAGCCGGCAACGTTTGGAGAGAGGCATTTGGGAAACAGATCCCCAAGGACTGGGTTATGGAGCCCAGCTGGGCTCTCCATAAATACCGGGGAGACATAGGACACATGAGTTGACAGCTGTCACTCAGGTTGTCAACTGTGAGGTCCTCTACATCTGGCAAGCTCTGAACTCATAGGGTGTTTTTGAGAAATATAAGCGTGTATACAGTTGATCCTTGAACAACACGGGTCCGAACTGCGTGGGTCCACTTATCCAGGGATTTTCTTCCTCCTCTGCCACCCGGAGACAGCCTTCCTCTTCCTCTTCCTCCTCAGCCTACTCAACCTGAAGATGATGAAGATGAACACCTTTATGATGATCCACTTATACTTAATGAACAGTGAATATACTACTTTCTCCTTCTTATGATTTTCTTTCTTTTTTTTTTTTTTTTTTTTGAGATGGAGTGTCACTCTGTGGCCCAGGCTGGAGTGCAGTGGCGCAATCTCAGCTCACTGCAAACTCCACCTCCCAGGTTCAAGCGATTCTCCTGCCTCAGCCTCCTGAGTAGCTGGGATTACAGGCGCGTGCCACCAGGCCCAGCTAATTTTTGTATTTTTATTAGAAATGGGGTTTTACCATGTTGATAAGGGCTGGTCTCGAACTCCTGACCTCGTGATCCACCCACCTCGGCCTCCCAAAGTTCTGAGATTACAGGCGTGAGCCACTGTGCCCGGCCGCACACTGATTTTCTTGATAACATTTTCTTTTCTCTAGCTTCCTTTATTGTAAGAATATAGTATATTATACATAGAATATCAACTTTTTTTTTTTTTTAGGTAGGGTCTGGCTCTGTTGCCCAAGCTGAAGTGCAGTGGCACGATCTCGGCTCACTGCAACCTCCACCTCCTGCGATTTGGGGCCTCAGCCTCCCAAGTAGCTGGGATTACAGGTGAATGCCACCATGTCTGGCTAAATTTTTAGCAGAGGGTCTTACCATGTTTGCCAGGCTGGTCTTGAACGCCTGGCCTCAAGTGATCTGACTGCCTTGGCCTCCCAAAGTGCTGGGGTTATAGGTGTGAGCCACCACACCCGGCCTATTTTTTCTTTTTTCTATTTATTTATTTATTATTATTATTTTTTGAGACGGAGTCTCGCTCTGTCACCCAGGCTGGAGTGCAGTGGTGCAATCTCGGTTCACTGCAAGCTCCGCCTCCCGGGTTCACGCCATTCTCCTGCCTCAGCCTCCCGGTAGCTGGGACTACACGTGCCCGCCACCGCGCCCGGCTAATTTTTTTGTATTTTTAGTAGAGACGGGGTTTCACTGTGTTAGCCAGGATGGTCTCGATCTCCTGACCTCGTGATCTGCCCGCCTCGGCCTCCCAAAGTGATTACAGGATTACAGGCGTGAGCCACCGCGCCCGGCCTCTTTCTTTTTTTAATCTGATTTTCTCCTAGAGCCTTCGGATGAGACCTACCATTCTTTTATTTTATTTTATTTTATTTATTGTACTTGAATGTCAGTAGGGAAAGTATCTGAGTCACAGAGCACCAAAGTATGTTAGCAGCGGAGAATGCGTATGAGTCTGCAGCAACTTCCATTTTTGCCTCTTCAGAAGAAAGAATTCCACTGGGGGAATAAGGCAGGAGAGACCAAGGCAAGCTTTAGAGCATTAGTGAAAGTTTATTAAAAACTTCAGAACAGGAACTAGGCGGGCGCAGTGGCTCACGCCTGCAATCCCAGCACTTTGGGAGGCCGAGGCGGGCGGATCACAAGGTCAGGATTTCCAGACCCAGCCTGACCGATATGGTGAAACCCCATCTCTACTAAAAATACAAAAATTAGTTGGCCGTGCCGTGATGGTGGGTGCCTGTGGTCCCAGCTACTCGGGAGGCTGAGGCAGGAGAATCGCCAAACCTGGCAGGTGGAGGTTGCAGTGAGCCAAGATCGCGCCATTGCACTCCAGCCTGGGCAAAAGAGCAGGACTCCTTCTCCACAAAAAGAAGAAAGAGAGAAAGAAGGGAGGGAGGGAGGGAAGGAAGGTAGGAAGGAAGGAAGGAAGGAAAGGAGGGAGGGGCTGGGCACCGTGGCTCATGCCTATAATCCCAGCACTTTGGGAGGCCGAGGCGGGGCGGATCACCTGAGGTCAGGAGTTCGAGACCAGCCTGGCCAACATGGCGAAACCCCATCTCTACTAAAAATACAAAAATTAGCTGGGCGTGGTGGTGGGCGCCTGTAATCCCAGCTACTCAGGAGTCTGAGGCAGAAGAATCTCTTGAACCCGGGAGGTGGAGGTTGCAGTGAGCCGAGATCGCACCATTGCACTCCAGCCCAGGCGTCAGGGCAAGACTCCATCTCAAATAAAGAAGAAGAAAATGAAACTTTATATTGATAACCTGGATTTGCCTCATTCTTCAGTTTCTTAACTCCATGTGTATTTGGGGGCTGCTTTGCACATAGGGCCCTTTCACAGGAGGGGAAGGCTTGTTACACAGCAAAAGGTATTGGGCGCACTCCTGCGCAGGTTTCCTCTCCGCTCTGCTTCCCCTTTGTGGACCGAAACTGATGACAATACACACCTCGTGGGTTGTTGAGTGATTACGTAACTTAATGCATGTAAAGGGCTCAGATCATTGCCTGACACACAGTACGTGGTGCTCAGTAAATGTTGGTTGTTGTGGTTATATGCAATTATTCCAAAATCTGAAAAATCAGAAATCCGAAACGCTTCTGGCCCCAAGCATTTTGGATAAAGGATACTCAACTCTTATTTATATACTAAAATACTATTTACTTCATCCTTTCCTTAAAATACATATATTTCAGCCTGGGCAACATAGTAAGACCCCGTCTCTACAAAAAGATACAAAGATTAGTTGGGCATAGTGGTGTGCACCTGTAATTCCAGCCAGCTGGGGGGTTGAAGTGGGAGGATTGCTTGAACCTGGAAGGTTGAGGCTGCAGTGAACTGTGATCTTGCCACTGCCCTCCAGCCTGGACAACAGAGCAAGACCCTGTCTCAAAAACAAATAAATAAAAAACAAAAACCATATGTTTGCTTAAATTAAAAAAAAACACAAAAAACAAAACTTCGGCTGGGCACGGTGGCTCACACCTGTAATCCCAGCACTTTGGGAGGCCAAGGTGGGCAGATCACGAGGTCAGGAGATCGAGACCATCCTGAGTAACATGGTGAAACCCCGTCTCTTTTAACACACACACACACACACACACACACACACACACACACACACACACAAAAGCCAGGCGTGGTGGCGGGCACCTGTAGTCCCAGCTACTCGGGAGGCTGAGGCAAGAGAATGGTGTGAACCCAGGAGGCGGAGCTTGCAGTGACCCGAGATCATGCCACTGCACTCCAGCCTGGGTGACACAGCAAGACTCGGTCTCAAAAAAAACAAAACAAAACAAAACAAAAACCTTCAAGCAGCTATGACATAAGTGAGCACAGGTTTACTCATTAGTCTTTGTGTACGTATCAAAGAAAAACGTGAGCAAATATTTACATACCAAGTGTCCTGAAATTAGGATCAACTATATATTTATTCCATAACTTGTCATTGTAGAAGACATTATTTTTGTAGCATTTAGAGACTCATTTGAATAATTCAAATGATTATGAACTTGCAACCTGGAAACCATGACAGTTATGGACAGCTATGTTTTCTAGAATCTTTTTTTTTGTGTAAAATTCCCGATTAAACGGTGTAAATTATGTTTGCAAAAAGAAGGTGAATTTGCTGAACAAACGTATGATAATTAGCCATGGCTGTGACTTTGCCGATAGTTTTTGTTTTGTTTTGTTTTGTTTTGAGATGGAATCTCACTCTGTCACCCAGGCTGGAGTGCAGTGGCATGATCTGCAAGCTCACTGCAAGCTCTGCCTCCTAGGCTAATTTTTTGTATTTTTAGTGGAGACCGGGTTTCACTGTGTTAGCCAGGATGGTCTCGATCTCCTGACCTCGTGATCCGCCCATCTCAGCCTCCCAAAGTGCTGGGATTACAGGTATGAGCCACCACACCCGGCCTTTGCCGATAGAGTTTTAAGTATCTCAACCTGCACGGAAGACTGCATAGATTATTTTAGAATCTGGAACAAATAAAAAGTCATTCCTCTTTGCAAAGTTATTCTGTGCATAAAATAAATAAATGACTCTAACAGATTAAGTCTAGAACAGTGGTTCTCAACGGAGGGCAATTTTGCCTCTTGTTTTAAGATGTAGGGTCTTTTGGGGGGTGGGGTTGTATGTTTGTTTGTTTTTTGAGACAGGGTCTAGCTCTGTCACCCAGGCTGGAGTACAGTGGCGCAATCTTTGCTCACTGCAACCTCTACCTCCCGGGTTCAAGCGATTCTCCTGCCTTGGCCTCCTGTATAGCTGGGATTACAGGCGCCTGCCACCACACCCGGCGAATTTTTGTATTTTTAGTAGAGCCGGGGTTTCACTATGTTGGCCAGACTGGTCTCGAACTCCTGACGTCAGGTGATACTCCTGCCTCGGCCTCCCAGAGTGCTGGGATTACAGGCGTGAGCCACTGCGCCTGGCAAAACGTAAGCTTTATTATTCAGTTATTGTGAGGCCAACAGATCAGGAGACAGTTGCCATTGATAAGACAGTTTGTGGCTGGACACGGTGGCTTTTGCCTGTAATCCCAGCACTTTAGGAGGCAGAGGCAGGTGGATCACCTGAGGTCAGCGGTTCGAGACCAGCCTGGCCAACATGGTGAAACCGCGTCTCTACTAAAAATACAAAAATCAGCTGGGCGCGGTGGCAGGTGCCTATAATCCCAGCTACTCGGGAGGCTGAGGCAGGAGAATCGCTGGAACCCGGGAGGCAGACGTTGCGGTGAGCCCAGATTTCGCCACTACACTCCAGCCTGGGCGACAGAGCGAGACTTTGTCTCAAAAAGGTAAGTAAATTAAATAAATAATAGAAAACATCTCTGCTATTTTTGTCAGAGTTGAATCACCCAAGTAGAATTACTGTAAGAATATTCATGCGTGAGACCATATTAATTTCTAAAACTGCCGGTTGACCTTCTGAACTGGCTTTACCCTCTGCTGGTCATCACTGGCTTTAACAAAGAAGAGGTTTTTTTCCCCCTAAGGGAACAATGGCATTCCTTTAACTTGCATTTCTTACTGATTTGTTATCAGAACTTGGCACTTGGCTGCGTGTCAATTTATGGCATTGTTCACTGAGACTATTCCTATTAAGTTTTACTTCCTCAGTTGACTCCGTGGTGAGTCATTACAAAGTTTAAAGGGAACGCGATTAGGTTTACTTCCCCTCGAACAGCCTGTCTTCTGCTCGCCCACCTGTGTCTCAGCGCCCTCTACTGGTGCCTAAAATCCTATCATAATTTAGTCCACAGGAAATAAAACAAAATCCTCTGCAGTCCCAGGCCAGCCCTAGCCGGGCCCTCCGAAACAGAGGTCAGAGGTCAGTCTAGAAAACTCAGAAAGGGGCGCTTTTCATTGTTCCATATGAAAATCATTCCAATTTTGATTTTCACCATCCACGGAAGCCTCAATTTAAAAAAAAAAGTATCTTGCATGAATTGACTGCTGGGCAATCAGTCCTAAGATTGAAATTGTTTGTGATTTTCAGTTACCGGTTAATGACTAGACAATTAGGCAGAAAGAAATCACTTGCCCAGGCCGGGTGCGGTGGCTCACGCCTGTAATCCCAGCACTTTGGGAGGCCGAGGAGGGCGGATCAGCTGAGGTTGGGAGTTCAAGACCAACCTGGCCAACATGGTGAAACCCCGTCTCTACTAAAAATACAAAAAAATTAGCCAGGCATGGTGGCGGGCGCCTGTAATCCCAGCTACTCGGGAGGCTGAAGCAGGAGAATTGCTTGAACCCGGGAGGCAGAGGTTGCAGTGAGCTGAGATCATGCCACTGCACTCCAGTCTGGGCAACAGAGCAAGACTAGGTCTTAAAAACAAAAAGAGAGAGAAAATAAATCACATGCGCCAGGCAGAGCTGTGTAACCCAAGCCTCAATTTGCTCAGGTGTAAAAGATGCATTCCACCTTCCAAGAATGTTCATTAATTTTCTTAAGTACAGGCATATGTGGAGCCCAAGGTCGTTACAGCTAACTCTGGTCCCCTTAGTTTTATATACTTTGACCAGTAGGAGTGTTCCTAAAACTAGCTAGATAGGAGAGTTGTTTTATAGAAATTATATCTCTTCTTGGCAATAAAACTAGGGTACCTTCTATCTGAAGCCTGAATTGAAAACGTAATACCAATTTGGACCAAGCACAGTTGCTCACGCCTGTAATCTCAGCACTTTGGGAGGCCAAGGAGGGAGGATTGCTTGAGCCCGGGAGTTTGAGACCAGCCTGGGCAACATAGTGAAACCTCATCTCTACTAAAAATTAAAAAAAGAAATTAGCCAGATGTGCTGGTACGTGCCTGAAACCCCAGCTACTCAGGAGACTGAGGCAGGAGGATGGCTGGAGCCCAGGAGTTTTGAGGTTTCAGTGAGTCATGATTGCACCACTGTACTCCAGCCTGGGTGACAGAGTGAGATCATGTCTCAAAAAAAAAAAAAAAAACAACTAAGAATAAAAAAAATAAAAACGCAAAACATGGTACCATTTTAGTTTTTCTTTCTTGTTTTTTTTTTTTTTTTTTTTGAGATGTTGTCTTGCTCTGTCGTCCAGGCTGGAGTGCAATGGCACAATCTCGGCTCCCTGCAACCTCTGCCTCCCAGGTTAAAGGGATTCTCCTGCCTCATCCTCCCGAGTAGCTAGGATTGCAGGCATGCACCACCAAGCCCAGCTGATTTTTGTATTTTTAGTAGAGACGGGGTTTCACCATGTTGGCCAGGCTGGGCTCGAACTCCTGACCTCAGGTGATCTGCCCAACTCGGCCTCTCAAAGTGCTGGGATTAGAGGCTTGAGCCACCGCTCCCGGCCTGTTCTGGACTTTTTAAAAGCATTTTAATTAATTTAAAGTATTAATTTAGGCCAGGCACGGTGGTTTACGCCTGTAATCCCAGCACTTTGGAAGGCTGAGGCGGGCGGATCACCTGAGGTCAGGAGTTCGAGACCAGCCTGACCAGCATGGCAAAACCCCATCTCTACTAAAAATGCACAACAAATTAGCCAGGCATGGTGACGCACACCTGTAATCCCAGCTACTCAGAAGGCTGAGGCAGGAGAATCGCTAGATTCCGGGAGGCAGAGATTGCAGTGAGCCAACATCGCGCCACTGCACTCCAGCCTGGGCGACAGAACAAGACTCCATCTCAAAAAAAAATAAAAATAAAAAAAGAATTAATTTAAAAACAACAAGAACAAAAGAATGAAAAGTAATTCGTGAATAACCTTTTCATATTGATTGCATGAAATAATAATGTTTTGGATATAGTGGGTTAAATAAAATACATTAACTTTATTTGTATTGATTTATATAATTTTTTTTTTTTTTCAGACAGAGTCTCACTCTGTCGGTCAGGCTGGAGTGCAGTGGCACGATCTCGGCTCACTACAACCTCCGTCTCCTGGGCTTAAGTAATCCTCCTGCCTCAGCCTCCCGAGTAGCTGGGATTACAGGCACCCACCACCACGCCGGGCTAATTTTTGTATTTTTAATAGAGACAGGGTTTCACCATGTTGGCCAGGCTGGTCTCAAACTCCTGACCTCAGGTAATCTGCCCGTCTCGGCCTCCCAAAGTGCTGGAATTACAGGCGTGAGCCACCGCACCCGGCCTTAATTTTTTTTTTTTTTTAAACAGAGTTTTACTCTTGTTGCCCAGGCTCGAGTGCAATGGCGCGATCTCGGCTCACCACTCCCTCTGCCTCCCAGGTTGAAGTGATTCTCCTGCCTCAGCCTTCCTAGTAGCTGGGATTACAGGCATGCGCCACCACACCCAGCTAATTTTGTATTTTCAGTAGAGACGGGGTTTCTCCATGCTGGTCAGGCTGGTCTCAAACTCCTGACCTCAGGTAATCCGCCTACCTCGGCCTCCCAAAGTGCTGGGATTACAGGCGTGAGCATGAAGGGGTGGGTTGCCCCTCCACACCTGTGGGTGTTTCTCGTTAGGTGGAACAAGAGACTTGGAAAAGAAAAAGACACAGAGACAAAGTATAGAGAAAGAAATAAGGGGGCCCAGGGGACCAGCGTTCAGCATACGGAGGATCCCCCGGCCTCTGAGTTCCCTTAGTATTTATTGATCATTTTGGGGTGTTTCTCAGAGAGGGGGATGTGGCAGGGTCATAGGATAATAGTGGAGAGAAGGTCAGCAGATAAACACGTTAACAAAGGTCTCTGTATCACAGACAAGGTAAAGAATTAAGTGCTGTGCTTTAGATATGCATACACATAAACATCTCAATGCCTTACGGAGCAGTATTGCTGCCCGCATGTCCCACCTCCAGCCCTAAGGCGGTTTTCCCCTATCTCAGTAGATGGAACATACAATCAGGTTTTACACCGAGACATTCCATTGCCCAGGGACGGGCAGGAGACGGATGCCTTCCTCTTGTCTCAACAGCAAAGAGGCATGCCTTCCTCTTTTACTAATCCTCCTCAGCACAGACCCTTTACGGGTGTCGGGCTGGGAGACGGTCAGGTCTTTCCCTTCCCATGAGGCCATATTTCAGACTATCACATGGGGAGAAACCTTGGACAATACCTGGCTTTCCTAGGCAGAGGTCCCTGCGGCCTTCCGCAGTGTTTGTGTCCCTGGGTACTTGAGATTAGGGAGTGGTGATGACTCTTAAGGAGCATGCTGCCTTCAAGCGTCTGTTTAACAAAGCACATCCTGCACCGCCCTTAATCCATTTAACCCTGAGTGGACACAGCACATGTTTCAGAGAGCATGGGGTTGGGGGTAAGGGCATAGATTAACAGCATCTCAAGGCAGAAGAATTTGTCTTAGTACAGAACAAAATGGAGTCTCCTATGTCTACTTCGTTCTATACAGATACAGTAACAATCCGATCTCTCTTGCTTTTCCCCACAGAGCCACCATGCCTGGCCCTTATTTTTTATTTCAATAGAGTCTTAGGGAGCAAGTGGTGTTTGGTTACATTAATAAGTTATTTAGTGGTGTTTTCTGAGATTTTGGTGCATCCATCACCCGAGCAGGGCACGCTATGCCAAATGTGTACTCTTTTATCCATCACCCCTACTCCCACCTTTTCCCCAAGTCCCCAGAGTTCAATGTATCATTCTTATGCCTTTGCGACCTCATAGCTTAGCTCCCACTTATGAGTAACAACATGTGATGTTTGGTTTTCTATTCCTGAGTTACTTCACTGAAAATAATAGCCTCGGATTCCACCCAGGTTGCTGTGAATGCCATTATTTTGTTCCTCTTTATGGCTGAATAGTATTCCATGGCATATATATATATATATATACCACATTTTCTTTATCCACTCGTTGATTGATGGGCATTTGGGCTGGTTCCATATTTTTGCAATTACAAATTGTGGCAATGAACATGTGTGTGCAAGTATCTTTTCTGTATAATGACTTCTTTTCCGCTGGGTAGACACCCAGGAGTGGGATTGCTGCATCAAATGGTAGGTCTATTTTGATTTTATTTTATTTATTTACTTATTTGAGACAGAGTCTCACTGTGTCGCCCAGGCTGGAGTGCAGTGGCACGATCTTGGCTCACTGCAACCTCTGCCTTCTGGGTTCAAGTGATTCTCCTGCCTCAGCCTCCTGAGTAGCTGGGATTACAGGTGCCCGCCACCACACCCGGCTAATTTTTTTGTGTTTTTAGTAGAGACGGGGCTTCACCATATTGGCCAGGGTGGTCTTGAACTCCTGACCTTGTGATCCACCCGCCTCGGCCTCCCAAAGTGCTGGGGTTACAGGCATGAGCCATCGCACCTGGCCCTACTTTATTTTTGTAATTGTAATTTTATTTTATTTTTACACAGATGCCTGTATGTGACAGAGTAGGGGTGACGGCTGCGATTAGTGTGGCCCAAGTCCATTGTTTGCCCCTGTACCTCATGGCTGTGTGACCTTGGCCAAGTGAACAAGGGCAAATTTGCCCTTTCTGTTTTTGGGTGTTTTTTTGTTTTGTTTTTGTTTGTTTAGACACGGTCTCACTCTGTTGCCAAGGCTGAAGTGCAGTGGTGCGATCACAGCTCACTGCAACCTTGACTTACTGGGCTCAGGTGATGCTCCCACCTCAGCCTCACGAGTAGCTGGGACTGTGCCACCATGCTCAACTAATTTTGTATTTTTTGTAGAGATGGGGTTTCTCCATGTAGCCCATTTCATGCGCGTCCGTGTGAAGAGACCACCAAACAGGCTTTGTATGAGCAACATGGCTGTTTATTTCACATGGGTGCAGGCGGGCTGAGTCCGAAAAGAGAGTCAGCAAAGGGAGATAAGGGTGGGGCCGTTTTATAGGATTTGGGTAGGTAAAGGAAAATTACAGTCAAAGGGGGTTTGTTCTCTGGTGGGTAGGAGTGGGGGTCGCAAGGTGCTCAGTGGGGGAGCTTCTTGAGCCAGGATGAGCCAGGAAAAGGACTTTCACAAGGTAATGTCATCAGTTAAGGCAAGGACCGGCCATTTACACTTCTTTTGTGGTGGAATGTCATCAGTTAAGGTGGGGCAGGGCATATTCACTTCTTTTGTGATTCTTTAGTTACTTCAGGCCATCTGGGCGTATACGTGCAGGTCACAGGGGATGCGATGGTTTGGCTTGGGCTCAGAGGCCTGACATTCCTGCCTTCTTATATTAATAAGAAAAATAAAACAAAATAGTGTTGAAGTGTTGGGGCGGCGAACATTTTTGGGGGGTGGTATGGAGAGAGAACGGGCGATGTTTCTCAGGGCTGCTTCAAGCGGGATTAGGGGCGGCGTGGGAACCTAGAGTGGGAGAGATTAAGCTGAAGGGAGGTCTTGTGGTGAGGGGTGATATTGTGGGGATGTTAGAAGAAACGTTTGTCGTATAGAATGATTGATGATGGCCTGGATACGGTTTTGTATGAATTGAAAAACTAAATGGAATAACAGAAGGAGAAAAACAGGTATAAAAGGTCTAAGAATTGGGATGACTCAGGATATCTGATTAGAGAGTGCCTAAGGAGATTCAGCATAGTCCTGCCAGCAAAGATTATTTATTTACTTCAAGAGTTAAGAGTGGCAGTTTGGGGATAGCACCAAGAGATATCAGCTGTGATGGCTTGGAAAAACAGTGTAAACCGGCCGTGTAAACAAGAGCAGGGCATGTATGAGTAGTTGAGAATGGTGAATAGGAGTATGATTAGACAGAAGATAGTAGGGATGACAAGTATTTTTTGGGGCACAGTCTAAGTTGGTCTGGTGTCGAATGAGACTGGGGCCTAATAAAAAGGAGCGTCTATACAGGAGCTTAAATGGGCTGTACCCTGTAGCATTCCCAGGACAGGCCTGAATTCTGAGAAGGGAAAGTGGTAAAAG
Organism: Homo sapiens; assembly: GCF_000001405.40. NCBI lineage: Eukaryota > Metazoa > Chordata > Mammalia > Primates > Hominidae > Homo > Homo sapiens. The sequence goes on along the minus strand of NC_000019.10, from coordinate 53,836,177 downwards.
TATTGTCCAGTCCTTTTTAAGTTGGTGACTGAGCTTGGTGAGGTGTGTTTTTAAAAGACCTTTAGTCCATTCTAATATTCTTGAAGACGGAGGACCGTAGGGATATAAAGGTTTCACTGAATACTAAGAGCCTGAAAAACTGCTTGGCTGATTTGACTAATAAAGGCTCATCTGTTATCAGACTGTATAGAGGTGGGAAGGCTAAACTGAGGAATTATGTCTGACAGGAGGGAAGAAATGACTGCGGTGGTTTCTCAGACCCTGTAGGAAAGGCCTCTACCTATCCAGTGAAAGTATTTATCTAGACTAAGAGGTATTTTAGTTATCTGACTCAGGGCATGTTGAGTAAAGCTAATTTGCCAGTCCTGAGTGGGGCAAATCCTCGAGCTTGATGTGTAGGGAAGGGAGGGGGGCCTGAATAATCCCTGAGGAGTAGTAGAATAGCAGATGGAACACTGAGAAGTTATTTCCTTGAGGATAGATTTCCACGATGGAAAGGAAATGAGAGGTTCTAAGAGGCAGGCTAGTGGCTTGTACTATAGCATAACCTGCCTTTGCTGGTGTGTGGCGATTAGGCCTGGTGGAACCACCATCAATAAATCAAGCGTGATCAGGGTGAGGAACAGGAAAGAAGGAAATTTGGGGAAATGAGGTGAATGTCAGGTGGATCAGAGAGATACAGTCATGGGGGTCAGGTGTGGTACCTGGAATAATGTGGGAGGCTGGATTGAAGTCCGGGCCAGGAACAATGGTAATTGTGGGACTCAACAAAGAGTGAGTGCAGCTGAAGGAGCCGGGAAGCAGAAAGTATATGCGTCAGGTATGAGGAAGAAAATAGATTTTGGAAGTTATGAGAACTGTAGAGAGTGAGTTGAGCATAGTTTGTGATTTTGAGGGCCTCTAAAAGTATTAATGCAGCGGCAGCCCCTGCACGCAGACATGAGGGCTAGGCTAAAACAGTAAGGTCAAGTTGTTTGGACAGAAAGGCTACAGGGTGCAGTCCTGGCTCTTGTGTAAGAATTCTGACCACGCTAACCATGCCTAGGAAGGAAAGGAGTTGTTTTGTAGAAGGTGCTGGGGTTTGAGAGATCACTAGGACACGATTGGCAGGGAGAGCACGTGCGTTTTTATGAGAATTATGCCCAGATAGGTAACAGATGAGGATGAAATTTGGGCTTGACTGAAGTAATGGGGGCTGTCTGTGAAGCCTTGCGGCAGTACAGCCCAGGTAATTTGCTGAGCCTAATGGGTGTCAGGGTCAGTCCAAGTGAAAGCGAAGAGAGGCTGGGATGAAGGGTGCAAAGGAATAGTAAAGAAAGCATGTGTGAGATCCAGAACAGAATAATGGGTTGTAGAGGCAGGTACTGAGGATAGGAGAGTATATGGGTTTGGCACCACGCGGTGGATAGGCAAAACAATTTGGTTGATAAGGTGCAGATCCTGAACTAACTTGTAAGGCTTGTCTGGTTTTAGGACAGGTAAAATGGGGGAATTGTAAGGAGAGTTTATAGGCTTTAAAAGGCTATGCTGTAGCAGGCGAGTGATAACAGGCTTTAATCTTTTTAAAGCGTGCTGCGGAATGGGATATTGGCGTTGAGTGGGGTAAGGGTGATTAGGTTTTAATGAGATGGTAAGGGGTGCATGATCGGTCGCCAAGGAGGGAGTAGAGGTATCTTATACTCGTGGGTTAAGGTGGGGGGATACAAGAGGAGGACACAAAGGAGGCTTTGGATTGGGAAGAAGGGCGGCAATGAGATATAGCTGTAGTCCAGGAACAGTCAGGGAAGCAGATAATTTAGTTAAAGTGTCTCAGCCTAATAAGGGAACTGGGCAGGTGGGGATAACTGAAAACGAGTGCTTGAAAGAGTATTGTCTAATTGGCACCAGAATTGGGGGAGTTTTAAGAGGCTTAGAAGCCTGGCTGTCAATACCCACAACAGTTATGGAGGCAAGGGAAACAGACCCTTGAAAAGAAGGTAATGTGGAGTGGGTAGCCTCCGTACTGATTAAGAAGGGGACAGACTTACCCTCCACTGTGAGTTACCTAAAGCTCGGCATCCGTGATGGTCTACGGGGCTTCTGAGGCGATCAGGCAGCATCAGTCTTCAGCCGGTAAGCCGAGAAGGAGTCAGTCAGAGAGCCCTGGGCTAGAGTTCCAGGGGCTCTGGGAGTGGCTGCCAGGTGAGTTGAACAGTCCGATTTTCAGTGGGGTCCCACACAGATGGGACGCGGCTTAGGAGGAATCCCGGGCTGCGGGCGTTCCTTGGCCCAGTGGCCAGATTTCCAGCATGTGTAGCAAGTTCCTGGGGGAAGAAGGTTCTGGAGGAACGCCTGGCTGCTACAGTTCAGGCATTTGGAAGTTCTTGTGTGCTGGAGATGTGGCTGGGGTTTGTCTCACAGTGGAGGCAAGGAATTGCAACTTTTTTCTGTTATTACACACCTTGAAGGTGAGGTTAATTAAGTCCCGTTGTGGGGTTCGAGGGCCAGATTCCAGTTTTTGGAGTTTTATTTCATGTCGGGAGCAGATTGGGTAATAAAATGTATGTTGAGAATAAGACGGCCTTTTGACCTTTTAGGGTCTAGGGCGGTATAGCGTCTAAAGGTTGCTGCCAAACGAGCCATGACCTGGGCTGGGTTTTCATCTTTACCTTGGGTAGTTTCTTTAAGTTTGTCATAATGAACAGCTTTGTAAGCTGCTTTTTTAAGCCCTTCAACTAGGCAGGAAACCATGTAATCTCGCCTAGCTATACCTGGGGAATTTGCCTGGTAGTTCCACTGGGGATCCTCTCGGGGAACTGCTCTAATGCCTTCCTGGAGGTCTGGCTCATGAAGCCAGTGGTTAGCAGCATGAGATTGGGCTAGAGAACAAACTCTTTCCCGTTCATCTGGGGAGAGGGTAGAAGTCAGGATGACATTTAAGTCACTCCAGGTTGTTGTAGGACAGAGTTAGATATTGGAATTCCTGTATATGTTTAGTGGGGTCTGATGAGAAAGTGCCTAAACGTTGACTGATCTGAGAGAGGCGTGATAGAGAAAAAGGTACATGTACCCTGACTGCCTTCAGCTCCAGCCACCTCTCTAAGAGGAAATTCTTGGGCAGGTGGGGAGGAGCTAGTCGCGGAACTAAACTGTAAGCCGGGCCGGGTGTGAGGAGGGGAGGTGGTAGAAGGATTATAGGGTGGAGGAGCGGAGGCTGAGGAAGAATTGGGACCTAGCTCGGCCTGGCGAGGAGGGGAGAGGTCAGACGGGTCTGTAGAAAAGGAAGATTAGAAAGACTCAGCGACGCTTGGGGTTGGTACTGAGGGGACAGGCGGGAGGGAAAGAAGGAAGATTTGGGACGAGTTGCACTGGGCACAGAGACTAGGAAGGGACTGATGTGTAAAAGAATGCCTGGACGTCAGGCACCTCAGACCATTTGCCCATTTTACGACAAGAATTATTTAGATCTTGCAGGATGGAAAAATTGAAAGTGCCGTTTTCCGGCTATTTGGAACTGCTGTCCAGTTTGTATTGGGGTCAAGCGGCATTGCAGAAGAAAATAAGGCATTTAGGTTTTAGGTCAGGTGTGAGTTGAAGAGGTTTTAAGTTTTTGAGAACACAGGCTAAGGGAGAAGGAGGAATGGAAGGTGGAAACTTACCTATAGTGAAGGAGGAAAGCCCAGAGAAAAGAGTAGAGACACGGAGAAGGGGTGGGGGGTTCTTGCCCTCCAGGAAAGCAGAGAAGGGGTTGGGGCACGGAAATAAGGGATTGGGGCACACAGATAAGAGGTCAGGGTGTGGAAATAAGGGATTGGGGCGCAGAGATAAGAGGTTGGGGTGCGGAAATAAGCGATTGGGGGGTTCTTGCCCCCTAGGAAAGCGGGACTTGCCGCTGAGGGTGAAGGACCAAGGCAGGCGTCCCTGCGTGGTCTGACACCCTTGAAATGTGAGTGTATAATCAGAGAGGCGTCCCTGTAATGATTAAACGCCAAGGGAAGGCTGCCTTCCCAGTCCGTGACCGGCGCCGGAGTTTTGGGTTCACGGATAAAACGTGTCTCTTTTGTCTCTACCAGAAAATGAAAGGAATTGAAATTAAGAGAAGGGAGAGATTGAAGTGTGGCGCCAAGATTGAAAGGAGAAAGAGGTTGAGGGATAGTGAGGGAGGTTGGAGAAGAGAGTAAAAAGAGGCCGCTTACCAGATTTGAAATTGGTGAGATGTTTCTTGGGCTGGTCGGTCTGAGGACCTGAGGTCGTAAGTGGATGTTTCTCACGGAGCAAAGAGCAGGAGGACAGGGGATTGATCTCCCAAGGGAGGTCCCCCGATCCGAGTCACGGCACCAAATTTCACGCGCGTCCGTGTGAAGAGACCACCAAACAGGCTTTGTGTGAGCAATAAAGCTGTTTATTTCACGTGGGTGCAGGTGGGCTGAGTCCGAAAAGAGAGTCAGCGAAGGGAGATAAGGGTGGGGCCGTTTTATAGGATTTGGGTAGGTAAAGGAAAATTACAGTCAAAGGGGGTTTGTTCTCTGGTGGGTAGGAGTGGGGGTCGCAAGGTGCTCAGTGGGGGAGCTTTTTGAGCCAGGATGAGCCAGGAAAAGGACTTTCACAAGGTAATGTCATCAGTTAAGGCAAGGACCGGCCATTTACACTTCTTTTGTGGTGGAATGTCATCAGTTAAGGTGGGGCAGGGCATATTCACTTCTTTTGTGATTCTTTAGTTACTTCAGGCCATCTGGGCGTATACGTGCAGGTCACAGGGGATGCGATGGCTTGGCTTGGGCTCAGAGGCCTGACAGCCCAGGCTGGTCTCAAACTCCTGGGCTCGAGCAATCCTCCTGGCTCATCCTCCCAAAATGCTAGGATTACAGGTTTGAGACACTGCGCCCGGCCTGCCCTTTTTTTTGCCCAGGCTGGAGTACTATGGTGCTATCTTGGCTCACCGCAACCTCCGCCTCCTGAGTCCAAGCGATCCTCCTGCCTCAGCCTCCCGAGTAACTGGGATTACAGGCATGTGCCACCACACCCAGCTAATTTTGTATTTTTAGTAGAGATGGGGTTTCTCCATGTTGGTCAGGTGGAGCTCGAACTCCTGACCTCAGGTAATCTGCCCACCTCGGCCTCCCAAAGTGCTGGGATTACAGGCGTGAGCTGCCACGCCCAGCCTGCCCTCTTTTTTTAAACTGGAAAGTCCATCTTCTCTTGCCCTAGGACATCGGAGCTCCTGGTTCCCAGGCCTTTGGTCCTGGAGTGAATTCCACACCAGCTTTCCTGCTTCTACAGCTGGCAGCTGGCAGATGGTGCAACTCCTAGGGCTCTGCATGCCTGTGAGCCAGTCCCCATAATAAATCCCTTTCTCTCTAACTCTCTGTGTGTGGATGTCTCCCTTCCATTGATTCTGTTTCTCTGAGGAAACTTAGCTAATACAGAGGGAGATTATTGGTCTGAGAAGGAAGGAACATAATACATTTTCTTTAAGTGCCACCTACTTCTCCCTGATACTAAGTTTTAAGTATCATCCGGCTGAGTGAGGTGGCTCATGCCTGTAATTTCAGGACTTTGGGAGGCCAAGGCGGGCAGATCACTTGAGGTCAGGAGTTCGAGACCAGCCTGGCCAACATGGTGAAACCCCATCTCTACTAAAAATACAAAACTTAGCCGGGCATGGTGGTGGGTGCCTGTAATCCCAGCTACTGCGGAGACTGAGACATGAGAATCACTTAAACCTGGGAAGCGGAGGTTGCAGTGAGCTGAGAAGGCACCACTGCACTCCAGTCTGGGCAACAGAGTGAGATTCCATCTCAAAAAAAAAAAAAAACCAAAGTTTTAGTACCATCAGCTGTGGCTGAATCTTCCCGATTGATCAGGGCAAGGGTAGTGGAGCCTGTGGTGGGGCTGGACCCTGTGCAACTGTTCCTAAAACCCACAGGGAAAGTCACAGCCAGGATGTTTCCTGCCAGGGTCTGTGGTAAAAGTGAGGACATAGCTCACAGGGGAGGAAGTTTCACAACCCCTACACTCAGGCCCTGATGAAAGTGACTGTGGCTGGGCGCGGTGGCTCACGCCTGTAACCCCAGCACTTTGGAAGGCCGAGGCGGGTGGATCACGAGGTCAGGAGATCGAGATCATCCGTCTCTACTAAAAATACAAAAATTAGCTGGGAGTGGTGGCAGGTGCCTGTAATCGCAGCTACCCGGGATGCGGAGACAGGAGAATTGCTTGAACCCAGGAGGTGGAGGTTGCAGTGAGCTGAGATAACATCACTGCACTCCAGCCTTGTGACAGAGCAAGACTCCATCTCATTAGAAAAAAAAAAAAAAAGGAAGAAGAAGACTGCATCCTAGCAGCCCCTGGGCAACTTTTGAGTGCTATATGATGGTCTGCAGGTGACTTTGCTACTTTGGACCTCAGTCTATCCCTCTTTCAAATTGGAGGGTTGGCCTCATTGTACAAGCTGATGAGGATTTTAGCTGCTTGAAGTTTGGAGCCAGAACTGGCTTTCAGAGTCGTCTCCATCATTTTCCAGCACTGCTGTGTAGGCCACACACTCAGAGCTTCCCTCTCAGCCTCAGTTTCCCCATTCATAGGTGGAGAATGATGATTTCCATTTTCTAGCCAGTTCGTGGTGAGCTAGTGATGCTGGTGATGGTCATGGGAACAGTGGGTAGCACTCGGTATCCTCTCTATGTGACAACAAAGAGGCACAGAAACCTCAGATGTGGCCTCCCACGGGACAGTCATTCAATGCCAGTTAGAGACACCATTTTGTCACACTGCCTGTAAAAGCAAATCAGGCCAGGCATGGTGGCTCACGCCTGTAATCCCAGCACTTTGGGAGGCCGAGGCAGGTAGATCACCTGAGGTCAGGAGTTTGAGACCAGCCTGACCAACACAGTGAAACCCTGTCTCTACTAAAAATACAAAAATTAGCCGGGTGTAGTGGCACGCGCCTGTGGTCCCAGCTACTTGGAGGCTGAGGCACGAGAATCGCTTGAACCCGAGAAGAGGAGATTGCAGTGAGCCAAGATGGCGCCATTGCACTCCAGCCTGGGCAGAAAGAGCGAAACTGTCTCAGAAAAAGCAAAAAAACAAAACAAAAAAACGCAGCAAATCCATGTTCACAACGTGCTAGCGAGCAGCATAGGTTTTACTGATGATGGGTTTGGTTGGGGTAGAAGACAGTTTTCATCGTACACCATATAGTAAAGCAATTTAAATTCCTATTACTCATCTCCATAAACCCTCCAAATGTTCTTCCCAGGCACCTGACACCTCCTATTTCCTTTCCTTCTGCCTTTCCCCACGTGGCTTCTAAAATGCCTTTTTATCCTGAATGATTTAGTTTTACCTGCAAACAAGCAAACACCATACTGCAAAATTTCTCCAGTTAACAGATTTCATACTCAAGTGACTTCTCAAAGTATTCCCTCAAAGGAAACAGGTCTCTTCCGGAATGGCAAAAGGGAAATTCTGCTGATAGAAAAACAAGCATTTCTCTGTGCCTTTCTAGTACTAACACAGAGAAATGTTTCTCAGCAGAATCACTAGGGGAGCTTTATATTATAAAAACATGTATTTAGCCAGGCGTGGTGGTTCACACTTGTAATCCCAGCACTTTGGGAGGCTGAGGTGGGAGGATCACTTGAGCTCAGGTGTTCCAGACCAGCTTGGGCAACATAGTGAGACCTCATCTCTATTCAAAAAATTAATATAAGAAAAAAAGGAAAAAGAAACATATGTTTGATGGCCCCTGCCCCACCAAGATCCTGATTCAGGAAGTCTAGAGAGGGACCAATTTCATATACATATTTATATATTTATAATTCTTATTGTAATGTATATAAAATATTTCATCTATATATAATTTTTTTTTTTGAGACGGAGTCTCACTCTGTGGCCCAGGCTGGAGTGCAGTGGTGTGATCTCGGCTTACTGCAACCTCCGCCTCCCAGGTTCAGGAGATTGTCCTGCCACAGCCTCCCGAGTAGCTGGGATTACAGGCACACGCCACCATGCCTGGATAATTTTTGTATTTTTATTTATTTTTTTATTTTTAATTTGTTGTTGTTGTTGAGACAGAGTCTCACTCAGTCACCCAGGCTGGAGTGCAGTGGCGTGATCTCGGCTCACTGCAACCTCCACCTCCAAGGTTCAAGTGATTCTCGTGCCTCAGCCCCCCGAGTAGCTGGAATTACAGGTGCGCGATAGCACATCCGGCTAATTTTTGTATTTTTAGTAGAGACGGGGTTTCGCCATGTTGGCCGGGCTGGTCTCAAACTCCTGACCTCAAGTGATCTGCCCACCTTGGCCTCCGAAAGTGCTGGGACTACAGGCGTGAGCCACCACACCCAGCCTTCTATATATAATTTTTATAAATGTCCCTGATGATAATAATTTCTCTTCTAGTTGAAAACCAACAGGGCAAATTAGCACCTGCTTTGAATGGGTTTATCCTTGTGATGCTAGGCAAGTGAGGCCCCAAAACAGGGCTTACCCCGGGATAGTTCTTGGCTTCACACAGGAAAGAATTCAAGGGAGTGGCAAGCAGGTGGTGGTGACAACTTCTATTATTTATTTATTTATTTATTTATTTATTTGAGATGGTGTCTCTGTTACCCAGCCTGGAATGCAGTGATGTGATCTCGGCTCACTGCAACCTCCACTCCTGGGTTCAAGTGATTCTTCTGCCTCAGCCTCCCAAGTAGCTGGGATTACAGGTGCCCACCACCATACCCAGGTTATTTTTGTATTTTTAGTAGAGATGGGGTTTCACCATGTTGGCCAGGCTGGTCTTGAACTCCTGACCTCAAATGATCCACCCGCCTCAGCCTCCCAAAATGCTGGGATTACAGGCGTGAGCCACTGCACCCAGCAAAAAAATTTTTTAAAAAAGGAAAATTGGGCTGGGTGCGGTGTCTCATGCCTGTAATCCCAGCACTTTGGGAGGCCGAGGTGGGAGGATCGCTTGAGCTCAGGAGTTGAAGGCCATCCTGGGCAACATGGTGAAACCCCATCTACTAAAAACAAAAAAAAAAAAAGAAAAAAAAAGGAAAATGGCATTCCTTGTCTTTAGATTCATTCTTGTGTTTCCAGAAATGGCACTAAGCCCAGAAGCAGCTATAGAAGTTGCCAATTCTCTTCTTTCCCCATGAGAAAGTTCTATCTTGAAAGTGGAAGCATGAAGTAGACAGATGTGGATTCAGCTTCCCCCAAGCCTCGCTTCCGAATTCCTAGAAATTAGTTTTACCACCACCTGCAGCAGTGGCGTGGAAGGAGCCTGCGTCGTGAGCCACTTGAGGAAGCTCAGATGGGGTCTGTAGGTAGTTCAGGTTTGCCAAACCTTTCTCCTCCCCTCTAATGATCACTGCCATCCCCACACTCCCAGGATGCACCCACCGCCTGCCCTTACTCAGGCATTATCTCCATCTCCTGAAACATGAAGGCTTCAGCTTCTCGCTCTCCCAATCCAGGCCTCCTCTGTTTGGTCTGCCTTCCACAAGGGCCTTGAGGAATCTTCCTTAACCCAGACCTGACTCCATCCCTCCCCTGCTCAAAACTGCTGCATGCCATGCAACAGAATATTAGTCCTGGAAGGGACTGGATGTGGGAGAATGTCTCATAAAAAGCTGTGAAGGTTTTTTTTGTTTTGTTTTGAGACGGAGTCTTACTCTGTCACCCAGGCTGGAGTGCAATGGCGGGATCTTGGCTCATTGCAACCTCCGCCTCCTGAGTTCAAGTGATTTTCCTGCCCCAGCCTCCTGAGTAGCTGGGACTACAGGCACCCGCCACCAAACCCCAGCTAATTTTTTTTTTCTTTTTTTGAGACAGAGTCTCGCTCTGTTGCCCAGGCTGGAGTGCAGTGGCGCAGTCTCGGCTCACTGCAACCTCTGCTTCCCGGGTTCAAGTGATTCTCCTGCCTCAGCCTCCCAAGTAGCTGGGATTACAGGTGCGTGCCACCAAGCCCGGCTAATTTTTGTATTTTTAGTAGAGACGGGGTTTCACCATGTTGGCCAGGCTGGTCTCAAACTCCTGACCTCAGGTGATCTGCCCGCCTCAGTCTCCCAAAGTGCTGGGATTACAGGTGTGAGCCACTGCGCCTGGCTATGAAGGCTTTTGTGTGTGTGTGTGTGTGTGTGTGTGTGTGTGTGTGTGTGTGTGTGTGTCTGAGGGGTCTTAATTGATTAGGAGCATGAAACAAAGTTGGCATGATGCAGGAGACAGAGGGAATTATAAACTTGCTCTTCCATCAGAATTCATAAATTCTGCTAACACATATTTTGTAGAGATGGGGCCTCACTGTGTTGACCAGTCTGGTGTGAAACTCCTGGCCTCAGGTGATCTACCTGCCTTGGCCTCCCCAAGTGCTAGGATTACAGGCATGAGCCATTGCACCCAGTCACATCTTCCTCTTACACTAACCCTCCTGTCTTCTTCTTATAAAGACTCTTGTGGCTGGGTGCGGTGGCTCACGCCTGTAATCCCAGCACTTTGGGAGGCTGAGGCAGGTGGATCACGAAGTCAGGAGATCAAGACCATCCTGGCTAACATGGTGAAACCCCATCTCTACTAAAAATACAAAAAAAAGAGAATTAGCCAGGCGTGTTGGCGGGCACCTGTAGTCCCAGCTATACGGAAGGCTGAGGCAGGAGAATGGTGTGAACCTGGGAGGCGGAGCTTGCAGTGATCCGAGTTCGTGCCACTGCACTCCAGCCTGGGCAACAGAGCAAGACTCTGTCTCAAAAAAAAGACTCTTGTGATTCCATGGGTCCTGCCCAGATAACCAGGATAATGTCCCCATCTGAAGTGCCTTCATTTGGTCACATATGCTAAGTCTCTTTTGCTATGTAGGGTGAAATGTCACAGGTTCTGGCCATTAGGACATGAATATCTTTGGGGACCATCATCCTGCCTACCGCAAAGTCCCTCTCATGCCACTCTTGTGACTGAGAGAACAGAAAAAAAATAGCAGACCTACGTGAGGTCCTTAATAATTCTCCCTGAGGCTGGGCTCAGTGGCTCATGCCTGTAATCCCAGCACTTTGGAAGGCTGAGGTGGGCGGATCGTTTGAGCTCAGGAGTTCAAGGCCAGCCTGGGCAACATAAGAAGACCTTGTCTCTACCAAAACTACAAAAACTTAGCTGGGCATGGTGGCGCATGTCTGTGGTCCCAGCTACTTGAGAGGCTGAGGTGGGAGAATCGCTGGAACCTGGGAGGCGGAGGTTGCAGTGAGCTGAGATCACGCCAGTGAACTCTAGCCTGGGTGGCAGAGTGAGACTCTGACTCAAAGAAAAAAAAAAAAAAAAAAGCCAGGGACGGTGGCTCACACCTGTAATCCTAGCACTTTGGAAGGCTGAGGCGGGTGGATCACCTGAGGTCAGGAGTTCGAGACCAGCCTGACCAACATGGTGAAACCCTGTCTCTTCTAAAACCACAAAAATTAGCTGGGTGTGGTGTCCGGCGCCTGTAATCCCAGCTACTCAAGGGAAGCTGAGGTGGGAGAATCGCTTGAACCTGGGAGGCAGAGGTTGCGGTGAGCCAAGATCGCAGAGCCAGGGCCACAGAGTAAGACTCTGTCTCAAAAAAAAAAAAATTCTCCCTGGAAGAGGCGCAGTCGCAGTTTTGATAATACACTCTACCACACACACTAGTGAAATGAGGAAAACAAGAGGAAAGCGGAAAGAGAGTGACTGTTTTGTCAAGAGATCCAGGAAGAGACAGCAGAAGTGAAAATCTTTTTCATCAGCCAAGTGGCTCCTCGGATTTCTTAATCTCCCCCCGAACTTCCTCTTCTCCACCCAGAACAGCCATTGGTGAGTGGGGCAGGGCAGGAGGGAACTGAAGAGTGAGAAAGCATTATTTCAGCAAAAGGTCTTTCCTCCCTTGCTCTCTCCTCCAACCACTGGCTCAGCCTCTCCGCCCGCTGCCTGTGAATGATGCAATGGAAGGTGTGCTGGGGTCGCCCTGTGTCCCGTGCATAGGAGCATCTCAGCCTCCAGGTCCTCTCCTTTGGGGCTCACGGCACCCCCATGCTACGAACCGCAGGCAGGGACGGCCTCTGTCGCCTGTCCACCTACTTGGAAGAACTCGAGGCTGTGGAACTGAAGAAGTTCAAGTTATACCTGGGGACCGCGACAGAGCTGGGAGAAGGCAAGATCCCCTGGGGAAGCATGGAGAAGGCCGGTCCCCTGGAAATGGCCCAGCTGCTCATCACCCACTTCGGGCCAGAGGAGGCCTGGAGGTTGGCTCTCAGCACCTTTGAGCGGATAAACAGGAAGGACCTGTGGGAGAGAGGACAGAGAGAGGACCTGGTGAGGGGTAAGGAGGTGGCGGGACAGGCAAGGCTAGAATGCCAGCCGGGTCCAGTGACTCATACCTGTAATCTCAGCACTTTGGGAGGCTGAAGAGGGCAGATCACTTGAGGTGAGGAGTTCAAGACCAGTCTGGACAACATAGTGAGGCTCTGTCTCTACCAAAAATAAAAAAAATTAGCCAGGTGTGGTGGTATACGTCTGTGATCCCAGCTTCTCAGGAGGCTGAGGTGGGAGGATCACTTGAGACCAGAAGGTCGAGGCTGCGGTGAGCTATGATCCTGCCACTGCACCCCAGCCTAGGTGACAGAACGAGACCTTGCCTCAAATATTTAAAATATATTTTTTTAAAATATATATATTTAAAATATATGTTTTAAATATATATTTTAAATAAATATATTTTAAAATATATATTTTAAATATATATTTAAAATATATATTTAAAACATATATTTTAAATATATATATTTAAAACATATATTTTAAATATATATTTAAAATATGTATATAATTATATTATTAAATATATATTAAATATGGTATATATTATATATAAATATAGTATATATTTATTATATAAATATACTATATTATATAAATATGGTATATTATATAAATATATATAAATAATAAATATTATATATTAAATATTTAATACATATATTATTAAAATAAATATTTAAAATACATATATATAAAATCCCTGAGCCTGGGAGATCTGGAATTTATATATATATACACACACGTATATATATGTGTATATATGTGTATATATATGTGTGTGTATATGTGTGTGTGTATATATATTTTAAGAGATGAGGTAGCCAGGTGCAGTGGCTCACACCTATAATCCCAGCACTTTGGGAGGCCAAGGCGGGTGGGTCACCTGAGGTCAGGAATTCGAGATCAGTCTGGCCAACATAGCAAAACCCTGTCTCTACTAAAAATACAAAAATTAGCCAGGCGTGGTGGCACACGCTTATAGTCCCAGCTACATGGGAGGCTGAGGCAGGAGAATCGCTTGAACCTGAGAGGTGGAGATTGCAGTGAGTTGAGATTGCACCACTGTACTCCAGGCTGGGTAACAGAGTGAAACCCCATCTCAAAAATAAATTAAGAAAGAGATGAGGTATCCTTTTTTTTTTTTTTTTTTAAGACTGAGTCTCGCTCTGTTGCCCAGGCTGGAGTGCAGTGGCGCAATCTCCGCTCACTGCAACCTCCGTCTCCCAGGTTCAAGCAATTTTCTGCCTCAGCATCCCGAGTAGCTGAGATTACAGGTACCTGCCACCATGCCTGGCTAATTTTTTGTATTTGTATTTTTTGTAGAGACGGGGTTTCACTATCTTGGCCAGGCTGGTCTTGAACTTCTGACCTCGTGATCCACCCACCTCAGCCTCCCAAAGTGCTGGGATTACGGGCATAAGCCACTGTGCCCGGCCAAGATGAGGTGTCCTTATGTTGCCCGGGCTGGTCTTGAACTCCTGGGCTCAAGCGAGCTTCCACCTTAGCCTCCCAAAGTGCTGGGATTACAGGCATGAATGACCACTGCCTGGCCACCAATTCCCTTTTCTTTCATACTAATCCCTGAGCCTGGGAGATCTGGAATTCTAATTTACGTACACACACATCTATATCTATATAAAAATTTCAACTTTTAGATTCAAGGGGTACATGTGCAGGTTTGTTACATGGGTATATTGAGTGATGCTGAGATTCAGAGTAAGATTGATCCTATCATGCAGGTACTTGAACATAGTAATAGTACCCAATGGTGAGATTTCTCCCCGCCACGAGTCCCCAGTGTCTCTTCTTCCCATCTTTCTGTCCATGAGAACCCAATGTTTAGCTTCCACTTATAAGTGAGAACATGCAGTCTTTGGTTTTCTATTCCTGCATTAGTTTGCTTTGGATAATGGCCTCCAGCTGCGTCCATGTTACTGCAAAGAACATGATTTTGTTCTTTTTTATGACTGTGTACAGAATTCTAATTTCATCCCTTTGGTCTTTGTTCATGCTGTGTTCTGCCTGGAATATTCTCCATCTTCTTTGCCTGGAAAAGTATTACTTACTGAAACCTTGAAGCCACTACCTTCTCTAAAGTAAAGTATTTACTCCTCTTCCCCCACTCCTTCTGATTCCTCGCTCCCACCACTCTGGCTGGCTCAGAAACCCCACTTCTGTGCCTCCTTAGCACTCTTGGATTTCTTTTTGTTGTTGTTGTTGAAACAGAGTCTTGCTCTGTCGCCCAGGCTGGAGTGCAGTGGCGCAATCTCAGCTCACTGCAAGCTCTACCTCCTGGGTTCACGCCATTCTCCTGCCTCAGCCTCCCGAGTAGCTGGGACTGCAGGTGCCCGCCACCATGCCTGGCTAATTTTTTGTATTTTTAATAGAGACGGGGTTTCCCTATGTTAGCCAGGATGGTCTCGATCTCCTGACCTCATGATCCAGCCGTCTCGGCCTCCCAAAGTGCTGTGATTACAGGTGTGAGCCACCGTGCCCAGCCAACATGATTTCTTTTATTATATCTTCTATCTCATAAAATAATCACAATGAGCTGGGTGCGGTGGCTCACGCCTGTAATCCCAGCACTTTGGGAGATTGAGGTGGATGGATCACCTGAGGTCAGGAGTTCGAGACCAGCCTGGCCAACATGGTGAAACCCTGTCTCTACTAAAAATACAAAAAAATTAGCCGGGTGTGGTGGCGGGCGCCAGTAATCCCTGCTAATCTAGAGGCTGAGACAGGAGAATCACTTGAACCCAGGCGGTGGAGGTTGCAGTGAGCGAAGATTAAGCCACTGCACTCCAGCCTGGGTGACAGAGTAAGACTCTGTCTCAAAAAAAAAAAAAAAAAAAAAAGAAAAAATATGATTTATACTCAGGCATAAGCTCAAGAGATAATACATGCAAAGTGCTTAACACAATTCAGAGCAGGTAGCAAGTGCTCAGCAAATATAGGCTATTGCTGAAGTGGCAGAGATGGCACTTGAGCTGTGGAATTGTTTTTTTAAAAATATTTTTATTTTTTACAAAAAATTAGCTGGGCGCAGTGATGGGCGCCTGTAGTCCCAGCTACTCAGGAGGCTGAGGCAGGAGAATGGCGTGAACCTGGGAGGCAGAGCTTGCGGTGAGCTGAGATTGTGCCACTGCACTCCAGCCTGGGTGACAGTGCAAGACTCCGTCTCAAAAAAAAAAAAAATAATTTATTTTTTAGAGATAGGGTCTCACTATGTTGCCCAGGCTAGACTCAAACTCCTGGGCTGAAGTGATCCGCCTGCCTCAGCCTCTTGAACAGCTGGAACTACAGGTGTGCACCACAGAGCCCCATTTGAGCTGTGGTTTTTTGTTTTGTTTTGTTTCTGAGACAGAGTCTCACTCTGTCGCCCAGGCTGGAGTGCAGTGGCACAATCTTGGCTCAGTGCAAGCTCCGCCTCCCGGGTTCCAGTGATTCTCCTGCCTCAGCCTCCTGAGTAGCTGGGACTACAGGTGCGTGCCACCACACCCAGCTAATTTTTGTATTTTTAGTAGAGACGGGGTTTCACCGTGTTGGTCAGGCTGGTCTCGAACTCCTAACCTCAGGTGATCCATCCACCTCGGCCTCCCAAAATGCTGGAATTACAGGCGTGAGCCACTGCACCCTGCTTGAGCTGTGGTTTTTAATGTAATTTCTCACCTGTTTTCTCTACTGTGACATGGACGCCTTCAAAGGCAGAAAGAGTCTTGACTCCCCTGTGTGATTCTCTGCGATTCCAGTGTCTGGCTGGGGCTAGGAACCGAGCAAACTTTGGTGAACATTTGCTGAATGAGTAAGCAAGCCCTGCCAATAACTGGATATACACAGTCACTTCTGCAAAGCTTAATGACTCGTCGTTAATGAGGTGTGCCAGTAGTAGTGTGCTGGGAAACATCTCTGTAAAAAACAAAGTCTTTAATGACTGAAAAAACCAAAGACACTTGTTTGTAGCCTTTCTTCCCTCCTTCCTTCCTTCTTTTCCCTTCTTTTCCCTTTCCTTCCCTCCTTCCTTTCTTTTCTTTTCTCTCCCTCTCCTCTCTTTTTCTCTTTCCCTTTTCTCCACCACCCAGGAGACGGAGGTTGTGGTGAGCCAAGATCCCGCCACTGCACTCCAGCCTGGACAAGAAGAGCAAAACTCCGTCTTAATATACATACATACATATATATATACGTGTGTGTGTGTGTATATATATGTATACATACATATATGTATACATGTGTATATATATACGTATACATACATATATACGCGTATATA
This sequence comes from Homo sapiens, assembly GCF_000001405.40. NCBI lineage: Eukaryota > Metazoa > Chordata > Mammalia > Primates > Hominidae > Homo > Homo sapiens. The sequence continues at coordinate 53,819,619 of NC_000019.10, read as the reverse complement.
CGTATACATACATATATATGCGTATATACGTATACATACATATATACGCATATATATACGTATACATACATATATATACGTATACATACACACATATATACACATATGTATACATATATATACACATATGTATATACACACACACACACACACACACACACATATATATATATATATATATATATATATATATATATATATATATATATTAGCCAGGCGTAGTGGCACACGCCTGTAATCCCAGCTACTTGGGAGGCTGAGGCAGGAGAATCACTTGAACCCGGGAGGCGGAGGTTGCAGTGAGCCGAGATCACGCCACTGCACTCCAGCCTGGATGACAAAAGCGAGACTCCATCTCAAAAAAAGAAAAGAAAGAAAAAAGTATCAATTTACTTACTTGTCATATTGTATAATTATATCTAAATGGAAGTGTTACATAGTTATTTTAAGAAATGGAAATAATGTACAAATATAGAATCAAAAGTAAAGTCCCACTTTTCTCCCTCTTCCGCCTAAATCTCTCCCAGCATTGACAATGCATAACCATTTGCCGAGCGTTCTTCCCCGGACTGCATCCGTTTAGTCTACTGAGAGGCAGCTCAGCGTTCCCAAGGAGACAGATGTCTAGCTTTGCTCTTTCTGTCTGTGTGATGCTGGAGAATCGATATGCCCCTGGGCCTCCATCTCCATCTGTAAAACAAGGGCATCAGGCAAGATCGGCAGTTCTCATGTTACTGTGCGTAAGAGTCTCTCGAGACACTTGTGGCCAATGGGGAATCCAAGACCCTCAACCCGTGATTCTGAATCAGCAGGTCTTAGGCAACAGGAATCTGCATTTTGATGTGGCTGGTTCTCGCGGCATGCCTAGGAAACACTGAGGGAGAACATCTCTGAGGCCTTTTTCAGCTGCAATTTTCAAGAATTACCTTTTTTATTTTTATTTATTTATTTTTTTGAGACGGAGTCTCACTCTGTCACCCAGGCCGGAGTGCAGTGGTGCGTTCTCGGCTCACTGCAACCTCCGCCTCCCGGGTTCAAGCGATTCTCCTGCCTCAGCCTCCCGAGTACCTGGGACTACAGGCACCCGCCACCACGCCCGGCTAATTTCGTATTTATAGTAGAGATGGGGTTTCACCATATTAGCCAGGATGGTCTCAATCTCCTGACCTCATGATCCACCCACCTCAGCCTCCCAAAATGTTGGGATTACAGGCGTGAGCCACCGCGCTGGCCTGGATTACCTTTAAAAAAAAAAAATGTGGCCACACCTATAATCCCAGCACTTTGGGAGGCTGAGGCAGGCAGATCACTTGAGCCCAGAAGTTTGAGACTGGTCTAGGCAACATGGCAAAACCCCTTCTCTACAAAATTGACCAGGCACAGTGGTGCATGCCTGCAGACCCAGCTACCTGGGAGGCTGAGATGGGAGGATCACTTAAGCCCAGGAGGTGAAGGCTGCAGTGAGCCAAGATCATGCCACACTACTCCAGCCTGAGCAACAGAGCAAGACCCTCTCTCAAAAAAAAAAAAAAATTGCCAACCAGCTGCAGTGGCTCATGCCTGTAATCCCAGCATGTTGGAGGCTGAGGCACGTGAATCACTTGAGACTAGGAATTTGACAACAGCCTGGCCAACATGGTGAAACCCTGTCTCTACTAAAAATACAAAAATTAGCTGGTCGTGGTTGTACATGCCTGTAATCCCAGCTACTCCGGAGGCTGAGGCAGGAGAATCACTTGAACCCTGGAGGCAGAGGTTGCAGTGAGCCAACATCACACCAGCCTGGACGACACAGTGAGACTCTGTCTCATAAATAAATAAATAAATAAATAGTGCTAAAATACACAAAACATGAAATTTGCCCTCTTTTTCTTTTTTTCTTTGAGATGGAATTTCACTCTTGTTGCCTAGGCTGGAGTGCAGTGGCGCGATCTCGGCTCACTGCAACCTCTGCCTCATGGGTTCAAGCAATTATCCTGCCTCAGCCTCCCAAGTAGCTGGGATTACAGGCATCTGCCACCACGCCCAGCTAATTTTTGTATTTTTAGTAGAGATGGGGTTTCTCCATGTTGGTCAGACTGGTCTTGAACTCCTGACCTCAGGTAATCCACCCACCTTGGCCTCCCAAAGTGCAGGGATTACAGGCATGAGCCACCGCGCCCAGCCTCCTCTTAACCACTTTTTCTTTCTTGAGATGGAGTCTCGCTCCGTCACCAGGCTGGAGTGCAATGATGCGATGTCAGCACACTTCAACCTCTGACTCCCTGGTTCAAGCGATTCTCCTGCCTCAGCCTCCCGAGTAGCTGGGATTACAGGCACGCGCCACCATGCCTGGCTCATTTTTGTATTTTTAATAGAGACAAGGTTTCACCACGTTGGTAAGGCTAGTCTTGAACTCCTGACATCAGGTAATCCCACCTGCCTCGGCCTCCCAAATTGCTGGGACTACAGGTGCCTGCCACCATGCCCAGCTAATTTTTTTTTGTATTTTTAGTAGAGACGGGGTTTCACCGTGTTACCCAGGATGGTCTCGATCTCCTGACCTTGTGATCCACCCGCCTTGGCCTCCCAAAGTGCTGGGATTACAGGCGTGAGCCACCGCGCCCTGGCCCTCTTAACCATTTTTAAGTGTGCTGCTGAGTGTTGTACATTTACACTGATGTGCATTCAATCTGCAGAACTCTTCATCTTGCAAAACAAACTCGATACCCATTAAACAATTCCCTATTTTCCCCTTTCCTCTCAATGATAACCTTCTCCAATTAAAAATTTTTGAGTGGCCGGGTGCAGTAGCTCACGCCTGTAATCCCAGCACTTTGGGAGGCCGAGGCAGGCAGATCACCTGAGGTCAGGAGTTCAAGACCAGCCTGGCCAACATGGTCAAACCGCATCTCTACTAAAAATACAAAAATTATTTTTTTGTATTTTTACCACCACCTGCGTGGTCATGGGTGCCTGTAGTCCCAGCTACTCGGGAGACTGAGGCAGGAGAATCACTTAAACCTGGGAGGTGAAGATTGTAGTGAGCCGAGATCGCGCCACTGCACTCCAGCCTGGGCGACAGAGCGAGACTGTCTCAAATAAATAAAAATAAATAAATAAAATGGTGCCAGATGACTGAATCTACCAGAGCCAGCACTGAACAGAGGAAAGACAACAGTTTATTAGTCACACAGACTCACAGGGAAGGTGTCCCCATATGCCAAGAGGGTCACATGAAGCTACAGAGACTGTTGGGGGGGGCGGGCTGTGTAGTAACAAGAGGGTGGGGTGCCTCCTGGCTCCTTCAAAAGGATGTTCTTTGCTTTCATGAATCATTTCATGGACTAGCAACCAGCAGGGAGGTGAAAACTTATCAGAGTGAGGACCAGATGGGGTGCCGCTGGCTCAGCTGATGGGAGAACTAGCCAGGTGGGAAGACTTTCTCATGGAGTGAGAGCAAAGGAACTCACACTTAGGACTTTGGGGGGCCTTCTGAGGACCAAAGATGCCAAGGAAGGACTCGATGTGTAGAATCTTATGATATATCCAAACGAAGGCCTTTTTTGGGCTGGGCACGATGGCCCATACCACTATTTCCAACACTTCAAGAGGCCAAGGTCGAAAGACTGCTTGAAGCTAGGAGTTCCAGACCAGCCTGGGTAACATACTGAGACCTAATCTCTACCAAAAAAAAAAAAAAAAATTAAAATATTTTTAAGAGACAGAGTCGCCAGGCGCAGTGGCTCACGCCTGTAATCCCAGCACTTTGGGAGGCCGAGTTGGGTGGATCACGAGGTCAGGAGTTCAAGACCAGCCTGACCCACATGGTGAAACCCTGTCTCTACTAAAAATACAAAATAAATTATCCGGGCGTGGTGACACATGCCTGTAGTCCCAGCTACTCAGGAGGCTGAGGCAGGAGAATCACTTGAACCCGGGAGGCAGAGGTTGCAGTGAGCCAAGATTGTGCCACTGCACTCCAGCCTGGGCAACAGAGCCAGACTCCGTCTCGAAAAGAAAAAAGAAAAGATAATGGATGAGATGTGGCCCAGAGCTGACAAGGGAGGAGTCCAGACTGACTCAGAACTTCCCAGTCAAAAAGATTGGTTGGTGCCAGGTGCAGTGGCTCACATCTGTAAACCCAGCACTTTGGGAGGCCAAGGCAGGTGGATCACAAGGTCAGGAGTTCAAGACCAGCCTGGCCAACATAGTGAAACCCCGTCTCTACTAAAAATACAAAAATTAGCCAGGCATTGTGGCGCACACCTGTAATGCCAGCTACTCGTGAGGCTGAGGCAGGAGAATCGCTTGAATTCAGGAGGTGGAGGTTGTGGTGAGCCGAGATCATGCCACTGCATTCCAGCCTGGGCAACAGAGCAAGACTCCGTCTCAAAAAAAAAAAAAAAAAAAAAGACTGATTGGATGGATGGAGGTGCCAATGACCATGAGGGGGACCCAGGGAGGAGGGTGCGCTACAAGGAACAAGGGATGAGCTATTTCCCACACACGGCCTATGCAGTCACTACTGAACATTCTGGGGTGCGGGTGACCAGGGAGTTATGCAGGCATTTCGACGTAATCGCAGCTAATATGACGCGGTGCTACTAGCCAGATGCGTGCTAGCTCATCTTCCACAATTTCTCTTCCAGATACCCCACCTGGTGGCCCGTCCTCACTTGGGAACCAGTCAACATGCCTTCTGGAAGTCTCTCTTGTCACTCCAAGAAAAGGTGAGCCTCAAGCCATGTACCTACATGTATTCATCTACACAGAGCAGCTGACCCCACGGAGTGTAGGCCAACCACAAACGCGTGATTGAGGAATTCGTGGGGTGGATTAATGACACCATCAAAGGGGCAGTTTCCTCCTGTGTTTCAACTCATCAACCTTTCCACGTCAGCATTTTGTCCTGACACGTGTCATCTCCTGGCTGAAAGATGGCTACCAAACCATCTCATACACGCAGGGGCAACAAGGAAGGCTAAGAGGCCAGGTACAGTGGCTCACGCCTGTAATCCCAGCACTTTGGGAGGCCAAAGCGGGCAGATCACCTGAGGTCAGGAGTTCAAGACCAGCCCGGACAACATGGCAAAACCCCGTCTCTACTAAAAATACAAAATTAGCAGGGTGTGGTGGAGCATACCTGTAGTCCCAGCTACTCAGAGGCTGAGGCAGAAGAATCACTTGAACCTGGGAGGTAGAGGTTGCAGTGAGCCAAGATTGCACCACTGCACTCCAGCCTGGGCAACAGAGTGAGACTCCATCTCTTAAAAAAAAAGCAAAGAAAGGAAGGGTAAAGGCCTTCTTCCTCCCTGTTACCAGTCACATCCACGTAACCCACTGGTCAGTACTGGGGAATCTGCCCATTCTCAGAGCAACCACTGACAGAGGGGAACGAGGTTACTCATGACTGATTTAGCAAAACCATAATTCATCCTCTGAGGCTTGTGAAGGGGCAGGATTCACCACTCACTCGAGTCATGAATCAGCATCCACCAACCAAACAGAATCAGGTTTGCTGGCAGGGAAGAAACCGGGGTACAGTCTGCTGGGTAGACAGCAACACTGTTAACAATGCCACAAATGTTTCTGGCTATTTTTTTCAAGGGGAGCATGAAATGAATCTAGTCTCCAGCTCTACTAAAGTAGAATAAGAGTGGGTTCACCAGCTGAGCAAGGTGGCTCACGCCTGTAATCCCTGCACTTTGGGAGGCCAGGCTCTGAGACCAGCCTGGGCAACAAGCAAGACCCCATCTCTACAAAAAAAAACAAAAAATCGAACATTAGCTGGGCATGGAAACTTGTGCCTGTAGATCCAGCTACTCAGGAGGCTGAGGTGGGAGGATTAGTTGAGCCCAGGAGGTTGAAGTTGCAGTGAGCCAAGGTCACGCCACTGCACTCCAGCCTGGGGGGAGTGAGAAAGACCCTGTCTCAAAAAAAAAGGCGGGAGAGGGGTACAAATATTGTATGATTCCACTTATCTAAGGCACCTAGAGTAGTCAAATTCAGAGGCGGAAAGTAGAACAGCAGTTGCCACGCCCGGCATGGTGGCTCACGCCTGTAATCCCAGCACTTTAGGAGGCTCAGGCGGGCAGATCATGAGGTCAGGAGATCGAGACCATCCTGGCTAACACGGTGAAACCTTGTCTCTACTAAAAATACAAAAAAATTAGCCAGGCGTGGTGGCAGGCACCTGTAGTCTGAGCTACTTGGGAGGCTGAGGCAGGAGAATGGTGTGAGCCTGGGAGGCGGAGCTTGCAGTAAGCCGAATCGTGCCGCCGCACTCCAGCCCAGGTGACAGAGCAAGACTCTGTCTCAAAAAAAAAAAAAAAAAAAAAGAAAAGAAAAAAAAAAAAGAATAGCAGTTGCCAGGGAGAGGAGAAATTATGAGTTAATATTTAATGGATATGGAGTTTCTGTTTAGAATGCTGAAAGCATTCTGGAAATAGACATTGGCGGCCAGGCACAGTGGCTCACGTCTGTAATTCCAGCACTTTGAGAGGCCGAGGCGGGCAGATCACTTGAGGTCAGGAGTTCGAAACCAGCCTGGCCAACATGGTGAAACTCCGTCTCTACTAAAAATACAAAAATCAGCTGGGTGTGGTGGCGAGCACCTGTAAATCGAGTTACTCAGGAGACTGAGGCAGGAGAATCACTTGAGCCTGGGAGGCGGAGTTTGCAGTGAGCCTAGATCATGCCACTGCACTCCAGCCTGGGGGACAGAGCAACACTCTGTCTCAAAAAAAAAAAAAAAAAGAGATATTGATGATTGCACAACATCGTGAACTTAGTGTCACAGAGTTGTACGCTTTAAAGTGGTTAAAATGGTAAATTTTATGTGTATGTCACTATAATTAAAAGTACACATATTTGTTTTGAAAATTTTAGTATCAAACTCAGATTCTTTTTTTTAAGCTTCTCTCAGGCAGCTATCATGGGCCTCTGCTGGCATCCAATACCAAGGGATGCATTTGTATCCAGACCAGGGTTTCTCCACATTGGCACTGTTGGCATTTCGGGGCCAGAGCGTTCTTTGCTATGGGGTCGTCCTGTGGTTCCTGGGATGTTGAGCAGCACCTCTGGCCTCTATCCACTATGTGGCAGTAGTACTTTCCCAGTTGTAACAACCAACCCACTTGTCCCGTTGCCAAATGTCCCCTGGGGAACTAGGGGACACAGTCACCCCAATTAAGAACATTGTTCTAGATTTTTTTTTTTTTTTTTTGAGGCAGAGTCTCACGCTGTCGCCCAGGCTGGAGTGCAGTGGGGCGATCTCTTACAGGTGTGAGCCACTGCACTTAGCCCAGGGACTGCATTTCTAACAAGATTGCTGCATGATATGTATGCGTCTTAAAGTTGGAGAAGCACAGCCAGGCATGGTGGTTCATGCCTGTAATCTCAGCATTTTGCGGGGCTCAGGCAGGAGGATTGTTTGAGGCTAGTAGTTGTAGACCAGCCTGGATAACACAGCAAGACCCTGTCTGTACTGAAAAAAAAAAAAAGTTTGAGAAGCACTGCTCCCAAGTTTTCTGTGCCCCCTTTGTTTTCTCTTTCTTTTGTTTTTATAGAGACAGGGTCTCACTATGTTGCTCCGGCTGGTCTCAAACTCCTGAGTTCAGGCGATCCTCCCACCTGGACCTCCCAAAGTGCTGGGATTACAGGCGTGAGCCACCGCACCTGGCTTGTGCCCCCTTTGAAAAAAGGCAGATTCATGTCTGCACTATCTGGTAATGTACCCGTTCTATAAATCCTTTGCTGAAAGTCACTTTGTGGGGCTGGACACAGTGGCTCATGCCTCTAATCCTAGCACTTTGGAAGGCCGAGGTGGGCAGATCATGAGGTCAAGAGATCGAGACCATCCTGGCCAACATAGTGAAACCCCGTCTCTACTAAAAATACAAAAATTAGCCAGGCCTGGTGGCATGTGCCTGTAATCCCAGCTACTCGGGAGGCTGAGACTGGAGAATCACTTGAACCCAGGAGGTGGATGTTGCAGGGAGCACACCATTGCACTCCAAGCTGGGCAACAGAGCGAGACTCCATCTAAAAAAAAAAAAAATTAGCCAGTCTTATAACCTAGTCTCAAAACAAATAAATTATTTTAATTAAAAAAAATTTTTTTTTGAGATGGAGTCTGGCTCTGTTGCCCAGGCTAGAGTGCAGTGGTGCGATCTCAGCTCACTGCAACCTCCACCTCAGGGGTTCAAGTGATTCTCCCATCTCAGCCTCCTGAGTAGCTGGAACTACAGGCACACACCTTCTTTGAGCCACATGAGGAGCGCTTTACCTCGTGAACTCATTAGAGGCTGCTGATGAGTCTTCCACAAAACCTTCATTCCTCTCCCCTAGATCCCCAGGAAACCTACAGGGACTATGTCCGCAGGAAATTCCGGCTCATGGAAGACCGCAATGCGCGCCTAGGGGAATGTGTCAACCTCAGCCACCGGTACACCCGGCTCCTGCTGGTGAAGGAGCACTCAAACCCCATGCAGGTCCAGCAGCAGCTTCTGGACACAGGCCGGGGACACGCGAGGACCGTGGGACACCAGGCTAGCCCCATCAAGATAGAGACCCTCTTTGAGCCAGACGAGGAGCGCCCCGAGCCACCGCGCACCGTGGTCATGCAAGGCGCGGCAGGGATAGGCAAGTCCATGCTGGCACACAAGGTGATGCTGGACTGGGCGGACGGGAAGCTCTTCCAAGGCAGATTTGATTATCTCTTCTACATCAACTGCAGGGAGATGAACCAGAGTGCCACGGAATGCAGCATGCAAGACCTCATCTTCAGCTGCTGGCCTGAGCCCAGCGCGCCTCTCCAGGAGCTCATCCGAGTTCCCGAGCGCCTCCTTTTCATCATCGACGGCTTCGATGAGCTCAAGCCTTCTTTCCACGATCCTCAGGGACCCTGGTGCCTCTGCTGGGAGGAGAAACGGCCCACGGAGCTGCTTCTTAACAGCTTAATTCGGAAGAAGCTGCTCCCTGAGCTATCTTTGCTCATCACCACACGGCCCACGGCTTTGGAGAAGCTCCACCGTCTGCTGGAGCACCCCAGGCATGTGGAGATCCTGGGCTTCTCTGAGGCAGAAAGGAAGGAATACTTCTACAAGTATTTCCACAATGCAGAGCAGGCGGGCCAAGTCTTCAATTACGTGAGGGACAACGAGCCTCTCTTCACCATGTGCTTCGTCCCCCTGGTGTGCTGGGTGGTGTGTACCTGCCTCCAGCAGCAGCTGGAGGGTGGGGGGCTGTTGAGACAGACGTCCAGGACCACCACTGCAGTGTACATGCTCTACCTGCTGAGTCTGATGCAACCCAAGCCGGGGGCCCCGCGCCTCCAGCCCCCACCCAACCAGAGAGGGTTGTGCTCCTTGGCGGCAGATGGGCTCTGGAATCAGAAAATCCTATTTGAGGAGCAGGACCTCCGGAAGCACGGCCTAGACGGGGAAGACGTCTCTGCCTTCCTCAACATGAACATCTTCCAGAAGGACATCAACTGTGAGAGGTACTACAGCTTCATCCACTTGAGTTTCCAGGAATTCTTTGCAGCTATGTACTATATCCTGGACGAGGGGGAGGGCGGGGCAGGCCCAGACCAGGACGTGACCAGGCTGTTGACCGAGTACGCGTTTTCTGAAAGGAGCTTCCTGGCACTCACCAGCCGCTTCCTGTTTGGACTCCTGAACGAGGAGACCAGGAGCCACCTGGAGAAGAGTCTCTGCTGGAAGGTCTCGCCGCACATCAAGATGGACCTGTTGCAGTGGATCCAAAGCAAAGCTCAGAGCGACGGCTCCACCCTGCAGCAGGGCTCCTTGGAGTTCTTCAGCTGCTTGTACGAGATCCAGGAGGAGGAGTTTATCCAGCAGGCCCTGAGCCACTTCCAGGTGATCGTGGTCAGCAACATTGCCTCCAAGATGGAGCACATGGTCTCCTCGTTCTGTCTGAAGCGCTGCAGGAGCGCCCAGGTGCTGCACTTGTATGGCGCCACCTACAGCGCGGACGGGGAAGACCGCGCGAGGTGCTCCGCAGGAGCGCACACGCTGTTGGTGCAGCTGTAAGTATCCCTGGGGTATCCCCTGGGGCTGCTTAGGTTCGTGTGTTTTTTTTTTTTTTTTTTTTTTTTGCTCTGTTGCCTAGGCTGGAGTACACTGGCGTGACCTCAGCTCACTGCAACCTCCGCCTCCCGGGTTCAAGAGATTCTCCTGCTTCAGCCTCCCAAGTAGCTGGGACTACAGGTGCACGCCACCACGCCCACCTAATTTTTGTATTTTTAGTAGAGACAGGGTTTCACCATGTTGGCCAGGGTGGTCTCGATCTCTTGACCTCGTGATCTGCCCGCCTTGGCCTCCCAAAGTGCTGGGATTACAGGCATGAGCCACTGCACCCGGCCCACGATTTTTTTTTTTTTTTTTTTTTAAACTAAGTCTCTCTTGGTCTCCTAGGCTGGTGTGCAGTGGCGCAATCTTGGCTCACTGCAGCCTCTGCCTCCCGGGTTCAAGCGATTCTCCTGCCTCAGCCTCCTGAGTAGCTGGGATTACAGGTGCCCATCACCATGCCAGGATAATTTTTGTATTTTTAGTGGAGATGGGGTTTCGCTGTGTTAGCCAGGCTGGTCTTGAACTCCTGACCTCAAGTGATCCACCCACCTTGGCCTTGAGGTTCATGCTCTTAACCAGTGCCTCTCAGCTGGGGGTGATTTTGCTCTGACATTTGGCGATGTTTGGAGACACGTTTTTGGTGGTCACAACTGGGAAGCAAATAATACTACTGACATCTAGTGGATAAAGGCCGGGAATGCTGCAAACATCCTACAGTACACAGGACAGTCCCTCTGGCCCCAAAGTGTCAATAGTGCCACAAAGACTAAACAACACCCATTGGGACTAAATTGAGGTCGATGTCTGGGAGAATTTATTCAATCAACAAATATTACTAAGTCCCTTTTTCTTGAGAGAGTGTGGCTCTGTCACCAAGGCTGGAGTGCAGGGGCACAATCTCAGCTCACTGCAACCTCCACCTTGCGTGTCTCAGCCTCCTGAGCAGCTGGGACCACAGGAGTGTGCCACCACACCCAGCTAATTTTTGTATTTTTTTAGTAGAGATGGGGTGTCACCATGTTGGCCAGGCTGGTCTCAAACTCTCGGCCTCAGCCTCCCAAAGTGCTGGGATTATAGGTGTGAGCCACCACACCCAGCCTCTATATCCCTTTTATCGGTGGACCCAACAATCTTCTGTAGACAGAAGACTGTGTGAATAAGCCAATGGTCCCAAGAGAGCACGCATCCTAATGAGAACGGAGACAGATAATAAAGAGGGAAACAAGTAAACCAACTATCAATGATTAGGAGCGTCAGATAGAGCCAGGTGCAGCCTGGACAACATGATGAGATCCCCATCTCTAAAAATATAAAATAAATTAGCTGGTCATGATGGTGCACACCTGTAGCCCCAGCTTCTCAGTAGGCTGAGGTGGGAGGATTGCTTAAGCCTGGGAGGTCAAGCCTACAGTGAGCCATGATCTCACCATGCACTCCAGCCTAGACAACAGGGCAAGGCCCTCTAAAAAAAAAAATGAAAAGATAGCATGCTTTGGCCGGATGTGGTGGCTCACGCCTGTAATCCCAGCACTTCAGGAGGTTGAGGCGGGCAGATCACCTGAGGTCAGGAGTACGAGATCAGCCTGGCCAACACGGTGAAACCCCATCTCTACTAAAAATACAAAATTAACTGGGCGTGGTGGCTCATGCCTGTAATCCCAGCTACTCTGGAGGCTGAGGCAGGAGAATCGCTTGAACCCAGGAGGCGGAGGTTGTGGTGAGCTGAGATTGCGCCATTGCACTCCAGCCTGGGCAACAAGAGCGAAACTCCGTCTCAAAAAAGGATAGCATGCTTCATAAACGGTGAAATGACATGCAAAGGCCATAGTTGTCAAGCACCAGTAACACCAGAGAGTGGCCTGTCTTTCCTTCAAGCAGACCAGAGAGGACCGTTCTGCTGGACGCCTACAGTGAACATCTGGCAGCGGCCCTGTGCACCAATCCAAACCTGATAGAGCTGTCTCTGTACCGAAATGCCCTGGGCAGCCGGGGGGTGAAGCTGCTCTGTCAAGGACTCAGACACCCCAACTGCAAACTTCAGAACCTGAGGTGAGTGCAGGCTGGTCTGGGCGTTTCAGGTGGTCCCCACCGTGGCCTCTCATGGGGATCAGTCACAAAGGTTCTATCACGGGATGGTGTATTCGTTGGCTACGGCTGCCATAAAAAAGTGTCACAAAGCCAGGTGCCGTGGCTCACGTCTGTAATCCCAGTATGTTGACAGGTGAAGGCGGGCAGATCACTTGAGGTCAGGAGTTTGAGACCAGCCTGGCCAACATGGCAAAATGCCATCTCTACAAAAAATACAAAAATCAGGAGGGTGTGGTGGCGGGCGCCTGTAATCCCAGCTGCTTGGGAGGCTGAGGCAGGAGAATCGCTTGAACCTGGGAGGCGGAGGTTGCAGTGAGCCGGGATTGTGCCACTGCACTCCAGCCTGGGTGATACGGTGAGACTCCATCTCAGGGGGGAAAAAAGTGCCAAAGACTGGGTGGCTTCACCACATAAATCTATTTTCTCAAGGCAGGTGGGGGGCTGCTGGAAGTCCAAGACAAGGAGTGGGCAGGTTAAGTTCTTCTGAGGCCTCTGTCCTGGGCCTGCAGATCACTGCCTTCTGTCTTCACATGGTCATCCTGCTGTGTGGGTCTCCAAATTTTTTTCTTTTTTTTACTTTTTTTTTTTTTAAATTTTTGAGACACTGATATGCTCTGTCACCCAGGCTGGAGTGCAGTGGCACAATCATGGCTCACTGCAGCCCCAAACTCCTGGACTCAAGCGATCCTCTTGCTCCAGCATCACGAGTAGCTGGGAAAACAAGCATGTGCAACCACACCCGGCTAATTTCTTTTTTTTTTTTTTTTTTTTTTTTTGAGACGGAGTCTTGCTTTGTCACCAGGCTGGAGTGCAGTAGCGTGATCTCGGCTCACTGCAACCTCTGCCTCCTGGGTTCAAGCGATTCTCCTGCCTCGGCCTCCTGAGTAGCTGGGACTACAGGCAGGTGCCACCATGCCCAGCTAATTTTTTGTATTTTTAGTAGAGACGGGGTTTCACCATATTAGCCAGGATGGTCTCAATCTCTAACCTCGTGATCCACCCACCTCGGCCTCCCAAAGTGCTGGGATTACAGACTGAGCCACCGTGCCCAGCCACACCAGGCTAATTTTTGTATGTTTTGGAGAGATGGGGTTTCACCATGCTGCCCATACTGGTCTCAAACTTCTGGCCTCAAGTGATCCTCCTTCCTCAGCCTCCCTAACTGTTGAGATTACAGGTGTGAGCCACTGTGCCTAGCCAAATTTTTTTCATATGTTATTTTTTGAGATAGTATTGCTCTGTAGCCTGGGCTGGAGTGCAGTGACATGATCTCGACTCACTGCAACCTCCGCCTCCTGAGTTCAAGCAATTCTCCTGCCTCAGCCTCCTGATTAGCTGGGATTACAGGGGTGCATCACCACACCCAGCTAATTTTTGTGTTTATAGTAGAAATGGGGTTTCACTGTGTTGGCCAGGCTGGTCATAAACTCCTGACCTCAGGTGATCCACCCACCTCGGCCTCCCAAAGTGCTGAGATTACAGGCTTGAGCCACCGCACATGGCCTTGAATTTCTTTAAGGGCAACCTTTGTGAATGTATTTGACTACAAAGCATCAAAACATTTTATATTGTTCTTGTTGCTTTTCTTGACAGGTAAAATTTATCATATATAACATGATATTTTGAAATAAATATATTGGCCAGGTATGATGGCTCACGCCTGTAATTCCAGCACTTTGGGAGGCCCAGATGGGGAGGATCACTTGACCCAGGAGTTCAAGACCAGCCTGGCCAACATGGTGAAACCCCATCTCTACTAAAAATACCAAAATGAGCCAGGCATGGTGGCACACGTCTGTAAGCCCAGCTACTCAGGAGGCCAAGGCAGGAGGATTGCTTCAACCCAGGAGGCAGAGGTTGTGGTAAGCCAAAATCATGCCACTGCTCTCCAGCCTGGGTGACAGAGCGACTCTGTCTCAGAAAAAAAAAAAAAAGCAAAAGAAAATAATCCACAAAACTGGAGCAAAAGAAATGACCAGCTCCTTTCTCCTCTTTTCCACCCCAGGCTGAAGAGGTGCCGCATCTCCAGCTCAGCCTGCGAGGACCTCTCTGCAGCTCTCATAGCCAATAAGAATTTGACAAGGATGGATCTCAGTGGCAACGGCGTTGGATTCCCAGGCATGATGCTGCTTTGCGAGGGCCTGCGGCATCCCCAGTGCAGGCTGCAGATGATTCAGTGAGTCTCTATCCCCGGGAGCAACTTCTTAAGCTCATTGTCTCCTGGGGCATGAAATATCACAAAATGCTGGTAATCCCCAAATCTCCACCTTTAAATCAGGGCTGGCCCTTAACCCCATGACCTAAGACCCTGGCCCTGGACTCTAGGCACTTTGGAAGACCTGCTTCTGCCCTCCTCTGACTCCACACTCAATTCTACATGATGAAGAGTCCCTGGGGCCATCCCCCACCTCTTCTTTTTTTCTCCCGAGACGGGGTCTTGCTATGTTGCCCAAGTTGGGGTGCAGTGGCACAATCTCGGCTCACTGCAACCCCCACTTCCTGCGTTCAAGTGATTCTCCTGCCTCAGGCTCCCAAGTAGCTGGGATTACAGGCACCCACCACCACACCCAGCTAACTTTTTTGTATTTTTAGTAGAGATGGGGTTTCCTCACGTTGGCCAGGCTGGTCTTGAACTCCTGACCTCAAATGATCCACCCACCTTGGCCTCCCAAAGTGCTGGAATTACAGGTGTGAGCCACTGCACTCGACCTACAAAAATTTTTTTTTTTTAATTAGCCAGGTATGGGCCAGGAGCGGTGGTTCACGTCTATAATCCCAGCACTTTGGGAGGCCAAGGCAGGCGGATCACCTGAGGTCAGGAGTTCGAGACCAGCCTGGCCAACACGGAGAAACACCCCGTCTCTACTAAAAATGCAAAACTTAGCTGGGCGTGGTGGCACACACCTGTAGCCCAGCCTGTAGTCCCAGCTACTCGAGACTGAGGTATGAAAATCACTTGAACCCAGGAGGTGGAGGTTGCGGTGAGGCAAGATCACGCCACTGTACTCCAGCCTGGGTGACAGAATGAGGTTCTACCTCAAAAAAAAAAAAAAACAAAAAAACCCAAAAAAAACAAAAAACAAACAAACAAAAAAAATTAGGCAGGTGTGGTGGTGCACACATGTATTCCCAGTTACTCAGGAGGCTGAGGCAGGAGGATCACGGGAGCCTGGAGGTCGAGGCTTCAGCGAGTTGATATCACTCCACTGAACTTCACCCTGGGTGACAGAGCAACAACCTGTTCCTAAATAATAAAATAACAGGCTGGAGCATGAGTGATCACGACATAGAAAAGCAAGATGGCGTCCCCTTCAACCTCTCCTTCCTCCCAAGGTTGAGGAAGTGTCAGCTGGAGTCCGGGGCTTGTCAGGAGATGGCTTCTGTGCTCGGCACCAACCCACATCTGGTTGAGTTGGACCTGACAGGAAATGCACTGGAGGATTTGGGCCTGAGGTTACTATGCCAGGGACTGAGGCACCCAGTCTGCAGACTACGGACTTTGTGGTGAGTTCTTCCTGGGGTCAACTATAATAAAATGGCAAATCTCTTCATATTGAATGATGGTATAAAAATGCATCCACAGGTCGGGCGCAGTGGCTCACGCCTGTAATCCCGGCACTTTGGGAGGCCAAAGAGGGCAGATCATCTGAGGTCAGGAGTTCGAGACCAGCCTGGCCAACACGGTGAAACCCCCTCTCTACTAAAGATACAAAAATTAGCTGGATGTGGTGGCACACGCCTGTAATCACAGCTACTCAGGGGGCTGAGGCAGGAGGATCACTTGAACCTGAGAGGCGGAAGTTGCAGTGAGCTGAGATCACGTCACTGCACTCCAGCCACGGTGACAGAGTGAGACTCCATCTCAAAAAACAAAGTAGAATAGTGGCTGCCAAGGCCTAGAACAGGAAGAAATGGGGAGTTACCGTTTAACGGGAGCAGAGGTTCCATTTCGGAAGATGAAAAAGTTCCAGAGATGGGCCGGGTGCGGTAGTTCACGCCTGTAATCCCAGCACTTTGGGAGGCCGAGGTGGGCAGATCACCTGAGGTCTGGAGTTCGAGACCAGCCTGACCAACATGGAGAAGCCCCGTCTCTACTAAAATACAAAATTAGCCAGGCGTGGTGGCACATGCCTATAATCCCAACTACTCGGGAGGCTGAGGCAGGAGAATCACTTGAACTTGGGAGGCGGAGGTTGTGGTGAGCCAACACTGTGTCATTGCACTCCAGCCTGGACAACAAAAACGAAACTCCGTCTCAAAAAAAAAAAAAGTTCCAGAGATGGATAGCAGTGATGATTTCCCAGTAGCGTGAAACTACTTCATGCCACTGAGCCACAGTCAGCCCTCTGTGTCCACGGGTTCTGCATTCGTGAATTTCATCAACCATGGATCAAAAATATTCAGAAGGGCAGGGCGCGGTGGCTCACAGCTGTAATCACAACCCTCTGGAAGGCCAAGGCAGGAGAATGGCTTGAGTGCAGGAGCTCAAGAGCAGCCTGGGAACCAGTGAGACTTCATCTCTACAAAAAATAAACATAATTAGCTGGGGTGGGTGGTATGTGTCTGGAGTCCCAGCTATTCAGGAGCCTCGGAGGCCAAGGCTGCAGTGAGCTGTGATCAAGCCACTGTACCCCAGACTGGGTGACAGGGTGAGACCCTGTCCCTAATAAAATAAAAAGTAAATTTAATTGTGGTAAAATACATGCAACATAAAATGTACCATCTTCCCCAGTTTTCTTTTTTTTTTTTGAGACAGAGTCTTGCTCTGTCGCCCAGGCTGGAGTGCAGTGGTGTGATCTCTGCTCACTGCAAGCTCCGCCTCCCGGGTTCACACCATTCTCCTGCCTCGACCTCCCTAGTAGCTGGGACTACAGGCGCCTGCCACCACGCTTGGCTAATTTTTTGTATTTTTAGTAGAGACGGGGTTTCACCGTGTTAGCCAGGATGGTCTCGATCTCCTGACCTCGTGACCCGCCCGCCTCAGCCCCCGAAAGTGCTGGGATTACAGGCGTGAGCCACCATGCCCGGCCGCATTCTATTTATTTTTAATAGTAGGCATCCTAATGGGTATGAGATGCTATCTTATCGTGGTTTTCATTTGTATTTCCCCAATGATTATTGAGATTGAGCATCTTTTCAGGTGCTTTTTGGCCATTTGTACACCTTCCTTGAAGAAATGTGTATTCAAGCCTTTTGCTCATTTATTTTTATTTATTATTTATTTATTTGAGATGGAGTTCCACTCTTGTTGCCCAGGCTGGAGTGCAATGGCGTGATCTCAGCTCACGGCAACCTCCGCCTCCTGGGTTCAAGTGATTCTCCTGCCTCAGCCTCCCAAGTAGCTGGGATTACAGGCATGCGCCACCACGCCCAGCTAATTTTTTGTATTTAGTAGAGACGGGGTTTCACCATGTTAGCCAGGATGGTCTCCATCTCCCAACCTCAGGTGATCCACCCATCTCAGCCTCCCAAAGTGCTGAGATTACAGGCATGAGCCACTGTGCCCAGTCTAATTTTGTATTATTAGTAGAGAGGGGGTTTCTCCATGTTGGTCAGGCTGGTCTCAAACTCCCGACCTCAGGTGATCTGCCAGCCTCGGCCTCCCAAAGTGCTGGGATTACAGGCGTGAGCCACCAGGCCGGGCCCTTTTGCCCATTTTTAAATTAGATTGTCTGAAAATGCATTACTGTTAAGATTGGGGGCCTAGGCGCAGTGGCTCACGCCTGTAATTCCAGTCCTTTGGGAGGCTGAGGCAGGCATATCACCCATGGTCAGGAGTTCGAGACCACCCTAGCCAACATGGCGAGAAACCCTGTCTCTACTAAAAATACAAAAACTAACTAGGCGTGATGCCACACGCTTGTAGTCCCAGCGATTCAGGAGGCTGAGGCAGGAGAATCGCTTGAACATGGGAGGTGGAGGATGCAGCTGAGCCGAGATTGCACCACTGCATTCCAGCCTGGGCAACAGAGTGGGACTCTGTCTCAAAAAAAAAAAAAAAAAAAAAGAAAAAGAAAGGAAAGCCTCCATAATGCTTGTTGAATTGGACTTTGTGCAGGCTGAAGATCTGCCGCCTCACTGCTGCTGCCTGTGACGAGCTGGCCTCAACTCTCAGTGTGAACCAGAGCCTGAGAGAGCTGGACCTGAGCCTGAATGAGCTGGGGGACCTCGGGGTGCTGCTGCTGTGTGAGGGCCTCAGGCATCCCACGTGCAAGCTCCAGACCCTGCGGTGAGTCCCGTTTTGCTCACCACGCTAGGAGTCCCAATCCATGAACGCAGCCCTCTCACCTGGGACCACGGAGGCCAGGTTGTCTCTGCTCCTAAACTCTAGCTACTACATCAGCCTTTTTTTTTTTTTTTTGAGACTCCCAAGTAGCTGAGATTACAGGCGCCCGCCACCAAGCCCAGCTAATTTTTTGTATTTTTAGTAGAGACAGGGTTTCATCATGTTAGCAGGATGGTCTCGATCTACTGACCTCATGATCTGCCTGCCTTGGCCTCCCAAAGTGCTGGGATTACAGGCTTGAGCCACTGCACCCAGCCTACATCAGCCTTTTTAAAAGGATTTTTCTGGCCGGGCATGGTGGCTGACACCTTAATTCCAGCACTTTTGGGAGGCCGAGGTGGGAGGATCACCTGAGGTGGGGAATTCGAGACCAGCCTGACCAACATGTAGAAACACCCCATCTGTACTAAAAATACAAAAGTAGCCAGGCATGGTGGTGCATGCCTATAATGCCAGCTACTCGCGAGGCTGAGGCAGGAGAATCCGTTGAACCCGGGAGGTGGAAGTTGCTGTGAGCTGAGATGGAGCCATTGCACTCCAGTCTGGGCAACAAGAGCGAAACTCCGTCTCAAAAAAAAAAAAGGGGGGGGTTTTCTGACGCACGGCCCTTTGCACAAGCAATTCTTATTCCCTGGCATGCCTTCTGCTCTCTGTCCCCTCTTTGCCTGGAGAAGTTCAATTTTTCTTCTGAACACTCTTTACTTTGTATTTTGAGACAGGGTCTTGCTCTGTCACCAGTGCTGGAGTGGAGTGGTGTGATCATAGCCCGACATCCTGGGCTGAAGCCATCCTCCCAACTCAGCCTCCTGAGTAGCTGGGACTGCAAGCGCATGCCACCACAGATGGCTAATTTTTACTTTTTTTTTGAGACGAGTCTTGCCCTGTCGCCCAGGCTGGAGTGCGGTGGCGCGATCTCAGCTTACTGCGAGCTCCACCTCCCGGGTTCACACCATTCTCCTGCCTCAGCCTCCCGAGTAGCTGGGACTAAAGGTGCCCGCCACCATGCCCGGCTAATTTTTAAAAACATTTTTTTAGTAGAGATGGGGTTTCACCGTGTTAGCCAGGATGGTCTCTCTCTCCTGACCTCATGATCCACCTGCCTCGGCCTCCCAAAGTGCTGGGATTACAGGCGTGAGCCACTGCGCCTGGCCAATTTTTATTTATTTTTTGTAGGGACAAGGTCTCGATTTGTTGCCTAGGCTGGTGTCAAACTCCTGGCCTTAGGAGATCCTCTGGCCTTGGCCTTCCAAAGTGCTGGGATTACAGGTGTGACCCACTACACCCAGCTGGACACCCTTTCTAATCCCTAGCTAAAATCTGGGTTCCTAGATTTATGATCCTATGTGACCTCATACTTCCCCCTCAGCATCATTTATTGAAATCTGAAGGCAGGATGCGGTGGCTCACACCTGTAATCTTAGCACTTTGGGAGGCCAAGGTGGGAGAATGACCTGAGGTCAGGAGTTCAAGACTAGCCTGGCCAACATGGTGAAACCCCGTCTCTACTAAAAATATAAAAATTAGCCAGGCATGGTGGCGGACGCCTGATATCCAGGTACTCAGGAGGCTGAGGCAGAAGAATTGCTTGAACCCGGGAGCCGGAGGTTGCAGTGAGCTGAGATTTTGCCACTGCACTCCAGCCTGGATGACAGAGCGAGATTCCATCTCAAAAAAAAAAAAGAAAAATTTGTAATTTGTGTATATGTGTGTGTGGTGGCATTCCACAAGCATAGGAGCTATGCCAACTGTATCTCCTAGTGACTAGTATAAGACGTGGGTAGAAGTGCTCAAAAAACACACTTTGTGTATTTTTTTTATCAAGGCACCAGCAAAAAACAAAAAACAAAAAATCACACACGCGGCTGGGCGCGGTGGCTCATGCCTGTAAACCCAGCACTTTGGGAGGCTGAGGCGGGTGGATCACGAGGTCAAGAGATGGAGACCATCCTGGCCAACTGGTGAAACCCCGTCTCTACTAAAAATACAAAAATTAGCTGGGCGTGGTGGTGTGCACCTGTAGTCACAGCTACTCAGGAGGCTGAGGCAGAAGAATCACTTGAACCCAGGAGGCGGAGGTTGCAGTGAGCCAAGATCACGCCACTGCACTCCAGCCTGGGCGACATTGCAAGACTCTGTCTCAAAAAAAAAAAAAAAAAAAATTTGTAGATAGGAGGCTGAGGCGGGTGGATCACCTAAGGTCAGGAGTTCGAAACCAGCCTGACCAACATGGTGAAACCCCGCTTGTACTAAAAATACAAAAATTAGCCGGGCATGTTGCCACATGCCTGTAATCCCATCTACTTGGGAGACTGAGGCAGGAGAATCGCTTGAGCTTGTGAGGTGGAGGTTGCAGTGAGCCGAGATTGCACCATTGCACTCCAGCCTGGACAACAAGAGGGAAACGCCATCGCAAAAAGAAAAAAAATTTTTTTTTGTACAGACAAGTTATTGGTTGTCCAGACTGGTCACAAACTCCTGACCTCAAAAAACCCTCCAGCCTCAAGCCTCCCAAGATGCTGGGATGACAGGCATGAGCCAGGGCACCTGGCCTGATTCTTAGTTGCTTCCTTCTGTTCTCTTATTCCTCCCTTCCTCTCATCTTCCTACTTCTGTCGTCTTTTTCTTTTTGTCTCTCAAGGGTAGAGATTGAGTCTGTCCCTCTGTCTGCAACCAGCACAGGGCTTGGCACAGGGCCCTCCCAGCAGATTTTGCAGGAGGAATGCCTCCCACTCCGCCCTAGCATCCTGTCTTTGCAGGTTGGGCATCTGCCGGCTGGGCTCTGCCGCCTGTGAGGGTCTTTCTGTGGTGCTCCAGGCCAACCACAACCTCCGGGAGCTGGACTTGAGTTTCAACGACCTGGGAGACTGGGGCCTGTGGTTGCTGGCTGAGGGGCTGCAACATCCCGCCTGCAGACTCCAGAAACTGTGGTGAGCATCGGGGAGTGACGGGGTGGCAGTGGTCACGTTTGGACAGTGGAAGCGCCTTCTCATCCTTCATTTTTCTATTTATGAACTATCCTGCTTCACTACAAAAGATTCAGGTAGCAAGAAGAGAGGTGGAAAGAAAAGACAGGAAGTCTCTCTGAACTTATTCTGATTTGGGGGTGCTACCCGACTTAAAATTTTAAAAACTTAAGGCCAGGCGCGATGGCGCATGCCTGTAATCCCAGCACTTTGGGAAGCCGAGGTGGGTGGATCACCTGAGGTCAGGAGTTCAAGACCAGCCTAACACGGTGAAACCCTGTCTCTACTAAATACAAAAAAAATAGCCGGGCCTGGTGGCACATGCCTGTAATCCGAGCTACTTGGGAGGCTGAGACAGGAGAATCGCTTGTACCTGGGAAGTAGAGGTTTCAGTGAGCCGAGATCATGCCATTGCACTCCAGCCTGGGCAACAAGAGTGAAACTCTGTCTCAAAAAAAAAAAAAATTAAAATTTAAAAATTACAAAAGAGGCTGGGCACGGTAGCTTAATGCCTGCAATCCCAGCACTTTGGGAGGCCGAGGCGGGTGGATCACCTGAGGTCAGGAGTTCGAGACCAGCCTGGCCAAAACGGTGAAACACCATTCTACAAAAATACAAAAATTAACCCAGTGTGGTGGCGCATGCCTGTAATCCCAGCTACTCGGGAGGTTGAGGCAGGAGAATGACTTGAACCTGGGAGGCGAGATTACAGTGAGCTGAGATCATGCCACTGCCCTCCAGCCTGGGTGATAGAGCAAGACTCTGTCTCAAAAATAATAATTCAGGCCGGGCACAGTGGCTCATGCCTGTAATCCCAGCACTTTGGGAGTCCAAGGCGGACAGATCATGAGGTCAGGAGTTTGAGACCAGCCTGGCCAACATGGCCATCTCTATTAAGAATACAAAAATTAGCCTGGCGTGGTGGTGGGTGTCTGTAATCCCAGCTACACAGGAGGCTGAGGCAGGAGAATCACTTGAACCCAGGAGGTGGAGGTTGCAGTGAGCGGAGATCACACCATTGCACTCCAGCCTAGGTGCCAGAGAAAGACTCCATCTCGAGAAAAAAAAATAATAATTCAATCTGGTGCTCTGTAAATTCCAATCAAATGTTAATTGTGACTTTCTCCCTCACCTTTCTGCCAGGCCAGCTGTAGCCCTAATCTGAAGGACTTAGAATGGGATGAGGCATCATCTAGTTTATTTGGGATTTTTTTTTTTTTTAAAACAGGGTCTCCCTGTCACCCTGGAGTGCAGTGGCACGATCTTGGCTCACTGCAACCTCCACCTCCCGGGTTCAAGCAATTCCTGCCTCAGCCTCCCGAGTAGCTGGGATTACAGGCATGCGCCACCACCCCGGCTAATTTTGTATTTTTAGTAGAGACGGGGTTTCTCATGTTGGTCAGGCTGGTCTTGAACTCCCGACCTCAGGTGATCTGCCTGCCTCGGCCTCCCAAAGTGCTGGAATTACAGGCGTGAGCCACCACGCCCGGCCTAACCCAGATAATTTTTTAAAATGTTTCAGAGGCTGGGCGTAGTGGCTCACGCCTATAATCCCAGCACTTTGGGAGGCCAAGGTTGGTGGATCACTTGAGGTCAGGAGTTTGAGACCAGTCTGGCCAACATGGTGAAATCCCCTCTCCACTAAAGATATAAAAATTACGGCCGGGCACAGTGGCTCATGCCTGTAATCCCAGCACTTTGGGAGGCTGAGGCGGGCGGATCACGAGGTCAAGAGATTGAGACCATTCTGGCCAACAAGGTGAAACCCTCTCTCTACTAATACAACAATTAGTTGGGTGTGGTGGCTCTCGCCTGTAGTCCCAGCTGCTGGGGAGGCTGAGGCAGGAGAATCACTTGAACCCGGGAGGCAGAGGTTGCAGTGAGCCGAGATCATGCCACAGCACTCCAGCATGGGCAACAGAGGGAGACTCCATCTCAAACAAAACAAAAATAAAAGGATACAAAAATTAGCCATGCTAATTGGTGGTGGTGCACACCTGTAATCCCAGCTACTCAGGAGGCTGAGGCAGGAGAATCGCTTGAACCTGGGAGGCGGAGGTTGCAGTGAACAGAAATCTCACCACTGTACTCCAGCCTGGGAGACAGGGTGAGACACTGCCTCCGAATAACATAAGTAGCCCCTGGTGTTACCTTAACCAACTCCTTATCTTCACCAGGCTGGATAGCTGTGGCCTCACAGCCAAGGCTTGTGAGAATCTTTACTTCACCCTGGGGATCAACCAGACCTTGACCGACCTTTACCTGACCAACAACGCCCTAGGGGACACAGGTGTCCGACTGCTTTGCAAGCGGCTGAGCCATCCTGGCTGCAAACTCCGAGTCCTCTGGTGAGGGATGATGACCAGTTCTTTCTGGAGGAGGCTGGACATTGGGCTGGGAGCATGAGGGTAGATAAGCTGGATGGACAAATACGTTATGCACTGGTGTATGCAATTAGGGGGCATACAGATGAGGCCACATATTAGCTATGTCATCTACTGGCTGTGTGACCTTGGATAATTTCCTTGTCTGAGGCCGGGCGCGGTGGCTCACACCTATAATCCCAGCACTTTGGGAGGCCGAGGCGGGTGGATCACGAGGTCAGGAGATCGAGACCATCCTGGCTAAAATGGCGAAACCCCGTCTCTAATAAAAACACAAAAAATTAGCCGGGCGTGGTGGCGGGCGCCTGTAGTCCCAGCTACTCAGGAGGCTGAGGCAGGAGAATGGCGTGAACCCGGGAGGTGGAGCTTGCAGTGACCCAAGATCACACCACTGCACTCCAGCCTGGGTGACAGAGTGAGACTCCATCTCAAAAAAAAAAAATTTCCTTGTCTGTTGAAGGGGACCATCGTGGCTCACCAATTGCATTGGAGGTCACTGTGATTCGAGTGAGAATCTAGAATTACTCTGCCTGGGTTCAAACTCCAATTGCTTTTTTTTTGGACAGGATCTTGCTGTGGCCCAGGCTGGAGTGCAGTGATGCAATCAAAGTTTAGGCTGGGTGCAGGGGATGGCGCCTGTAATCCCAGTACTTTGACAGGCTGAGTTAGGAAAATTGCTTTCTTTACACACACACACACACACACACACACACACGCACACACCAGGTATGGTGGCACACACCTCTAATCAAAGCTACTCAGGGGGCTGAGGTGGGAGGATCCTTTGAGCTCAGGAGTTCAAGGCTGCAGTGAACCATGATTACGCCACTGGGTGACCCAGCAGGAACTTGTCTCAAGAAAAAAAAGGCCAAGGCAGGCAAATCACTTGAGGCCAGGAGTTCAAGACCAGCCTGGCCAACATAGCAAAACCACATCTCTACTAAAAATACAAAAACTTACGGCTGGGAGCGGGTGGCTCTATGCAAAAATTAGCCAGGCATGGTGGCACGTGACTGTAATCCCAGCTACTTGGGAGGCTAAGGCAGGAGAATCGCTTGAAGCCAGGAGGCGGAGGTTGCAGTGAGCTGAGATCATGCCACTGCACTCTAGCCTGGGCAACAGAGCAAGACTCCATCTTGGGGAAAGAAAAAAAAAATGGAGAACATAGTTGCATCTTCATAAGGCTATGATAAATTATGAATTGGCCAGGTGTGGTGGCTCACACCTGTAATCCCAGCACTTTGGGAGGCCGAGGTGGGCGGATCACGAGGTTAGGAGACTAGGACCATCCTGGCTAACACGGGTGAAACCTTGTCTCTACTAAAAATACAAAAAATTAGCCGGGCGTGGTGGTGGGCGCCTGTAGTCCCAGCTACTGGGGAGGCTGAGGCAGGAGAATCGCTTGAACCTGGGAGGTGGAGGTTGCAGTGAGCTGAGATTGCACCACTGCACTCCAGCCTGGGTGACAGAATGAGACTGTGTCTCAAAAAAAAAAAAATTATGCAGTTAACACAGCTTGGGGACTTGCATGTAGCATGTAGTAAGCCTACTTTCCAGCAGCGTTGGGTGGAATTTCTGGAGGATCATGGAATTATCTTACCACGGTAGTGCACAATAGATACTTAAGGCTTATTAATTGAATGCCACAGTAGTACACTGGAATAATATCAACTCTTGTGTCCACAGGTTATTTGGGATGGACCTGAATAAAATGACCCACAGTAGGTTGGCAGCGCTTCGAGTAACAAAACCTTATTTGGACATTGGCTGCTGAATGGTCCTATCTGCTGGCTCTCCCCTGAGATCTGGACAGAGGAAGATGGGAGGGTGCTCATCACCCCCCCAGCATAATGATCAGCCTCCTTCCTAGAGACAGACTCATGCAGATTGAGATCAAAAGTCCCTCTGCTTGGGATCAAATTAATGTTTGACAGAGCTGGCCAGGCGTGGTGGCTCATGTATGTAATCCTAGCACTTCGAGAGGCCGAGGCAGGTGGATCACGAGGTCAGGAGTTTGAGATTAGCCTGGCCAAGATGGTGAAACCCTGTCTCTACTAAAAATAAAAAAAAATTAGCCAGGCATGGTGGCGGGCACCTGTAGTCCCAGCTACTCAGGAGGCTGAGGCAGGAGAATCGCTTGAACCCGGGAGGTGGAGGTTGCAGTGAGCCGAGATCGCGCCACTGCACTCCAGCCTGGGCGACAGAGTGGGACTCCATCTCAAAAAAAAAAAAAAAAAAAGTTTGACGGAGCTTTAAGGGATGACCAACTAAGAGAGGTTTGATGGCCCCTAACAGGAGGGGTAAATCCCAACAGGGGCCAGGTGCGGTGTCTCACGCCTGTAACCCCCGTACTTTCAAAGGTGGAGGCAAGATGGGTTGCTTAAGTCTAGGAGTTAGAGACCAGCCTAAGCAACATAGCAAGACTCCACTGTTACTAATTAGCCAACTACTATTAATTAGTACAATTAATTACCCAGGAGTAGCAGCACATGCCTGTAGTCCCAGCTACTCTGGGGACTGAGGTGGGAAGATCGCTTGAGCCCAGGAGGTCGAGGCTGCAGTGAGCTGTCATTGCATCACTGCGCCCCAGCCTGGGCAACAGAGGGAGACGGTGAAAAATGGCCAGTAGGGGCCCTCAGAGGCCACCCAGCCCTGCCAAGCCCTGGCTGCATCGGAACATAGTAATATTTGAGCTCTGGGGTGGGTGCCACTGCCATCTAGTGGACGACACTAGGAATGCATGCCAACATCCAGCAAGGAATGCACAGGACAAAGCACTTGGTCCAAAGGCAAATTGTGCCAAGTTGAGGAAAGCCTATTCTCAAATGTCACAGGATACATGGGGCAACTCAGCATTTGGGAAGAGACTGGTATGCAAGCTAACCCTCAGAATGCTTGTTATGCCAACAGCCCTGATCCTCCCTTGCTGGAGGGGATAATGTCTGAAATCTTAACGTGGCAGGCATGTCAGGATGGCCCCCTGCCTGGAATTCACTGGGCCCTGCCAAGAACTGACACCTACAAGGCCACGTGTAGGCTGGCCATAACCTATTATACACTGTGCTTTCAACAAAAATACCGCCAGATGCGGTGACTCATGCCTGTAATCCAAATACTTTCGGAGGCCAAGGCAGGCAGATCAGCTGAGGTTAGGAGTTCGAGACCAGCCTGGCCAACATGGTGAAACCTACTAAAAATACAAAAATTAGGCTGGGCACGGTGGCTCATGCCTGTAATCCCAGCACTTTGGAGGCCGAAGCGGGCGGATCACTAGGTCAAGAGATCAATACCATCCTGGCTAACACAGTGAAACCCCATCTCTACTAAAAATACAAAAAATTAGCTGGGTGTGGTGGCATGCACCTATAGTCCCAGCTGCTGGGGAGGCTGAGGCGGGAGAATCGCTTGCACCTGGGAGGCAGAGGTTGCAGTGAACCGAGATCGCACTACTGCACTCCAGCCTGGGCGACAGAGCGAGACTCCATCTTAAAAAAAAAAAAAAAAAAAGGGTGTGGTGGCTCACACCTGTAATCCCAGCACTTTGGGAGGCCAAGGAGGGCAGATCACCTGAGGTCGGGAGTTCAAGACCAGCCTGACCAACATGGAGAAACCCTGTCTCTAATAAAAATATAGAATTAACCAGGCGTGATAGCACATGCGGGTAATCCCAGCTACTCGGGAGGCTGAGGCAGGAGAATCACTTGAACCCGGGAGACAGAGGTTGCAGTGAGCAGAGATCACGCCATTGCACTCCAGCCTGGGTGATAGAGACGCCGTCTCAAAAAAAAAAAAAAAAAAAAAAAAAAGAGGAATCCATATTCCCTTGGCTGGGTGCAGAGGCTCACGCTTGTAATCCCAGCACTTTGGGAGGCCAAGGCGGGTGGATCACAAGGTGAGGAGATCAAGACCATCCTGGCCAACATGGTGAAACCCCGTCTCTACTAAAATACAAAAAATTAGCAGGGCGTGGTGGAGGGCGCCTGTAGTCCCAGCTACTCAGGAGGCTGAGGCAGGGGAACCACTTGAACCCAGGAGGCGGAGGTTGCAGTGAGCCGAGATTGTGCCACTGCACTCCAGCCTAGTGACAGAGCAAGACTCTAAAAAAAAAAAAAATGCATATTCCCATTTCAATACACAGAAACCTATATTCCCATTATTAGGAATTCGAACTAAGAATCTTTAAACTATGTCACTGCCCGGTGGGAAATCAGGTCCCCATGCTGTGCTCAGCCCACACACTGGAGATCTACAGACCAGAACCTGCAAGGAGACTGAGGCAGTTTCAGAAAAAGTGACCTTACAACTCCAGAGATCAGATACTGATTCAGTCCTGTAGACATAATTGTCCCATTGGCCAGGTGCAACAGCTCATGTCTAATTCCAGCTCTTTAGAAGGCCAAGAATTTTTACACCAACCTTAAGGTGCCGCCTGAACACAAAAAAATTATCTACTCTATGTACTACTATCTATCTACCCCAGAAGGGGTATTCATGCATAGACCCAGCTACTGAAGCTGAGGAAAAATGCTTGAGTCCAGGAAGTGGAGGCTACACCTAGCTCGACAGAACCGCTACATTCCAGCCTAGATGACATGATCGTCTACAAAAAAGAAACTAAAAATGGCCCACCATTACCACGTAAAACTGTGCCTTAAGCTTTCTGCAATCCCAGCACTTTGGGATAAGAGATTGTTTAGGTTTCAAGACCAGATTGGGCAACATAGTGGGATCCTATCTCTAAATTTTTTAAAAAGTTATTTACCCAATATTCTTTATATGTCTGCATTCAGTCCTGTTTCCACAGCTGCTTCTGAAGCAAACAGCCCTGCTTACAAACCACCCCCACCTACACCCTGCTGGCCATACAGGCTAAACCCTAAACAAGCTTAAGAAACTCAACTAAAGGCTGGGCGCAGTGGCTCAAACCTGTAATCTCAGAATTTTGGGAGGCCAAGGTGGGTGGATCACTTGAGGTCAGGAGTTTAGTGAGACCAGCCCGGCCAACATGGGGAAACGCCATCTGTACTAAAAATCCAAAAAAAATTAGCTGGGCATGGTGGTGGGTGCCTATAATACCAGCTACTCGGGAGGCTGAGGCAAAAGAATCGCTTGAACCTGGGAGGTGGAAGTTGCAGTGAGCCAAGATCATGCCATTGTACTCCAGTCTGGCGACAGAGCGAGACTCCATCTCTTTAAAAAAAAAAAAAAACAAAAAAAAAAACACAAAAACAAAAAACCCTCAACTAACAATCCCCAAGCTGCCCGTAGAAAAGATGACAGGAGGCCCAGGTAGGTCAAATATAAAGAGAAGTCTTACTGGTTACCGTGGCGGACTCCCCACCAGTGGTGGCGGTATTGGGACAGAGGCTACAACTGCTTTATGAATTGCGGGTACAAATAGCAAAACAAAACTCCCTTGAATTTGAGATCTTACTTCAGTTCAGATACTGTGGAGTGGGCAAAGCAGCCGCAAGGGTTTGGAACACCTACAGGGGATAGGAAAACTTACAGGGGATAGTGGCCAGCAGACCCGGAAACCAGTGATAGGGCAAACAGCAACTAAGAACCTACTGAAGGCCCCACGTGGTGGCTCACGCCTATAATCCCAGCACTTTGGGAGGCCGAGGTGGGTGGATCACCTGGGGTCAGGAGTTCCAGAGCAGCCTGGCCAACGTGGAGAAATCCCATCTCTAAAAAATGCAAAAAATTAGCCAGGCGTGGTGGCTTATGCCTGTAATCCCAGCTACTTGGGAGGCGGGGGCAGGAGAATCGCTTAAGCTGGCAGAGGTTGCAGTGAACCAAGATTGCGCCATTGCGCTCCAACCTGAGCGAGAGCACGAGACCATCTGAAGCAAAAAAACCTTCCAAATATGAACTTAGGCCTGGCACTGTGGCTCACACCCATCATCCCAGGGAGGCCACCCAGGGCAAGACAGTAAAGCCCCATCTCTACTAAAGGAGGGATGTTTGATTCCCCCTAAGTTTCAGACCAAGCTGGCCAATGTATGAGACCCCAATTTCTACTAAACATTAGTGGAGCATGGCGGGGACACTCCTGTGGTGCCAGCTACTAAGGGTGGGGTGAGGGGGGGCTTATATGGGAAGATCTTTTGATCTAGGGAGCTCAGGCCTGCAGGGAGCTGTGATGGTGCCACCACACTTCAGCCTGGGTGGTTTTTATTTTTTGAGACAGTTATCGCTGTCACCCAGGCTGGAGTGCAGTGGCACAACCTCGGCTGGCTGCAAGCTCCACCTCCCGGGTTCATGCCCTTTCTGCCTCAGCCTGTGACTACAGGCACCCACCGCCATGCCCGGCTAATGTTTTTGTATTTTTTAGTAGAGATGTGGTTTCACCGTGTGAGCCAGGATGGTCTTGATCTGACCTCATGATCAGCCTGCGTCGGCCTCGGCAGTGCTGCCACTGTGCCCGGCCTTACTTTTTAAACTTGTTTGAAGTTTAAAGAGCAGAACTCTCAAAGAGCATAACTCTAAGTTCTAGCAGGGGTAGAAGGGAAGCACAAAATACTGACAAGTATTTTTAGGCAATGTACTTGGGTCATAGAAGAAGGTTCAGTAACGCCAGACATGAGGCTCATGCCTGTAATCCCAGCACTTGTGGGTGGCAGAGGAACCCAATAGACCAGAAACACATGATGTTGTTCACATTTTATTAAAAAAAAAAGTTAGGAAAAGTGAGACTGTGGCATTGTCCGTGTAGCAGGGTGGAAGCACTCCAGCCCATGCTCTGGCCAAACCCACTTCAAGCCTTACATGCATGCTGCCTACCAAATTCAGGAACAGGACCCCAAATTCCCTTTAAGGCCAACCAGATTCCCCCGACACCCCATCAAGCTTTTCCTGCCCTGTTCATCTGCAGGTGAACCCCGTATCCTGCCCACCCCAGAATATGCCAATTTTTATTATCTAAAATGGAGCATACAGACTGGTGCCCCGCAGAGAAGCCCGGGAACTCCAGGTCATAGCTGAAGCTGCAGTCAGACCCGCAGGCTCCCTTGAAGCAGGATGGTTCGTGATGCCCTACTCAAACAGGGACACCCCAAAATCGAAGCACTTCCCAGTACAGACAAAAAGGAAAGCGCCCCCATTTTGAGTATCCCAGTATGAGCTCCTCGCGAGGATCTGCCATCACTGTGACTTTCTTGCCTACAAGAGGTTGGCCTCCAATCATCCAAGCACATGTTAAATGTCAGCAATAAACTTGCTTGCTATGGGGGAAGAGGAAAGTTACATATCAATTATAACACCAACAGCAAAAAGCATTCCTTTCTTTGTGCATACAGCCCCTTGGTCACAGCTGCTGTTTTTTTTTTTTTTTTTCTTTGAGAATGAGTCTTGCTCTGTCGCCCAGGCTGGAGTGCGGTGGCGCGATCTCGGCTCACTGCAAACTCCGCCTCCCGGGTTCACGCCATTCTCCTGCCTCAGCCTCCCAAGTAGCTGGGACTACAGGCGCCCGCCACCACGCCCGGCTCATTTTTTGTATTTTTAGTAGAGACGGGGTTTCACCGTGTTAGCCAGGATGGTCTCGATCTCCTGACCTCGTGATCCGCCTGCCTCGGCCTCCCAACGTGCTGGGATTACAGGTGTGAGCCGCCGCGCCCGGCGCAGGCGCACAGCCGCCCTCTGAACCTTCTCTTCCTTTCACCATCTAACCCAGATTCCCTTAGTTGTGTCAGGTGAGAGCCCAGGAGGCCCCCTTCCCTTCCCCAGGTTTTCCGGAGCCATTACAGCCAGACGCTGTAAGGGACCTGTACCCAAGACAGTTTCCGGCTGGGAATCGAAACCACAGGCTCTTTAGTTCCTGCAGAAGACCGAGCTCCACGGCATCCGTTGATATGGGCGTCACCGGTGACGCTCAAATGTCGCAGCACTTTCCACTTGGACATCAGAATAGTGCTCCACATTTGAGGCCCACAGGGTGAGCAGCTCCATCTGCAAGAGCCCCGGCCAAGAAATTTATATCACGAGGAAACGGCCATAGGCAGGGTCTAGGGCCATCCTGCTACCCGCCCCCTCACCCAATCAAAATGGTATCTTCTCCGCAGGTTGAGTCTTCTCAAGCGGTAACACTCAAAAGATGGCGGCACTTTCACCAGAGAGCAGAAAGTGCCCCCACAGTTTGAGTGCCA
Source organism: Homo sapiens (assembly GCF_000001405.40). Taxonomy (NCBI): domain Eukaryota; kingdom Metazoa; phylum Chordata; class Mammalia; order Primates; family Hominidae; genus Homo; species Homo sapiens. The sequence goes on along the minus strand of NC_000019.10, from coordinate 53,787,675 downwards.
CAGGCTGAGGGGATGCGGCAAGGCGGCGATCGCAAGTGGAAGCACTTACCCATCAGAAGAGGCTTTTAAGCAAGGAGGTGGAGAGTAGCCCTTGATGAGCTGTTGAAGGTCTACAAAGCACGAATTTAACGACCCTTTCTTAAAAAGTAAAAAACAAGGCTTTCCACGTATAGATATTCAAAGCACTCCCCCGCCCATAGCCTCCAGATGCAAGCCATGAGGACTGAGTACAATGCAAGTAGGAAGGAACACGTGTGAGGGACAGTGGGGCCTTCGTCCTTAAGACTGAAAAAAAATCACAGAAATAGAACAAAAGTACAGCCCGGCTGGGCGGAGTGGCTCAAGCCTGTAGTCCCAGCTACTCGGAAGGCTACGGTGGTAGGATTGCTCTTGAGCCCAGGAGTTCGAGACCAGCTTGGATAACATAGAAAACCCCATCTCTCCTAAAAAAAAAAAAAAAAAAGCAGAAAAACGCACATGGGAATGGTGGTGCGCGCCTGTGGTCCCAGCTACTGGAGGCTAAAAGGGTGAGTCCCAGGAGGTCGAGGCTGCAAGGCGCCATCATCCTACCTGTGCACTTCATCCTGGGCGACAGTGAGATCCTGACCCTAAAAAATAAAGTAAAATGAAAGAAAATAAAATAACATAGCAATACTCACAGAGGCCAATGATACGTCCACACCTCAGGTCTGCCAGAAAGAACAAGGTTCACTGCAGCTGCGTTCTTATATAGGGTGAGAGCCCACTCAACTTTGATAGGATTAAAGCCCACCCCTTCCCACCCTCTCATTCCCCCTGGTCTCCGCCCCAAGCCACCCTGCTCCCTTTGATCCTAGCTTGCCTTAGTCAGACACACCTTCATAAACTTTTTCAAACACTGATTCAAATAGAAATTAGGTGATCCCTATTACTAGTAACGCCAACATGTATTCGTTATAAATACATTGGAAAACACAGAGAAATAACCAGAAGAAAATCATTCCACCAGTCATCCACTCAACAAATATTTAAATATAGTATTTTGGCAGAGCGCAGTGGCTCACACCTGTAATCCCAGCACTTTGGGAGGCCGAGGCGGACGATCACTTGAGGCCGGGAGTTCGAGACTAGCCTGGGCAACATGGCGAAACCCCGTCTCTACCAAAAAAATACAAAAATTACCCACGCATGGTGGTGTGCACCTGTAATCTCAGCTGCTTGGGAGGCTGAGGCAAGAGAATTGCTTGAACCCGGGAGGCAGAGGTTGCAGTGAGCCAAGATTGTGCCACTGCATTCCAGCCTGGGGACAGAGTGAGACCGTGTCTCAAAAAATAAATAAATAGGCTGGGCACAGTGGCTCATGCCTATAATGCCAGAACTTCAGGAGGCCGAGGCAGGCAGATCACGAGGTCAAGCGATCGAGACCATCCTAGCCAACATGGTCTCTACTAAAAATACAAAAATTAGCTCGGCGTGGTGGTGGATACCTGTAGTCCCAGCTCCTCGGGAGGCTGAGGCAGGGGAATTGCTTGAACCCAGGAGGCAGAGGTTGCAGTGAGCCAAGATCGCCCCACTGCACTCCAGCCTGGGTGACAGAGTGAGACTCCATCTCAAAAATAATAATAATAAATTTTAAAAAAATAAAAAAGCTGGGTGCGGTGTGGCTCACACCTATAATCCCTGCTACTCAGGGGGCTGAGGTGGGAGAATCCTTTGAACCCTGGAGGTGGAGGTTGCGGTGAGCCGAGATCACACCACTGCACTCCATTCTGGGCGACAGAGTGAGACTTAGTCTCAAAAAAAAAAAGAGAGGGAGAAAAGAAAAAAACAGTGCGGCAGTGAACATTTTTGAGAGCAACTTTGATAAAAAAGCGGAAACATTTCTGATTTTATTTAATGAAACCACTAGAGTTCCTTTGACCTTGAGGCATAGAGAGGAACTCAAAAAGGTGGGTGTTGGAGAGGTGAGGAGGGGCTTGAAAATGGTAAGTGCTCAAAATAATGAATGACTCAAGGAAGGGGAAGACTTGGGGCCCCAGGAGGCCAGGGTTTCCTTCCCATTTGTAATCCTAGCCAGCTGCGGGAGTACGTGCTCAACCTTTCTGGTTAAACCTAGTTCCTTCATCAATGAAAATGTACAGCATTTGCTGCAAAGGATGGCGAGAGATAGAAATGAGACAGCAAATAGCATGTTTGGCGAGAATCGCTAGAACCCAGGAGGCAGAGGTTGCAGTGAGCTCACATCACGCCACTGCACTCCAGCCTGGGTGATAGAGCCAGACTCCATCTCAAAAAAAAAAAAATTCTTGCTTTGATCTTTGTCAAGGTTGCGGGAGGTCAGTGCTTATGTCCTTACAGCTCAGCCATCCAGATTCCTATCTAACCTACTCACTCCTCTCACACTGCACCTGGATTTTCTGCTATTTGTGAACCACCTGGATGATCTCTCGGGTATTTCCTAGAACTCGGCTTTTTCTCATCACCTCATTTTGTCTTTGCAAATTTCTCCTTTAAGGGCGGCTTTCTTCTCCTGCCCTTGGGCCAGCACAGCGAGTTCATTGCTGACTTTTTTTTTTTTTTTTTGAGACGGAGTCTCCCTCAGCCACCCGGGCTGGAGTGCAGTGGCTCGATCTCGGCTCACCACAACCTTCGCCTCCCAGGTTCAAGTGATTCTCCTGCCTCAGCCTCCCGAATAGCTGAAATTACAGGCATGTGCCACCACGCCGGCTAATTTTGTATTTTTAGTAGAGACGGGGTTTCTCCATGTTGGTCAGGCTGTTCTCAAACTCTCAAACTCAGGTGATCTGCCCGCCTCGGCCTCCCAAAGTGCTGGGAATACAGGCGTGAGCCACCGCACCCGGCCAACGTTTGTATTTTTGAATATAAAAAATGTTATTAGTGCAATTGAATTTAATCAACATTCAACAAAGAGTATAGTCAAAGACGATTTTTAAGTGCATTTGAAAGAGGACTGCAGGCAGTGGCTCAAGCCTGTAATCTCAGCAATTTGGAAAGCTGAGGTGGGAGGATCTCTTCAGCCCATGAGTTCAAGGCTGCAGTGAGGCCTGATCCTGCCACTGAACTCCAGCCCAGGTGACAGAGCAAGACCCCATCCCTGGAAAGAAAGAAAAAAGAAAAGAAAAAAGATCCGCTGGGCACGGTGGCTCACACCTGTAATCTCAGCACTTTGGGAGGCCGAGGTGGGCGGATCACCTGAGGTCGGGAGTTCAAGACCAGCCTGGCCAACATGGAGAAACTCCGTCTCTACTAAAAATACAAAATTAGCCGGGGTGGTGGTGCATGCTACTCAGGAGGTTGAGGCAGGAGAATCGCTTGAACCCGGGAGGCGGAGGTTGTGGTGAGCCGAGATCGCGCCATTGCACTCTAGCCTGGGCAACAAGAGCAAAACTCTGTCTCAAAAAAAAAAAAAAACAAAGAATAAAGAAAAAATATCCAATGTGATATTTTACTTTTTTGTTGTATAATTTGTTTAAAAATATAGAGATGGGCTGGGCATAGTGGCTCATTCCTGTAATCCCAGCACTTTGGGAGGCTGATGCAGGCGGATCAGTTGAGGTCAGGAGTTCAAGACCAGCCTGGTCAACATAAGAAAACCCCGTCTCTACTAAAAAATACAAAAATTAGCCCGGTGTGGTGGTGGGCGCCTGTAATCCCAGCTACTCGGGAGGCTGAGGCAGGGAGAAATGCTTGAACCTGGGAGGCAGAGGTTGCAGTGAGCCGAGATCACACCATTCACTTTAGCCTGTGTGACAGGGCAAGACTCCGTCTCAAAAAAAGAAAAAGAAAGAAAGAAAAAAAATACATATATATATATATATATATGAGAGAGAGAGAGAGAGAGAGAAGAGAGAGAGAGAGAGGGAGATGCTGGTCTTGCTTTGTTGCCTAGGCTGGTCTCAAACTCCTGGGCTCAAGCGAACCTCTCACCTTGGCCTCCCAAAGTGCTGGGATTACAGGCATAAGCCACCACGCCTGGCCCAATTTGACTTTTTTTTTGACAATTGATAACATTGGTGGTGAGACCAGTTTAAGACTTGACCTTCCCCCCCCACAACCAGGCTTGACAAGAAAAATCAAATTGAAAAAAATTTAAAATTCAAGATGCGCTTCTTAGATTTTCATTCTGACCTGACAAGTATAGTTGATCTGGTCTTGTATTATTGCGGTAATTCAACACACATATTTAACGTAAAGCCTCAAATTGTAATAATTGTATTAACTATTAGTGAACTTTAAGTGTCAATTTATCTTTACTCTTAAATGAGCTCTTTGAAAAAAAAAAAATGACAGCCAGGCGCGGTGGCTCGAGCCTGTAATCCCAGCACTTTGGGAGGCTGAGGTGGGTGGATCACCTGAGGTCAGGGATTCCAAACCATCCTGGCCAACATGGCGAAACCCCATCTCTACTAAAATACAAAATTAGCCAGGTGTGGTGGCGCATGCCTGTAATCCCAGCTACTTGGGAGGCTGAGGCAGGAGAATCGCTTGAACCGAGGAGACGGAGGTTGCAGTGAGCCCAGATGATGCCACTGCACTCCAGCCTGGCCAACAAGAGTGAGACTCCGTCTCAAAAAATAAATAAATACATAAAATAACAGAAGGAATCAGAAATCCCAAATATTTAGGACATGAGATTTCATAGCCCGTGCTTCTTGGGAGGAGCGGACAGATAGAGGAAATTTTGCCTAATCAGAAGTTCTTCCTGCTGAGCTGAAAGGTCATCGTTTGCAAACCAATAGACCTCCTTGTCATGATAATCACCCTGAATCCTCACCCTGAAACCCAGCCCTTTGCATAATCTGCCCCAGCTCCCCATAACAATGAGATTAGCATTTTTTTTTTTGTAAACAGCCTAACAGTTTGAGAAATCCTTTTATGTACAATATTCGTTCCTGTAATCCCATTTTTCTCTCAGTCACTGTTTATCTACAGACTTTGGGTGGGTGCATGATAAACCTCCTTATGACATTAAGGAGAATTTACCATTTTATCCATCTTTTCTGCAATGGGATGAGTTCAGGAAGGAAAGATTCTTGCCAGACTAGATTAAACCTTTCCCCGGTTAATGGCTGCTTATTTTGTTTGCCTGTGTTCTTAACACTCCAAGATTTAATACACATGGTTTAATATGTGGAACACCTAAAAGGTGCTGGCGTCCATCCTCGATTCGGGGGTGTGGGGGGGACATTGTATAAGAAAGATTAGACCAGGCGTGGTGGCCCAAGCCCATAATCCCAGCATTTTGGGAGGTGAAGGGTGGCAGATTGCCTGAGCTCAGGAGTTTGAGGCCAACCTGGGCAATATGCTGAAACCCTGTCTCTACAAAATAAATACTATATATACATACTAGCCAGGCGTGGTGGCATTTTTTTTTAAACTGGAGATAGGGTCTTGGCCATGTTGCCCAGGCTGTTCTCAAACTCCTGGTCTCAAGTATCCCTCCCATCTCAGCCTCCTGAGTATGTGGGATTAAAGGGAAGAGACTGAACTGAGAACGCGCCATTGCACTCCAGCCTGGGCAACAGGAGAGAAACTCCGTCTCAAAAAAAAAAAAAAAAGAAAGAAAGAAAGAAAAGAGCCTCTGGGCTCTGCTTATTTATTTATTCATTTTTAAATTATCTATTTATTTTTATTGTACTTTAAGTTCTGGGTTACATGTGCAGAACGTGCAGTTTTGTTACATAGGTATACATGTGCCCCGGTGGTTTGCTGCACCCATCAACCCGTCACCTACATTAGGCATTTCTCCTAATGTTTTCCCTCCCCTAGCCCCCCACCCTATTTATTCATTTTTATTTCATAAAGAGCCAGAGTTTTCCTCTGTAGCCCAGGCTGGAGTGCAGTGGCTGGATCATGGCTCACTGTAACCTTGAACTTCTGGGCTCAAGCAACCCCGTCTCAGCCTCCCTAGTAGCTGGGACTACAGGCTTGTGCCACCACACTTGGCTAATTTTTTGCAATTGTAGTAGATATGGGTTTTTGCCATGCTACCCAGGCTGGTCTCAAACTCCTGGGCTCAAGTGATCCTCATGCATGGGCCTCCCAAAGCGTGGGAATTGCAGGAGAGCCAGAGCCTGACCCTATGGCCACTTTCTTGCTATAGTAATTGCAGAGTTGAGAAATTGTGACAGAGACCACGTGACCCACAAAACCTAAACCATTTACTATCTAGCTCTTTAGAGAAAATGTTTGCTGACCTCAGTATCGAGGCAAGGAGTGGACAAAGGCTGCGGTGGCTCACGCCTGTAATCCCAGCACTTTAGGAGGCTGAGGTGGGCAGATCGCTTGAGGTCAGGAGTTCAAGACCAGCATGGCCAACATGGCGAAACCCCGTCTCTACCAAAAATACAAAATTTAGCCATGTGTGGTGGCGAGCACCTGTAATCCCAGCTATTCGAGAGGCTGAGGCAGGAGAATCGCTTGAACCTGGGAGGCGAAAGTTGCAGTGAGTTGAGAACATGCCATTGCACTCCAGCTTGTCTCAAAAAAAAAAGACCGGACGCGGTGGCTCACGCCTGTAATCCCAGCACTTTGTGAGGCCGAGGTGGGTGGATCACAGGGTTGGGAGTTCGAGACCAGCCTGGCCAAGATGGAGAAACCCCGTCTCTACTAAAAATACAAAAAAATTCCCGGGGCATGGTGGCACGCGCCTGTAATCCCAGCTGCTCTGGAGGCTGAGGCAGAGAATTGCTTAAACCTGGAGAGGCGGAGGTTACAGTGAGCCGAGATCGCGCCACTGCACTCCAGCCTGGGCTACAGAGCGAGACTCCGTCTCAAAAAAAAAAAAAAGAAGAAGCAAAAATGGGATTTAGCCAAAGAACAGAGAGATGGGTTCATGGATGGAAAATTACAAAGGAGGCACCCTGGACAGAGGATTTCTGCTTCAACTGGCCTAACGGGATTCTTGCTAAAGGTGGGCCAAGGCCTCCTACATCAAAGGTGGTGGATGAGGCACTTCATCAGATATCAGGGGCAGTTAGATGGGAAGAGTCAAGAGATAACTCAGCAGGAATCTCTGCTAAGAGTGGGCTGGTAAGGTCAAAGATAAGATAGCAGCCAAGGCCCAGGCCTAGTCAGGAGGGCTCAGGACAGCCTGTGTAAAGTTTGGTCAAGGGGGGGAGTCTGTCAAGGTATATGCTCCAAATTTGTTTCTTTTCTTTTTTTTTTTTTTTTTTGTTGAGACGGAGTTTCTCTCTGTTGCCGGCTGGAGTGCAATGGCGGGATCTCGGCTCTCTGCAACCTCCGCCTCCCGGGTTCAAGCGATTCTCCTGCCTCAGCCTCCCGAGTAGTTGGGATTACAGGCACACGCCACCACACCCAGCTAATTTTTGTATTTTTAGTAGGGGGGTTTCTCCATGTTGGTCAGGCTGGTCTCGAACCCTTGACCTCAGGCAATCTGCCCACCTCGGCCTCCCAAAGTGCTGGGATTACAGGAGTGAGCCACCGTGCTCGGGGCCAGCTTTTTTTTTTTTTTTTTTTTGAGGTGGAGTCTCACTCTCTGTCGCTCAGGCTGGAGTCCAGTGGTGCTATCTGGGTTCACTGCAAACTCCGCCTCCCAGGTTCAAGAGATTCTCCTGGCTCAGCCTCCCAAGTAGCTGGGATTAAGGCACCCAGCACCATGTCCAGCTACCTTTTGTATTTTTAGTAGAGATGGGATTTTGCCATGTTAGCCAGACTGGTCTTGAACTCCTGACCACCCATGATCCACCCACTTTGGCCTCCCAAAGTGCTGGGATTACAGGCATGAGCCTCCACGCACAGCCAAAATCTGTTTCTTCATTTTGAGTCTTGCTCTGTTGCCCGGGCTAGAGTACAGTGACTCTGTCACAGCTCTCTGCAGCCTCAATCTCCTGGGCTCAAGTGATTCTCCCACCTCAGCCCCCTGAGCAACTGGGACCTCAGGTGCACTCCACCATGCCTAATTTTCTTATTTTTTGTAGAGAAAGGGTCTCGCTACATAGCCCAGGCAAGTTTTGAACTCCTGAGCTCAAGCGATCCTCCCGCCTCAGCCTCCCAAAGTGCTGGGATTATAGACTTGAGCCACTGCACTTGGCCTGCTTTTTATATTTCTATTGAATAAGTCCTCACTGGAACTATCAATTATCTCTAAAGTGGCCGAACCCTGCAGTGGTCAAGAACACCATCTTCCAGCTGCCTTCTTCTAGAGCCTGCCTTGCCAGACACTCAGAGCCATACAATTTATATTTGGGTTCCATGCTCAAGAGTTATGGCTGATAGAGTGCTTGCTAGAAAATGTGGACAGGGCTGGGCACAGTGGCTCACACCTGTAATCCCAGCACATTTGGAGGCCAAAGCGGGCAGATCATTTGAGGACAGGAGTTTGAGACCAGCCTGGCCAATATGGTGAAACCCCGTTTCTACTAAAAATACAAAAAAAAATTACCTGGACGTAGTGGCAGGAGCCTGTAATCCCAGCTACTTGGGAGGCTGAGGCAGGAGAATCGCTTGAACCCAGGAGGCAGAGGTTACAGTAAGCCAAGATCAGGCCACTGCACTCCAGCCTGGGCGACCGAGTGAGACTCTGTCTGAAAAAGAAAAATAAAAAAAAGGTGAGGCCCAGTGGCTCACAGCTGTAATCCCAGGACTTTCGGAGGCCAAGGCAGGCAGATCACTTGAGGTCAGGAGTTCGAGACCAGCCTGACCAACATGGTGAAACCGCCCTACTAAAGATACAAAAATTAGCCAGACATGGTGGCAGGAGCCTGTAATCCCAGCTACTGGGGAGGCTGAGGATGAGAATCGCTTGACCCAGGGAGGCGGAGGTTGCAGTGAGCTGAGATCAAGCCACTGCAGTTTAGCCTGGGTGACAGAGTGAGACTCTTTCTAAGAAAATAAATAAATATGACAGGTGCAGTGGTTCATGCCTGTAATCCTGGCACTTTGGGAGGCTGAGGGGGAGGATCACTTGAGGTCAGGAGTTGGAGACCAGCCTGGACAACATGGTAGAACCCCATCTCTAGTAGAAATACAAAAATTAGCCGGGCGCGGTGGTGTGTGCCTGTAATCTCAGCTACTCAGGAGGCTGAGGCAGGAGAATTGCTTGAACCTGGGAGATGGAGGTTCCAGTGAGCCGAGATTGTGCCACTACACTCTAGCCTGAGCGACACTCTGTCTCAAAAAATAAATAAATAAGTAAATAAATAAATAAATGTAAAATAAAAATAAAATTAGGCTGGACTTGGGGGCTCATGACGGTAATCCCAGCACTTTCGGAGGTTAGGATAAATAAATATATATTTTTATATTACATATAATAATATATAAAATATAAATATATATATATTGTAAAACAGGGTCTCACTCTGTCACCCTGGCTGGAATGCAGTGGCACTATCACGGCTCACAGTAGCTTTGACCTCCTGGGCTCAAGAGATTCTCCCACCTCCAGCCTCCTGAATAGCTGGGACTACACACACCCACCATCATGTCCAGATAATTTTAGTATTTTTTGTAGAGACGGGGTTTCACCATATTGCCCAGGCTGGTCTCAAACTCCTGGGCTCAAGTGACCTGCCCAGCTCAGCCTCCCAAAGTGCTGGGATTACAGGCATGAGCCACCGCACCTGGCCCACATCAGGACTATATTGAATAGTGCAGGTACAGAACAGGTGCATCCTTGCATATAAAGTTCTGTTGGATGGGCCGGGCACGATGTCTCACACCTGTAATCCCAGCACTTTGGGAGGCCAAGGCAGGCGGATCATAAGGTCAGGAGTTTGAGACCATCCTGGCCAACATAGCGAAACCCCGTCTCTACTAAAAATACAAAAATTAGCTGGGCATGGTGGCATGTGCCTGTAATCCCAGCTACTTAGGAGACTGAGGCAGGAGAATCGCTTGAACCAGGGAGTCAGAGGTTGCAGTGAGCCGAGATTGCGCCACAGCACTCCAGCCTGGCAACAGAGCAAGACTCCGTCTCAAAAAAAAAAAAAAAAAAAGTTCTGTTGGATGGTGCTGATGTGTAAAATGGCCTCAATGAAGAGGCTTGGATCTGCAGAGAGGTTGGGGGACATCACTGAGGAAATGGAAACGGAAGTCAGGGGACAGGCCTGGAAATGTGACTAAATTCTAAGGCATGAATTGGATAATTCGCAACTTCGGAAAAAGAGATTTCAGGTGCCCATTTATTTATTTATTTATTTATTTATTTATTTATTGAGATGGAGTTTCACTCCTGTCGCCCAGGCTGGAGTGCAGTGGCGCGATCTCGGCTCACCGCAACCTCCACCTCCCAGGTTCAAGCGATTCTCCTGCCTCAGCCTCCCGAGTAGCTGGGATTACAGGCATGCGCCATCACACCCAGCTAACTTTTTTGTATTTTTAGTAGAGATGAGGTTTCTCCATGTTGGTCAGGCTGGTCTCGAACTCCCGATCTCAGGTGATCCCCCTGCCTCAGCCTCCCAGAGTGCTGGGATTACAGGCATGAGCAACCGTGCCCGACCTATTATTATTGGTTTCTTTTTTATTTTTATTATTTTATTATTATTGGCTTCAGGTGCCTATTAACCCCCAAAAGAAGGTGGGGTTTTTTGGCCCTATGCAGCGGATCACATCTGTAATCCCAGCACTTTTGGAGGCCGTGGTGGGAGGATGGCTTGAGGCCAGGAGTTTGAGACCAGCATGGGCAATATGGGGAGACCTCATCTTTAGAAAAAAAAAAAAAAAAAAAAAAAAAAAAAATATATATATATATATATATATATATATATATACACACACACAGACACACACACATATATACATATATATAAAAATATATGGCCAGGCGTGGTGGCTCACACTGCAATCCCAGCACCTTGGGAGGCCGAGGCAGGTGAATCACTAGGTCAGGAGTTCGAGACCAGCCTGGCCAAGATGGTGAAACCCTGTCTCTACTAAAAATATAAAAATTAGCCGGGCACGGTGGCAGACGCCTGTAATCCCAGCTACCTGGGAGGCTGAGGCAGGAGAATCGCTTGAACCCAGGAGGCAGAGGTTGCAGTGAGCCAAGATAGGGCCACTGCACTCCAGCCTGGGCGACAGAGCAAGACTCTGTCTCAAAAAAAAAAAAGAATTATTTAGGCTGGGGATGGTGTCTCACTCCTATAATCCTAGCACTTTGGGAGGCTGAGGCGGGTGGATCACCTGTGGTCAGGAGTTCAAGACCAGCCTGGCCAACATGGTGGAACCCCGTCTCTACTAAAAATACAAAAATTAGCTGGGCACGGTGGCAGGTGCCTGTAATCCCAGCTACTCGGGAGGCTGAGGCAGGAGAATCACCTGAACCCAGCAAGCGGAGGTTGCAGTGAGCAAAGATCACGCCATTACACTCCAGCCTGGGCAACAAGAGCAAAACTCCATCTCAAAAAAAAAAAAAAAAAAAGAAAAGAGAAAGAGAATAATAAATAAAAAATTAGCCGGGCATGGTGGTGCATACTTGTGGTCCCAGCTACTCCGGGGACTGAGGTGGGAGGACTGCTTGGGCCCAGGAGGTCAAGGCTGTAGTAAGCTGTGATGATACCAAGGCACTCCAGTCTGGGGTATAGAGGGAGACCCTGTTTCAAAAAAATAATACACAAAGAATGCCTTTTTACATTTTTTTCTTTCCAGAGAAGGGGTTCTACCTGTTAACCCAGGCTGGACTGGAACTCCTGGACTCAAATGATCCTCCTGCATAGCTGGGATCACACGCGCTGGGCACACTATGCCAGATGCAAAGAATACATTTATTTCTTTTTTTTTTAAATTGAAGTTCAGCTTTTTATTGAACACTTTATAAAAAGAGGTTCAGTGAAAAAGACCAAAGCGCATGTCATCATCACCGTCCTCGGATTCTTCTTTCTTTGCTTCCACTTTCTTCTCCTCAGCTGGAGCAGCTCCACCAGCCTCTACACTGCAGATGAGGCTCCCGATGTTGACATTGACCAGGCCTTTGCAAACAAGCCAGGTCAAAAAGGTTCAATATTTACACCAGCTGCTTTAATGAGAGCATTGATCTTATCCTCCGTGACGGTCACCTCATCGTCGTGCAGAATGAGCGCCTAGTAGATGCAGGCGAGCTCGGAGACAGAGGCCATGGCGCGGGCGAGTGTGGGGCTGGCACTGCCGGACGTGGTGCTAGTCGCGGGATGAAGTGAGGGCCTCACTGCAACGCGGCCTTGGCTTCCTCGGAAGGACCGAGCACCTTGGCAGCAGCTGAGGAAAGGGAAGAATACATTTCAATGAGCTTGATGTCAGAATTTTCTTTTACTTTTTCTTTTTCTTTTTTTTTTTGTTGTTGTTAGAGTCTCACTCTGTCGCCCAGGCTGGAGGGCAGTAAGTAGTGCGATCTCTGCTCACTGCATCCTCCACCTGCCGGGTCCAAGCGATTCTCCTGCCTCAGCCTCCCGAGGACCTGGGATTACAGGCGTCTGCCACCACGCCTAGCTAACTTTTTCGTATTTTTAGTAGAGACAGGGTTTCACCATGTTGGCCACAGTGGTTTCGAACTCCTGACCTCAAGCGATCTGCCGGCCTGGGCCTCCCAAAGTGCTAGGATTATAGGCATGAGCCACAGCACCTGGCCAAGAAATTTGTTTTTTTTTTGAGACAGAGTCTCGCTCTGTCACCCAGGCTGGAGTGCAGTGGCACGACCTCGGCTCACTGCAACCACCATCTTCCAGGTTCAAGCGATTCTCCCGCCTCAGCCTCCCAAGCAGCCGGGATTATAGTGTAATACCCAACCTGGTTTTTACTAACCCTGTTTTTAGACTCTCCCTTTTCCTTTAATCACCTAGCCTTGTTTCCACCTGAACTGACTCTCCCTAAGCTAAGAAAGCCAGACAGATTCCATCTTGGCTCTTTCACTGGCAGTCCCTTCCTCAAGGACTTAACTTGTGCAAGCTGACTTCCAGCACATCCAAGAATGCAATTAACTGATAAGATACTGTGGCAAGCTATATCCGCAGTCCCCAAGAATTCGTCTGACTGATAACGCCCAAAGCCCCGCGTCTATCACCTTGTAATAGTCTTAAAGCCCCTGCACCTGGAACTGTTTTACTTTCCTGTAACCATTTATCCTTTTAACTTTTTGATTACTTAACTTCTGTAAAATTGTTTTAACTGGACGCCCCCCCCTTCCTAAACCAAGGTATAAAAGTTAATCAAGCCCCTTCCTCCGGGCTGAGAGAATTTTAAGCCTTAGACGTCTCTCAGGCGCTAGCTAATAAAGGACTCTTAATTCGTCTCAAAGTGTGGCGTTTTTCTAACTCGCTCAGGTACAACAATAGGCACTTGCCACCATGCCCGGCTAATTTTTGTATCTTTAGTAGAGACGGGGTTTTGGCCAGGCTGGTCTCAAACTCCTGACCTCAGGTGATCTGCCCACCTCGGCCTCCCAAAGAGCTGGGATTACAGGCATGTGCCACTGCGCCCAGCCAAGACATTTTTTTTGCTGCTGTTTTTACTGACAGAGAGGAGTGATAGCTCAGTCAGTCATTAAAAGGAGAATTCCTCCTCTAATCAATGTGGAGGCCCTAAGGGGAAAGGGTGGGGCATAGTCTCATTTTCTCCATCTGTTGAGGATTTACTGGAACAGAACTGGTTTTCAGTTAACAGAGTCCTCTTTTACTGAATATTCCTAAAGACCTTTGAGAAGAACTTAGCTTAACAAGTATTTGTTAAAATCTACTAACTTCCAGAGCCTAATTCATTGGTGAGAAATAGAGATTGAATTCCTTAATACCTGGGCCGTGCACACATTGGCTGTCGCCTGTAATCCCAGCACTTTGGGAGGCCGAGGTAGGAGGATCACCTGAGGTTAGGAGTTCAAGACCAGCCTGGCCAACATGGTGAAACCCCCGTCTCTACCAAAAATACAAAAATTAGCCGGGCATGGTGGCGGGTGTCTGTAATCCCAGCTACTCAGGAGGCTGAGGCAGGAGAATCGCTGGAACCCAGGAGGCAGAGGCTGCAGTGAGCTGAGATTGTGCCACTGCTCTCCAGCCTGGACGACAGAGTAAGACTGTGTCAATAATAATAATAATAATAATAATAAAATTTTAAAAAAGTTCTCTACTACCGGGAGTCTGTATTTAAGTGGACAGAACTGGAGGCAGCTGAGGACTAGGGCAGGTGGGTGGAGGGGCGAGGCCTCCAGTTGGGAAGCAATGAAAAGCATCCTAAAGAAAGTGCTGGGAAGAGAAACTTTTTTCTCTTTCAACTTGGCTCCTATAGTTGGTGGTCTGCAAATTAACTGAAAATAGAGAGATCTACAGCTGAAAAGGTTTATTTACAGATGCTTGAAGGAGTTCCCAATTATGTAAACCTCAAGGAACAGCCTGGAGAAAAGGTTTACATATATCAACTTAACAAACAAGGGCGTTTTTTGGACCTCTATGGGAAAATAGAAGCCTGGATGGAACAATCCAAAGTTTTAATCAAAGAAGGTGGTGTTTAGTTGCTGCTCAGGATAGTTGATACCTCAGGATTTGGAGATGCAGTGGATAGTAGTAATTGCTGGCAGCCTGTTATCGATTACATTGATAGTAAATTTGAGGACTACCTAAATGCAGAATCGCGAGTGAGCAGACGTCAGATGCCTGATAACAGGACCATTACATAACTGAAGACTCCCACCTTCAGGCAGGATTGGGTAGTGCATGTTTGTAACTACTTGACATTGCCTTTTGTTGAGACTTAAACCACTGGATGTTGAGTTTATGAAACATTTGCATGAAAAAGTGAATATCATCCCACTTACTGCCAAAGCAGACACACTCACACCAGAGGAATGTCAACAGTTTACAAAACAGATAATGAAAGAAATCCAAGAACATAAAATTAAAATATATGAATTTCCAGAAACAGATGATGAAGAAGAAAAGAAACGTGTTAAAAAGATAAAGGACCGTTTACCTCTTGCTGTGGTGGGTAGTGATATTATCACTGAAGTTAATGGAAAAAGGGTCAGAGGAAGGCAGTATCCTTGGGGTATATATTGTGCTGTGATTTAGCTCCAGCAGTGCCATGTGCAACTGAAAAAGAATTTGGGAGCACGGCACAAAGAATTAGAGGAGAAACGTCGTCAGTTTGAGGATGAGAAAGCAAACTGGGAAGCTCAACAACGTATTTTAGAGCAACAGAACTCTTTGAGAACCTTGGAAAAGAACAACAAGAAAGGGAAGATCTTTTAAACTCTCTATTGACCACCAGTTGTGTATTAGTTGCCAATATGCCAGCTTGGACATCAGTGTTTGTTGGATTCATTTGACCAAGTTGCACCAGTTTGATCCATAATGATGGATTTAACAACATGACAAAAATTATTTTTGTTGTTGTTGTTCTTGATGGAGATTAAGATGCCTCGAATTGTCTAGGGTGTTGTGTACTTAGAAAGTAACAGCTCTAAGTACCTTTCCTACATTTTCTTTTTCTTTTTTTATTAAACAGGTCTCTTCAGTTTAATGCAAGAGAACATTTTACTGTTGTACAGTCATGTTCTGGTGGTTTGATAGTTTACAGGAGATTCCAAAATAAAAGGACTCTGGAAGGTTTTCATTGACGATGAATTGCCATAATATGATGCAAACTGTGCTTCTCTATGATAATTATAATACAAAGGTTCCATTCAATGCAGCATATACAATAATGTAATTTAGTCTAACACAGTTGACCCTATTTTTGACACTTCCATTGTTTAAAAAAAAACACATGAAAAAAAAACCCTATATGCTTACAGTGCACCTAGAGCTTTTTATAATAACCTCTTTTTGTTTGTTTGTTTTGGATTCTTTAAATATATATTATTCTCATTTAGTGCCCTCTTTAGCCAGAATCTCATTACAGCTTCATTTTTGTAATAATATTTAATTTAGATATTTTCCAAATATTGACCCTGCTAAAATAGAATATAGCATCTTCCATATGGTAGGAACCAACAAGGAAACTTTGCTTTAACTCCCTTTTTACGATTTACGGTAGGTAGCAGGGGGGAAAAATGCATTTATAGATCATTTCTAGGCAAAATTGTGAATCTCACAACCAACCTGTATGCGGTCTCTTTATTTTACTAGAAATGGGAATCATGGCCTCTTGAAGAGAAAAAAGTCACCATTCTGCATTTAGCTGTATTCACATATTGCATTTCTGTATTTTTTGTTTGTATAGTAAAAAAATCACGTAATAAACCATGCCGTGATGTAAAAAAAAAAAAAAAAAAAAAAGTATTTTCAGCTTCAACTCCACACAATTCAATGGAAATGTCCCCTGACCTGAAGTTCTGGTTTCCCTGCATTCCAGACAGGACATTTTCTTTTGTCCTTATCTCAGTAAGGACTGAGTACTGTGAGAGGAACGAGTGAGTCTCTTTTGTTTCTGATTGCCCAGAGCCTGTATCTTGCTTGGCACATAGGAGATAGCAAAAGTAGACATCTATGTAAATTCTTGAATTGACACTCCCTTGGTTCACAAAAATTGGCTGTTATCAGTGTGGCTTCGACTTACTTGATTCTTTTTGTTTTTCTGTTTTTTGTTTTTTGAGACAGAGTTTTGCTCTTGCTGCCCAGGCCGGAGTGCAGCGGTGTGATCCCGGCTCACTGTAGCCTCTGCCTCCCGGGTTCAAGCCGTTCTCCTGCCTCAGCCTCCCGAGTAGCTGGGAATACAGCCGTGTGCCGCCATACAGGGCGAAGTTTTTGTATTTTTAGTAGAGGCGGGGTTTCACCATGTTGGCCAGGATGGTCTTGATCTCCTGACCCCGTGATCCGCCCTCCTCGGCCTCCCAGAGTGCTGGGATTACAGGCGTGAGCCACCGCGCCCGGCCTATTTATTTAATTTTTTGAGACGGAGTTTCGCTCTTGTTGCCCAGGCTGGAGTACAGTGGTGCGATCTCGGCTCACTGCAACCTCAGCCTCCCGGGTTCAAGCAATTTTCCACCCTCAGCCTCCGGAGTAGCTGGGATTATAGCACGTGCCACCGCGCCCAAGTAATTTTTGTATTTGCTAGTACAGACGGGGTTTCGCCATGTTGGCCAGGCTGGTCTTGAACTCCTGACCTCAGGTGATCCCCCTGCCTGGGCCTCCCAGAGTGCTGGGATTACAGGCGTGAGCCACTGCGCCTGTCCCTAACCAGCATCTTATGTGCTGGCTGTACATCCACACTGGCCTCTCTGGGTACCTTCTGGTGTATTCTTTTTCTTTTCCTTTCTTTTTGAGACAGGGTCTTGCTCTGTCAACCAGGCTGGAGTGCAATGGCGCGATCTTGGCTCACCGCAACCTCCGCCTCCCGGGTTCAAGCAATTATCCTCCCTCAGTCTCCCAAGTAGCTGGGATTACAGGTGTCTGCCACCACACCTGGCTAATTTGTATATTTTTAGTAGAGACGGGGTTTCACCATGTTGGTCATGCTGGTCCTGAACTCTGGACCTCAAGTGATCCACCTGCCTTGGCCTCCCAAAGTGCTGGGATTACAGGCAGGAGCCACCGTGCTGGGCCTACGGTGTTGTTTTTTGAGACAGGGTCTCACTTTGTTGCCCAGACTGGAGTGCTGTGGTGCAGTCATAGCTGATTGCAGCCTTCAACTCCTGGGCACAAGCGATCCTCCCACCTCAGCCTCCCAAAGTGCTGGGTTTACCGGCCTGAGCCACCGTGCCTGGCTGAAGCCTAAAGACTTCTCTGGGGCAGGGCATGATGGCTACCACCTGTAATCCCAGCAGTTTAAGAGGCTGAGGTGGGAGGATTGCTTGAGCCCAGGAGTTGAAGACTGCAGTGAACTATGATTGCGCCACTGCACTCCAGCCTGGAGAGCATAGGAAAACCCTGTAACTAGCCGGGCATGGTGGCTCATGCCTGTGGTTCCAGCTACTCGGGAGGCTGAGGTATGAGAATTGCTTGAACCCGGGAGGCAGAGGTCGCAGTGAGCTGAGATGGCGCCACTGCACTCCAGCTTGGGTGACAAAGCCAGACGCTGTCTCAAACAACAACAACCACAACAAAACAAAAAAGAGAATGATGGCCGGGCGCGGTGGCTCACGCCTGTAATCAATCCCAGCACTTTGGGAGGCTGAGGCGGGCGGATCACCGGAGATCAGGAGTTCAAGACCAGCCTGGCCAGCATGGCAAAACCCCATCTCTACTAAAAATACAAAAAATCAGCCGAGCGTGGTGGTGGGCGCCTGTAATCCCAGCTACTTGGGAGGCTGAGGCAGGAGAATCACTTGAACCCGGGAGGCAGAGGTTGCAGTGAGCCAAGATTGCGCCATCGCACTCTAGCCTGGGCAACAAGAGCTAAACTCCACCTCAAAAAAAAAAAAGGAATGATAAGTTGTGGGGATGTGACAAGACAAAGAGGCTTGGGCTAGGGGAAGTGACCAGGAAACAGTGGGGAACTTAAGGAAGATAAGGGTTAGTAGCTGAGTTGTTTAGCATATGGACTCCTGGCCCCTGCTGATAGGAACATTCTTCTCTTCCTGGCGCAGGAAGGGCGTTTTCCTCTTGATAAATTTTACAATCTACTTTTACGTAGGAAGGGGGAGGTCAGATGCATCTGCTTTTTCCCACAGGCTTCCAGGTCGAAATAATCCATATGCTGACGCGATGACTTTGGGGTGACATGCCCTGAGCCCCTTCAATATATACTAGCCCCTTGCTGACTGAGAGTTGAGAGAGCACCATTCTCTGCCTGGAATGTTTGTTGCTAGCTAATCCATCCCGCCGACTGTGGCCTCCCAAACTGCTGGCGTTACAACCAGCACTTTGGGAAGCCAGGCCAGGAGGATCATTTGAGCCCAGGAGTTCAAGACCAGCGTGGGCAACATAGCGAGACCCCCATCTCTACAAAGAGTACAAAAATTAGCCAGGCATAGTGGCACGCGCGCCTGTAATCTCAGCTACTTGGGAGGTTGAGGTGGAAGGATCACTTGAGGCAGACGTTGCAGTGAGCCAAGCACTCCAGCCTGGGTGACAGAGCCAGATCCTGTCTCAAAATAAGAAAGTTTCGGGTTCCATTCGGTTCTCCCACCGACCCCGCTGTGGGTCTCAGCAGCTCGGGCGGCGGGAGGAGCCGCAGCCGCCAGGCAGCCCAGCTTCGCCAAGGCTCTCGGCAGCCGCGGCCCGCAGACAGCCGGCACGCGCCCTCTCCGCCACCAGGATGCCCAAGAGGCAGGTTAGCTCCGCCATAGGGGCCGCCAAGGAAGAGCCCACGAGGAGATCGCACGGTTGTCAGCTAAACCTGCTCCTGCAAAAGTGGAAGCAAGGCCGGGTGCGGTGGCTCACGCTTGTAATCACAACACTTTGGGAGGCTGAGGCGGGCGGATCACCTGAGGTCAGGAGTTCGAGACCAGCCTGGCCAACATGGTGAAACCCCCGTCTCTACTAAAAATACAAAAATAAGCCGGGCATGGCGGTGCGCGCCTATAAGCCCAGCTACTCGGGAGGCTGAGGCAAGAGAATCGCTTGAACCGGAAGGCAGAAGTTGCTGTGAGCCGAGATCACGCCATTGCACTCCAGCCTGAGCAACAGGGTGAAACTACGTCTCAAACAAAACAAAACAAAACAAAACAAAAAAACCAGTGGAAATGAAGCCGAAAAAGGCAGCAACGAAGGATACATCTTCAGACAAAAAAGTGTGAACAGAAGGGCAAAGGGGAGCAAAGGGAAAACGGGCAGAAGTGGCTAACCAAGAAACTAAAGATTTATCTGCAGAAAATGGGGAAAGGAAAACTGAGGAGGCCCAGCCTCTGATGCCCAGTCTGATTCACCGTATACCACGTCTCATCAGTGCTCCCTGTCTCGCTTCTTGTAAAACCCAGAGGAATCTTTTTATCAACTATTTTGTAAATGCAAGTTTTTTAGTAGTTCCAGAAACTTTTTTTTTTTTTTTTTTTTTGAAACAGAGTCTTGTTCTTGTCGCCCAGGCTGGAGGGCAGTGGCGTGATTTCAGTTCACTGCAATCTCCACCTCCCGGGTTCAAGCGATTCTCATGCCTCAGCATCCGGAGTAGCTGGGATTACAGGCGCGCACCACCATGCCTGGCTAATTTTCATATTTTTAGTAGGGATGGGGTTTCACCATGTGGGCCAGGCTGGTCTTGAACTCCTGACCTCAGGTGATCTGCCCACTTCGGCCTCCCAGAGTGCTGGGATTACAGGCGTGAGCCACTGCACCCGGCCAGGGTTCGTGTTTATATCCTATAATACAAAGCATATTAAATGGCAGCATGGAATCAGCTCTGCATTTAGTGTCTTGAACATTTTAAATTACTTCTATTCTCCTGTCGTATTTTGGAATTGTTTCCTAAAGAAAACCACTCCCTGACCATGGCTCTCCCTGTTAGAATTGTGTGGACTCTGTAACATCTTTGATTGTGGTAGTTCTGTTCTCCTAATAAGTTTGTTTCTGCGTTGTGAAAGATGAAAAATTTGAATATGTAGGGTACATGCTATTTTTAGTTGTGAATTGGAGGGACGTCCGTAACAGCTGATCAACATGTGAAGATACTGGTACTTGATAGCCTCTTAAGGAAAATGTGCTTCCAAATTTTAAGCTGGAAAGTCGCCGGAATAACTTTGTAGAAGAATTACAATACATGGCCGGGTGCGGTGGCTCACGCCTGTAATCTCAGCACTTTAAGAGGCCGAGGCGGGCAGATCACCTGAGGTCGGGAATTCGAGACCAGCCTGACCGACAGGCAGAAGCCCTGTCTCTACTTAAAAAAAAAAAAATACAAAAATTAGCCGGGCATGGTGGCATTTGCCTGTAATCCCAGCTACTTGGGAGGCTGAGGCAGGAGAATTGCTTGAACCCGGGAGGCGGAGGTTGCGGTGAGCCGAGATTGCGTCATTGCGCTCCAGCCTGGGTGACAAGAGCGAAACTCTGTCTCAAAAAAACAAAACAAAACAAAACGATTTACAATACATGGCTTTTTAGATTTTCGGTACGTATGTTAAGAATTGTGTACAAATTGAAATGTCTGTACCGATCTTCAACCAATAAAATCTCAATTATGAAAGAAAAAAGTAATAACGTTCCATCTATTGTATCCTCACGTGAAGAATAATTCCCACACTTAAGTGCTTGCTTTGGCAGCACACATTAAACAATGAAATGATAGGTTCCCACGGCCCCTGCGCAAAGGTGACAGCCAAATTCATGATGGGTTCCGTATTTAAAATTAGGGGAAAAAAATTTCTCACACTTAAACAACAAATCACTTCTTGTTCGAGTAGATTCTAGATATGCTGTTAATCTGAAATACAAATTTAACCGGGTTTCCCTGCTCTGGGAAGCCCCCTTTGGCAATTCAGATAAGGGTCTTTTTTTGGAAGGCAATAGGTAGGAATACGGAGATGTCAGCAAAGGGAAGGGGCTCTCAGGGATTTCTATGGATTGTGCAGATGTCCTGCGAGGTCCCAAATTTCCCCAAAAGATCCTGAGTCCGGGCAGAAAGGACCACTGGGCTCCAGAAACCAAATGAAGTGGCCCAGAGTGGGAGCCTTTGTCATCAGATTCCATGACTGAAAGACAGCCAGGAGCAGAGCAAAAATCCCAGGGACTCTCTCTACCAGAAGACACCTGCTCCATCCAGATCAAACCCAAACTGTCACCAGAGAATGATGCCTGGCACTCCTTTCCCCTCGGCTCATCCTGCCTGCACCAGTGCAATGCCCTGGTGTTCCCAGTCCAGATGCCTTCACTCCATCCAGTGCCCCAGGAGGGTCACCTTGCAGTTATCAGAGAGGAAGATGGGTTCTTCCACCCTTGTGAGCTTCCCAGACATCAGGGTGTGCCCACCCCACTCCATTCCGAAAGGATGTTCCGCCCAGTTCTCCCAGCCTCCTGCTTCCATCCAGGGACCATCCTTCATTGGCAAGATTCACACTTCAGACAACCAGAACCAACCCATTATATTAAAAGTGGTCACAACAGGCCACCCATTCAAGACTGGTTTTTGTGAAATGCCCACAAGAGGCAAATCCAGAGCTAGAGAGATGTAGAGTAGTTGCCAGGGTCTGAGTGGAAGAGGGGGGTGGGTACTGAAGGCAAATGGGTATAAGCTTCTTTGGGGTGATAAAAATCTTCCAAACTAGAGTGGTGGTGGTTGCAAATATGCTAATGTTCATTTGTAGTCCAAACTACCAGAGACCGTGGAGGGGCAGAGGCAGGAAGATCTCTAAAGCCTAGTTTAGCCCGGGTGGCATAGCTAGACCACTGTCTCTAAAATAGAAAAATTAGGCTGGTCATGGTGGCTCACGCCTGTAATCTCAGGACTTTGAGAGGCCGAGGCGGGCGGATCACTTGAGGTCAGGATTTTGAAACCAGCCTGGCCAACATGGTGAAACCCCGTCTCTACTAAAAATACAAAAATCGGCCGGGCGTGGAAGCATGCGTGTAATCCCAGCTACCTGGGAGGCTGAGGCACAATAATTGCTTGAACCCGGGAGGTGGAGGTTGCAGTGAGCCGAGATCAGGCCAGTGCACTCCAGCCTGGGCAACAGAGCGAGGCTCCATCTCAAAATAAATAAATAAAAATAAAATAGAAAAATTAAATCAAATGTGCATTTATGATGTGGTCATGCGCCCTACATTTCAGCTTCATTTTCCCAATAAAAACTCAAAGCCCATGCACTCCACCTCCGTGCTCTTGCTAAGCAGTGCACATCCCACCTGCAAGGGACACTGAGGTTCCCTTCAGCTCTACCTCAACCCAAGTCAAGGGAGGTTCTGTAAACCAGTGCAGGCATAACTTCCACGGAGTAAAAGGTGTTGAGGGCTGGACGAACAGGCATCGCTCACTACGGCAACAACGAGAGCTGCCTCGCATCCCACCTGTTACTAGGGAGCCCCTTCTAGGGCCCTAAAGGCTTTCGTGAAAGTATCTGTGGTTGGCCGGGCACAGTGGCTCACGCCTGTAATCCCAGCACTTTGGGAGGCTGAGGTGGGAGGATCATCTGAGGTCAGGAGTTCCAGCCTGACCAGCATGGCGAAACCCCGTCTCTACTAAAAATACAAAATTACCTGGGCGTGGTGGTGCATGCCTGTAATCCCAGCTACTTGGGAGGCTGAGGCAGGAGAATCGCTTGAATCGCCTCCAGGAGGCGGAGGTTGCAGTGAGCCGAGATCGCACCATTGCACTCCAGCCTGGGCAACAAGAGTGAAACTTTGTCTAAAAAAAAAAAAAAAAAAAAAAAGGATCTGTGGTTTTGTCTTGTGCGACATTTATCACTGCCACTGAGATTCATCTTGTCTACAATAGTTTGTTTCTTATATTAGCCACAGCAAACATTTCACATCTTACCGAGCAACTGACACTTAGATGTGAGCTTTTGCCCGGTGGAATGGTACCTTGGAATCGTTACCCATAGAAAATAGGATAAAAGAACTCACTGGGGTTGGCATTAGTGGGTAAGGGTTGAATCAACCACACCCTTCCTGCAGAGAAAGCAGGTCTATTCCGAGAAATGATGGCAAGTTTTTGGGGAAGAAAAACTAAAGACACAAATGAATAGGAAAAAGAAAAGAAATTTTATTAATATTGACAACCGTTGGGGATTACAAAATAGACTGGATAGACGTGGAGGCGTTCTTAGTCTCTTAATGAAGGACACATGATTTGGATTGATTACACTAAATTGATGGGAGGCTAGTGTTTCAAATGACCAACCCAAATGAAGTCTCTGGGACCAGGTGCCAGGTGCCACGTAATCTGTGTTTTTAAAGAGATGGGATCTTGGTATGTGGTCCAGGCTGGCCAACATATGCTCACAGGAAGAACAATTCCTACACATAAGTGCTTGCTTCAGCAGCACACATAAAAATAAATGAAATGGGCCGGGCACAATGGCTCATGCCTGTAATCCCAGCACTTTGGGAGGCCGAGGTGGGTGGATCACCTAAGGTTGGGAGTTCAAGATCAGCCTGACCAACATGGAGAAATCCCATCTCTACTAAAAATACAAAGAATTAGCCGGGCGTGGTGATGCATGCCTGTAATCCCAGCTGCTCGGGAGGCTGAGGCAGGAGAATCGCTTGAACCAGGGAGGTGGAGGTTGCAGTGATCCGAGATCATGCCATTGCACTCCAGCCTGGGCAACAAGAGGGAAACACCGTCTGAAAAAATAAGTAAATAAATAAAAATTAGCCGGCCTGGCGGTGGCTGCCTGTAATCCCAGCTACTCGGGATCAAAAGTGTGATCAGCACATGGTATAGCCTGGAAATCAAAGGACCCTCCCACCCCGGCTTCTGCAGTAGCTGGGACTGTGTGCCCCATGATGCCTGGCCATGTCAGCTACGTTTGAAATGGGTCATCAGGACAAGGCGGCTCACACCTTTAGGATCCCTTGAGCTCAGGAGTTGAGACCATCTTAGGCAAGAGAGATTCCCTTTCTATCAAAAATTAAAAACTATCGGCCGGGCGCGGTGGCTCACGCCTGTAATCCCAGCACTTTGGGAGGCCGAGGCGGGTGGATCACGAGGTCAGGAGATTGAGACCATCCTAGCTAACAGGGTGAAACCCCGTCTCTACTAAAAATACAAAAAACTAGCCAGGCGTGGTGGCGGGCACCTGTAGTCCCAGCTACTCGGGAGGCTGAGGCAGGAGAATGGCGTGAACCCCGGAGGCCGAGCTTGCAGTGAGCCGAGATCTTGCCACTGCACTCCAGCCTGGGCGACAGAGTGAGACTCCGTCTCAAAAAAAAAAAAAAAAAAAAAAAAAAAAATTAAAAACTTAGCCAAGTGTGGTGGCATGCCCCATGTAGTCCCAAAACTTGGTAGGCTGACTTAAGAGGACCACTTGAGGCCGGGCGCAGTTGCTCACGCCTGTAATCTCAGTACTTGGGAGGCAAGGGAGGTGGATCGCTTGAGGACAGGAGTTGAGACCAGCCTCCCCAACATGGTAAAACCCTGTCTCTGCTAAAAATACAAAAATTAGCCGGGTGTGGTAGCCCACACCTGTAATCCCAGCTACTCGGGAGGCTGAGGTGAAAGAATCACTTGAACCGGGGAGGGGAAGGCTGCAGTGAGCTGATAATGCACCACTGCACTCCAGCCTGGGTGTCACCACCAGACTCTCTCTTGAGAAAGAAAAATAAAAAAAGACCTCTTGAGCCCAAGAGATCTAGGTGGGAAGTACCACCGCACTCCAGCCTGGGCAACAAACACACTGTCTTGGAAAAAAAAACAAAGCAAAAACAGAACCCAACATCATCCAAGTCTGATGATAAGCATGCTCTGCAAATGTATTACCAAAATCAGCATCAACTTCAACGTTGCTTTTCTCAAACAGTAACACTCTAAAAGGATGCACTTTCCTTTCTTTCAGACAACAGAAAGCGCTTCCCTGTAGAGGGACACAGCCTGAGATCTTCTTGCTCCGGCACTGTGGATTTTTTGTTGGAATCTTCCTTGACCAGGTCAAAATGGACACAAAAATAAAGATGCATTTATTGGCCCTGTTTGCGTGTTTTCTGGAATCCAGAGCATAAATCCCTAAAAGGACCATTTCCAGTTCCTTGCTTCAAAGAATCAGCAGGTTAGTCCTGTTCATCAAGGGGCAATCCTCCTGTGTTTTGTCTCCAGAAAGAAAAAGCAATGCCTACTAGATATATATTATATTTGCACAAGAGGATTAGGCTGGATTTCTAGAGAACAGCAAATGGACTCTGAGCCAAGTCTTCACTTGCGTTCCAGTACAGGGACACACAGTCCCCATGGAGGCACCCAAAATGGAATCGAAGATGTTGAAGAATATACATTGTCACACACACAAACATCCTCCAGGACAGACCACAGGCGAGGCCATAAAAGCTCCTTAATAAAATTTGAGCAGAAACACACAAGTAAGAGTAGGGCACGGTGGCTCACACCATTAATCACAGCAGTTTAGGAGGCCCAGGTTTGAGGAGTACTTGAGCTCAGGGGTCCGAGACCAGCCTGGGCAACATGGTGAAACCTCATCTGTACAAAAAATACAAAAGTTAGCAAGGTGTGGTTGTGCATGCCTGTAGACAGGTATTCAGGAGGCTGAGGTGGGAGGTGGAGGTTGCAGTGAGCCAAGATCGCACCACTGCCCGACAGCCTGGGTGACAGAGCCAGACTCTGTCTCAAAAATCAATCAATCGATCGACAATAAAAATGCAAAAATTAGCCAGGCGTGGTGGCACATGTCTGTAACCCCAGCTGCTCGACAGGCTGAGGCAGGAGAATTGCTTGAACCCAGGAGGCAGAGGTTGCGGTGAGCCGAGTTCCTGCCACTGCACTCCAGCCAGGGCCACAGAGCAAAGAAGACTCTATCCCGAAAAGAGGGCCACTTGAACCCAAGAGATCTAGGTTAGAAGTGCCACCGCACTCCAGCCTGGGCAACAGATACCTTGTCTTAGATAAAAAAATAAAACAAAAACAAAACCCCACCATTATCCATGTCTGATGATCAGCACGCTCTGCAAATGTATTACCAAGATCAGCGTCAACTTCGACGTTGCTTTTCTCAAACCGTAACCCTCTGAAAGGAAGCACTTTCTTTTCTTTCAGACAACAGAAAGTGCTTCTTTCCTCGAGAAGGTCACAACCTGAGATCTTCTTGCTCCAGCACCGTGGGTTTTTTTTTTTGGAATTTTCCTAGATCAAGTTAAAATGGACGAAAACATAAAGATGCATTTATTGGCCCTGTTTGCATGTTTTCTGGAATCCAGAATATAAACCTCTAAAAGGACCATCTCCAGTTCTTTGCTTCAAAGAATCAGCAGGTTAGCCTTGTTCATCAAGGGGCAATCCTCCTGAGTTTTGTCTCTGGAAGGAAAAAGCAATGCCTGCTACACATACCTTATATTTAACCAAGAGAATTGGGCTGGATTTCTAGAGAAGAGCAATGGATTATGAGCCAAGTGTTCACTCAAGTTCCAGTACAGGGACACACAGTCCCAATGGGAGCACCCAAAATCAACTCTACGATGTTGAATTGTCAAACACACAAACATTCTCTAGGATAGACCACAGGCTTGGTCATAAAAACTCATCAAAATTTGAACCTAAATCACAAGTACCGATGGGGCATGGTGGCTCACACCTCTAATCCCAGCACTTTAGGAGGCCAAGACAGGAGAATCACCTGAGCTCAGGAGTTCGAGACCAGCCCCGGCAACATGGTGTAACCCCATGTGTACAAAAAATACAAAAGTGAGCCGGGTGTGGTGGTGCATGCCTGTAGACACTAATGCAGCAGGCTTAGGTGGGAGGCGGAGGTTGCAGTGAGCCGAGAACGCACCACTACACTCCAGCCTGTGTGATAGAGCTAGACCTTGTCTCAAAAATAACCAACCAAACAAAATACACACACACAGAAACAAAAAATACCCAAGTTGATATCAGAGTATTCTCTGTATTTAGAACAGTATTTTGTGTCTATATGATATTTTATATATAAAGAATATATGATAAAATATACATTATATATGTTTGAGACTCTGTCTCAAAGTTCCATATATTATATGCTCACAGGAAGAATAATTCCTACACATGAGTGCTTGCTTTGGCAGTGCACATAAAAAAAATTGGAATGACAGAGATTACCCTGGCCCCTGCACAAAAGTGACATCCAAATTCATGATGGTCTCATATTTATCTATTTATTTTTATCTATTTAATTTCATTTTTATTATTTATTTTATTTTTGAGATGGAATCTTGCTCTGTGGCCCAGGCTGGAGTGCAATGGCATGGCTTCAGCTCACTGAAATCTCTTCCTCCTGGGTTCAAGCGATTCTCCTGCCTTAGCCTCCAAGTAGCTGGAAATACAGATATACACCACTGCACCCAGCTAATTTTTGTATTTTTAATAGAGATGAGGTTTTGCTATTTCAGCCCTGTTAGTCTTGAACATGACCTCAGGTGATCCTCCCGTCTCGGCCTCCCAAAGTGCTGGGATTACAAGTGTTTGCCAGCGCACCCAGCTGATTTTTTACTTTTTTGAGACTCAGTCTCACTCTGTTGCCCAGGCTGGAGTGCAGAGGCTTGATCTCAGCTCACTGAAAGCTCAGCCTCCCAGCCTCAAGCAATTCTCCTGCCTCATCCACCCGAGTAGCTGGGATTACAGGCATGCACCAAGACCACGTCTCACTAATTTTTTTATTTTTAGTACAGACGAGGTTTCACCATGTTGGCCAGTCTGGTCTCGAACAACTGACCTCAGGTGATCCTCCTGTCTCCGCCTCCCAAAGTGCTGGAATTACAGGCATGAGCCACCGTACCTGGACTAGTCCCATATTTAAAGTTAGGAAGAAAAAAAAAGATGCCCACACCTAAACAGCAAATCATTTGTTGTTCAAGTACATTTCAAATACATTGTTTATCTAAAATACATGTTTAACTGGGGTCAGGTATGAACCAAAGAACAGTCCTTACTTTCTTCTTGTCTGTGCATGGGGGGTTAATATTCACATGTAGTCCCATGTACCAAGGACTGGGGAGGGGCAGAGGCAGGAGGATCTAAGCCCACTTCAGCCTGGGCAGCATAGTGAGATCCCCATCTCATGCATTTATCTCCTGGTCACACACCGAAGATTTTAGCTTCATTTCCCCAATAAACACTGAAGCCCCATGCACTCCACCTCTGTGCTCTTGCTGAGCAGTGCACATCCCATCTGCAAGGGAAACTGAGGTCCCCTCAACTCCACCTGACCCCACGTGAGGTTCTATACCAGTGCCAGAAAAATTTCCATAAAGTAAGAGGTGTTGATGGCCACGCAGTGGCTCATGTTTGTATTCTCAGCACTTTGGGAGGCTGAGGCAAGCAGCTGACTTGAGGTCAGGGGTTTGAGACCAGCCTGGCCAACATGGTGAAAGCCCATCTTTACTTTAAAAAAAAAAAAAAAAATTCAAAAAGTAGCCGGGTGTAGTGGCAGGTGCGTGTAATTCCAGCTACTCAGGAGTCTGGGGCAGGAGAATCACTTGATCCTGGGTGGCATACATTGCAGTAAGCCGAGATCAAGCCACTGAACTACAGCCTGGGTGACGGTGAGACCCCATCTTAAAAATAAATAAAAAAAAAACCCAAATATTATCCAGGTGTGGGGATGGGCGCCTGTAAATCTCAGCTACTTGGGAAGCTGAAGCAGGAGAATTGCTTGAACCTGGGAGGCGGAGGTTGTAGTGAGCCAAGATGGGATGACTGCACTTCAGCCTCGGTGACAGAGAGAGACTCTGGCCCCCAAAAAGGACCATTTAAATCCAAGAGACCTAGGTGGGATGTGCCACCGCACTCCAGCATGGGCAACACAGACCCTGTTTTAGAATAACAAAGCAAAACCAAAACAGAACCCCGCCACCGTCCAAGTGTGATAAGCATGCTCTGCAAATGTATTACCGAGATCAGCATCAACTTCAACGCTGCTTTTCTCAAACCGTAACACTCCAAAGGGAAGCGATTTCTTTTCTTTCAGACAACAGAAAGCGCTTTCCTTTGTAGACTCACAGCTTGAGATCTTCTTGCTCCAGCACTCTGGGTTTCTTGTTGAAATTTTCCTTGACCAGGTTAAAATGGACAGAAAAATAAAGATGCATTCATTGTCCCTATTTGCATGTTTTCTGGAATCCAGAACATAACCCCCTAAAAGGACCATCTCCAGTTCCTTGCTTCAAAGGCTCAGCAGGTTAGCCTTGTTCAAGAGGCAGTCCTCCTGAGTATTATCTACAAAGAGAAAAAGCAATGCCTACTACACATACCTTTTTATTTTTTATTTTTTGAGATGAAGTCTCGCTCTGTCACCCAGGCTGGAGTGCAGTGGCGCGATCTCAGCTCACTGCAACCTCCGCTTCCTGGGTTCAAGCAATTCTCCTGCCTCAGCCTCCCAAGTAGCTGAGATTACTGGTGGAGCCACCACGCCCAGCTAATTTTTGTATTTTTAGTAGAGATGGGTTTCACCGTGTTGGTCAGGCTTGTCTCGAACTCCTGACCTCGTGATCCTCCCACCTCGGTCTCCCAAAGTGCTGGGATTACAGGCATGAGCCACCACGCCCAGCCCACATACCTTGTCTTTAACCAAGACAATTGGCCTGGAATTCATGAGAACAGCAATGGATGTTGAGCCAAGTGTTCACTTGAGTTCCAGTACAGGGGCACACAGTCCGGATGGGAGCATCCAAATGGAATCTAAAATGTTGAAGAATATACATTGTCACACACACAAACATTCTCCAGGATAGACCACAGGCTGGGATGTAAAAGCTCCTCCATAAAATTTGAGCAGAAACACACAAGAGTAGGGCACGCTTGCTCACACCATTAATCACAGCAGTTTTGGAGGCCCAGGCGGGAGGAGCAATTGAGCTCAAGGGTCCGAGACCAGCCTGGGCAACATGGTGAAACCTCATCTATACAAAAAATACAAAAGTTAGGCAGGTGTGGTAGTGCATGCCTGGAGACAGGTATTCAGGAGGCTGAGGTGGGAGGTGGAGGTTGCAGTGAGCCGAGATCGCACCACTGCCCTATAGCCTGGGTGACAGAGCCAGACCCTGTCTCAAAAATAAATCAATAAATCAATAATAAAAATGCAAAAGTTAGCTGGGCATGGTGGCACAGCCTGTAACCCCAGCTGCTCCGGAGGCTGAGGCAGGAGAATTGCTTGAACCCAGGAGGCAGAGATTGCAGTGAGCCAAGTTCCTGCCACTGCACTCCAGCCAGGGCCACAGAGTGAGACTCTGTCCCAAAAAGAGGGCCACTTGAACCCAAGAGATCTAAGTTGGAAGTGCCACCGCACTCCAGCCTGGGGAACAGACACCCTGTCTTAGATAAAAAACAAAACCCCACCATTATCCACGTCTGATGATCAGCACGCTCTGCAAATGTATTACCAAGATCAGCGTCAACTTCAACGTTGCTTTTCTCAAACCGTAACCCTCTGAAAGGAAGCACTTTCTTTTCTTTCAGACAACAGAAAGTGCTTCTTTCCTCGAGAAGGTCACAGCCTGAGATCTTGCTCCAGCACCGTGGGTTTTTTGTTGGAATTTTCCTAGATCAAGTTAAAATGGACAGAAACATAAAGATGCATTTATTGGCCCTGTTTGCATGTTTTCTGGAATCCAGAATATAAACCCCTAAAAGGAGGATCTCCAGTTACTTGCTTCAAAGAATCAGCAGGTTAGCTTTGTTCATCAAGGGGCAATCCTCCTGAGTTTTGTCTCTGGAAAGAAAAAGCAATGCCTGCTACACATATCTTATATTTAACCAAGAGAACTGGGCTGGATTTCTAGAGAAGAGCAATGGATATTGAGCCAGGTGTTCACCGGAGTTCCAGCACAAGGACACACAGTTTCTACGGAAGCAATCAAAATGGAATCTAAGATGTTGATGAATATACATTGTCTCACACACAAACATCCTCCAGGATAGACCACAGGCTAGGACATAAAAAATCCTCAATAAAATTTGAAAAGAAATACAGAAGCTGGGCGCGGTGGCTCATGCCTGTAATCCCAGCACTTCGGTAGGCCGAGGCCAGTAGATCATGAGGTCAGGAGTTTGAGACCAGCCTGGCCACCTTGATGAAACCCCATCTCTACTAAAAATACAAAAAATTAGCCAGGCGTGGTCGTGGGCACCTGTAATCCCAGCTACTTGGGAGGCTGAGGCAGTAGAATCACCTGAACCCGGGAGGGGGAGGTTGCCGTGAGCTGAGATCATGCCGTTGCACTCCAGCCTGGGTGACAGAGCGAGATCCCATCTCAAAAAAAAAAAAAAAAAAAAAAAGGCCGGGTGCAGTGGCTCACACCTGTAATCCCAGCACTTTGGGAGGCTGAGGCAGGGAGATCACGAGGTCAGGAGATCAAGACCATCCTGGCTAATACGGTGAAACCCCGTCTCTACTAAAAATACAAAAAATTAGCCAGGCGCGGTGGTGGGCACCTGTAATCCCAGTTACTTGGGAGGATGAGGCAGGAGAATCGCTTGAACCCGGGAGGGGTAGGATGCAGTGAACCGAGATCGTGCCATTGCACTCCAGGCTGGGTGACAGAGCGAGACCCCATCTCAAAAAAACAAAACAAAAAAACAAAAAAGCTGGGTGCGGTGGCTCAAGCCTGTAATCCCAGCACTTTGGGAGGCCAAGGCAGGCAGATCACGAGCTCAGGAGATCAAGACCATCCTGGCTAATCCAGTGAAACCCCGTCTTCACTAAAAATACAAAAAATTAGCCAGGCGTGGTGGCGGGTGCCTGTAGTGCCAGCTACTTGGGAGGCTGAGGCAGAAAAATATCATGAACTGGGGAGGCGGAGCTTGCAGTGAGCCAAGATCGTGCCACTGCACTCCAGCCTGGGTGACAGAGCCAGACTCCATCTCAAAAAAAAAAAAAAAAAAAGAAAAGAAAAGAAATACACAAGTTTGGGTGAGGGACAGTGGCCGAGACAGGAGCATCACTTGAGCTCAGTAGCTGGAGACCAGCTTGGGCAATATGGTGAAGCCCTGTCTGTAAAAAAACTACAAAAGTTAGGTGGCCAGGTGCAATGTCTCTCACCTGTAATCCTAGCACTTTGGGAGGTCGAGGCAGGTGGATCACTTGAGGTCAGGAGTTCAAGACCAGCCTGAGAAAGAAGGTGAAACCCATCTCTACTAAAAATACAAAATTAGCCAGGTGTGGTGGTGCATGCCTGTAATCCCAGCTACTTGGGAGGCTGAGGCAGGAGAATTGCTTGAAGCCGGGAGTCAGAGGTTGCAGTGAGCTGAAATCACCCCATTGCACTCCAGCCTGAGCGACAAAAGCAAAATTCCTTCTCAGAAAAAAAAGTGAGCCAGGTGTGGTGGTGCATGCCTGTAGACACTAATTCAGGGGACTTTAGGTGGGAGGTGGAGGTTGCAGTGAGCTGAGCTTGCAATACTACACTTTAGCCTGAGCAACAGAGCCAGACGTTGTCTCAAAAACAAAGAAACAAACACAAAACAAACACACAAACAAAAAAACCCAAAGCGATATAAGAATACTCTTCGTGTGCAGAAGAGTATTTTGTGTGTATATGATTATATATATAAGAATATATGACAAAATATATATCATACTAGCCAACATGGTGAAATCCAGTCTGTATTAAAAATGAAATATAAAAAGTAGCCAGGTGTGGTGGTGTACTTCTGTAATTCCAGCTACTCAGGAGGCTAAGGCAGAAGCATTACTTGAACCAGGGAAGCGCAGGTGGCAGCGAGCCGAGATCGTGCCACTGCCCTCCAGTCTGGGTGACAGTGAGACTCCATCTTAAAAATAAATAAATACATGAATAAAACCAAATATTATCCAGGTGTGGGGATGGGCACCTGTAAATCTCAGCTACTTGGGAGGCCGAAGCAGGAGAATTGCTTGAACCTGGGAGGCGGAGGTTGTAGTGAGCCAAGATGGGATCACTGCACTCCAGCCTCGGTGATAGAGAGACTCTGCCCCCAAAAAGGACCATTTGAATCCAAGAGACCTAGGTGGGATGTGCCACCGCACTCCAGCATGGGCAACACAGACCCTGTCTTAGAATAAAAAAGCAAAACCAAAACAGAACCCCACCACCGTCCAAGTGTGATAAGCATGCTCTGCAAATGTATTACCGAGATCAGCATCAACTTCAACGTTGCTTTTCTCAAACCGTAATTCACCAAAGGGAAGCACTTTCTTTTCTTTTAGACAACAGAAAGGGCTTCCCTTTGCAGTCACAGCTTGAGATCTTCTTGCTCCGGCACTCTGGGTTTCTTGTTGAAATTTTCCTTGACCAGGTCAAAACGGACACAAAAATAAAGATGCATGTATTGGCCCTGTTTGCATGTTTTCTGGAATCCAGAACATAAACCCCTAAAAGGACCATCTCCAGTTCCTTGCTTCAAAGAATCTGCAAGTTAGCCTTGTTCACCAAGGGGCAATCCTCCTGAGTTTTGTCTCTAAAGGGAAAAAGCAATGCCTACTACACATACCTTATCTTTACCGAGAACTGAGCTGGATGTCTAGAGAAAAGCGACGGATTTTGAACCAAGTGTTCACCTGAGTTCCAGTACAGGGACACAGTCCTGATGGGAGCATCCAAAATGGAATCTAAATTAGCCAGGCATGGTGGTGCATGCCTGTAATCCTAGCTTCTCAGGAGGCTGAGGCAGGAGAATTGGTTGAACCAAGGAGGAGGAGGTTGCAGTAAGCCACGATCGCGCCACTGCACTCCAGCCTGGGAGACACAGCAAGACTCCGTCTCAACAATAAATAAATAAATAAACAAATAAATAAAAATACAAAAATTAGCTGGGTGTGGTGGCTCACACCGGTAATCCCAGCTGCTCAGGAGGCTGAGTCAGGAGAATGGCTTGAACCTAGGAGGCGGAGGTTGCAGTGAGGAGAGTTTCTGCCACTGCCCTCCAGCCTGGGTCACAAAGCAAGACTGAACCAAAAAAAAGGACCACTCGAGCCCAAGAGATCTATGTTAAAAATGCCACCGCACTCCAGCCTGGGCAACAGACACCCTGTGGTAGAGAAAAACAGGCCGGGCGCAGTGGCTCACAGTTGTAATCCCAGCACTTTGGGAGATCGACGTGGGTGGATTACCTGAGGTCAGGAGTTCGAGACCAGCCTGGCCAACATGGTGCAAACCC
The DNA here is from genome assembly GCF_000001405.40 of Homo sapiens. Classification (NCBI taxonomy): domain Eukaryota; kingdom Metazoa; phylum Chordata; class Mammalia; order Primates; family Hominidae; genus Homo; species Homo sapiens. Next base: position 53,753,106 of record NC_000019.10, on the reverse strand, counting down.
TGTCTCTACTAAAAATACAAATAATTAGCCGGGCATGGTGGCACAGGCCTGTAATCCCAGCTACTCAGGAGGCTGAGGCAGGAGAATTGCTTGAGCCTGGGAGATGGAGGTTGCAGTGAGCCGAGATCACGCCACTGCGCTCCAGCCTGGGCCACAGAGCAAGACTCAGTCTCAAAAACAATAACAAGGCTGGACGCGGTGGCTCACGCCTGTAATCCCAGCACTTTGGGAGGCTGAGGCGGGTGGATCACGAGGTCAGGAGATCGAGACCATCCTGGCTAACACGGTGAAACCCCGTCTCTACTAAAAATACAAAGAATTAGCCGGGTGTGCTGGCGGGCACCTGTAGTCCCAGCTACACAGGAGGCTGAGGCAGGAGAATGGCGTGAACCCGGGAGGCAGAACTTGCAGTGAGCCGAGATAGCGCCACTGCACTCCAGCCTGGGCGAAAGAGCAAGACTCGGCCTCAAAAAAAAAAAAAACAAAAAACAAAAAACAGAAAAACCCCAAAACTAAACAAAACAAAACAAAAAAAAACTCAGAAGCCCAACATCATCCAAGTCTGATTATAAGCATTCGCTGCAAATTTATTACCAAGATCAGCATCAGCTTCAATGTTGCTTTTCTCAAACAGTAACACTCTAAAAGGATGCACTTTCCTTTCTTTCAGACAACAGAAAGCGCTTCCCTCTAGAGTGTCACAGCCTGAGGTCTTCTTGCTCCGGCACTGTGGATTTTTTGTTGGAATCTTCCTTGACGAGGTTAAAATAGACACAAAAATAAAGATGCATTTATTTGTCCGGTTTGTGTGTTTTCTAGAATCCAGAACATAAACCCCTAAAAGGACCATCTCCAGTTCCTTCCCTCAAAGAATCAACAGGTTAGCTTTGTTCATCAAGGGGCAATCCTCCTGAGTTTTGTTCCCAAAGAGAAAAAGCAATGCTTACTACTCATACCTTACCTTTAACCAAGAGAATTAGGCTGGATTTCTAGAGAACAGCAATGGATTTTGAGCCAAGTGTTCACTTGAGTTCCAGTACAGGGACACACAGTCCCAATGAGGGCATCCAAAATGGAATCTACGATGTTGAAGAATATACATTGTCGTAAACAAAAACATTCTCCCGGAGAGACCACAGGCTATGCTGTAAAAGCTCCTCAATACAATTTGAACGGAAACACACAAGTACTGTTGGGACACGGTGGCTCACAGCACTTTAGGAGGCTGAGGCGGGAGGATCACTTGAGCTCAGGAGTTCAAGATGAGCCCGGGCAACATGGTGAAACCATGACTGTAAAACAAATACAGAAGTTAGCCAGGTGTGGTGGTGCACGCCTGGAGACAGCTGTTCAGGAGGCTGAGGTGGGAGGTAGAGGTTGCGGTGAGCCAAGATCGCACCACTGCACTTCAGCCTGGGTGACAGAGCGAGACTCTGTCTCAAAAATAAATAAATAAATAAATAATAAAAAATACAAAAATTAGCCAGGCATGGTGGCACATGCCCGTAATCCCAGCTGCTCAGGAGGCTGAGGCAAGAGAATCGCTTGAACCTAGGAGGCAGAGGTCGCAGTGAGCAGAGTTCCTGACACTGCACTCCAGCCAGGGCCACAGAGCAAGACTCTATCCCAAAATAGAGGGCCACTTAAACCCAAGAGGTCTAGGTTGGAAGTGCCACCGCACTCCAGTTTGGGCAGCAGACACCCTGTCTAGGAAAAAAAACAAAACAAAACAAACGCAAAACTTCAACATCATCCACGTCTGATTATAAGCATTCTCTGCAAATGTGTTACCAAGATCAGCGATGCTTTTCTCAAAGCGTAACACTCTAAAGGGAACCATTTTCTTTTCTTTCAGACAACAGAAAGCGCTTCCCTCTAGAGGGACACAGCCTGAGATCTTCTTGCTCCAGCATCGTGGATTTTTTGTTGGAATTTTCCTTGACCAGGTTAAAACAGACACAAAAATAAGCACGCATTTATTGGTCCTGTTTGCATGTTTTCTGGAATCCAGAATATAAACCCCTAAAAGGACCATCTCCAGTTCCTTGCTTCAAAGAATCAGCAGGTTAGCTTTGTTTATCAAGGGGCAATCCTCCTGAGCTTTGTCTCCAGAAAGAAAAAGCAATGCCTACTACACATACCTCATATTTACCCAAGAGAATTGGGCTGGATTTCTAGACAACAGCAATGGATGGAGAGCCCAGTGTTCACTTGAGTCCCAGCACAGGGACACACAGTCCTGACGGGAGCATCCAAACTGCAATCTAAGATGTTGAAGAATGTACATTGTCTCACACACAAACATTTTCCAGGATAGACCACAGGTTACGCTGTAAAAGCTCCTCAGTAACATTTGAACAGAGATACACAAGTACAGGTGGGGCGTGGCGGCTCACACCTCTAATTCCAGCACTTTAGGAGGCCGTGATGGGAGGATCACCTGAGCACAGGAGTTTGAGACCAGCCCCGGCAACATTGTGAAACCCCATGTGTACAAAAAATACAAAAGTGAGCCAGGTGTGGTAGTGCGTGCCTGTAGACACTAATTCAGTAGGCTTAGGTCGGGGGTGGAGGTTGCAGTGAGCTGAGATCACACCACTACACTCCAGCCTGGATGACAGAGCCAGACCTTGTCTCAAAAATAACCAACCAAACAAAACACACACACACACACACACACACACACACACACACACACACACACAAATACCCAAAGTGATATAAGACTATTCTCTGTGCATAGAAGAGTATTTTGTGTGTATGTGATATTACATATATAAAAATATATCATGGCCGGGCATGGTGGCTCACATCTGTAATCCCAGCACTTTGGGAGGCTGAGGTGGATGGATCATCTGAGGTCAGGAGTTCGAGACCAGCCTGACCAACATGGAGAAACCCCATCTCTACTCTAAATACAAAAAATTAGCTAGGCTTGGTGGCACATGCAAGCAATCCCAGCTACTTGGGAGGCTGAGGCAGGAGAATCGCTTGAACCCAGGAGGCAGAGGTTGCCGTGAGCTGAGATCGTGACATTGCACTCCAGCCTGGGCAACAAGAGTGAAACTGTGTCTCAAAAAACAAACAAACAGAAAAAACAAAAAAGAAAGCTCCATATATTGTATTCTCACAGGAAGTATAATTCCTACGCATATGTGCTTGCTTTGGCAATACGCATAAAAAAATTGAAATAACAAAGATTACCATGACCCCTGCACAAAGGTGACACTCAAATTCATAATGGTACCATATTTATCTATTTAATTCTTTTTACTTTTATTTTGTTTATTTATTTACTTATTTTTGATACAGAGTCTCGCACTGTCGCCCAGGCTGGAGTGCAATGGCCCGATCTCGGCTCACTGCAACCTCCGCTTCCTGGGTTCACACGATTCTCCTGCCTCAGCCTCCCAAGTAGCTGGGACTACAGGTGCCAGCCACCATGCCCAGCTACTTTTTTGTATTTTTAGTAGAGATGGGGTTTCGCCATGTTGGCCAGGCTGGTCTCGAACTCCTGACCTTGTGATTTACCCGCCTTGCCTCCCAAAGTGCTGGGATTACAGACGTGAGCCACCCTGTCTGCCCTACTTATTTATTTTTTGAGACAGAATCTCGCTCTGTCGCCCAGGCTAGAGTGCAATGGTATGATTTCGTCTCACTGCAATCTCCTCTTCCTGGGTTCAAGAGGTTCTTCTGCCACAGCCCCCCAAGCAGCTAAGATTACAGGTGTAATTTTGTATTTTTAGTAGAGTCGAGGTTTTGCCTTGTTGGCCCAGCCAGCCTTTAACTCCTGACCTCAGGTGATCCACCTGTCTCGGCCTCCCAAAGGGCTGGGATTACAGGCATGTGCCACCACGCTCGGCCTATTTTTTATTTTTTTGAGATGGAGTCTCACTCTGTTGCCCAGGCTGGAGTGCAGTGGAACGAACTCAGCTCACTGAAAGCTCAGCCTCCTGTCTCTACTAAAAATACAAAAATTAAGGCCGGGCGCAGTGGTTCACGCCTGTAATCCCAGCACTTTTGGAGGCCAAGGCGGGTGGATCACAAGGTCAGGAGATCAAGACCATCCTGGCTAACACAGTGAAACTCTGTGTCTACTAAAAATACAAAAAATTAGCCAGGCGTGGTGGCGGGCGCCTGTAGTCCCAGCTACTCAAGAGGCAGAAGAATGGCGTGAACCTGGGAGGCGGAGGTTGCAGTGAGCTGAGAACACGCCACTGCACTCCAGCCTGGGCGACAGAGCAAGCCTCCATCTCAAAAGCAAAACAAAACAAACAAACAAAAAACTCAAAACCAAAACAGAACTACACCGTCGTCCAAGTCTGATGATAAGCAGGCTCTGCAAACTTATTACCAAGATCAGCATCAGCTTCAACGTTGCTTTTCTCACACGGTAACACTCTAAAGGGAAGTGCGTTCTTTTCTTTTAGACAACAGAAAGTTCTTCCCTTTGGAGGGTCACAGCCTGAGATCTTCTTGCTCCAGGACTCTGGGTTTTTTGGTGAAATTTTCGTTTACCAGGTTAAAATGGACAGAAAAATAAAGATGCATTCATTGTCCCTGTTTGCATGTTTTCTGGAATCCAGAATATAAACCCCTAAAAAAACCATCTCCAGTTCCTTGCTTCAAAGGCTCAGCAGGTTAGCCTTGTTCATGCAGGGGCAACCCTCCTGAGTTTTGTCTCCAGAAAGAAAAATCAATGCCGACTAGACATACCTTATATTTCACCAAGAGAATAGGGCAGGATTTCTAGAGAACAGCAATGGATTTTGAGCCAAGTGTTCACTCGAGTTCCAGCACAGGGACACACAGTCCCGATGGGAGCATCCAAAATGGAATCTAAAATGTTGAAAATGTACATTGTTATATACACAAACATCCTCCAGGATAGACCACAGACTAGGATGTAAAAGCTCCTCAATACAATTTGAGCAGAAACAAACAAGTACGGGTGTGGCACGGTGGCTCACACCATTAATCACAGCAGTTTAGGAGGCCGAGGTGGGAGGACCACTTGAGCTCAGGGGTTCAAGACCAGCCTGGGCAACATGGTGAAACCTCATCTGTACAAAAAATGCAAAAGTTAGCCAGGTGTGGGGGTGCATGCCTGGAGACAGGTATTCAGGAGGCTGACATGGGAGGTGGAGGTTGCGGTGAGCTGAGATCACACCACTGCACTACAGCCTGGGCAACAGAGTGAGACTGTCTCAACAACAAACAAATAAATCAATTAAAAAAATGCAAAAATTAGCCGGGCGTGGTGGCACATGCCTGTAACCCTGCTCGGGAGGCTGAGGCCAGAGAATTGCTTGAACCCAGGAGACAGAGATTGCAGTGAGCCAAGTTCCTGCCACTGAACTCCAGCCAGGGTAACAGAGTGAGACTCTGTTTCAAAAAGAGGACCACTTGAGCCCAAGAGATCTAGGTTGGATGTGCCACTGCACTCCAGCCTGGGCAACAGAGACACCCTGTCTCAGATAAAAAACAAAACAAAAACAAAACCCCACCATCATCCACGTCTGACCATAAGCATGCTCTGCAAATGTATTACCAAGATCAGCGTCAACTTCAATGCTGCTTTTCTCAAACCGTAACCCTCTGAAAGAAAGCACTTTCTGGGCGGGCGTGGTGGCTCACGCCTGTAATCCCAGCACTTTGGGAGGCCGAGGCGGGTGGATCATGAGGTCAGGAGATCGAGACCATCCTGCCTAACAAGATGAAACCCCGTCTCTACTAAAAATACAAAAAATTAGCCGGGCTTGGTGGCGGGCGCCTGTAGTCCCAGCTACACAGGAGGCTGAGGCAGGAGAATGGCATGAACCCGGGAGGCGGAGCTTGCAGTGAGCCAAGATCACGCCACTGCATTCCAGCCTGGGCGACAGAGCGAGACATTGTCTCAAAAAAAAAAAAAAAAAAAAAAAAGGACTTTCTTTTCTTTAAGACAACAGAAAGTGCTTCTTACCTCTAGATGGCCACAGCCTGAGAGCCTGAGATCTTGCTCCAACACCGTGGATTTTTTGTTGGAATTCTCCTGACCAGGTCAAAATGGGCACCAAAATAAAGATGCATTTATGGGTCCTGTTTGCATGTTTCCTGGAATCCAGAATATAAACCCTTAGAAGGACCATCTCCAGTTCCTTGCTTCAGAGAATCAGCAGGTTAGCCTTGTTTATCATAGCACAATCCTCCTGAGTTTTGTCTCTGGAAAGAAGAAGCAATGCCTACTAGAAATACATTATATTTAACCAAGAGAAACGGGCAGGATTTCTGTGGGTGGCAAGCCACCCAGGTGCCGAGGCAAGAGACCGAAGGCACAAGCTGTTCCGGTATAATAAAGAAACTCACCACAAGCCGTTCCAGTATAACAAAGAAAATATATAGAATAAGACTAGTTATACTAGAAATAGATTATAGATATGATTATATATGAATATTATTAATCATTAGTTTGTAGCATTACTCTTTATTCCAATATTATAATAATCTTTGTTCTACAATCATAACCTAGGGAAAACCAGGCCATACAGAGATAGGAGCTGAAGGGACACGGTGAGAAGCGACCAGAAGACAAGAGCGTGAGCCCTCTGTCATGCCCGGACACGGCCACTAGAGGGCTCCCTGGTCCAGCGGTAACACCAGGGGGAAGGCACCCGTCACTTAGCACAGCGGTAGCGCCAGTGCCTGGGAAGGACCCCCTTACCTTCCCAAACCCGGAGAGGGAGTCTCCCTTTCTCCAGGGGAGTTAGAGAAGACTCTGCTCCACCACCTCTTGTGGAAAGCCTGACATCAGTCAAGCCCGCCCGCAGCCGTCTGGTGGCCTAAACGTCTCCCTGTGATGCTGTGCTTCAGCGGTCACGCTCCTGGTCCACTTTCACGTTCCGCTCTGCACACCTGGCTCCGCCTTCTAGATAACGGTAGCAGAATAAGTGAAAGTATTAAAGTCTTTGATCTCTCCGAGAAATACATAGAAGAAATAATGACGTAAGCTGTCCCCAATCTCTCTCCGCCTAAGCTACCAAATAGGGAAGGGGCCCCCTGTCCGGTGGACACGTGACTCGCGTCATCTTACCTATCATTAGAGAAGACTCACACTTCTTACCCTGCCCTTTTGCCTCGTATACAATAAATAACGGCGCGGCCACGCATTCGGGGCCACTACCGGTCTCCACGTCTTGGTGGTAGTGGTCCCCCAGGCCCAGCTGCCTTTTCTTCTCTCTCTTTGTCTTGTGTCTTTATTTCTACAATCTCTCCTATCTGCTCACGAAGAGAAAAACCCACAGGCCCAGTAGGGCTGGACCCTACAGATCTCTAGAGAACAGCAGTGGATTTTGAGCCAAGTGTTCACTCGAGTTCCAGCACAGGGACACACAGTCCCGATGGGAGCATCCAAAACGGAATCTACGATGGTGAAGAATATACATTGTCGCACACACAAACATTCTCCAGGATAGACCACAGGCTGGGCGGTAAAAACTCCTCAATAAAATTTGAATAGAAATACACAAGTATGGCTGGGGTGCGGTGGCTCACACCTCTAATCCCAGCACTTTAGGGGCTGAGGCGGGAGGATCACCTGAGCTCAGGAGTTAGAGGCCAGCCCCGGCAACATGGTGTAACCCCATATGTACAAAAAATACAAAAGTTAGCCAGGTGTGCTGGTGCATGCCTGTAGACACTAATTCAGCAGGTTTAGGTGGGGGGCGGAGGTTGCAGTGAGTTGAGATCACACCACTACACTCCAGCCTGGGCGATAGAGCCAGACCTTGTCTCAGAAATAACCAAACAAACACACACACACACACACACACACACACACACACACACACAGAAACAAAGAAAAATACCCAAGGTGATATCAGGGTATTCTCTGTATTTAAACAGTATTTTGTGTGTATACGATTATATTATATATATGATGAAATACACATCATATTTTTGAGACCCTGTCTCAAAGAATGTTCCATATATTATATGCTCACAGGAAGGATAATTCCTACATGAGTGCTTGCTTTGGCAGTGCACATAAAAAAAATTGGAATGACAGAGATTACCCTGGCCCCTGCACAAAGGTGACATCCAAATTAATGATGTTCCTGTATTTATGTATTTATTTTTATTTATTGATTTTATGTCATTTTTATTATTTATTTATTTTTGAGACACAATCTTGCTCTGTGGCCCAGGCTGAAGTGCAATGGTGTGATTTCAGCTCACTGAAATCTCCTCCTCCTGGGTTCAAGCTATTCTCCTGCCTCAGCCTCTGGGTAGCCGGAATTACAGATGTGTACCACTGCACCCAGATAATTTTTGTATTTTTAGTAGAGACGAGGTTTTGCCATGTTGGCCCTGTTGGTCTTGAACTCCTGACCTCAGGTAATTCCTGTCTTGGCCTCCCGAAATGCTGGGATTACAGATGTGCACTACCACACCCCGCCTTTTTTTTTTTTTTTTTTTTTTTGAGACGGAGTCTTGCTCTGTCACCCAGGCTGGAGTGCAGTGGTGCGATCTCAGCTAACTGCAAGCTCCGCCTCCCGGGCTCAGGCCATTCTCCTGCCTCAGCCTTCTGAGTAGCTAGGAGTACAGGCGCACACCATCACGTCTGGCTAATTTTTTTTTTTTTTTTGTATTTTTACTAGAGACAGGGTTTCACCGTGTTAGCCAGGATGGTCTCAGTCTCCTGACCTTGTGATCCACCCACCTCGGCCTCCCAAAGTGCTGGGATTACAGGCGTGAGCCACCGCGCCCGGCCCACACCCAGCCTATTTTTTACTTTTTTGAGACTGAGTCTCACTCTGTTGCCCAGGCTGGAGTGCAGTGGCTCAATCTCAGCTCACTGAAAGCTCAGCCTCCTGGCTTCAAGTGATTCTCCTGCCTCAGCCTCCTGAGTAGCTGGGATTGCAGGGGTGCACCACCACCCCGTCTGGCTAATATCTATATTTTTAGTTCAGACGAGGTTTCATCATGTTGGCGAGGCTGGTCTCAAACAACTGACCTCAGGTGATCCTCCTATCTCAGCCTCCCAAAGTGCTGGAATTACAGGCGGGAGCCACCGTACCCAGACTAGTCCCATCATTAAAATTAGGGAAAAAACAAAGATGCCCACACCTGAACAGCAAATCATTTGTTGTTCAAGGACATCTCAGATACATTGTTTGTCTAAAATACAAGTTTAACTGAGGGCCCGGTGTGAACCAAATAATGGTTCTTACATTCTTCTTGTCTGTGCATGGGTTAATATTCACATGTAGTCCCATCTAGCAAGGACTGCGGGGGGCAGAGGCAGGAGGATCTAAGCCCACTTTAGCCAGGGTGGCATAGTGAGACCCCCGTCTCATGCATTTATTTCCTGGTCACGCACCCAAGATTTCAGCTTCATTTCCCCAATAAACACTGAAGCCCCATGCACTCCACCTCCGTGCTCTTGCTCATCCCATCTGCAGGGACACTGAGGTCCCTTCAACTCCACCTGACCCCACGTGAGGTTCTATACCAGTGCCAGAAAAATTTCGATAAAGTAAGAGGTGTTGATGGCCACGCACCATGGCTCATGCCTTTGGGAGGCCGAGGCGAGCAGCTCACGTGAGTTCAGAGGTTTGAGACCAGCCTGGTCAACATGGTGAAACCCCGTCTTTACTTGAAAAAAAAAAAAAAAAAAAAAAAATTCAGGCCGGGCATGTTGGCTCACACCTGTAATCCCAGCACTTTGGGAGACTGAGGCAGGTGAATCATTTGAGGTCAGGAGTTCGAGACCAGCCTGACCAACATGGGGAAGCCCCATATCTACTAAAAATACAAAATTAGCCAGGTGTGGTGGCACATGCCTGTAATCCTAGCTACTCAGGAGGCTGAGGCAGGAGAATCACTTGAACCCAGGAGGCTGAGGTTGTATGGGCCGAGATCATGTCATTGCCCTCCAGCCTGGGCAACAAGAGTGAAACTCCATCTCTCTCTCTCTCTTTCTCTCTAACACACATACACACACATACGCACACATTCGAAAAGCAGTCAGGCGTGGTGGTAAGCGCCTGTAATTCCAGCTACTCAGGAGGCTGAGGCAGGAGAATTGCTTGAACCTGAGAGACAGAGGTTGGAGTCAGCCGGGATCGTGCCATGGCCCTCCAGACTTGGCAACAGCAAGACTCCACCTAAAAAATAAATAAATGAATGAATAAAAAAGAAAAATACAAATATTAGCTGGGCATGATGTCAGGTGCCTGTAATCCCAGGAAGCTGAGGCAGGAGAATCACTTGAACCCAGGAGGTGGAGGGTGCAGTGAGCTGAGATTGCACCACTGCACTCCAGCCTGAGTCACAGAGCAAGACTCTGTCCCAAAAAGGACCATTTGAGCCCAAGAGACCTAGGTTGGAAGTGCCTCTGTACTCCAGCCTGGGCCACAGAGACCCTGTCTTAGAAAACAAAAAAAACCCAGAACCCCAACATCATCCAAGTCTGATGATAAGCATGCAAATATATTACCAACATCAGCATCAACTTCAACACTGCTTTTCCCAAACAGTAACTCTAAAGGGAAGCACTTTGTTTTTTCTCAGACAACAAACAGAAAGTGCTTCCTCTAGAGGGTCACAGCATGGGATCTTCTTGCTCCAGCACTCTGGGTTTCTTGTTGGAATTTTCCTTGACCAGGTTAAAATACACACAAAATAAAGATGCATTTATTGGCCCTGTTTGCATATTTTCTGGAATCCAGAACATAAACCCCTAAAAGGACCATCTCCAGTTCCTTGCTTCAAAGGCTCAGCAGGTTAGCCTTGTTCACCAAGGGGCAACCCTCCTGAGTTTTGTCCCCAAAGAGAAAAAGCAAAGCCTACTACACATACCTTATATTTAACCAAGAGATTAGGGCAGAATTTCCAGAGAACAGCAATGGATTTTGAGCCAAGTGTTCAGCTGAGTTCCAGGACAGGGGCACACAGTCCCGATGGAAGCATCCAAAATGGAATCTACAATGTTGAAGAATATACATTGTCTCACACACAAACATCCTCCAAGATAGACCACAGTCTAGGCTGACTCTACAGGACCATTTGAGATTAGGGGTGATGGCTCACAGCTGTAATCCCAGTACTTTGGGAGGCCAAGGCTGGTGGATCACCTGAGGTCAGGAGTTTGAGACCAGCCTGCCCAACATGGTGAAACCCCATCTCTACTGAAAACACAAAAATTAGCTGGGTGGGGTGGTAGGCACCTGTAATTCCAGCTATCTGGGAGGCTGAGGCAGGAGAATCACTTGAACCCGGGAGGCCGAGGTTGCGGTGAGCCGAGATCGCGCTATTGCCCTCCAGCCTGGGCAACAAGAGCGAAACTCCGCCTCAAAAAAAAAAAACAAAAAAACAATAATAATTAGCAAGACCTGATGGCAGGCAACTGAATTCCCAATGATTCGGCAGGCTGAGGTGGTAGAAACACTGGAACCTGAGAGGTGGAGTTTCCGGTCAACAGAGATTCTGCTACTGCACTCCCAGTGAAACCAGAGTGGGTCTCAAAAAATCAAAAAATAAAAAGAGGACCACTTGAGCCCAAGAGATCTCGGTTGGAGGTGCCACCCACTCTAGTCTGGGCAACAGAGACACTGTCTTGGAAAAAAAAAACAAAACAAACAGAACCCCAACATCATGCACGTCTGATGATAAGCACGCTCTGCAAATGTGTTACCAAGATCAGCAGCATCTTCAACGTTGATTTTCTCAAACAGTAACACTCTAAAAGGATGCACGATCTTTTCTTAGACAACAGACAGTGCTTCCATCTAGAGGGTCACTGCCTGAGATCTTCTTGCTCCAGTACTCTGGGTTATTTTTTATGTATTTATGTATTTATTTATTTATGTATTTATTTTTTGAGATGGAGTCGCCCAGGCTGCAGTGCAATGGTGTGATTTTAGCTCACTGCAATCTCCTTCTCACGGGTTCAAGAGATTCTCCTGCTGCCGCCTCCCACGTAGCTGAGACTACAGGTGTGTACCACCACGCCTAGCTATATTTTGCATTTTTAGTAGAGAGGAGGTTTTGTCTTGATGGCGGGGCTGCTCTTGAACTCTGACCTGAGGTGATCCACCCGTCTCGACCTCCCAAAGTGCTGGGATTACAAGCGTGTGCCACCGCACCCGGCCTATTTTTTATTTTTTTGAGATTGAGTCTCACTGTTGCCTAGGCTGGAGTTCAGTGGTGCGATCTCAGCTCACTGAGAGCTCAGCTTCCCGGCTTCCTGTGATTCTCCTGCCTCAGCCTCCTGAGTAGCTGGGATTACAGGCGTGTACCACCACCACACTGGGCTAAGTTTTGTATTTTTAGTAGAGATGGGGATTCACCATGTTGGCCAGGCTGGTCTCAAACAACTGACCTCAGGTGATCCTCCTGTCTTGGCCTCCCAAAATGATGGAATCACAGGTGTGAGCCGTGGTACCCAGCCTTGTCCTATACTTAAAATTAGGAACAAAAAAAGATGCCCACACCTAAACAGCAAATCATTTGTTGTTCAAGTACATCTCAAATACATTGTTTATCTGAAATAGAAATTTAAGTGGGGGTGGGGCATGAATCAAAGAACAGTCCTTACTTTCCTCTTCCTGTACATGAGTTAATATTCACATGTAGTCCCAGCTACTAAGGACTGGGGAGGGCCAGAGGCAGGAGGATCTAAGCCCACTTTAGCTTGGGCGGCATAGTGAGACGCCCGTCTCGTTGCATATACGACCTGGTCATGCACCCAAGATTTCAGCTTCATTTCCCCAATGAAAACTCAAACCCCATGCACTCCACCTCCATGCTCTTGCTGAGCAGTACACATCCCATCTGCAAGGGACATTGGGGTCCCCTTCACCTCTACCTGACCCCAAGTGAAGTTCCATAAACCAGTGCCAGAATAATTTCTGTGGGGTAAAAGGTGTTGATGGCCAGGCGCGGTGGCTCACGCCTGTATTCTCAGCACTTTGGGAGGCCGAGGCAGGCAGATCACCTAAGGTCAGGAGCTGAGTTCAGCCTGGCCAACATGGTGAAACCCCATCTCTGCTAAACATTCAAAAATTAGGCCAGGCGTGGGGGCGCATACCTGCAATCCCAGAAAGAGTCAGAGGTGGGCGGATGACTTGAGGTCAGGAGTTTGAGACCAGTCTAACCAACATGGTGAAATCCCATTTCTACTAAAAAAAAAATACAAAAAGTAGCCAGGTGCGGTGGTGTGCTCCTGTAATTCCAGCTAGTCAGGAGGCTGAGGAAGAATTGCTTGAACCCAGGAGGCAGAGATTGCAGTGAGCCGAGATCGTGTCACTGCCCTCCAGCATGGGTGACAGCGAGACTCCGTCTCATAAATAAATAAATGAATTTTTAAAAATACAAATATTATCCAGGTGTGGTGATGGGTGCCTGTAATCTCAGCTACTTGGGAAGCTGAAGCAGGAGAATCGCTTGAACCCAGGAGGCGGGGGTTGCGGCGAGCCGAGATCACATCACTGCACTCCAGCCTGGGTGAGAGAGAGAGACTTTGCTTGCAAAAAAGGACCATTTGAATCCAAGAGGGCTAGGTTGGACATGCCACTGCCACCGCACTCCAGCCTGGGCAACAGAGATCCTGTCTTAGAATGAAAAAGCAAAACCAAAACAGAACCCCGCCATTGTCCAAGCCTGATGATAAGCATGCTCTGCAAATGCATCAACTTCAACGTCGCTTTCTCAAACCGTAATCCAGCAAAGGGAAGCGCTTTCTCTTCTTTTAGACAACAGAAAGGGCTTCCCTTTGCAGACCCACAGCTTGAGATCTTCTTGCTCCGGCACTCTGGGTTTCTTGTTGAAATTTTCCTTAACCAGTTCAAAACGGACACAAATATAAAGATGCATGTATTGGCCCTGTTTGCAAGTTTTCTGGAATCCAGAATATAAACCCCTAAAAGACCATCTCCAGTTCCTTCCTTCAAAGAATCAGCAGGTTAGCCTTGTTCATCAAGGGGCAATCCTTCTGAGTTTTGTCCCCAAAAAGAAAAAGCAATGCCCACTAGACATACCTTATCTCTAACCAAGAGACTTGGGCTGGATTTCTAGAGAACAGCAATGGATTTTCAGCCAACTCTCACTTGAGTTCCAGCACAGGGACACACAGTCCCGACAGGAGCATCCAAAGTGGAATCTATGATGTTCAAGAACATACATTGTCACACACACAAACATTCTCTAGCATAGACTGTAGTCTAGGTTGACTCAAGAGGACCACTTGAGGCTAGGCGTGGAGGCTCATGCCTATAATCCCAGCACTTTGGGAGGCCGATGCAGGGAAATCACTTGAGGTCAGGAGTTTGAGACCAGCCTGGCTAACATGGTGAACCCCCATCTCCACTAAATGCAAAAACTGAGCCGGGTGTGGTGGCGCATGCCTGTAATCCCAGCTACTCGGGCTGCTGAGGCAGGAGAATCGCTTGAACCTGGGAGGTGGAGGTTGCAGTGAGTCAAGATTGTGCCATTGCATTCCAGCCTGGGTAAGAAGAGCAAAACTCTGTCAAAAAAAAAAAAAAAAAAAAAAAAAGGGGGAAATACAAATGCCCACACCTAAACAGCAAATCATTTCTTGTTCAAGTACATCTGAAATATACTATTGATCTGAAATACAAATTTAACTGGGTATCCCTGGCCTGGGAAGCTGCCTTCGGCAATTCAGATAGGAGTCTCCTTTGGAAGCTAATAGGTAGGAACATGGAGATGTCAGCAAAGGGAAGGGACTCTCAGGGATTTCTATGGATTATGCAGATGCCCTGCCAGATCCCAAACTTCCCCAAAAGATCCCAAGTCCAGGCAGAAAGGACCACTGGGGTCCAGAAACCAAATGTCTTGGCTCTGGGCGGGAGTCTTTGTCATCAGATTCCATGACTGAAAGACAGCCAGGAGCAGAGCGAAAATCCCAGGGGTTCTCTCTACCAGAAGACACAGACTCCGTCCAGATCAAACCCAAATTGTCGCCAGTTAGCGATGCCTGGCTCTCCGTTCCCCTTGGCTCATCCTGCCTGCACCGGTGCAATGCCCTGGTGTTCCCAGTCCAGAGGCCTTCACTCCTTCCAGTACCCCAGGAGGGTCACCTTGCAGTTCTCAGGGAGGAAGATGTGGTCTTCCACCCTTGTGAGCTTCCCAGGCATCAGGGTCTGCCCGCCCGACTCCATTCCCAAAGGATGTTCCGCCCAGTTCTCCCAGCCTCCTGCTTCCATCCAGGGACCACCCTTCAGTGGTAAGATTCACACTGCAGACAACCAGGACCAACCCATTATCCTCAATTACAGTGGTCACAACAGGCCACCTATTCAAAACTGATCTATGTGACATGCCCACAAGAGGCAGATCCAGAGCTAGAGAGATGCAAAGTGTTTGTCACGGTCTGGGTGGAAGAGTGGGGTGGGAACTGACTGCAAATGGGAATAAGCCTCTTTGGGGTGATGAAAATCTCCTGAACTAGAATGTTGGTGGTTGAAAATATGCTAAAATCATTCACACTTCAGAGTAAATTTCAAAAGGTTACTTCCTCAGTTCGCAAAAGTCAGAGACAGGGCCGGGTGCGGTGGCTGATGCCTGTAATCCCAGCACTCTGGGAGGCCGAGGTGCATGGGTCACCTGAGGTCAGGAGTTCCAGACCAGCCTGGCCAACATGGGAAAACCCCGGGTCTAAAAATACACACATAAAAAATTGGCCAAGTGTGGTGGCACGCACCTGAAATCCCAGTTACTCCAGTGGCAGAAGTTGCAGTGAGCTGAGATTGTGCAGCTGCACTCCAGCCTGGGCGACAGCGAGACTCCTTCTCAAAAACACATAAATAAATGAATAATAAAGAAAACTACAAATATTAGCCAGGTGTGGAGGAGTGAGCCTGTAATCCTAGCGACTCGGAAAACTGAGGCAGGAGAATCGCTTGAACCCGGGAGGTGGAGGTTGCAGTGAGGGGAGTTCCTGCCATTGCACTCCAGCCTGGGTCAGAGTGAGACTCCGCCCCCCAAAAAGAGGACCATTTAAGACCAAGAGATCTAGGTTGGAAGTGCCAACACACTCCAGCCTGGGCAACAGAGACCCTGCCTAAGATAAAAAATAAAACAAAAACAAAACCCAACCGTCATCCACGTCTGATGATAAGCATGCTCTCCAAATGTATTACCAAGATCAGCATCAACTTCAACGTTGCTTTTCTCAAAGAGTAACCCTCTGAAAGGAAGCACTTTCTTTTCTTTCACAAAACAGAAAGTGCTTCTTACCTCCAGATGGTCACAGCCTGAGATATTCTTGCTCGGTGCATGGTGGATTTTTTGTTGGAATGTTCTTCGACCAGGTTAAAATGGACACAAACATAAAGATGCATTTGTGGGCCCTGTTTGCATGTTTCCTGGAATCCAGAACATAAACCCCTAAAGGAACCATCTCCAGTTTCTTGTTTCAAAGAATCAGCAGGTTACCTTGTTCATCAAGGGGCAATCCTCCTGAGTTTTGTCTCTAGAAAGAAAAAGCAATGCCTACTACACATACCTTATATTTAACCAAGAGAATTGGGCTGGATTTCTAGAGAACAGCAATGGATTTTGAGCCAAGTGTTCACTTGAGTTCCAGTATAGGCACACAGTCCCAGTGGGAGCATCCAAAATGGAATCTACGATGTTGAAGAATATACATTGTCATACGCACAAATATTCTCCAGAATAGATCACAGGCTTGGTCATAAAAACTCCTTAACACAATTTTAACATAAATACACAAGTACAGGTGGGGCACGGTGGCTCACACCTCTAATTCTAGCACTTTAGGAGGCCAAGACGGGAGAATCACCTGAGGTCAGGAGTTCGAGACCAGCCCCGGCAACATGGTGTAACCCCATGTGTACAAAAAATACAAAAGTGAGCCGGGTGTGGTGGTGCATGCCTGTAGACACTAATGCAGCAGGCTTAGGTGGAAGGCGGAGGTTGCAGTGAGCTGAGAACGCACCACTACACTCCAGCCTGGGTGATAGAGCCAGACCTTGTCTCAAAAATAACCAACCAAACAAATAAAACACACACACACAGAAACAAACCAAAAAATACCCAAAGTGATATCAGAGTATTCTCTGTATTCAAATCAGCATTTTGTGTGTATATGATTATGTTATATATATGATATATTATATATATGATAAATTTAACTGGGGGCTGGGTACGAACAAAATAACAGTCCTTACTTTCTTCTTGTCTGTGCATGGGTTAATATTCACATGTAGTCCCATCTACCTAGGACTGGGGAGGGGCAGAGGCAGGAGGATCTAAGACCACTTTAGCCAGGGCGGCACAGTGAGACCCCTGTCTCATGCATTTATTTCCTGGTCATGCACCCAAGATTTCAGCTTCATTTCCCCAATAAACACTGAAGCCCCATGCACTCCACCTCCGTGCTCTTGCTCATCCCATCTGCAGGGACACTGAGGTCCCCTCAACTCCACCTGACCCCATGTGAGGTTCTATACCAGTGCCAGAATAATTTCCATGCAGTAAAAGGTGTTGATGGCTGCGCAGTGGCTCATGCTTGTATTCTCTGGACAACATGGTGAAACCCCCTCTTTAGTGAAAAAAAAAAAAAATAATAATAATAATAATAATACAAAAAGTAGCCGGGCCTGGTGGTGTGTTCCTGTAATTCCAGCTACTCCAGAGGCTGAGGCAGGAGAATTGCTTGAACCTGAGAGGTACAGGTTGTAGTCAGCCGGGATCGTGCCACTGCCCTCTAGCCTGGTCGACAGCGAGACTCCATCTGAAAAGTAAATAAATACATGAATAAAAAAGAAAAATACAAATGTTAGCCAAGGATGATGTCAGGCGCCTGTAATCCCAGCTCCTCAGGAAGCTCAGGAAGGAGAATTGCTTGAGCCCAGGAGACAGAGGTTGCAGTGAGCCGAGATCACGCCACTGCACTCCAGCCTGGGTCACAGAGCAAGACTCTGTCCCAAAAAAGAGGACTATCTGAGCGCAAGAGACCTAGGTTGGAAGTGCTTATGGACTCCAGCCTGGAAAATACAGATTTTGTCTTAGGAGAAAAAAAAAAAAAAAAGCACAGAACCCCGATATCATCCAAGTCTGATGATAAGCATCCTCTACAAATGTATTACTGAAGTCAGCATCAACTTCAACATTGAGTTTCTCAAACCGTAACGCTCCAAAGGGAAGCGCTTTGGTTTCTTTCAGACAACAGAAAGTGCTTCCCTCTAGAGGGTCACAGCATGGGATCTTCTCACTCCAGCACTCTGGGTTTCTTGTTGGAATTTTCCTTGACCAGGTTAAAGTGGATAGAAAAATAAAAATATATTTATTGGTCCTGTTTGCCTGTTTTCTGGAATCCAGAACATAAACCCCTAAAAGGACCATCTCTGGTTCTTTGCTTCAAAGAATCAGCAGGTTAGCCTTGCTCATCAAGGGGCAATCCTCCTGAGTTTTGTCTCTGGAAAGAAAAAGCAATGCCTACTACACATACCTTATCTTTAACCAAGAGAATTGGGCTGAATTTCTAGAGAACAGCAATGGATGTACAGCCAAGTGTTCACTTGAGTTCCAGCACAGGGACACACAATCCCCTTGGGAGCCTCCAAAATAGAATCTAAGACGTTGAAGAATATAAATTGTCACACACACAAGCATCCTCCAGGATAGACCACAGTTTAGGCTGACTTAAGAGGACCACTTGAGGCTAGGCGCAGTGGCTCATGCCTGTAATCCCAGCAGTTTGGAAGGCTGAGGCAGGTGGATTACCTGAGGTTAGGAGTTTGAGACCAGTCTGGCCAACATGCTGAAACCCTGTCTCTACTAAAAACACAAAAATTAGCTGGGTGTGGTGGTGGACGCCTTTAATCCCAGCTACCCGGGAAGCTGAGGCAGGAGAATCGCTTGAACCTAAGAGAAGGAGGTTGCATTGAGCCGAGATTGTGCCATTGCACTCCAGCTTGGGCAACAAGAGTGAAACTCTGTCTCAAAATAAATAAATCAATAAAAATAAAGAAATACACAAGTACGGGTGAGGCACGGTGGCTCACACCTCTAATCCCAACATTTTATGAGGCCGAGGCAGGAGGATCACTTTAGCTCAGGTGTTGGAGACCAGCTCAGGTAAAATGGTGAAACCATTTTGTAGTCTCAGGTAAAATGGTGAAACCATTTTGTAGTCTCAGGTAAAATGGTGAAACCATTTTGTAGTCTGTAGAAAAACTACAAAAGTTAGCCAGGTGGCTGGGTGTGGTAGCTCATGCCTGTAATCCCAGCAATTTGGGAGTCCGAGGCAGGTGGATCACTAGAGGTCAGGAGTTGGAGACCAGCCTGACAAGCATGGGGAAACCTGTATCTACTCAAAATACAAAATTAGCCAAGTGTGATGGTGCATGCCTGTAATCGCAGCTACTTGGGAGGCTGAGGCAGGAGAATCACATGAACCCGGAAGGCGGAGGTTGCAGTGATCTGAAATCTTGCCATTGTACTCCAGCCTGTGCAACAAGAGCAAAATTCCCTCTCAAAAAAAAAAGGTAGCCCACTGTGGTGGTGCATGCCTGTAGACACACTAATTCAGGACGCATAGGTGGGAGATGGAGGTTACAGTAAGCCGAGATCGCACTACTACACTTTTGCCTGGGTGACAGAGCCAGACCTTGTCTCAAAAACAAACAAAAACCACACACACAAGAACAAAAAACAATCTCATAGTGATATGAGTAACCTCTACCTCCCAGGTTCAAGCGATTCTCCTGCCTCAGGCTCCCAAGTAGCTGGGATTACCCGTACCTGCCACCATGCCCGGCATATATACATATATATATATATGTATTTATCGTAGAGACGGATTTTCACCATGTTGGCCAGGCTGGTCTTGAACTCCTGACCTCGGGTGATCCACACGCCTCAGCCTCCCAAAGTGCTGGGATTACAGGCTTGAGCCACTGTGCCCAGCCACATCATACATTTTTGAGACCATGTCTCAAAGAAAATAAAGATCTACATATTGTATGCTCACAGGAAGAATAATACCTAAACATAAGTGCTTGCTTTGCTGGTGCACATAAAAAAAAATTGGATTGACAGAGATTACCCTGGCCCCCACACAGAGGTGACACCCAAATTCATGATGGTTCCATATTTATCTTTTATTTATTTATTTATTTTTTTTTTTTAGACCAAGTCTTACTCTGTCGACAGGCTGCAGTGCAGTGGCACGATCTTGGCTCACTGCAACCTCTGCCGCCCAGTTGGAACGATTCTCCTGCCTTGGTCTCCCGAGTAGCTGGTATTACAGGCACCTGCCACTGCACCTGGCTAATTTTTGTATTTTTCGTAGAGATGAGGCTTTGCCGTGATGCCGCAGCTGGTCTTCAACTCCTGACCTGAGGTGATGCCCCCGTCTCGACCTCCAAAAGTGCTAGCATTACAGGTGTGTGCCACCGTGCCTGGCCTATTTTTTATTTTTTTGAGATTGAATCTTATTCTTTTGCCCAGGCTGTAGTTCACTGGCGCGATCTCAGCTCACTGCAACCTCTGCCTCCCGGCTTCAAGCGATTCTCCTGCCTCATCCTCCTGAGTAGCTGGGATTACAGGCGTGCAGCACAACCACGCATGGCTAATTTTTGTATTTTTAGTACAGATGGGGTTTCACCATGTTGGCCAGGCTGGTCTCAAGCAGCTGACCTCAGGTGATCCTCCTGTCTCTGCCTACCAAAATGATGGAATTACAGGCGTGAGCCACCATACCTGACCTTGTCCTATGTTTAAAATCAGGAGCAAAAAAAGATGCTCACATCTAAACAGCAAATCATTTGTTGTTCAAGTACATCTCAAATACATTGTTTATCTAAAATACAAATTTAACTGGGGGTGGGACGTGAATCAAAGAACAGTCCTTACTTTCCTCTTCCTGTACGTGAGTTAATATTCACATGTAGTCCCAGCTACTAAGGACTGGGGAGGGGCAGAGGCAGGAGGATCTAAGCCCACATTAGCCTGGGCGGCATAGTGAGACGCCCGTATTGTTGCATATACGACCTGGTCATGCACCCAAGATTTTGGCTTTATTTCTCCAATAAAAACTCAAACCCCATGCATTCCACCTCCGTGTTCTTGCTAAGCAGTGCACATCCCACCTGCAAGGACATTGGGGTCCCCTTCAACTCTACCTGACCCCAAGCGAGGTTCTATAAACCAGTGCCAGAATAATTTCCGTGGACCAAAAGGTGTTAATGGCCAGGCACGGTGGCTCACGCCTGTATTCTCAGCACTTTGGGAGGCCCAGGCGGGCAGATCACCTAAGGTCAGGAGCTGAGTTCAGCCTGGCCAACATGGTGAAACCACGTCTCTGCTAAAAATACAAAAATTAGGCCAGGCATGGGGGCGCATACCTGTGATCCCAGAAATTTGGGAGTCAGAGGTGGGTGGATCACTTGAGGTCAGGAATTTGAGACCAGCCTAGCCAACACGGTGAAATCCAGTCTCTACTTAAAAAAAATATACAAAAAGTAACTAGGTGCGGTGGTGTGCTTCTGTAATTCCAGCTACTCAGGAGGCTGAGGCAGAAGAATTGCTTGAACCGGGGAGGCAGAGGTTGCAGTGAGCCGAGATTGTGCCACTGCCCTCCAGACTGGGTGACAGCGAGACTCCGTCTCAAAAATAAATAAATAAATAAATTTTAAAAAATACAAATATCATCCAGGTATGGTGATGAACGCCTGTAATCTCAGCTGCTTGGGAAGCCGAGGCAGGAGAATTGCTTGAACCTGGGAGGCAGAGGTTGCAGTGAGCCGAGATCGCCTCACTGCATATCAGCCTGGGTGACAGAGAAAGACTCTGCCCCCTAAAAAGGACCATTTGAATTCAAGAGACCTGGGTTGGACATGTCACTGCACTCCAGCCTGGGCAACAGAGATCCTGTCTTAGAATAAAAAAGCAAAACCGAAAACAGAACCCCGGCATTGTCCAAGCCTGATGATAAGCATGCTCTGCAAATGTATTACCACGATCGGCATCAGCTTCAGTGTTGTTTTTCTCAAACCGTAATCCAGCAAAGGGAAGCGCTTTCTCTTCTTTCAGACAACAGAAAGGGCTTCCCTTTGCAGTCACAGCTTGAGATCTTCTTGCTCCGGCACTCTGGGTTTCTTGTTGAAATTTTCCTTGACCAGGTCAAAATGGACACAAAAATAAAGATGCAATTTTTGGCCCTGTTTGCATGTTTTCTGGAATCCTGAATAAAAACCCCTAAAAGGACCATCTCCAGTTCTTTGCTTCAAAGAATCAGCAGGTTAGCCTTGTTCATCAAGGGGCAATCCTCCTGAGTTTTGTCCCCAAAGAGAAAAAGCAATGCCTACTACACCTACCTTATATTTAACCAAGAGAATTGGGCTGGATTTCTAGAGAACAGCAATGGATGGAGAGCCAGGTGTTCACTTGAATTCCAGGACAGAGACACACAGTCCCGAGGGGAGCATCCAAAATGGAATCTAAGATGTTGAAGAATGTACACTGTCACACACACAAACATCCTCCGGGCATTATCCCGTAAATGCTTCTCAGTAACATTTGAACAGAGATACACAAGGGCAGGTGGGGCGCGGTGGCTCACACCTCTAACCGCAGCACTTACGTAGGCCAAGGCAGGAGGATCACTTGAGCTCAGGAGTTAGACACCAGCCCGGGAAACATGGTAAAACCTCATCTGTAAAAATACAAAAGTTAGCCAGGTATGGTGGTACATGCCTGTAGATACTAATTCAGGAGACTGAGGTGGGAGGTGGAGGTTGCAGAGAGCCGAGATTGCACCACTGCTCTCCAGCATGGATGACACAGCAAGACTCTGTCTCATAAATAAATAAATAAATAAGCCAGGTGTGGTGGCACATACCTGTAATCCCAGCTGCTCGGGAGGCTGAGGCAGGAGAATCCCTTGACCCCAGGAGGCAGAGGTTGCAGTGAGTGGAGATCCTGACAGGACACTCCAGCCAGGGCAGGGTCACAGAGCAAGACTCTGTCCCAAAAAAGAGGGCCACTTGAACCCAAGAGATCTAGGTTGGAGGGGCCGCCACACTCCAGCCTGGGCAACAGACACCCTGTCTTAGAAAACAAAACAAAACAAACAAACACAAAACCCCACCACCTTCCATGGTTGATTATAAGCATTCTCTGCAAGTGTATTACCAAGATCAACGTTGCTTTTCTCAAAGCGTTAACACTCTGAAGGGAAGCGCTTTCTTTTCTTTTAGCCAACAGAAAGCGCTTCCCTCTAGAGGGTCACAGCCTGAGATCTTGCTCCAGCATTGTGGGTTTTTTGTTGGAATTTTCCTTCACCGGGTTAAAATGGACACAAAAGTAAAGATGCATGTATTGGCCCTGTTTGCATGTTTTCTGGAATCCAGAACATAAACCACTAAAAGGACCATCTCCAGTTCCTTGCTTCAAAGAATCAGCAGGTTAGCCTTGTTCATCAAGGGGCAATCCTGAGCTTTGTCTCTAAAGAGAAAGAGCAATGCCTACTACACATACCTTATATTTAACCAAGAGAATTGGGCTGGATTTCTAGAGAACAGCAATGGATTTTGAGCCAAGTGTTCACTTGAGTTCCAGCACAGGGACACACAGTCCCAATGGGAGCATCCAAAATGGAATCTACAATGTTGAAAATGTACATTGTTATATACACAAACATCCTACTATATATATGATAAGAATATATGATGACTGGGCGCGGTGGCTCACGCCTGTAATCCCGGCACTTTGGGAGGCCGAGGCGGGCGGATCACCTGAGGTCAGGAGTCTGAGCCCAGCCTGACCAACATGGAGAAGCCCGTCTCTACTGAAAATACAAACTTAGCTAGGCATGGTGGCGGGTGCCTGTAATCCCAGCTACTCAGGAGGCTGAGGCAGGAGAATCACTTGAACCCAGGAGGCGGAGGTTGCAGTGAACTGAGATCATGTCATTGCACTCCAGCCTAGGTGACAGGAGCGAAACTCCCTCTCAAAAAATGAAAAAAAAAAAAAAGATATTGAAGACTATGTATTGTACGCACAAACAACCTCCAGGATAGACCACAGGTTAGGCCATAAAAGCTCCTCAATAATATTTGAATAGAAAAACACAAGTACGGTGGGTCTCGGCGGCTCATACCTCTAACTGCAGTACTTAAGGAGGCCAAGTCGGGAGGATCACTTGAGCTCTGGAGTTCCAGTCCAGCCTGGGAAACATGGTAAACCCTGTGTGTACAAAAAATACAAAAGTTAGTCAGGTGTGGTGGTGCATGCCTGTATTCAGCTCTTTAGGAGGCTGAAGTGGGAGGTGGGAGGTGGAGGTTGCAGGGAGCCAATTGCACCACTGCACTCCAGCATGGGCAACAGAGCCAGATGTTGTCTCAAAAAAAAAAAAAAAAACACCCCAAAATCCCAAAAAACGCACGCAAACAAAAAAACCCCAAAGTGATATCAGTATTCTCTGTGTACAGAAGAGTATTTTGTGTGTGTATGATTATATTATCAATATCAGACATTATAATAAAATGTATATGATATATTTTTGAGACCCGGTGTCAAAAAAAGAAAGCTCTCTATGTTGTTTGCTCACAGGAAGAATAATTCCTACACAGAACAGCATGCATTAAAAAAATTGGAATGACAGAGATTCCCATGTCCCCTGTACACAGTGACACCCAAATTCACCATGGGTCCCATATTTAAAATTAGGAAATACAGACCGGGCGCATAGGCTAACGCCTATAATCCCAGCTCTTTGGGAGGCTGAGGCAGGTGGATCACCTGAAATCAGGAGTTCGAGACCAGCCTGACCAACATGGTGAAAACCTGTCTCTACCAAATGCAAAAACTGAGCTGGGTGTGGTGGTGCATGCCTGTAACCGCAGCTACTTTGGAGGGTGAGGCAGGAGAATCACTTGAACCTTGGAGGCAGAGGTTGCAGTCACCCGAGATCACATCATTGCACTCCCGCCAGGCAACAAACTGAGACTCTGTCAAACAAACAAACAAACAAACAAACAAACAAAAAAACAAGGTGTGATCAGTGCATGGAATAGTCTGGAAATCAAAGGACCCTCCCACCCCGGGATCTGCGGTGGCTGGGACTGTGTGCCCCATGATGCCTGGCCATGTCAACTATCTTTGAAAAGGGTCAGCAGGAGAATGTGGCTCACGCCTGTGGAATCCTTGAGCTCAGGTGTTGAGACCTTCCTGAGCAACAGAGATCATATCTGTATGAAAAATTAAAAACTTAGCCAAGTGTGGTGGCACGCCCCATGTAGTCCCAACTACATGGGAGGCTGAGTCAAGAGGACCACTTGAGGCTGGGCGAGGTGGCTCACGCCTGTAATCCCAGCACTTTGGGAGGCCGAGGGGGAGGATCACTTGAGGTCAGGAGCTGAGACCAGCCTGGCCAACATGGTGAAACCCTGTCTCTTCTAAAAATACAAAAATTAGGCCAGACGTCGTGGTTCATGCCTGTAATTCCAGCACTTTGGAAGGCCGAGGTGGGTGGCTCACATGAGGTCAGGAGTTTGAGACCAGCCTGGCCAACATGGTGAAACTCCGTCTCTACTAAAAAAAAATCCAAAAAGTAGCCAGGCATGGTGGTGTGTTCCTGTTGATTCCAGCTACTCGGGAGGCTGAGGCAGCAGAATTGCTTGAACCTGGGAGGCAGACGTTGTAGAGAGCCGAGATCACGCCACTGCACTCCACCGTAGGCAACAGCGAGACTTCGTCTCAAAAATTAAAATAAAAAAAAGAATAATAAAGAAAACTACAAATACTAGCTGGGTGTGGTGGTGTGCGCCTGTAATCCCACCTACTCAGAAAACCAAGGCAGGAAAATCACTTGAACCCGGGAGGCGGAGGTTGCAGTGAGCAGAGTTCCTGCCACTGCACTCCAGCCTGGATCACAGAGCAAGACTCTGCCCCAAATAAGAGGACCATTTGAGCCCTAGAGATCTAGGTTGTAAGTGCCACCACACCCTAGCCTGGGCAACAGACATCCTGTTGTAGAAAACAACAACAAAAAACAGAACACCACCATCAGCCAAGTCTGATGATAAAAGCATGCTCTGCAAATGTACTACCAAGATCAACATCAAACTAAACGTTGCTCTTCTCAAAGAGTAACCCTCTGAAAGGATGCATGTTCTTTTCTTTCAACAGAAAGTGCTTCCCTCTAGAGGGTCACAGCACGAGATCTTCTTACTTCAGCACCATGGATATGTTGTTGGAATCTTCCTTAGCCTGGTGAAAATAGACACAAAAATAAAGATGCAATTATTTGTCCTGCTGGTGTGTTTCCTGAATCCAAAAACATAAACCCCTCACAGGATCATCTCCAGGTCCCATGCCTCAAAGGCTCAGCAGGCTAGCCTTGTTCATCAAGAGGAAATCCTCCTAAGTTTTTTCTCCGGAAAGAAAAATCAATGCCTACCAGACACACCTTATCTTTAACCAAGATAACTGGGCTAAATTTCTAGACAAGAGCAATGGATTTTAAGCCAAGTGTTCACTTGAGTTCCTATATAGGAACACATAGTACCGATGGGAGCATCCAAAATGGAATCTAAGATGTCTAAGAATATACATTGTCACACACACAAACATTCCCCAGGATAGACCACAGGCTATGTTGTAAAAGCGCCTCAATACGGTCGCTCATGCCTGTAATCCCAGCACTTTGGGAGGCCGAGGCGGGAGGATCACAAGGTCAGGAGATCTAGACCATCCTGGCTAACAAGGTGAAACTCCATCTCTACTAAAAATACAAAAAAATTAGCCGGGCGTGGTGGTGGGCGCCTGTAGTCCCAGCTACTCAGGAGGCTGAGGCAGGAGAATGGCATGAACCTGGGAGGCGGAGCTTGCAGTGAGCCAAGATCGCGCCACTGCGCTCCAGCCTAGGTAACAGACCAAGACTCCGTCTCAAAAAAAAAAAAAAAATCGCCTCAATAAAATGTAAGCAGAAACACACAAGTAGGGCGGGACATAGTGACTCACACTTTAGGAGGCCGAGGTGGGAGGATCACTTGAGCTCAGGGGTTCAAGACCAGCCTGGGCAACATGGTGAAACCTCATCTGTACAAAAAACACAAAAGTTGGCGAGGTGTGGTGGTGCATGCCTGTAGACAGGTATTCAGAAGGCTGAGGTGGGAGGTGGAGGTTGCAGTGAGCCGAGATCACACCACTGCACTACAGCCTGGGCAACAGAGTGAGACTCTGTCTCAACAATCAATCAATCAATCGATAATAAAATGCAAAAATTAGCCAGGTGTGGTGGCACATGCCTATAACCCTGCTCGGGAGGCTGAGGCAGGAGAATTGCTTGAACCCAGGAGGCAGAGGTGGCAGTGAGCCAAGTTCCTGCCACTGCACTCCAGCTAGGGTCACAGCGCGAGACTCTGTCCGAAAAAGAGGGCTACTTGTTGAGCCCAAGAGATCTAGGTTGGAAGTGCCACCGCACTCGAGCCTGGGCTACAGACACCCTGTCTTAGAAAAAAACAAAACCCCAAGATCATCCAAGTCTGATGATAAGCATGCTCTTCAAATGTATTACCAAGATCAGCATCAACTTCAATGCTGCTTTTCTCAAAGAGTAACCCTCTGAAAGGAAGCACTTTCTTTCACAAAACACAAAGTGCTTCTTACCTCCAGATGGTCACATCATGAGATCTTCTTGCTCCAGCACTGTGGATTTTTTGTTGTAATTTTCTTTGACTAGGTTAAAATGGACACAAAAATAAAGATGCATTTATTGGCCCTGTTTGCACATTTTCTGGAATCCAGAATATAAACCCTTAAAAGGACCATCTCCAGTTCCTTGCTTCAAAGTCTCAGCAGGTTAGCTTTGTTCATCAAGGGGCAATCCTCCTGAGTTTTGTCTCCAGAAAGAAAAAGCAATGCCTACTACGTGCACCTTATATTTAACCAAGAGAATTGGGCTGGATTTCTAGAAAACAGCAATGAACTTAGAGCCAAGTGTTCACTCGAGTTCCAGTACAGGGACACACAGTCCCGATGGGAGCATCCAACATCGAGTCTACGATGTTGAAGAATATACATTGTCATGCACACAAACATCCTCCAGGATGGACCACAGGCTTGGTTATAAAAACTCCTCAATAAAATTTGAACAGGAACACACAAATACCAGTGGGGTGTGGTGGCTCACACCTCTAATCCCAGCACTTTAGGAGGCTGAGACAGAGGATCACCTGAGCTTGGGAGGGAGTTTGAGACCAGCGCCTGCAACATGGTGTAAACCCATGTGTATAAAAAATACAAAAGTGAGCCAGATGTGGTTGTGCATGCCTGCAGACACTAATTCAGCAGGATTAGGTGGGAGGTGGAGGTTGCAGTGAGCCGAGATGGCACCACTACACTCCAGCCTGGGCGATAGAGTCAGACCTTGTCTCAAAAATAACCAACCCCTTTGTAGGGACATGGATGAAACTGGAAACCATCATTCTCAGCAAACTATCGCAAGGACAAAAAACCAAACACCGCATGTTCTCACTCATAGGTGGGAACTGAACAATGAGAACACATGGACACAGGAAGGGGAACATCACACACCGGGGACTGTTGTTGGGTGGGGGTAGCGGGGAGGGATAGCATTAGGAGATATACCTAATGCTAAATGATGAGTTAATGGGTGCAGCACACCAGCATGGCACATGTATACATATGTAACTAACCTGCACGTTGTGCACATGTACCCTAGAACTTAAAGTATAATAATAAAATTAAAAATAAATATATAAGTAGGGATACAAAAATATGACAAAAAAAAAACAACCAAACACAGACACATGCAAACAAAAAATACGCAAGGTGATATCAGAGTATTCTCTGTATTTAGAAGAGTATTTTGTGTGTACATGATTATATTATATATGATAAGAATATATAAAATATACATGATATATTTTTGAGACCCTGTCTCAAGGAAAGTTCCATACATCGCATACTCACAGGAAGAATAATTCCTACACAAGTTCTTGCTTTGGTAGTGCACATAAAAAAAATTGGAATGACAGAGATTACCGTGGCTGCTCCACAAAGGTGACACTCAAATTCACGACGGTCCCGTATTTATCTACGTATTTTTATTTGTTTTATTTATTTTTGAGACGGAATCTTGCTCTGTGGCCCAGGCTGGAATGCCATGGCTTCATTACAGCTCACTGAAATCGCCTCCTCCTGGGTTCAAGTGGTTCTCCTGTCTTGGCCTCCCGAGTAGCTGGAATCACAGATGTGCACCACCGCACCCAGCTAATTTTTGTAGTTTTAGTAGAGACAAGGCTTTGCCACGTTGGCCCCGTTGGTCTTGAACTCCTGACCTCAGGTGATCCTCCCGTCTTAGCCTCCTAAAGTGCTGGGATTACAGGCGTGTGCCGCTGTGCCTAGACTATTATTTACTTTGTTGACACTGAGACTCACTCAGTTGCCCAGGCTGGAATGCAGTGGCGCAATCTCAGCTCACTGAAAGCTCAGCCTCCTGGCTTCAAGCGAGTCTCCTGCCTCAGCCTCCCGAGTAGCTGGGATTACAGGTGTGTGCAACCAGGCCTGGCTGATTTTTGTATTTTTAGTATGGACGGGGTTTCACCATGTTGGCCAGGCCGGTCTCGAACAACTGACCTCAGGTGATCCTCCTGTCTCGGCCTCCCAAAGTGCTGGAATTATAGGCAGGAGCCACCATACCTGGACTAGTCCCATCATTAAAATTAGGGGGAAACAAAGATGCCCACACCTAAATAGCGTATCATTTATTGTTTAAGCACATCTCAAATACATTGTTTATCTAAAACACAAGTTTAACTGAGGGCCGGGACGAACCAAAAAATGGTCCTTACTTTCTTCCTGCCTGTGCATGGGTTAATATTTACATGTAGTCCCATCTAACAAGGCCTGGGAGGGGCAGAGGCAGGAGGATCTAAGACCACTTTAGCCAGGGCAGCATAGTGAGACCCCCGTCTCATGCATTTATCTCCTGGTCATGCACCCAAGATTTCAGCTTCATTTCCCCAATACACACTGAAGCCCCATGCACTCCACCTCCGTGCTCTTGCTCATCCCATCTGCAGGGACACTGAGGTCCCCTCAACTCCACCTGACCCCATGTGAGGTTCTATACCAGTGCCAGAAAAATTTCCATAAAGTAAGAGGTGTTGATGGCCACGCACCATGGCTCACGCCTTTGGGAGGCGCGCGGTGGTGGCTCATGCCTGTATTCTCAGCATTTTCGGAGGCCAAGGTGAGTGGCTCACTTGAGGTCAGGGGTTTGAGACCAGCCTGGCCAACATGGTAAGCCCCATCTCTACTGAAAAAAAAAAAAAAAAAAATTCAAAACGTAGCCAGGCGTGGTGGCGGCCACCTGTAGTTTCAGCTACTTCAGAGGCTGAGGCAGGAGAATTGCTTGAACCTGAGAGGCAGAGGTTGGAGTCAGTCGGGATCATGCCACCGCTCTCCAGCTGGGGAAACGAGACTCCATCTCAAAAATAAATAAATGAATAAAAAAGAAAAATACAAATATTAGCCAAGTGTGATGTCGGGCCCCTGCAATCCCAGCTATTCAGGAAGCTGAGGCAGGAGAATAGCTTGAACCCGCGAGGTGGAGATTGCAGTGAGCCAAGATCGTGCCACTGCACTCCAGCCTGGGTCACAGAGGAAGACTGTCCCAAAAAGGACCATATGAGCCCAAGAGACCTAGGTTGGAAGTGCCTCTGTACTCCAGCCTGGGCCACAGAGACCCTGTCTTAGAAAACAAAAACAAAACAGAACCCCAACATCATCCAAGTCTGATAATAAGCATGCAAATATATTACCAACATCAGCATCAACTTCAACACTGCTTTTCCCAAACGGTAACACTCTAAAGGGAAGCACTTTGTTTTTTCTCAGACAACAAACAGAAAGTGCTTCCTCTAGAGGGTCACAGCATGGGATCTTCTTGCTCCAGCACTCTGGGTTTCTTGTTGGAATTTTCCTTGACCAGGTTAAAACGGATACAAAAATAAAAATGCATTTATTGGCCCTGTTTACATGTTTTATGGAATCCAGAACATAAACCCCTGAAAGGACCATCTCCAATTCCTTGCTTCAAAGGCTCAGCAGGTTAGCCTTGTTCATCAAGGGGCGATCGTCCTG
This sequence comes from Homo sapiens, assembly GCF_000001405.40. NCBI lineage: Eukaryota > Metazoa > Chordata > Mammalia > Primates > Hominidae > Homo > Homo sapiens. Next base: position 53,721,963 of record NC_000019.10, on the reverse strand, counting down.
AGTTTTGTCCCCAAAGAGAAAAAGGAATACCTACTACTCATACCTTACATTTAGCTAAGAGAATTGGGCTGATGTTGAAGAATATACATTGTCTCACACACAAACATCCTCCAGGATAGACCAGAGTCTAGGCTGACTCTAGAGGACCACGTGAGATTAGGGGCGGTGGCTCACGCCTGTAATCCCAGCACTTTAGGAGGCCAAGGCTGGTGGATCACCTGAGGTCGGGAGTTTGAGACCAGCCTGCCCAACATGGTGAAACCCAGTCTCTATTCAAAACACAAAAATTAGCTGGGTGGGGCAGTAGGCACCTGTAATCCCAGCTACCCAGGAGGCTGCGGCAGGAGAATCGCTTGAACCCAGGAGGTGGAGGTTGCAGTGAGCCTAAATTGCAACACTGCACTCCAGCCTGGACATCAAGAGTGAAACTCCATCTCAACAACAACAACAACAATAAAAATAATAACTAGCAGGACACGATGGCGGGCATCTCTATTCCCAACTATTCGGCAGGCTGAGGTGGGAGAATCGCCGGAAGCTGGGAGGCGGAGTTTCCGGTCAACAGGGATCCTGCCGCTGCACTCCAGCCTGGGAAACGGAATGAGAGCGCATCTCAAAAAATCAAAAATAAAAAGATCACCACTTGAGCCCAAGAGATCTCGGTTGGAGGTGCCACCCACTCCCGCCTGGGCAACAGGGAACCTGTCTTGGAAAAAAACAAACCAAAGAGAACCCCAACATCATGCAAGTCTGATGATAAGCACGCTCTGCAAATGTATTACCAAGATCAGCAGCATCTTCAACGTTGCTTTTCTCAAACAGTAACACTCTAAAGGGATGCACGATCTTTTCTTAGACAACAGACAGTGCTTCCATCTAGAGGGTCACAGCATGAGGTCTTCTTGCTCCAGTACTGTAGGGTTCTTTTTTTTGTTTTTGTTTTTGTTTCTTTTTGACGGAGTCTTGCTCTGTTGCCGAGGCTAGAGTGCAATGGCACGATCTCGGCTCACTGCAAGCTCCGCCTCCTGGGTTCAAGCCATTCTCAAGCCTTAGCCTCCCGGGTAGCTGGGACTACAGGCACCCACCACCACGCCTCGCTAATTTTTTGTATTTTTAAATAGAGATGGGGTTTCACCGTGTTAGCCAGGATGGTCTCGATCTCCTGACCTCGTGATCCACCCGCCTCGGCCTTTCAAAGTGGTGGGATTACAGGCGTGAGCCACAGCGCCCAGCTTTTTTTTTTTTTTTTTTTTTTCAGACGGAATCTCACTCTGTCATCCTGGCTGGATGCTGTGGCACAATCTCGGCTCACTGCAGCCTCTGCCTCCCGGGTTCAAGCAATTCTCCTGCCTCAGCCTCCTAAGTAGCTGGGATTACAGGTGCCCACCACCACACTGGGCTAATTTTTGTTGTTATTGTATTTTTAGTAGAGACGGATTTTCACCACGTTGGTCAGACTGGTCTCAAACTCCTGACCTGAGATGATCTACCTGCATCGGCCTCCCAAAGTGCTGGGATTACAGGCATGAGCCACCATGCCCGGCTTTATTTTGTATTTTTATTCATTTGTTTATTTTTTGAGACAGAATTTCCCTGTGTTGCCCAGGCTGACCATTTGAAGCCAAGAGATATATTGGACATGTCACTGCACTCCAGCATGAGCAACACAGAGCCTTAGAATAAAAAAGCAAAACCAAAACAGAACCCCACCATCGTCCAAGTGTGATAAGCATGCTCTGCAAATGTATTACCGAAATCAGCATCAACTTCAACGTTGCTTTTCTCAAACCGTAACCCACCAAAGAGAAGCACTTTCTTTTCTTTTAGACAACAGAAAGGGCTTCCCTTTGTAGACTCACAGCTTGAGATCTTCTTGCTCCGGCACTCTGGGTTTCTTGTTGAAATTTTCCTTGACCTGGTCAAAATGGACACAAAAATAAAGATGCATTTATTGGTCCTGTTTGCATATTTTCTGGAATCTAGAACATAAACCGATACAAAGACCATCTCCAGTTCCTTGCTTCAAACGTTCAGCAGGTTAGCCTTGTTCATCGAGGGACAACTGTCCTGGGTTTTGTCTTCAAAGAGAAAAAGCAACGCCTACTACATATACCTTATATTCTCAGGAGTTAGACACCAGCCTGGGAAACATGGTAAAACCTCATCTGTAAAAATACAAAAGTTAGCCAGGTATAGAGGTGCATGCCTGTAGACACTAATTCAGGAGGCTGAGGTGGGAGGTTGAGGTTGCCGGGAGCCGAGATCACACCACTGCACTCCAGCATAGGTGACAGGGCCAGATCTTGTCTCAAAAACAAACGAACGAACAAACAAAAAATGCACACACCAACAAAAAAATGCCCAAAGTGATATAAGAGTATTCTCAGGGTGTAAAAGAGTCTTTTGTGTGTACATGATATTATATATATAAGAATATATGAAGGCCAGCCGCGGTGGCTGTCTGCAATCCCAGTACTTTGGAAAGCCAAGGTGGGCAGATCACCTGAAGTCGGGAGTTTGAGACCAGCCTGACCAACATGGAGAAATCCCGTCTACTAAAATACAACAAATTAGCTAGCCCTGGAAGTGTATGCCTGTAATCCCAGCTACTCAGGAGGCTGAGGTAGGAGAGTCGCTTTAACCCAAGAGGTGGACATCGCAGGGAGCCCAGATCACACCATTGCACTTCAGCCTATGCGACAAGAGCAAAACTCAGTCGCAAAAACATAAAAAATAATAATAATAAAAGAAACTTCCATATATTGTATGCTCACAGGAAGAATACTTCCTACACACAAGTGCTAGCTTTGGCAGCACGCATGAAAAAATTGGAATGACAAAGATTACCATGGGCCCTGCGCAAAGGTGACACTCAAATTCATGATGATCTCATATTTATCTATTTTTATTTTTTAACGTTTAATGTTTATTTAATAGTTTTATTTATTTATTTAGAGACAGAGTTTCACTCGTTGCCCAGGCTGGAATACAATGGCACAATCTCGGCTCACCACAACCTCCGCCCCCTGGGGTTCAAGTGATTCTCTTGCCTCAACCTCCCGAGCAGCTGGGATTACAGGCATGCGCCACCATGCCCGGCTAATTTTGTATTTTTAGTAGAGATGGGGTTTCTACGTGTTGGTTAGGCTGGTCTTGAACTCCCGACCTCAGGTGATCCGCCACCTCGGCCTCCCAAAGTTCTGGGATTACAGGCATGAGTCACTGTGCTCGGCCTATTTATTTAATTTTTGAAACAGAATCTCACTCTGTCACCCAGGATGGAGTACAATGGTGTGATTTCGTCTCACTGCAATCTCCTTTTCCCAGGTTCAAGAGATTCTCTTGCCGTGGCCTCCCAAGTAGCTGAGATTACAGGTGTCCACCACTGTTCCCAGCCATTTTTCCTAATTTTAGTATAGACGAGGTTTTGCCTTGTTTGCCCAGCTAGTCTTGGACTCCTGACCTGAGGAGATCCGCCTGTCCTGGCCTCTCAAAGTGCTGGGATTACAGGAGTGGACCACCGTGTCTGGCCTATTTTTTATGTTTTTGAGATGGAGTCTCACTCTTTTTGCCGAGGCTTGAGTGCAGTGGCGTGATCTCAGCTCATTGAAAGATCAGCCTTCCAGCTTCAAGCGACTCTCCTGCCTCAGCCTCCAGAGTAGCTGGGATTACAAGCATATACCACCACCATGCTGGGCTAATTTTGTATTTTTAGTAGAGATGGGGCTGCACCATGTTGGCCAGGCTGGAATCAAATTCCCGACCTCAGGTGATCCTCCTGTCTCAGCCTCCCAAAGTGCTGGAATTACAGGCGTGGGCCACTGTACTCTGCCTGGTGCCATTATTAAAACTAGGAAAAAAGAAAGATGCCCACACCTAAACAGCAAATCATTTGTTGTTCAAGTATGTCTCAAATGCAGTCTTCATCTAAAATACTAATTTGACTGGCGGCTAGGTGTGAACCAAAGAACGGTCCTTTCTTTCCTCTTGCCTGTGCATGGTTAATATTCACATGTAGTCCCAGCTACTAAGGACTGGGGAGAGGTGGAGGCAAAAGGACCTAAGCCCATTTTAGCCTGGGCAGCATAGTGAGACCCCTGTCTCGTTGCACATATGACCTGGTCGTGCAGCCAAGAGTTCAGCTGCATTTACCCAGTGAAAACTCAAAGCCATGCACTCCACCTCCGTGCCCCAGTGAAAACTCAAAGCCATGCACTCCACCTCCGTGCTCTTGCTAAGCAGGGCACATCCCATCTGCAAGGGACAATGAGGTCCCCCACCCCCTTATTTATTTATTTATTTTTTTGAGACAGAGTCTTGCTCTGTCGCCCAGGCTGGAGTGCAGTGGTGCCATCTCGGCTCACTGCAAGCTCCGCCTCCCGGGTTCACACCATTCTCCTGCCTCAGCCTCCCGAGTAGCTGGGACTACAGGCACCCGCCACCACGCCTGGCTAATTTTTTGTATTTTTAGTAGAGACAGGGTTTCACCATGTTAGCCAGGATGGTCTCGATCTCCTGACCTCGTGATCCACCCGCCTCGGCCTCCCAAAGTGCTGGGATTACAGGCGTCAGCCACCACACCCAGCCTGAGGTCCCTTTTAAATCTGCCCGACCCCAAGTGAGGTTCTATAAACCAGCGCCAGTATCATTTCCATGGAGTAGAAGGTGTTGATGGCTCGGTGCAGTGGCTCACGCCTGCATTTTCAGCACTTTGGGAGTCTGAGGCGGGAGGATCACTTGAGGTCAGGGGCTTGAGACTAGCCTGGCCAACGTGGTGAAACCCATTTTCTACTAAAAAAAAACAAAAAGGGCATGATGGTGACACATATAATTCCAACTACTTGGGAGGCTGAGGCAGGAAAATTGCTTGAACCCAAGAGGCAAAGGCTGCCACTGCACTCCAGCCTGAGAGACAGCGAGACTCAAAAATAAATAAATAAGAAAAATGAAAATTATAGCCAGTCATGGTGTCAGACACCTATAATCCCAGCTACTCAGGAAGTTGAGGCAGGGGAATCACTTGAAACTGGGAGGCAGAGATTGCCGTGAGCCAAGATCGTGCCACTGTGGTCTAGCTTGGGTCACAGAGCAAGACTCTGTCCCAAAAAAGAGGACCATTTGAGCCCAAGAGACCTAGGTTGGAAGTGCCACCATACTCCAGCCTGGGCAACAGAGATCCTGTCTTAGAAAAAAAAAAACAGACGCCCACCATTGTCAAAGTCTGATTATAAGCAGGCTCTGCAAAGTTATTTGCAAGATCAGCATCAACTTCAGCATTGCTTTTCTCACACGGTAACACTCTAAAGGGAAGTGCGTTCTTTTCTTTTAGACAAGAGAAAATTCTTCCCTTTGGAGAGTCACAGCCCGAGACCTTCTTACTCCAGCACTCTGGGTTTTTTGTTGACATTTTTGTTGACCAGGCTAAACTGGACACAAAATAAAGATGCACGTATTGGCCCTGTTTACACGTTTTCTGGAATCCAAAACATAAACCCCTAAAAGGACCATCTCCAGTTCCTTGCTTCAAACAATCAGCAGGTTAGCCTTGTTTATCATAGGACAATCTTCCTGAGTTTCGTATCTGCTAAGAAAAAACAATGCCTACTACACGTAGCTTATATTTAAGCAGGAGAATTGGTAAGATTTCTGGAGAAGAGCAATGGATTATGAGCCAAGGGTGCACTTGAGTTCCAGGACAGGTACACACAGTCCCGATGGGAGCACCCAAAATCGAGTCTACGATGTTGAAGAATATACATTGTCACATACACAAATATTCTCCAGGATAGACCATAGGCTTGGTCATAAAAACTCAATAAAATCTGAACAGAAATACGTAAGTATGGGTGGGGTGGGTTGGCTCACACCTCTAATCCTAGCACATTAGGGGGCCAAGACGGGAGGATCACCTGAGCTCAGGAGTTCCTGAGACCAGCCCCAGCAACATGGTGTAAACCCATGTGTATGAAAAACACAAAAGTGAGCCAGGTGTGGTGGTGCATGCCTGTAGACACTAATTCAGCAGGTTTAGGTGGGAGGTGGAGGTTGCAGTGAGCCAAGATCGCACCACTACACTCCAGCCTGGGTGATAGAGCCAGACCTTGTCTCAAAAATAACCAACTGGCCGGGCGCGGTGGCTGACGCCTGTAATCCCAGCACTTTGGGAGGCCGAGGCGGGTGGATCACGAGGTCAGGAGATCGAGATCATCCTGGCTAACATGGCGAAACCCTGTCTCTACTAAAAATACAAAAAAAAATTAGCCAGGTGTGGTGGTGGGTGCCTGTGGTCCCAGCTACTCAGGAGGCTGAGGCAGGAGAATGGCGTGAACCCGGTAGGCGGAGCTTGCAGTGACCCGAGATCCTGTCACTGCACTCCAGCCTCGGCGACAGAGTGAGACTCTGTCTCAAAACAAAAACAAAAACAAAAAACAAAAAACAAAAAACAAAAACAAAAAAAAACCAGCCAAACAAATAAAAAACATACACACACAAAGAAAGAAAAAAATACCCAAGGTTATATCAGAGTATTCTCTGTATTTAGAACAGTATTTTGTGTGTATATGATTATATTATATATAAGTATATATATAACGAAATATATACCATATATTTCTGAGACCCTGTGTCAAAGAAAGTTCCATATATTGTATGCTCACAGGAAGAAAAATTCCTACACAAGTGCTTGCTTTGGCAGTTCACATAAAAAAAAATTGGAATGACAGAGATTACGCTGGCTGCTACACAAAGGTGACACCCAAATTTATGATGTCCCATATTTATCTATTTATTTTTATTTATTTTATTTATTCATTTATTTTTGAGACGGAATGTTGCTCTCTGGCCCAGGCTGGAATGCCATGGCTTGATTTCAGCTCACTGAAATCTCCTCCTCCTGGGTTCAAGGGATTCTCCTGCCTCAGCCTCCGGAGTAGCTGGAATTACAGATGTGCACCATTGCACCCAGCTAATTTTTGTATTTTTAGTAGAGACGAGGCTTTGCCATGTTGGCCCTGTTGGTCTTGAACTCCTGACCTCAGGTGATCCTCCCGTCTCGGCCTCCCAAAGTGCTGGGATTACAGGCATGCGCCACCGCGCCCGGCCTATTTTTTACTTTCTTGAGACTGAGTCTCACTCTGTTGCCCAGGGTGGAGTGCAGCAGAAGATTTCAGCTCACTGAAAGCTCAGCCTCCTGGCTTCATGTTGGCCAGGCTGGTCTCGAACAACTGATCTCAGGTGATCCTCCTGTCTCAGCCTCACAAAGTGCAGGAATTACAGACAAGAGCCACCATATGCACACTAGTCCCATATTTAAAATTAGGAAAAAAAAAAACAAAACAAAGATGCCCACACCTGAACAGCAAATCGTTTGTTGTTCAAGTACATCTCAAATACATTGTTTATCTAAAATACAAGTTTAACTGGGGTCAGGTATGAACCAAAGAACAGTCCTTACTTTCTTCTTGTCTGTGCATGGGGGGTTAATATTCACATGTGGTCCCATCTACCAAGGACTGGGGAGGGGCAGAGGCAGGAGGATCTAAGCCCACTTCAGCCAGGGCAGCATAGTGAGACCGCCGTCTCATGCATTTATCTCCTGGTCATGCACCCAGATTTCAGCTTCATTTCCCCAATAAACACTGAAGCCCCATGCACTCCACCTCCGTGCTCTTGCTCATCCCATCTGCAGGGACACTGAGGTCCCCTCAACTCCACCTGACCCCACGTGAGGTTCTATACCAGTGCCAGAAAAATTTCCATAAAGTAAAAGGTGCTGATGGCTGTGCCCGGTGGCTCACGCCTGTATTCTCAGCACTTTGGGAGGCCGAGGCCAGCGGCTCACTTGAGGTCAGGGGTTTGAGACTAGCCTGGCCAACATGGTGAAACCCCACCTTTACTAAAAAAAAAAAAAAAAAAAAAAAATCAAAATCAAAAAGTAGCTGGTTGTAGTGGTGGGTGCCTGTAATTCCACCTACTCAGGAGACTGAGGCAGGAGAATGGCTTGAACCTGAGAGGCAGAGGTTGGAGTCAGCCGGGATCATGCCACTGCCCTCCAGGCTGGGTGACAGCAACACTCCATCTCAAAAATGAATGAATGAATAAAAAAGAAAAATACAAATATTAGCCGAGTGTGATGTCAGGCATCTGTAATCCCAGCTACCCAGGAAGCTGAGGCAGGAGAATCACTCGAACCCGGGAGGTGGAGGTTGCATTGAGCCAAGATCGCGCCACTGCACTCCAGTCTGGGTCACAGAGCAAGACTGTATCCCATAAAAGGACCATCTGAGCCCAACAGGCCTATCTTAAAAAGTGCTTCTCTAGTCTCTCCTGGGCAACAGAGACCTTGTCTTAGAAAAAAAAAAAAACACAAAACAAAACACACACACCAAAACAAAAAACAAAAACCTAACAAACAAAAAAACCAACCAAACAAACAAACAAAAAAACAGACTCCCAACATCATCCAAGTCTGATTACAAGCATGGTCTGCAAATGTATTACCAAGATCAGCATCATCTTCAACGTGGCTTTTCCCAAACGGTAACACTCTAAAGGGAGGCACTTTGTTTAAGAGAAAACAAACAGAAAGCGCTTCCCTTTGGAGGGTCACAGCATGGGATCTTCTTGCTCCAGCACTCTGGGTTTTTTGTTGAAATCTTCCTTGACCAGGTTAAAATGGCCACAACAATAAAGATGCATTTATTGGCCCTGTTTGCCTGTTTTCTAGAATCCAGAACATAAACCCCTAAAAGGACCATCTCCAGTTCCTTTCTTCAAAGGCTCTGCAGGTTAGCCTTGTTCATCAAGGGGCAACCCTCCTGAGTTTTGCCTCTAAAGAGAAAAAGCAATGCCTACTACACATACCTTATATTTAACCAAGAGAACTGGGCTGGATTTCTAGAGAACAGCAATGGACTTTGAGCTGAGTGTTCACTTGAGTTCCAGCACAGGGATACATAGTTCCGATGGGAGCATCCAAAATGGAGTCTAAGATGTTGAAGAATATACATTGTCACACACACAAACATCCTCCAGGATAGACCACAGGCTAGTGGATCACCTGAAAGCGGGAGTTCAAGACTAGCCTGGCCAACATGGTGAAACCCGTCTCTACTAAAAACATAAAAATTAGCTGGGTGGGGCAGTAGGTGCCTGTAATCCCAACTACCTGGGAGGCTGAGGCAGAAGCATCACTCGAACCCAGGAGGCGGAGGTTGCAGTGAGCCTAGATCATGCCAGTGCTCTCCAGGATGGGCAGCAAGAGTGCAGGACACGATGGTGGGTGCCTGATGCCTGAATTCCCAACAATTCGGCAGGCTGAGGTGGGAGAATCACTGGAACCCGAGAGGTGGAGTTTCCGGTGAGCAGAGATCCTGCTACTGCACTCCCAACGAAACAAGAGTGTGTCTCAAAAAATCAAAAAATAAAAAGAGGACCACTTAAGCCCAAGAAATCTTGGTGGAAGGTGCTATCCACCCACGCCTGGGCAATAGAAAGCCTGTCTTGGAAAAATTTCAAATCACAAACAGAACCCCGACATCATGCAAGTCTGATGATAAGCACGCTCTGCAAATGTATTACCAAGATCAGCAGCATCTTCAACGTTGCTTGTCTCAAACAGTAACACTCTAAAGGGATGCACGATCTTTTCTTTTATACAACAGACAGTGCTTCCATCTAGAGGGTCACTGCCTGAGATCTTCTTTTTTTTGACACGGAGTCTCACTCTGCCGCCCAGGCTGGATGCGGTGGTGGGATCTCGGCTCATGGCAACTTCTGCCTCCTGGGTTCAAGCGATTCTTCTGCGTCAGCCTCCTGAGTAGCTGGGATTAGAGGCACCCACCACCATGCATATTGCATATATGACTGCATATATGACCTGGTCATGCACCCAAGATGTTGGTTTCATTTCCCCAGTGAAAACTCAAACCCCATGCACTCCACCTCCGTGCTCTTGCTGAGCACATCCCATCTGCAAGGGACACTGAGGTCCCCCTTTGACTCTACCTGACCCCACATGAGGCTTTATAAATCAGTGCCAGAATAATTTCCATGGACTAAAAGGTGTTAATGGCCATGTGTGGTGGCTCACGCCTGTAATCTTAGCACTTTGGGAGGCTGAGGTGGGCAGATCACCTGAGGTCAGGAGTTCGCAACCAGCCTGGCCAACATGGTGAAACCCCGCCTCTGCTGAAAATATAAAAATTAGGCCAGGCGTGGTGGCTCATGCCTGTAATCCCAGCACTTTGGGAGGCAGAGGCCGGTGGCTAACTTGAGGTCAGGGGTTTGAGACCAGCCTGGCAAACATGGTGAAATCCCATCTCTACTAAAAAAAAAACAAAAAACAAAAAACAAAAAGTAGCCAGGTGTGGTGGTGGGCTCCCGTAATTCTAGCTACTCAGGAGGCTGAGGTAGAAGAATTGCTTGAATCCGGGAGGCAGAGGTTGCACTGAGCAGAGATCACGCCTCGGCCCTCCAGCCTGGGTAACAGTGAGACTCCATCTCAAAAACATAAATAAATGAATTTTAAAAAATGAAAATATTATCCAGGTGTGGTGATGGGCACCTGTAATCTCACCTACTTGGGAAGCTGAGGCAGGAGACTCGCTTGAACCTGGGAGGTGGAGGTTGCAGTGAGCCGAGATCACACCACTGCACTTCAGCCTGGGTGATAGAGAGACTCTGTCCGCTAAAAAAACCATTTGAATCCAAAAGACCTAGGTTGGATGTGCCACCGCACTCCAGCCTGGGCAACAGAGATCCTGTCTTAGAATAAAAAAGCAAAACCAAAACAGAACCCCGCCATCGTCCAAGCCTCATGATAAGCATGCTCTACAAATGTATTACCGAGATAAGCATCAACTTCAACGCTGCTTTTCTCAAACCGTAACACTCCAAAGGGAAGCGCCTTCTTTTCCTTTGGACAAGAGAAAGTGCTTCCCTTTGTAGGGTCACAGCATGAGATCTTCTTGCTCCAGAACTCTGGGTTTTTTGTTGGAATTTTCCTTGCCCAGGTTAAAATGGACACAAAAATGAGGATGCATTTATTGGCCCTGTTTGCATGTTTTCTGGAATCCAGAACATAAACCCCTAAAATGACCATCTCCAGTTCCTTGCTACAAAGAATAAGCAGGTTAGCCTTATCCCTAATCCCAGCACTTTGGGAGGCCGAGGTGGGCGGATCACCTTAGTTCAGGAGTTCAAGGCCAGCCTGCCCAATATGGTGAAACCCTGTCTCTACTAAACGTACAAAAAAATTAGCTGGGGTGGTGGTGTGTGCCTGAAAATCCCAGTTACCCGGGAGTTGGGGAAGGAGAATCACTGGAACCCGGGAGACAGAGGCTACAGTAAGCCGAGATTGCGCCACTGTACTGCAGCCTGGGCGACAGAGCAAGACTGTTTCAAAAAAAATAAATAAATAAAAATAAAAAAAATTTAGTGTCAGGGACAAGGAGATTCAACTAAAAAGATACAAATAAATAGAAAAAATAAGAACATTGTATTAATATTGACATCCATTGGGATTACAGAATAGACTGGATAGATGTGGAGGCCTATATTTTTTGTTTTGTTTTGTTTTGAGATGGAGCCTCGCTCTGTCGCCCAGGCTGGAGTGCACCTGCGCGATCTTGGCTCACTGCAACCTCCGCCTCCTGGGTTGAAGAGATTCTGCTGCCTCAGCCTCCTGAGTAGCTGGGATTACAAGCACGCACCACCACGCCCACTTAATCTTTGTATTTTTAGTAGAGACGGGGTTTCACCATATTGGTCAGGCTGGTCTCGAACTCCTGACCTCCTGATCCGCCTGCTTCAGTCTCCCAAAGTGCTTGGATTACACACCTGGCCCTTACTCTCCTAATGAAGGAAACATGGTTTGGATTGATTAAACTAAACTGATGAAAGGCCTGTATTTGAAGTGACCAACCCAAATGGAGCCTCAGGAACCAGATGGCATGTAATCTGCGTTTTTAAAGAGATGGGATCTTGCTATGTGGCCCAGGCCGGAGTGCAGTGGCTATTCAAAGGTGTGATCAGTGCATGGTATAGCCTTAAAATCAAAGGACCCTCCCACCCTAGCCTTTGCAGTAACTGGGACCCTGTGTGTCCCAGGATGCCTGGCCGTGTCACCTATCTTTGAAATGGGACAAGGTGGCTCACACATTTAGGATCACTTAAGCTCAGCTGAGACCATCCCAGGCAAAAGAGACCCCATCTCTACCAAAAATTAAAACCTGAGCCCAACTACTTGCGAGGCTGACAAGAAGACCACTTGAGGCTGGACGTGGTGGCTCACGCCTGTAATCCCAGCACTTTGGGAGGCCAGGGAGGTGGATCACTTAAGGTCAGGAGTCGAGACCAGCCTGGCCAACATGGCGAAACCCTTTCTTGTCTAAAAATACAAAAATTGGCAGGGTGTGTTGGTGGGTGCTTGTAATACCAGCTATTTGCGAGGCTAAGGTGAAAGAATCACTGGAACTCCACGGTGAGTGGAGATCCTGCCACTGCACTCCAGCCTGGGCGACAGAGGTGGGAGTTACAGTGAGTGGAGATCCTGCCACTGCATTCCAGCCTGGGCGACAGAGCCAGTCTCCATCTCAAAATAAAATAAAATAAATAAAATAAAACAAAATAAAATAACAGGCTGGGCACGGAGGCTCACACCTGTAATCCCAGCACTTTGGGAGGCCGAGGCGGGTGGATCATGAGGTCAGGAGTTTGAGACCATCCTGGCCAACGTGGTGAAACCCGGTCTCTACTAAAAATACAAAAATTAGCTCGGCATGGCGGTGCGTGCCTGTAATCCCAGCTACTCAGGAGGCTGAGGCAGGAGAATCGCTTGAACCACGGAGTCGGAGGTTGCAGTGAGCTGAGATTCCGCCACTGGACTCCAACCTGGTGACAGAGCGAGACTCCGTCTCACACACACACAAAAATAAGAATTAATAATAATAATAGAGCAAGACATGACCCCAAGAGATCTAGTTTGGAGTGCAACCCCTCCCTCTCCAGCCTGGGCAACAGAGACTGGTCTTGGAAAAAAATAAAACCAAAACAGAACCCTGCCGTCATCCAAGCCTGATAAGCATGCTCTGCGAATGTATTACCAAGATCAGCATCAACTTCAACGTTGCTTTTCTCAAACCGTAACACTCTAAAGAGAAGCGCTTTGTTTTCTTTCAGACAACAGAAAGTGCTTCCCTCCAGAGAGTCACAGCATGAGATCTTCTCGCTCCAGCCATCTGGGATTTTTGTTGAAATTTTCCTTGACCAGGTTAAGATGGACACAAATATAAAGATGCATTTATTCGCTGTTTGACCGTTTTCTGGAATCCAGAACATAAACCTCTAAAAGGACAATCTCCAGGCTCAGCAGATTAGCCTTGTTCATCAAGGGGAATCCTCCTAAGTTTTGTCTCCAAGGAGAAAAAGCAATGCCCACTACACATACCTTACCTTTAACCAAGAGAATTGAGGTGGATTTCTAGAGAACAGCAATGGATTGAGTCACATGGTCACTTGAGTTCCAGCACAGGGACACACAGTCATGATGGGAGCATCCAAAATGGAATCTAAATTTGCCAGGCGTGGTGGTGCCCACCTGTAATCCCAGCTACTCAGGAGGCTGAGGCAGGAGAATTGCTTGAACCCGGGAGGCGGAGGTTGCAGTGAGACGAGATCGTGCCAATGCACTCCAGCCTGGGTGACAGGAAAGAAAAAAAGAATATGCATTGTCTTACACACAAACATTCTCCAGGATAGAGCACTGCCTAGGCCGTAAAAGCTCCTCAATAACATTTGTACAGAAGTACGGGTGGAGTGCAGTGGCTTACACCTCTAATCCCAGCACTTTAGGAGTCGAAGGCGGGAAAATTACATGAGCTCGAGTTCAAAACTAGCCTGCCCAACATAGTAAAACCTCATCTGTAAAAATACAAAAGATAGCCAGGTGTAGTGGTTCATGCCTGTAGACACTAATTCAGGAGGCTGAGGTGGGAGGTAGAGGCTGCAGTGAGTTGAGGTCACAACACTGCACTCCAGCCTGGGCAATAGAGCCAGATGGTGTCTCAAAAAAAATTAAAAAAAAAAAAAATACACAAACAAAAACAACCCCAAAGTGATATAAGAGTATTCTCTGTGTGCAGAAGACTATTTTGTGTGAATATAATTATACATAGAAGATTATATGATAACATGTATATATTTTGGAGACCCTGTCTCAAAAAAACAAAGTTCCATGTACTATATGCTCACATAAAGAATAATTCCTACATACTAGTGCTTGGGCAGCAAGAACGAAACTCCATCTCAAAAAAAAAAAAAAGAAAAAATCAAAACAAAAACAGAAGCCCACCATCATCCATCTCTGATGATAAGCATGCTCTGAAAATGTATTACCAAGATCAGCATCAACTTCAATGTTGCTTTTCTCAAACGGTAACCCTCTAAAAGGAAGCACTTTCTTTTCTTTCAGACAACAGAAAGTGCTTCCCTCTAGAGGACGACAGCCTGAGATCTTCTTGCTCTGGCACTGTGGATTTTTTGTGGGAATCTTCCTTGACCAGGTTAAAATGGACGCAAAAATAAAGATGCATTTATTTGCCCTGTTTGCATGTTTTCTGGAATCCAGAGCATAAATCCCTAAAAGGACCATCTGCAGTTCTTTGCTTCAAAGAATCAGCAGGTTAGCCTTGTTCATCAACGGGCAATCCTCCTGAGTTTTGTTCCCAAAGAGAAAAGGCAATGCCTACTACACATACCTTATCTTTAACCAAGAGAATTGGGCTGGATTTCTAGAGAATAGCAATGGATTTTGAGCCAAGTGGTCGCTTGAGTTCCAGTACAGGAGCGCACAGTCCTCATGGGGGCATCCGAAATGGAATCTAAGATGTTGAAGAATATACACTGTTGTAGGCACAAACATCCTGCAGGGTAGACAACAGGCTACCCTGTAAACGCTCCTCAATAAAATCTGAGCAGAAACAGACGAGTATAGGTGGGGCACAACAGCTCACACCACTAATCCTAGCACTTTAGGAGGCCAAGGTGGAAGATCACCTGAGCTAAGGAGTTCGAGACCAACCTGGGCAACATGGGGAAACCACATCTGTACAAAAAAACCAAAAGTTAGCCAGGTGTGGTGGTGTATGCCTGCAGACAGCTATTCAGGAGGCTGAGCTGGGAGTTGGAGGTTGCAGTGAGCCGAGATCGCACCACTGCACTCCAGCCTGGGCGACAGAGTGAGACTCTGTCTCTAAAATGAATAAGTTAAAAAATAAATACATAACAATAATACAAAAATTAGCTGGGCGTGGTGGCATATGCCTGTAATCCCAGCTGCTCGGGAGGCTGAGGCAGGAGAATCATTTGAACCTGGGAGGCAGAGGTTGCAGTGAGCAAAGTTCCTGATACTGAGCTCCAGCCAGGGTCACAGAGCAAGACTCTGTCCCAAAAAAGAGGGCCACTTGAACCCAAGAGATCTAGGTTGGAGGGGCCACCATACTCCAGCCTGGGCAACAGACACCCTGTCTTAGGAAAAAAAACCAAAAAAACCCCACAAAACCCCAACATCATCCAAGTCTGATTATAAGCATGATCTCCAAGATCAGCATTAACTTCAATGTTGTTTTTCTCAAAGAGTAATCCTCTAAAAGGAAGCGCTTTCTCTTCTTTCAAGCAACAGAAAGTGCTTCCCTCTAGAGGGTCACAGCCTGAGCTCTTCTTGCTCCAGCACTGTGGGTTTTTTGTTGGAATTTTCCTTCACCAGGTTAAAATGGACACAAAAATGAGGATGCATTTATTGGCCCTGTTTGCATGTTTTCTGGAATCCAGAACATAAAACCCTAAAAGGACCATCTCCAGTTCCTTGCTTCAAAGTCTCAGCAGGTTAGCCTAGATCATCGAGGGACAATCCTCCTGAGTTCTGTCTCCAGAAAAAGCATTGCCTACTACACATACCTTACATTTAACCAAGAGAATTGGGCTGGATTTCTAGAGAACAGCAATGGATTTTGAGCCAAGCGTTCACTTGAGTTCCAGCACAGGGACACACAGTCCCGATGGGAGCATTCAAAACTGAATCTCCCATGTTGAAAAATATACATTGTTGGCCGGGCGCAGTGGCTTATGCCTGTAATCCCACCACTTTGGGTGGCTGAGGCGGGCGGCTCACATGAAGTCAGGGGTTTCAGACCAGCCTGGCCAACATGGTGAAAAAAAAAATACAAAAGTAACCGGGCGTGGTGACGGGTGCCTGTGATTCCAGCTACTCAGGAGGTTGAGGCAGAAGACTTGCTTGAACCTGAGAGGCAAAGGTTTGAGTGAGCCGAGGTCCTGCCACTGCCCTCTGGCCTGAGTGACAGTGAGACTCCATCTCAAAACAAATAAATACATGAATAAATAACATGCAAATATTAGCCAGGCATGGTGTCAGGCACCTATAATCCCAGCTACTCAGGAATGTGAGGCAGGAGAACTGCCTAAAACTGGGAGGTGGAGGTTGCAGTGAGCTGAGATCACGTCACTACACTCCAGCATGGGTCACAGAGCAAGACTGTCCGAAAAAAGAGGACCATTTGAGCCCAAGACACCTAGGTTGGAAGTGCCAACACACTCCAGCCTGGGCAAGAGACCCTATCTTAGAAAAACAACAACAACAAAACAGGACCCCACCATCCTCCATGTCTGATGGAAGCACGCTCTGCGAAGTTATTACCAAGATCAGCATAACTTGTTGGGAGGCCAAGGTGGGCGAGTCACCTGAGGTCAGGAGTTCCAGACCAGCCTCGCCAACAAGGTAAAATCCCAGCTCTAAAAATACAAAAAAAATTTTGCCAAGCGTGGTGACACGTGTCTGCAATTGTACCTACTTGGGAGTCAGAAGTTGCAGGAGCAGAGACTGGGCCGCTGCACTCCACCCTGAGGGACAGAGTGAGATACTGACTCAAAAAAAAAAAAAAAAAAAAATTGCTTGAACCCAGGAGGCAGAGGTTGCAGTGAGCCGAGATCACATTATTGCACTCCAGCTTGAGTGACAGAGTGACACTGCCTCACAAAGTCAAAGACAGAACAAAAGAACCCTCCTTGCCCTCTTCTTGCCTGTGCATAGATTAAAATATTCACCTGTAGTCCCAGATACTAGGAAGAGGAGAGGGAGAGAGCACATTCTACCCTGGGCGGCATAGCGAGACCTCCGTTTCTAAAATACAAAAATTAAATCAATTGTACATTGATGACGTGCTCATGTGCCCTACATTTCAGCTTCATTTACCCAATAGAAACTCAAAGCCCACGCACTCCACCTTTGTGCTCTTGCTACGTAGTGAACATCCCACCTGCAAGGGACACTGAGGTTCCCTTCAGCTCTACCTCAACCCAAGTCAAGGGAGGTTCTGTAAACCAGTGCAGGCATAACTTCCACGGAGTAAAAGGTGTTGAGGGCTGGACGAACAGGCATCGCTCACTACGGCAACAACGAGAGCTGCGGCGCATCCCACCTGTTACTAGAGAGGCCCTTCTAGGGTCCTCAAGGTTTTTGTGAAAAGTATCTGTGGTTTTGTCCCATGTGACAATTATCACTGCCACTGAGACTCATCTTGTCTACCATAGTTTGTTTCTCATATTAGCCACAGCCAACATTTCACAGCTTACCAAGCAACTAGCCTTTAAATGCGAGGTACCTTGGGTTCATTACCCGAAGAAAATAGCATAATCAGGGAAGCTGCAGTCAAAGAACTCACCGGGGCTGGCGTGAGTGGGTGGCGGTTGAATCAACTACACCCTTCCTGCAGAGAAAGCAGCTCTATTCCGAGAAACGACGGCAAGTTGTTGGAGAGAAAAAAATTTCAGTGTCAAGGACAAGAAGATTAAACTAAAAAGACACAAACAGGAAAAACAAGAAAATTTTGTTAATATGGACATCCATTTGAGATTACAAATTAAGATTGGATAGACTTGAAGGCTTACTTACCTTTTTTTTAAGTCCAGCTCAGTCGCCCAGGTTGGAGTGCAATGGTGCAATCTCAGCTCACTGCAACCTCAGCCTCCTAGGTTCACGCCACCACACCCGGCTAATTTTTGTATTTTTAGTAGTGATAGGGTTTCACCATATTGGCCAGGCTGGTCTTGAACTCCTGACCTCAGGCGATCCGCCTGCCTTTGCCTCCCACAGTGCTGGGATTACAGGCATGAGGCACCATGCCCCGGCTACTTACTCTCTTAATGAAGGAAATGATTTCGATTGATTACACTAAATTGATGGGAGACCCATTTCAAATAACCAACCCAAATGGAGCCTCTGTAACCAGGTGCCATGTAATCTGTTTTTAAAGAGATGGGATCTTGCTATGTTGGCCCAGGCTGGAGCGCAGTGGCTATTCGAAGGTGTGATCAGTGCATGGTACAGTCTGGAAATCAAAGGTCCCTCCGACCCTGGCCTCTGCAGTGGCTGGGACTGTGTGCCCCACAATGCCTGGCCATGTCAACTCTCTTTGAAATGGGTCATCAAGACGAGGTGGCTCACACGTGTAGGACCACATAAGCTGTGGAGATGAGACTATCCTGGGAAAAAGAGACCCCAATTGTACCAAAAATTAAAAACTTAGCCAAGTATGGTGGCACGCCCCACGTAGTCCCAACTACTTGAGAGGCTGACTCAAGAGGACCACTTGAGGCTGGGCGCGGTGGCTCACGCCTGTAATCTCAGCACTTTGGGAGGCCAGGGAGGAGGATTACTTAAGGGCAAGAGTTGAGATGAGCCTGGCCAATATGGTGAAACCCTTTCTTGTCTAAAAATACAAAAAGCAGGGCATGGCGGTGGGTGCTTATAATTCCAGCTACTCGGGAGGCTGAGGTGGGAGAATGTCTGGAACCTGGGAGGCTGTAGTTGTGGAGATCCTGCCACTGTACTCCAGCCTGGGTGACAGAGTGAGACTCCATCTCAAACAATTAAAAAAATGAAATAAAAAGAAGACCATCTGAGCCCAAGAGATCTAGGTAGAAGTGCCACCGCACTCCAGTCTGGGCAACGGAGACCCTGTCTTAGAAAAAAACAAAACCAAAACAGAACCCCACCATCGTCCACGTCTGATGATAAGCACG
The DNA here is from genome assembly GCF_000001405.40 of Homo sapiens. Taxonomy (NCBI): domain Eukaryota; kingdom Metazoa; phylum Chordata; class Mammalia; order Primates; family Hominidae; genus Homo; species Homo sapiens. The sequence goes on along the minus strand of NC_000019.10, from coordinate 53,702,868 downwards.
CTCTGCAAATGTATTACCAAGATCAGCATCAACTTCAACGCTGCTTTACTCAAACCGTAAACCTCTAAAGGGGAGCGCTTTGTTTTCTTTCAGACAACAGAAAGCGCTTCCCTCTGGAGGGCCACAGCATGACATATTCTTGCTCCAACACTGGTTTTTTGATGTTGCTGTTGGAATTTTCCTTGACCAGGTTAAAATGGACACAAAATAAAGATGCATTTATTTGCCCTGTTTGCATGTTTTCTGGAATCCAGAACATAAACCCCTAAAAGGACCATCTCCAGTTCCTTGCTTCAAAGGCTCAGCAGGTTAGCCTTGTTCATCAAGGCGCAATCCTCCTGAGTTTTGTCCCCAAAGAGAAAAAGCAATGCCTGCTACATATACCTTATCTTTAACCAAGAGAATTAGGCAGGATTTCTAGAGAACAGCAATGGATTTTTGAGCCAAGCGTTCACCTGAGTTCCAACATAGGGACACACAGTCCCGATGGGAGCATCCAAAATGGAATCTAAATTAGCCAGGCGCCCACCTGTAATCCTAGCTACTCAGCAGGCTGAGACAGGAGGATCGCTGGAACCCAGGAGGCGGAGGTTTCAGTGAACCGAGATCATGCCATTGCACTCCAGCCTGGGTGACAGAGTGAGACTCCGTCTCCAAAAAATAAAAATAAAAAAAAAGAATATACATTGTCATACACACAAACATTCTCCAGGATAGACTACTGTCTAGGCCGTAAAAGCTCCTCAATAAAATTTGAACAGAAATACACAAGTACAGGTGGGGTGCAGTGGCTCACACCTGTAATCCCAGCACTTTAGGAGTCGGAGGCAGGAGGATTACTTGAGCTCAGGAGTTCAAGACTAGCCTGGGCAACATGGTGAAACCTCATGTGTCCAAAAATACAAAGGTTACCAGGTGTTGTGGTTCATGCCTGCAGATGCTAACTCAGGAGGCTCAGCTGGGAGGTAGAGGTTGCTGTGAGCCGAGGTCACAACACTGCACTCCAACCTAGGTAATAGCGCCAGACTGTGTCTCAAAAAATATTTAAAAAATACACAAACAGAAACAACCCCAAAGTGATATAAGAGTATTCTCTGTGTTGGCCGGGCACAGTGGCTCACGTCTGTAATCCCAGCACTTTGGAAGGCCGACGTGGGTGGATCATGAGGTCAGTAGTTGGAGACCAGCCTGGCCAACATGGTGAACCCCATCTCTATTAAAAATACAAAAATTAGCCAGTGTGGTGGCTCATGCCTGTAATCCCAGCTGCTCTGGAAGCTGGGTCATAAGAATGACTTGAACCTGGGAGGCAAAGCATGCAATGAGTGGTGTTCATGCCACTGTACTCCGGACTGGGTCACAGTGTGAGATTATCCCAAAAAACAGGACCACTTGAGCCCAAGAGATCTAGGTTAAAAGTGCCACTGCACTCCAGCCTGGGCAATAGACACTCTGTCTCAGAAAAAAAAAAACAAAAAAACAGAACCCCACCATCATCCAACTCTGATGATAAGCATGCTCTGCAAATGTATTATTGCCAAGATCAGCATCCACCTAAACGTTGCTTTTCTTAAACGGTAACCCTCTAAAAGGAAGCACTTTCTTTTCTTTCAGACAACAGAAAGCGCTTCCCTGTAGAGGGACACAGCCTGACATCTTCTTGCTGTGGCACCGTGGATTTTTTGTTGGAATCTTCCTTAACCAGGTTAAAATGGACTCGAAAAGAAAGATGCATTTATTTGCCCTGTTTTCTATTTGTGTGTTTTCTGGAATCCAGAATATAAACCCCTAAAAGGACAATCTCCAGTTCCTTCCTTCAAAGAATCAGCAGGTTAGCCTTGTTTATCAAGGGGCAATCCTCCTGAGTTTTGTCTGCAAGAGAAAGAGCAATACCTGCTAGACATACCTTATCTTTAACCAAGGGAACTGGGCTGGATTTCTAGAGAACAGCAATGGACGGAGAGCCAAGTGTTCACCTGAGTTTCAGTACAGGGACACACAGTCCCCATGCAAGCATCCAAAATGGAACATAACATACTGAAGAATATACATTGTCATAGACACAAACATTCTCCAGAGAGACCACAGGCTATACCATAAAAGCTCCCCAATAAAATTTGAGCAGAAACACACAAGTACAGGTGGGGCACGGTGGCTCATACCTCTAATCACAGCACTTTAGGAGGCCGAGGTGGGAGGATCACTTGAGTTCAGGAGTTCAAGACCAGCCCAGGCAACATGGAGAAACCATGTCTGTACAAAAAATACAAAAGTTAGCCAGGTGTGGTGGTGCATGCCTGTAGACAGCTATTCAGGAGGCTGAGGTGGGAGTTGGAGGTTGCAGTGAGCCGAGATTGCACCACTGCACTCCAGCCTGGGCGAAAGAGTAAGACTCTGTCTCAAAAATAAATAAAGGAAATTACAAAAATTAGCCGGGCATGGTAGCACATGCCTGTAATCCCAGTTGCTTGGGAGGCTGAGGCAGGAGAATCGCTTTTACCCAGGAGGCAGAGGTTGTAGTGAGCAGAGATCCTGACACTGCACTCCAGCCAGGGCCACAGAGCAAGACTCTGACCCAAAAAAGAGGGCCACTTGAACCCAAGAGATCTAGGTTGGAGAGGGACCACCACACTCCAGCCTGGGCAACAGACACCCTGTATTAAAAACAAAACAAAACAAACATGAAACACCAACATCATCCACGTCTGATTATAAGCATTCTCTGCAAATTTATTACCAAGATAAGCATCAACTTCAACGTTGCTTTTCTCAAAGAGTAATCCTCTAAAGAGAAGCGCTTTCTTTTCTTTTAGACAAGAGAAAGTGCTTCCCTCTAGAGGGTCACAGCATGAGATCTTCTTGCTCCAACACTCTGGGTTTTTTGTTGGAATTTTCCTTCACCCGGTTAAAATGGACACAAAAACAAAGATGCATTTATTGGCCCTGTTTGCATGTTTTCTGGAATCCAGAATATAAACCCCTAAAAGGACCATCTCCAGTTCCTTGCTTCAAAGGATCAGCAGGTTAGCTTTGTTCATCAAAGAGCAATCCTCCTGAGTTTTGTTCTCAAAGAGCAAAAGCAATGCCTCATAGACATATGTACCTTATATTTAACCAAGAGAACTGGGCTGGATTTCTAGAGAAGAGAAATGGATATTGAGCCAGGTGTTCACCAGAGTTCCAGCACAGGGACACACAGTCCCGATGGGAGCATCCAAAATGGAATCTACGATGTTAAAGAATATACATTGTTGTACACACAAACATCCTCCAGGGTAGATCACAGGCTAGGCCCTAAAAACTCCTCAATAAAATTTGAACAGAAACACACAACTACAAGTGGGGCACGGTGGCTCACACCTCTAATCCCAGCACATTAGGAGGCTGAAACTGAAGTATCACCTGAGCTCAGGTGTTCGAGACCAGTCTCGGCAACATGGTGTAAGCCCATGTGTATAAAAAATACAAAACGGAGCCAGGTGTGGTGGTGCATGCCTGTAGACACTAATTCAGCAGGCTTAGGTGGGAGGTAGAAGTCGCAGTGAGCTGAGAGAGATGGCACAACTGCACTCTAGACTGGGTGACAGAGCCAGACCTTATCCAAAAACAAATAAAACATACACTCACACACACACAAACAAACAAAAAAAACCCCAAAGTGATATAAGAGTATTCTCTTCATGTAGAAGAGTATTTTGCACGTATATGGTATTATATATATAAGAATATATAATGGCCGGGCGGGGTGGCTAATGCCTGCAATCCCAGCACTTTCGGAGGCCAAGGCGGGAAGATCACCAGAGGTCGGGAGTTCGAGACCAGCCTGACCAACATGGTGAAACCCTGTCTCTACTAAAAATACAAAAAATTAGCCAGGCGTGTGGTGCATGCCTGAAATCCTAGTTAGTCGGGTGGCTGAGGCAGGAGAATCACTTGAAACTGGGAGGCGGAGGTTGAAATAAGCGAAGATCGCACCACTGCACTCCAGCCTGGTGACAGAGTAAGACTCCATCTCAAAAAAAAAAAAAAAAAAAAGAAAAGAAAAAAGAAAGAAAAATGCAAGTATTAGCCAGGCGTGGTGTCAGGTACCTATAATCCCAGATACTCAGGAATCTGAGGCAGGAGAACGGCTTGAAACTGGGAGGTGGAGGTGGCAGTAAGCTGAGATCACGCCACTGCACTCCAGCCTGGGTCACAGAGTAAGACTCTATCCCAAAAGAGAGGACCATTTGAGCCCAAGAGAGCTAGGTTGGAAGTGCCACCACATTCCAGCCTGGGCAACAGAGATCCTGTCTTAGAAAAAAAAAAAAAACAGAACCCCACCTTCATCCAAGTCTGATGATAAGCATGCTCTGCAAATGTATTAGCAAGATCAGCATCAACTTCAATGCTGCTTTTCTCAAAGGGTAACCCTCTATAGGGAAGCGCGTTCTTTTCTTTCAGACAACAGAAAGCGCTTCCCTCTAGAGGGTCACAGCATGAGATCTTCTTGCTCCAGCACCCTGGGTTTTTTGTAGCAATTTTCCTTGACCAGGTTAAAATGAACACAAAAATAAAGATGCATTTACTGGCCCTGTTTGCATGTTTTCTGGAATCCAGAATATAAACCCCTGAAAGGACCATCTCCAGTTCCTTGTTTCAAAGGCTCAGCAGGTTAGCCTTGTTCATCAAGGGGCAATCCTCCTGAGTTTTGTCTCCAAAGAGAAAAAGCAATGACTACTAGACATACCTTATATTTCACCAATAGAATTTGGCTGGATTTCTAGAGAACAGCAATGGATTTTGAGCCAAGCGTTCACTTGAGTTCCAGCACAGGGACACGCAGTCCTCACAGGAACATCCAAAATGAAATCTAAGATGTTGAACAGGCCTGGCGTGGTGGCTCACGCCTGTAATCCCAATGCTTTGGGAGGCTGAGGCAGGTGGATCACCTGAGATCAGGAGTTCAAGACCAGCCTGACTAACATGGTGAAACCCCATCTCCACCAAATACAAAAACTGAGCCGGGTGAGGTGGCGCATGTCTGTAATCCTAACTACTCAGGAGGCTGAGGCAGGAGAATCACTTGAACCCAGGAGGGGGAAGTTGCAGTGAGCCGAGATTGCGCCATTGCACTCCAGCCTGGGTGACAGAGTGAGACTCTGATTTAAAACAAAAAACAAAACAGAAACCCACCATCATCCAAGTCTTAATTATAAGCATGCTCTGCAAATATATTACCAAGATCAGCATCAACTTCAACGTTGCTTTACCCAAACCGTAACGCTCTAAAGGGAAGCGCCTTCTTTTTTTTCACATAAGAGAAAGTGCATCCCTCTGGAGAGTCACAGCTTGAGATCTTCTTGCTCCAGCACCGTGGGTTTTTGGTTGAAATCTTCCTTCACTGGGTTAAAATGGACACAAAAATAAAGATGCATTTATTGGCCCTGTTTCCATGTTTTCTGGAATCCAGAACATAAACCCCTAAAACGACCATCTCCAGTTCCTTGCTTCAAAGGCTCAGCAGGTTAGCCTTGTTCATCAAGGGGCAATCCTCCTGAGTTTCGCCTCCAGAAAGAAAAAGCAGTGCCTACTACACATACCTTATATTTAACCAAGAGAATTGGGCTGGATTTCTAGAGAACAGCAATCAATTTTAAACCAAGTATTCACTTGAGTTCCAGGACAGGGACACTACAGGACAGACCACAGGCGAGGCCTTAAAAGCTCCTCAGTAAAATTTGAACAGCGGGAGGATCACTTGATCGCAGGAGTTAAGAGTCCAGCCTGTGGAACGTGCTGAAACCTCATCAGTACCAAAAATACAGAACTTACCCAGGGGTGGTGGTGCCTGCCTGTAGACACTAATCCAGGAGGCTGAGGTGGCAGGTGGAGGTTGCAGTGAGCCAAGATCTCACCACTGCCCTCCAGCCTCAGCGACATAGCCAGGCCCTGTCTCATAAAAATTAAAACAAAATACACAAACAAAAACAACTCCAAAGTGATATAAGAGTGTTCTCTGTGTATAGAAGACTATTTTGTGTGTATGGAATTATACACAGAACATTGTGATGAAATATACTCATTTTTTTTTGAGACCCTGTATAAAAAAAAACCAAAGTTCCATATACTATATGCTCACATAAAGCATAATTCCCACATATTGGTGCTTTGACAGCACACACAAATGAATGGGGTGACAGAGATTTCCATAGCCCCCGCACATAGGTGACACCCAAATTCATAATGGGTCCCATATTCAAAATTAGGAAAAAAGGCTGAGTGCAGTGGCTCATACCTGTAATCCCAGCACTTCGGGAGGCCTACGTCGGCAAATCACCTGAGGTCAGGATTCAAGAATGGCCTGGCTAACATGGTGAAACTGTGTCTAAAATACATATATATATATAGCTGGTATGGGGGTACATGTCTGCAATCCCAGCTACTTGGAAGGCTGAGGTTGCAGTGAGCTGAGATCACACCACTGCAGTCCAGCCTGGGAGACACAGAGAGGCTCTTTCTCCAAAAAAAAAAAAAAGAGAATTGCTTGAGTCCAGGAGGCAGAGGTTGCAGTGAGCCAAGATCACACTAATGTACTCCATCTCGGGTGACAGAGCAAGACTGTCTCAAATAGTCAAAGACAGAAAAAAAGAACAGGTCTCGCTCTCTTCTTGATTGTGTATGGGCTCACTTAAGGTCAGGAGTTGGAGACTGGGCTGGCCAACATGTTGAAACCCTGTCTCTACAAAAAAAAAAAAAACGAACAAACAAAAAAAACACAAAAATTAGCCGGGCGTGGTGGTGTGCGCCTGTGATCCCAGCTACTCGGGAGGATGAGGCAGGAGAATTGCTTGAACGTGGGATTGTGCCACTGACCTCCAGCCTGATGGACGGAGTAAGACTCTGTTTCAAAAATCGATGAGTAAATAAATAAATAATAAAAATACAAAAATTAGCTGGGTATGGTGGCTCATGTCTGCGATCTCAGCTACTAGGGAGGCTGACTCAGGAGAGAATGGCTTGAATCTGGGAGGTGGAGGGTACAGGGAGCGAAGTTCCTGCCACTGCACTCCAGCCTGGGTCACAGAGCAAGACTCCATCTCAAAAAAGAGGACCGCTGGGCACAATGGCCCACGCCTGTAATCCCAGCACTTTGGGAGGCTGAGGTGGGTGGATCTTGAGGTCAGTAGTTTGAGACCAGCCTGGCCAACGTGGTGAAACCCTGTCTCTACTAAAAATACAAAAATTAGCTGGAAGTGGTGGCAGGCACCTGTAGTCCCAGCTACTTGGGAGGCTGGGGCAGAAGAATTGCTTGAACTCAGGAGGTGAGCTTGCACACAAGATCGCGCCATTGCACTCTCGTCTGGGTCACAGAGCAAGACTCCGCCTCAAAAAAAAAAAAAAAAAAAAGAGGACCGTTTGAGCCTAAAAGATCTACGTTGGAAGTGCTACCCTACTCCAGCCTGGGCAAGAGAGACTCTGTCTTAGAAAAAAAAACAAAATAAAAACAGAATCCCACCATCATCCAAGTCTGATGATAAGCATGCTCTGCAAATGTATTACCAAGATCAGCATCAACTTCACTGTTGCTTTCCTCAAACAGTAAACCTCTAAAAGGATGCACTTTCTTTTCTTTCAGACAACAGAAAGCGCTTCCCTCTAGAGGGTCACAGCATGGGATCTTCTTGCTCCAGCACCCTGGGTTTTTTGTAGAAATTTTCCTTGACCAGGTTAAAATAGAGACAAAAATAAAGACCTATTTATTGGCTCTGTTTGCATGTTTTCTGGAATCCAGAACATAGACCCCTAAAAAGACCATCTCCCGTTCCTTCCTACAAAGGCTCAGCAGGTTAGCCTTGTTCATCAAGGGGAAATCCTCCTGAGTTTTGTGTCCAGAAAGAAAAAGCAATGCCTACTATGCATACCTTATATTTAACCAAGAGAATTGGGCTGGATTTCTAGAGAACAGCAGTGGATTTTCAGCCAAGTGTTCACTTGATTTCCAGCACAGGGACACACAGTCCTGATTAGAGCAGTCAAAATGGAATCTACCATGTTGAAGAATATACATTGTTGCACACACAAACATCCTCCAGGATAGACTACAAGGGAGGCCTTAAAAGCTCCTAAAGAAACCCTGTCTCTACTAAAAATACAAAATTAGCCAGGCATGGTGGCGCAGTCCTATAATCCCAGCTACTTGGGAGGCTGAGGCAGAAGAATCACTTGAACCCGGGAGGCGGAGGTTGTGGTGAGCCAAGATTGTGCCACTGCACTTCAGCCTGGGCAACAGAGACCCAGTCTTAGATAAAAAAACAAAAGAAAAACAAAACCCCAACATCATCCAAGTCTGATTATAAGCGTGCTCTGCAAAGATATTACAAAGATCAGCATCAACTACAACGTTGCTTTTCTCAGACAGTAAGCCTCTAAAAGGAAGCACTTTCTCTTCTTTCAGACAACAGAAAGTGCTTCCCTCAAGAGGGTCACAGCCTGACATCTTCTTGCTCTGATGCCGTGGATTTTTTCCTGGAATTTTCTTTGACCAAGTTAAAATAGACACAAAAATAAAGATGCATTTATTGACCCTGTATGCATGTTTTATGGAATCCAGAATATAAAACTCTATAAGGACCATCTCCAGTTCCTTGCTTCAAAGAATCAGCAGGTTAGCCTTGTTCATCAAGGGGCAATCCTCCTGAGTTTTGTCCCCAAAGAGAAAAAGCAATGCCTACTACACGTACCTTTAACCGAGAAAATTGGGCAGGATTTCTGGAGAACAGCAATGGATTTTAAGCCAAGTGTTCACTCGAGTTCCAGTACAGGACCCACAGTCACGAAGGGAGCATCCAAAATGGAGTCTACGATGTTGAAGAATATACACTGTCATATGCACAAACACTCTCCAGAGTAGATCACAGGCTAGGATGTAAAAACTACTCAATAAAATTTGAGCAGAAATACACAAGTACAAGTGGGGCCCAGTGGCTCAGACCTCTAACTCCTCGAACTTTAGGAGGCCCAGGCAGGAGGATCACCTGCCTCAGGAGCTCGAGACCAGCCCCGGCAACATGGCGAGACCCCATGTGTACAAAAATTACAGAAGTTAGCCAGGTGTGGTGGTGCATGCCTGTAGAGACTAATTCAGCAGGCTTAGGTGGGAGGTGGAGGTTGCAGTAAGCCGAGATTGCACCACCACACTCCATCTTGGGTGACAGAGGCAGATATTGTCTCAGAAAAGAACCACACACACACGCACACACACGCACACGCACACACACCCTAGGTGATATCGGAGTATTCTCTGTGTTTAGAAGAGTATTTTGTGTGTACATAATATATAAGAATATAAAATGAAATATACATCATGTATTTTTGAGACCCTGTCTCAAAGAAAGTTCCAAATATTGCATGCTTATAGGAAGAATAATTCCTATACATAACTGCTTGCTTTGGAAGTACACATAAAAAAATTTAAATGACATAGAATATCCTGGCCACTGCACAAAGGCGACACCCAAGTCCATGCTGGTCCCATATTCACCTAATTATTTTTATTTTTATTTATTTATTTATTTAGAGACAGAGTCTCACACTGTTGCCCAGGCAGGAGTGTAACGGTGTGATCTCTGCTCGCTGTAACCTCCGCCTCCCAGATTCATGTGATTCTCCTGCCTCAGCCTCCCGAGTAGCTGGGATTACAGGTGAGTGCCACCACACCCGGCTAATTTTTGTATTTTTAGTAGAGACGGGGTTTCACCATGCTGGCCAGACTGGTCTCGAACAACTGACCTCAGGTGATCCTCCTGTCTCAGCCTCCCAAAGTGCTAGAATTACTGGTGGAAGTCACCATACCCAGACTAGTCCCATATTTAAAATTAGGAAAAAGCAAAAGATGCCCACACCTCAACAGCAATGTTCGAGTACATCTCAAATACATTGCACATCCCATCTGCAAGGGACGCTGAGGTCCCCTTCAATTCTACGTGAACCCACGTGAGGTTCTATAAACCAGTGCCCGAATAATTTCTACGTAGGAAAAGTTGTTGATAGCCGGGCGTGTTGGCTCACACCTGTATTCACAGCACTTTGTGAGGCTGAGGCAGGTGGACCAACTGAGGTCAGGAGTTCCAGACCAACCTGGCCAACATGGCAAAACCCTGTCTCTATTAAAAATACAAAAATTAGCCGGGCGTGGTGGTGCACGGTTGTAGTCCTAGCGACACGTGAGGCTGAGGCAAGAGAATCGCTTGAACCCGGGAGGCAGTGGTTGCAGTGAGCTGAGATCACACCATTGCACTCCAGCCTGGGTGACAGAGCGAGACTCTGTCTCAAAAAAAAATAATAATAATAAAATAAATAAATAAATAAATAAATAAATAAAAGGTGTTGAGGACTGGAAGAACATGCATCGCTCACTATGGCAACAAGAAGAGCTGCTGTGCATTCCACCTGTTACGAGGGAGCCCCTTCTAGGGTCCTCAAGATTTTTGTGAAAACAACTGGTTTTGTTGCATGCTACATTTATCACTGTGACTGAGATTCATCTTGTCTACAACAGTTTCTTATATTAGCCACAGCTAATATAAGACACATTTGACATCTTAGCAAGTAACTGGCATTTAGATGCAAGGTTTAAGCCCATTGGAATGGTACCTTGGAATCGTTACCCAAAGAAAATAGGATAAACATGGCAGCTACAGTCAAAGAACTCACTGGGGTTGGCATTAGTGGGTGAGGGTTGAATCAACTACACCCTTCCTGCAGAGAAAGCAGGTCTATTCCGAGAAATGATGGCAAGATGTTGGGGAAAAACAAATTTCAGTGTTACGGACAAGCAGATTACACTAAAAAGACACGAGTGAACAGGAACAAAAAGAAATTGTATCAATACGGACACCCACTGGGGATTACAGAATAGACTGGATGGACTTGGAGGATTACCCACTCTCTTAATGAAGGAACCATGGTTTGGATTGATTATACTAAATTGATGGGAGGCCATTGTATGACATGACCAACCCAAATGAAATCTGTGGGACCAGGTGCTATGTAATCTGTTTTTAAAGAAATGGGATCTTGCTATGTTGGCCCAGGCTGGAGTGCAGTGGCTATTCAAAGGTGGGATCTGTGCACGGTATAGCCTTAAAATCAAAGCACCCTCCCGCCCCGGCCCCTGCAGTAACTGGGACTGTGTGCCCCATGATGCCTGGCCAAGTCAACTATCTTTGAAATGGGTCATCAGGACAAGGTGGCTCACACCTGTAGGATCGCTTGAGCTCAGGAGTTGAGACCGTCCTGAGCAACAGAGACCCCATCTCTACCAAAAATTAAAAGCTGAACCAAGTGTTGTGTCACGCCCCATGTAATCCCAACTACTTGGGAGGCTGACTCAGGAAGACCACTTGAGGCCGGACACAGTGGCTCACGCCTGTAATACCAGCACTTTGGGAAGCCAGGGAGGCAAATCACTTGAAGTCAGGAGTTGAGAACAGCCCAGCAAACATGGTGTAACCCCATCTCTGCTAAAAATACAAAAATTAGCATGACATGGTGGTGGGCGCCTGTAATCCCAGCTACATGGGAGGCTGAGGTGGCAGAACTGCTGGAACCTGGGAGATGGAGGTTGCAGTGAGTGGAGATTGTCCTACTGCACTCCAGCCTGGGTCACAGAGCCAGATTCCATCTCTAAATGAATGAATGAATAAATAAATAAATAAATAAATAAATAAATAAATAAATAAATAGAGGGTCTCTTGGGCCCAGGAGAGCTAGGTTGGAACTGCCACTGCACTCCAGCCTGGGCAACAGAGACCCTGTCTTGGAGAAAAACAAAATCAGAACCCCAACATCATCCGAGTCTGATGATGAGCGTGCTCTGCAAATGTATTACCAAGATCAGCATCAACTTCAACGCTGCTTTACTCAAACCGAAACAGTCCAAAGGGAAGCACTTTCTTTTCTCTCAGACAACAGAAAGTACTTCCCTCTGGAGGGTCACAGCCTGAGATCTTCTTGCTCCAGCACTCTGGGTTTATTGTTGGAATTTTCCTTGACCAGGTTTAAATGGACACAAAAATAAAGATGCATTTTTCCTGGCCCTGTTTGCATGTTTTCTGGAATCCAGAATATAAACCCCCTAAAAGGACCATCTCCAGTTCCTTCTTTCAAAGGCTCAGCAGGTTAGCCTTGTTCATCAAGGGGCAATCCTCCTGAGTTTTGCCCCCAAAGAGAAAAAGCAATGCCTACTACTCATACCTTATCTTTAACCAAGAGAATCGAACTGAATTTCTAGAGAACAGCAATGGATTTTGAGCCAAGTGTTCACTTGAGTTCCAGTATAGGCACATGTAGTACCCATGGGGGCATCCAAAATGGAATCTAAGATGTTGAAGAATGTACATTGTCGCACACACAAACATCCTCCAGGAGAGACCACAGGCTACGCTGTAAAAGCTCCTCAATAAAAAAATACACAAGTACCTGTTGGGTGCGGTGGCTCACATCTCTAACCCCAGCACTTCAGGACGCCGAAGTGAGAGGATCACTTGAGCTCAAGAGTTCCAGACAAGCCTGGGCAACATGGTGAAGCTTCATCTGTACAAAAAATACAAAAGTGAGCCAGGTGTGGTGGTGCATACCTGTAGACACTAATTCAGGAGGCTGCGGTGGCAGGTGGAGGTTGCAGTGAGCCAACATTGCACCACTGCACTCCAGCCTCGGTGATATAGTCAGGCTGTGTCTTGTAAAAACTAGAAACACATACACACACACACACACACACACACACACACACAAAGACACACACTCAAAGTGATAGTCTCCTGCCTCACCCTCCGGAGTAGCTGAGACTACAGGCGTGCGCCACCAGCCCTGGCTAATTTTTTGTATTTTTAGCAGAGACATGGTTTCACCATGTTGGCCAGTCTGGTCTCGCCCTCCTGATCTCAGGTTATCCACCCGCCTCGGCCTCCCAAACTGCTGGGATTACAGGCGTGATCCACCGCACCTGGCCATACATCATATATTTTTGAGACCCTGTCTCAAAAGAAAGAAAGTTCCATATACTGTATGCTCACAGAAAGAATAATTCCTACACATAAGTCCTTGCTTTGGCAGCTCACACCCCCGTCTCTAAAATACAAAACCTAAATCAAGTGTGCGTTGATAACGTGGTCATACACCCTGTATTTCAGCTTCATTTACCCAATAAAAACTCAAAGCCCATGCACTCCACCTCTGTGCTCTTGCGAAGCAATGCACATCCCATCTGCAAGGGACACTGAGGTTCCCTTCAACTCTACCTCAAGTCAAGTCAAGGGAGGTTCTGTAAACCAGTGCAGGCATAACTTCCACGGAGTGAAAGGTGTTGAGGGCTGGACGAACAGGCATCACTCACTATGGCAACAAGAGCGGATGCGCATCCCACCTGTTACTAGGGAGGCCCTTCTAGGGTCCTCAAGGTTTTTGTGAAAGTATCTGTGGTTTTGTCCCATGTGACATTTATCACTGCAACTGAGATTCATCTTGTCTATAATAGCTTGTTTCTCATATTAGCCACAGCCAACATTTCACAGCTTACCAAGAAATTTGCATTTAAATGTGAGGTTTTGCAGGTTGGAATGGTACACTGGAAAAATTACCTGCAGAAAACAGGATAAACAGTGCAGCTGCAGTCACAGCACTCACTACGGTTGGCATGAGTGGGTGAGGGTTGAATCAACTACACCCTTCCTGCAGAAAAAGGTCTATTCCGAGAAATAAGTGGAAGCTGTTAAGCAAGAAAAATTTTCGATGTCAGGGACGAGCAGATTAAATTAAAAAGACAGGAATGGGCCGGGCACGGTGGCTTATATCTATAATCCCCAGCACTGTGGGAGGCCAAGGAGGCAGATCACTTGAGGTCAGGAGTTGAGACCAGCCCCGCAAACATGGTGAAACCCCGTCTGTGCCAAAAGTACAAAAACTGGCAGGTCATAGTGGTGAGCATTTGTAATCCCAGCTACTAGTGACACGGAGGTGGGAGAATTTCTGGAACCTGGGAGGCAGAGGATGCAATGAGTGGAGATCATCCCACTCTACTCCAGCCTGGGTGACAGAGCCAGGCTCCATCTCAAAAATGAATACATAAATAAATAAAAAGAGGATCACTTGAGCCCAAGAGAGCTAGGTTGGAAGTGCCACCGCACTCCAGCCTGGGCAACGGAGACCCTGTCTTAGAAAAACACAAAACCAAAACATAACCCCGCTATCATCCAAGTCTGATGATAAGCATGCTCTGCAAATGTATTACCAAGATCAGCATCAACTTCAACACTGCTTTTCTCAAACCGTAACCCTCAAAAGGGAAGCGCTTTCTCTTCTTTCTGACAACAGAAAGCGCTTTCCTTTGTAGACTCATAGCTTGAGATCTTCTTGCTCCAGCACTCTGGGTTTCGTGTTGGAATTTTCTTTGACCAGGTTTAAATGGACAGAAAAATAAAGATGCATTTAGTGGCCCTGTTTGCATGTTTTCTGGAATCCAGAATAAAACGCCTGAAAAGGACCATCTCCAGTTCCTTGCTTCAAAGGCTCAGCAGGTTAGCCTTGTTCATCAAGGGACAATCCTCCCGAGTTTTGTTCTCAAACAGAAAAAGCAATGCCTACTAGACATACCTTATACTTAACCAAGAGAATTGGACTGGATTTCCAGAGAACAGCAAATGGATTCTGAGCCAAGTGTTCATTTGAGTTCCAGTGCGGAGACACACAGTCCCATTGGAAACATCCAAAATGTGATCTAAGATGTTGAACTATATACATTGTCGCACACACAAACATCCTCCAGGATAGACCACAGGCTAGGTGGTAAAAGCTCCTCAATAAAATTTGAACAGGAATACACAAGTACCAGTTGGGTGTGGTGGCTCATACCTCTAATCCCAGCACATCAGGAGGCCAAGGCAGGAGATTCACTTGAGCTCAGGAGCTCAAGACCAGCGTGTACAACACGGTGAAACCCTGTCTGTAAAAAAATACAAATGTAGGCCAGGTGTGGTGGTACATGCCTGTAGACACTAATTCAGGAGGCTGGGGTGGGAGGCGAAGGTTGCAGTGAGCCAAGACTGAAACACTGCACTCCAACCTGGGCGACTGAGCCAGATCTTGTTGCAAAAAAAAATTTAAAAGAACACACAAGCAAAAACCACCCCAAAGTGATATCAGTCATCTCTGTGTGTAGAAGAGTATTTTTTGTGTATATAATTATATATATGGCTATATGATGAAATATACATCATATATAATATATATATACACACAAACACACCCATATATATATTTTTTTTTTTGAGACAGAGTCTCTCTCTCTATATAAATATATATGTATATATATATTTTTTTTTTGAGACAGTCTTATTCTCTCGCCCAGGCTGGAGTGTGGTGGCGTGATCTTGGCTCACTGCAACCTCCATCTGTCCGTTCAAGTGATTCTCCTCCCTCAACTTCCCCAGCAGATGGGAATACAGGCGTGCGCCACCATAGCTGGCTAATTTTTTGTATTTTTAGTAGAGACAGGGTTTCACCATGTTGGTCAGGCTGGTCTCAAACTCCTGACCTCAAGTGATCCACTCGCCTCAACCTGCCAAAGTGTTGATATTGCAGGCATGAGCCACCGCTCATGTCGTATACACACAAAAACTGCTCATATACTCATGCGCCTGGCTGTACATCATTTATTTTCCAGACCCTATCTCAAAAAAAAAGAAAGTTCCATATACTGTATGCTCACATAAAGAATTACTCCTACACATAAATGTTTGCTCCACACATAAGAAATGAATGGAGTGACAGAGATCACCATGGCCCCTGTGCAGAGGTGATGCCCAAATTCATGATGGGTCTCATATTGAAAATTAAGATCAAAGGCCGGGTGCAGTGGTTCATGACTGTAAACCCAGCACTTTGGGAGGCCGAGGCAGGTGGATTACGAGGTCAGGAGATGGAGACCATCCTGGTCAACACGGTGAAACCCCATCTCTGCTAAAAATACAAAAATTAGCCGGGCGTGGTGGCATGGGCCTGTACTCCCAGCAACACAGGAGACTGAGATGGGAGAACCACTTCAACCCGGGAAGGGGAGATTGTAGTGAGCAGAGATCGTGACCCTGCAAAGAGGACCACCTGAGCCCAAGAGAGCTAGGTTGGAAGTGCCACTGCTCTCCAGCCTGGGCAAAAGAGACCCCGTCTTAGAAAACAAACAAACCAGGAACAAAAGCCCACCCTCATCCAAGTCTGATGATAAGCACGCTCTGCAAATGTATTGCCGAGATCAGCATGAACGTTAACGTTGCTTTTCTCAAACTGTAATCCTCTAAAAAGATGCACTTTCTTTTCTTTCAGACAACAGAAAGCGCTTCCCTCTAGAGGGTCACAGGCTGAGATCTTCTTGCTCCAGCACCATTGATTTTTTGTTGGAATTTTCCTTGACCAGGTTAAAATGGACACAAAAATAAAGATGCATTTATTGGCCCTGTTTGCATGATTTCTGGAATCCAGAACATAAACCCCTATCAGGGCCATCTCCAGTTCCTTGTTTCAAAAAGCAATGCCGACTATACATACCTTATATTTAACCATGAGAATTGGGCTGGATTCTAGAGAACAGCAATAGATTTTGAGCTAAGTGTTCACTCGAGTTCCAGTACAGTGACACACAGTCCCGACGGGGGCATCCAAAATGGAATCTACGATGTTGAAGAATATGCATTGTCACACACACAAACACCCTCCAGGAGAGACCACAGGCCAGGCTGTAAAAGCTCCTCAATAAAATGAGCAGAAACACACAGGTACAGGTGAGGTGTGGTGGCTCACACCTCTAAACCCAGCCCTTTAGGAGGCTGAGGCAGGAGTATCACTTGAGTTCAAGAGTTTGAGACCAGCCTGGGCAACATGGTGATACCTCATGTGTAGAGAAAACAGAAAAGTTAGCCGGGCGTGGTGGTGTGCGCCTGTAGACAGCTACTCAAGAGGCTGAAGTGGCAGGTGGAGGTTGCAATAAGCTGAGATGGCACCACTGCACTCTAGCCTGGGTGACAGACCCAGACCTTATCTAAAAAAAAAACAAAAACATACACACACAAACAAAAAATTACCCAAAGTGATACGAGAGTATTCTCTGTGTATAGAAGAGTGTTTTGTGTGTATATGACTATGTTACATGTATAATAAGAATATGATAAAATATATATTTTTGAGACCGTACATCAATAAAAATTAAGTTCCATATACTATGTGCTCACATGAAAAATAATTCCTACACATATGTGCTTGCATTGGCAGCACACATTAAAAAAAATTGGAGGCTAGGCTGGGTGGCTTACACCTATAATCTCAGCATTTTGGGAGGCTGAGGCAGGCGGATCACCTGAGGTCAGGAGTTGGAGACTAACCTGGCCATCATGATGAAACTGCATCTCTGCTAAAAATGCAAATATTAGCCAGGCGTCGTGGCACGTGCACCTGTAATCCCATCTACTTGGGAGGAGAGGTTGCAGTGAGCAGATAACATGCCACTGCGCTCAAGCCTGGGCCAGAGACAGAGACTCTGTTTCAAGAAAAAAAAAAAAAGCAAGCACGGGACCACTTGAGCCCAAGAGATCTAGGTTGGAAGCGCCACCGCACTCCAGCCTGGGCAACAGAGACCCCATGATGCAAAACAACTAAACAAAAACAGAACCCCAACATCATGCAAGTCTGATGATAAGCACGCTCTGCAAATGTGTTACCAAGATCAGCATCAACTTCAACGTGGTTTTTCTCAAACAGTAACGCTCCAAAAGAAGGCACTCTGCTTTCAGACAACAGAAAGTGCTTTCTTTTGGAGAATGACTGCATGAGATCTTCTCGCTCCAAAAGTCTGGGTTTTTTGACGGAATTTTCCTCACCTGGTTAAAATGGACACAAAAATAAAGATACATTTATTGACTCTCTCTGCATGTTTTCTGGAATCCAGAATATAAACCCCTAAAAGGACCATCTCCAGTTCCTTGCTTCAAAGGCTCAGCAGGTTAGCCTTGTTCATCAAGAGACAATCCTCCTGAGTTCTGTCCCCAAAGAGAAAAAGCAATGCCTACCACACATACCTTATATTTAACCATGAGAATTGGGCTGGATTTCTAGAGAACAGCAATGGATTTGAAGCCAAGTGTTCACATAAGTCCCAGTACAGGGACACACAGTCCCCATGCAAGCATCCAAAATGGAATCTAAGATGATGTTTAAGAATATACACTGTTGTACACACATTCTCCAGGATAGAACACAGGCTAGGCCATAAAAGCTCCTCAATAAATTTTTTTTTTTTTTTTGAAACAAGTCTCACTTTGTTGCCCAGGCTGTAGTGCAGGGCCGTGATCTCAGCTCACTGCAAGCTCTGCCTCCAGGTTTCCAGCAATTCTCCTGTCTCAGCCTCTGGGGTACCTGGGATTACAGGCACGTGCCACGATGCCCACCTAATTTTGCATTTTTAAAATTTTTTTTTCTTTTTTTTCTTTTCTTTTTGTGGAGAACAGGGTCTCACTGTATTGCCCAGGCAGGTCTCAAACTCCTGGGCTCAAGCTATCCTCCTGCCTCTGCCTCCCTAAGAGCTGGGATTACAGGCGTGAGCCACCGCGCCCGGCTAATTTTTGTACTTTTAGTAGAAATGAGGTTTCACCATCTTGGCCAGGCTGGTCTCAAACTCCTGACTCCAGGTGATTAGCCTGCTTTGGTCTCCAAGAGTGCTGAGACGACATGCCTGAGCTACCGTGCCTGGCCTGCAGACAGCTATTCCAGAGGCTGCGGTGGGGCATGGGCCAAGACTGCAACACTGCACTGCAGCCTGGGTGACAGAGCCAGACCTTGTCTCATAACACACACACACACACACACACACACACACACACACACACACGAAGGAAAAAAAACCCAAAGTGATACAAGAGTATTCTGTGTGTGTAGAAGAGTGTTTTGTGTTAATCATTATATTATCTATAGAAGATGATATGATAAAATGTGTATCATATATAAGACACTGCCCCCAGAAAAGGAAGTTCTATATACTGAATGCTCACACGAAGAGTAATTTCTCCACCTAAGTGCCTTCTCTGGCAGCATATGTTAAAAAAAAAAAAAAATGACAGCGATTCCCACGTCCCCTGCACAAAGTGACACCCAAATTCATGATGGTCCCATATTTAAAATTAGAAAAAACAAATGCCGACACCCACAGCCAATCATTTCTACTTCAAGTACATCTCAAGTATACTGTTAATCTGAAATACAAATTTAACCAGGTTTCCCTGCTCTGGGAAGCCCCCTTTGGTAATTCAGATAAGGGTCTCCTTTGGAAGGTAATGGGTAAGGAACATGGAGATGTCAGCCAAGGGAAGTGACTCTCAGGGATTTCTATGGATTATGCAGACGCCCAGCCAGATCCCAAACTTCCCCAAAAGATCCCAAGTCCAGGCAGGAAGGACCACTGGGCTCCAGAAACCAAATGAAGTGGCCCTGGGCAGGAGTCTCTGTTGTCAGATTCCATGACTAAGACAGCCAGGGAGCAGAGTGAAAATCCCAGGGGCTCTCTCTCCCAGAAGACACCTGCTCCATCCAGATCAAACCCAAAATGTCCCCAGAGAATGATGCCTGCTTCTCCTTTCCCCTCGGCTCATCCTGCCTGCATCGGTGCAGTGCCCTGACGTTCCCAGCCCAGAGGCCTTCACTCCTTCCAGTGCCCCAGGAGGGTCACCTTGCAGTTCTCAGGGAGGAAGATGGGGTCTTCCACCCTTGTGAGCTTCCCAGACATCAGGGTCTGCCCGCCCCACTCCATTCCCAAAGGATGTTCCGCCCAGTTCTCCCAGCCTCCTGCTTCCCTCCAGGGACCACCCTTCAGTGGTAAGATTCACATTGCAGACAACCAGGACCAACCCATTATCCTCAACTGGACACCCATACAAGATTGGTCTACGTGACCGGCCTACAAGAGGCAGATCCAGAGCTAGAGAGATGGGGAGTCGTTGCCACGGTCTGGGTGGAAGAGGTGGGTGGGTACTGACTGCAAATGAGTATAAGCCTCTTCGGGGTGATGAAAATCTTCCAAAACTAGAGTGGTGGTGGCTGCAAACAAGCTAAAATCCACATCTCAGAGTTCATCTCAAAAGATTAGTTTCTCGGCCGGGCGCGGTGGCTCACGCCTATAATCCCAGCACTTTGGGAGGCCGAGGCGGGCGGATCACGAGGTTAGAAGATCGAGACCATCCTGGCTAACACGGTGAAACCCCGTCTCTACTGAAAATGCAAAAAATACAAAAATTAGATGGGCGTGGTTGCACGCACCTGTGATCCCAGCTACTCAGGAGGCTGAGGTTTCAGTGAGCCAAGATAGTGCCACTGCATTGCTGAGACACACAGTGAGACTCCCTGTCAAACAAACAAACAAACAAACAAAAACGACCGGAGCCCAAGAAATGTAGGTTGAAGTGTCACCGCACTCCAGCCTGGGCAACAGGGACCTTGTCTTGGAATACAACAAAACAAAAGCAAAACCCCACCATCATCCAAGTCTGATGATAAGCACGCTCTGCAAATATTTTACCAAGATCAGCATCAACTTCAACATTGCTTTTCCCAAACGGTAACCCTCTAAAAGGAAGCACTTGCTTTTCTTTCTGACCACAGAAAGCGCTTCCCTTTAGAGGGTCACAGCCTGAGATCCTCTTGCTCCAGCACCGTGGATTTTTTGTGGGAATCTTCCTTGACCAGGTTTAAATGGACACAAAAATAAAGATGCATTTATTGGGGCCGGGCGCAGTGGCTCATGCCTGTAATCCCAGCACTTTGGGAGGCCGAGGCGGGCAGATCACGAGGTCAGGAGATCAAGACCATCCTGGCTAACAGGGTGAAACCCCGCCTCTACTAAAAATACAAAAAATTAGCCTAGCGTGGTGGTGGGCACCTGTAGCCCCAGCTACTTGGAAAGCTGAGGCAGGAGAATGGCGTGAACCCAGGAGGCTGAGCTTGCAGTGAGCCAAGATTGTGCCACTGCACTCCAGCCTGGGTGACAGAACGAGACTCCATCTCAAAAACAAAACAAAACAAAACAAAAAGATGCATTTATTGGCCCTGTTTGCATGTTTTCTGGAATCCAGAACATAAACCCCTAAAAGGACCATCTCCAGTCCTTTGCTTCAAAGAATCAGCAGGTTAGCCTTGTTCATCAAGGGGCAATCCTCCTGAGTTCTGTCCCCAAAGAGAAAAAGCAATGCCTACCACATATACCTTATATTTAACCATGAGAATTGAGCTGGATTTCTAGAGAACAGCAATGGATTTTGAGCCAAGTGTTCACTCGAGTTCCAGCACAGGGACACACAGTCCCGATGGGAGCATCCAAAATGGAATCTACTATGTTCAAGAATATACACTGTCTCACACACAAACATCCTGCAGGATAGACCACAGGGTATGCTGTATAAGCTCCTCAATAAATACAGAAATACACAAGTATGGGTGGGGCGTGGTGGCTCACACCAATAAACCCAGCACTTAAAGAGGGCAAGGCAGGAGGATCACTTGAGCTCAGGAGTTCGAGCTCAACCAGCATGGGTAATATGGTGAAACCTTATGCACAAAAAATAGAAAAGTTAGCTGGGTGTGGTGGTGCGCACCTGTAGACAAGTACTCAGGAGGCTGAGGTGGCAGGTGGAGGTTGCAGTAAGTCGACATGGCACCACTGCACTCCAGCCTGGGTGATAAAGCTAGACCTTGTCTCAAAACAAAACAAACAAACAAACAAGAAAAACACAGAAAGAAACAAGTAAATAAATACCCAAAGTGATACAAGAGTATTCTCCGTGTGTAGAACAGGGTTTGGTGTACATATGACTACATTATATACATGATAAGACTATATGATTAAATATACATCATATATTGTTGAGACCCTGTCTATGAAAAAAAAAAAAAAGAATATACTGTTTGCTCACATTAAAAATAACTCCTCACCGGGTGCGGTGGCTCATGCCTGTAATCCCAGCAGTTTGGGAGGCCGAGGCAGGTGGATTAGTTGAGGTCAGGAGTTTGAGACCAGCCGGACCAACATGGCAAAACCCCGATTCTACCAAAAGGACAAAAATTAGCCGGGGTGGCGGCATGCACCTGAAATCCCAGCTACTCAGGAGGCTGAGGCAGGAGAATCGCTTGAACCCGGAAGGCGTAGGTTGCAGTGAGCCGAGATCATGCCACTGCACTCCAGCCTGGGCGACAAGAATGAGACTCCATCTCAAACAAACAAACAAACAAACAAACAAAATTCCTACACACAAGTGCTTGCTTTGGCAGCACAAAAAAATACAAATAATAATTAAAAAAAAAAAAAAAAACACCCTGCAGTCCGAGCAGGGTGGCTCATGCCTGTAATCCCACCACTTTGGAAAGCAGAGGCGGGCAGATCACCTGAGGTCAGGAGTTCAAGACTAACCTGGCCAATGTGGTGAAACTCCATCTCTGCTAAAAATACAAAAATTAGCCAGGCGTGGTGGCACGTGCCTATAATACCAGCTACTTGGGAGGCCGAGGTTGCAGTGAGCAGAGAATGTGTCACTGCCTGCCCGCCTGGCCCACATAGTGAGACTCTGTCTCAAGAACAAAAACAACAAAAAAAGTAGGGGGGACCAACTAGCCTAAGAGGTCTAGGTTGGAAGCGCCACCGCACTCCTGCCCGGGCAACAGAAACCCTGTGTTGCAAAAAAACTAAACAAAAACAGAACCCCAACATCATGCAAGTCTGATGATAAGCACGCTCTGCAAATGCGTTACCAAGATCAGCATCAACTTCAACGTGGTTTTTCTCAAACAGTAACACTCTAAAAGGAGGCACTTTGTTTTCTTTCAAACAGAAAGTGCTCCCTTTTGGAGAATGACTGCATGAGATCTTCTCGCTCCAAAACTCTGGGTTTTTGTTGGAATTTTCCTTACCAGGTTAAAATGGACACAAAAATAAAGATGCATTCATTGTCCCTGTTTGCATGTTTTCTGGAATCCAGAACATAAACCCCTAAAAGGACCATCTCCAGTTCCTTGCTTCAAAGGCTCAGCAGGTTAGCCTTGTTCACGAAGGGGCAACCCTCCTGAGTATTGTCTCCAAAGAGAAAAAGCAAAGCCTACCACACATACCTTATATTTAACCAAGAGAATTGGGCTGGATTTCTAGAGAACAGCAATGGATTTTGAGCCATGTGTTCACTTGAGTTCCAGCACAGGGACACACAGTCCCGATGGGAGCAACCAAAATGGAATCTAAGATGATATTTAAGAATATACGTTGTGGGCCAGGCACAGTGGCTCATGCCTGTAATCCCAGCACTTTGCGAGGCCGAGGCAGGTGGATCACCTAAGGTCAGGAGTTCAAGACTAATCTGGCCATCATGATGAAACTCCGTCTCTGCTAAAAATACAAAAATTAGCCAGGCGTGGTGGCATGTGCCTGTAATACCAGCTACTCGGGAGGCAGAGGTTGCAGTGAGCAGAGAACATACCACTGCACTCCAGCCTGGGCCACAGAGAGAGACTGTCTCAAGAGAAAAAAAAGGGGGAGGGGGTGGGGGCAGGGACCAACTGAGCCCAAGAGGTCTAGGTTGGAAGTGTCACCGCACTCCAGCCTGGGCAAGAGACCCTGTGTTGCAAAAAAACTAAACAAAAACAGAACCCCAACATCATGCAAGTCTGATGATAAGCACGCTCTGCAAATGTGTTACCAAGATCAGCATCAACTTCAACGTGGTTTTTCTCAAACAGTAACGCTCCAAAAGAAGGCACTCTGCTTTCAGACAACAGAAAGTGCTTTCTTTTGGAGAATGACTGCATGAGATCTTCTCACTCCAAAACTCTGGGTTTTTTGTTGGAATTTACCTTACCAGATTAAAATGAACACAAAAATAAAGATGCATTCATTGGCCAGGCGCGGTGGCTCACGCCTGGAATCCCAACACTTTGGGAGGCTGGTCAAGAGACCACGACCATCCTGGCCAACATGGTGAAACTCCGTCTCTACTAAAAATACAACCATTTGCCGCCTGTGGTGGCATGTACCTGTAGTCCCAGCTACTCGGGAGGCTGAGGCAGGGGAATTACTTGAACCAGGAGGCAGAAGTTGCAGTGAGCCGAGATCGTGCCACTGCACTCCAGACTGGCAAGAGTAAGACTCCATCTCAAAAAAAAATAAAAATAAAAATAAAAAAGGTGCATTCATTGCCCCTGTTTGCATGTTTTATGGAATCCAGAACATAAACCCCTGAAAGGACCATCTCCAGTTCCTTGCTTCAAAGGCTTAGCAGGTTAGCCTTGTTCATCAAGGGGCAATCCTCCTGAGTTTTGTCCCCAAAGAGAAAAAGCAATGCCTACCACACATACCTTATCTTTAACCAAGAGAATTGGGCTGGATTTCTAAGGATGTTGAGCCAGTGTTCACTTGAGTTCCAGCACAGAAACACACAGTCCTGATGGGAACATCCAAAATGGAATCTAAGATAATGTTTAAGAATATACATTGTTGTACACACAAATACCCTCCAGGACAGACCACAGGCTAGGCCGTAAAAGCTCCTCAGTAAGATTTGACAGAGCTGGGGGGAAAAAAAGAATGTACATTGTCACACACACGAACATTCTTCAGGATAGACCACAGGCTAGGCTGTAAAACCTCAATAATTTTTTTTCTTGGAGACTAAGTTAGGAAAAACAAATGCCCACACCTAAACAACCAATCATTTCTAGTTCAAGTACATCTCAAGTATACTGTTGACCTGAAATAGAAAGTTAACCGGGTTTCCCTGCTCTGGGAAGCCCCCTTTGGTAATTCAGTTAAGGGTCTCCTTTGGAAGGTAATGGGTAGGAACATGGAGATGTCAGCCAAGGGAAGTGACTCTCAGGGATTTCTATGGATTATGCAGATGCCCTGCCAGATCCCAAACTTCCCCAAAAGATCCTAAGTCCAGGCAGGAAGGACCACTGGGGTCCAGAAACCAAATGAAGTGGCCCTGGGCAGGAGTCTCTGTTGTCAGATTCCATGACTAAGACAGCCAGGGAGCAGAGTGAAAATCCCAGGGGCTCTCTCTCCAGGAGACACCTGCTCCATCCAGATCAAACCCAAAATGTCCCCAGCCAGTGATGCCTGGCTCTCCTTTCCCCTCGGCTCATCCTGCCTGCATCGGTGCAGTGCCCTGACGTTCCCAGTCCAGAGGGTGGAGGTTGCAGTGAGGGGAGATCACAGACTGTCAGAGCCTTCCTCTCTCCTTGCCTATGCATGGGTTAATATTCACCTGAAGTCCCAGCTACTAGGGTACGCATAGGAGCACAGCCCAGTTTAGTCTGGGTGACACAGTGAGACCCCCATCTCTAAAATTTAAAAATTAAATCAAATGTGCAATTTTTTGACCTGTTCATGCACACTACATTTCGGCTGCATTTACCCAATAAAAACTCAGAGCCCATGCACTCCACCTCCGTGCGCTTGCTAAGCAGTGCACATCCCATCAGCAAGGGACACTGAGGTCCCCTCCAACTCTACCTCAACCCAAGAGGTGTTCTATAAAGCAGTGCAGGCAGAACTTCCATGGAGTAAGAGGTGTTAAGGGCTGGACGAACAGGCATCGCTCACTGTGGCAACAACAAGAGCTGCTGAACATCCCACCTGTTACTAGAGAGACCCTTCTAGGGTTCTAAAGGACCCTATTTTTGCGAAAATATCTGTGGTTTTGTCTCATGTGACATTTGTCACTGTGATTGAGATGGATTTTCTTTACAATAGTTTATATTAGGCACAGCAAACATTTTAGATCTTGCCAAGCAACCTGTATTCAGAGGCGAGGTTTTGCCTGTTGGAATGGTACATTGGAACCGCTACCCACAGGAAACAGGATAAATGGTCCAGCTGTAGTCAAAAGAACTCACTAGGGTTGTTGGCATTAGTGGTTGAGGGTTGAATCAACTATAAGCTTCTCACAGAGGAAGCAGGTCTATTCTGAGAAATGATGGTAAGCTGTTAGGAAGGAAAAATTTTCAGTGTCAGGGACAAGTAGATTAAAATAAAAAGACAAATGAACAGGAAAAAAAAAATCCCCATTGGGGACTGCAGAACAAGACTGGACAGGCCGGGCGTGGTGGCTCTCGTCTGTAATCCCGGCACTTTGGGAGGCTGAGGTGGGTGGATCACGGAGGTCAGGAGTTCGAGACCAGCCTGACCGACATGGTGAAACCCCATCTCTAGTAAAAACACAAAAATTAGCTGGTCATGGTGGCAGGCGCCTGTCATTCTAGCTACTTGGGAGGCTGAGGTGAGAGAACTCCTTGAACTCAGGAGGCAGAGGTTGCAGTGAGCTGAGATTGCACCATTGCACTCTAGCCTGAGTGACAAGAGCCAAGCTCTGTCTCAAAAAGACTGGATAGACTTGGAGGCTTATTTACTCTCTTAATGAAGGAAACATGGTTTGGATTCATTAAACTAAATTTATAGGAGGCCATTGTTTGACCAACACAAATGGTGTCTCTGGAACCAGGTGCCATGTAATGTATTTTTTTTTAAGAGATGGGATCTTGCTATGTTGGCCCAGGCTGGAGTGCAGTGGCTATTCAAAGGTGTCATTAGTGCACGGTATAGCATTGAAATCAAGAGACTCTCCCACCCCAGCCTCTGCAGTAGCTGGGGCTGTGTGTCCCACTATGCTTGATCATGTCAACTATCTTTAAAATGGGCACGGTGGCTCACACCTGTAGGATTGCTTGAGCTCAGGAGTTGAGACCATCCTGGCCAGGGTGAGGCCCCATCTCTACAAAAAATTGAAAAATCTACCAAATATGGCGGCACACCCCTATATTATAGTCCCAGCTACTCGGCAGGCTGAGGCATAGAGGACCAGTTCATCCCAGGAGTTCTAGGTTGGAAGGGCAACTGCATTCCAGCCTGGGTGGAGACCCTCATCTTGGAGTAAAAACAAAACCTCACATCACCCAAGTCTGATTATAAGTATACTCTGCAGGTGTGTTACAAACATCAGCATCAACCTCAAGGTTGCTTTTCTCAAACAGTAACCCTCAAAAAGGAAGCACTTTCTTTCCTTTCAGACAACAGAAACTGCTTCCATCTTGAGGGTCACAGCAGGAGACAGTCTTGCTCCAGCACTCTGGGTGTTTATTGGTTTCCTTGGATTCTAAAACCTTGACCAGGCTGAAATGAACACAAAAATAAAGATACAGCCAAACATTCATTTGCCCTGTTTGCATGTGTTCTGGAATCCCAAATTATAAGCCCATTAAATGAACATCTCGGGTTCCTTGCGTGAAAATCTCAACAGGTTGCCCTTATGAATCAAGAAGCAATCCTCCTGAGTTTTGTCCCCCGAAAGAAAAAGCAGCGACTACTATACATACCTTAAATTTAACCAAGAGAACTGGCTAGATTTATAGAGAACAGCAATGAATTTTGAGCCAAGTGTTCACCTAAGTTCCAGTACACCTAAGTTCCAGTCCTGATGGGAGGATCCAAAATGGAATCTGAGCTGTTTAAGAATATATATTGTCAGTCAGGCGTGGTGGTGCACACCTGTAATCCCAGCTACTCGGGAGGCCGAGGCAGGAGAATTGCTTGAACCCAGGAGGCAGAGGTTGCAGTGAGCCGAGATCATGCCATTGCACTCCAGCTTGGGCCACAAGAGTGAATCTCCGTCTCAAAAAAAAAAAAGTACAAAAATTAGGAATATACATGGTCAGCCTGGGCAGGGTAGCTCACGCCTGTAATCTCAGCACTTTGAGAGGCCGAGGCGGGACTCCTGAGGTCAGGAGTTCAAGACCACCTTGGTCAATATGGCGAAACCCCACCTCTACTAAAAATACAAAAATTAGCCGGGTGTGGTGGAGGGTAATCCCGGCTACTCGGGAGGCTGAGGCAGGAAAATCGCTTGAACCCGGGAGGCGGAGGTTGCAGTGAGCTGAGATTCATGCCACTGTACTCCAGCTAGGGCAACAAGAGTGAAACTCCATCTCAAAAAAAAGAAAAAAAAAAAAAAATATATATATATATATATATATACACATTGTCATGCACACAAATATTCTCCAGGATAGACCACAGGCTAGGCCATAAAACCTCAACAGAATTTAAAGAGAAATATACAAGTATGAGTAGGGAGTGGTGGCTGACACCTGTAATTCCAGCACTTTGGGAGGCTGAGGCAGGAGGATGCTTGAGCCCCGGAGGTTGAGAGGCTGCAGTGAGCTGTGAACATGACACTGCACACCAGTCTAGGCAAGAGTGAGACCGCATCTCTATTTGTATTAAATAAGCTATATTAAAAAAAAATTACACTCCTGAAGACCTTTCAGGCAGGGAAATTCTCAGGCAATTTACTCACTGTAGCTTCATGAAATTACCAAGACGCTTATGACTATTTCCGTTAAAATGAATTTTCTAAGTACATTTCCTGGATCAACAGCATCCAGAAGTAAACACAGGAATCTGATTTCATGCTTGTTTAAAAAACTATTAACATTGCCATCAACTTCCTTAGACGATTGCTCTCAAACTGTGAGCTTCAAGCTCTGGAGGTGCTTTTCATCCAGTTATAGAAAAACGCCCCCTGGCTTGAAATCACAGCCTGAGCTTCACTTCCCAAGGAGGGTTTGGGGCTTGAGCATTCTCAGGGTCCATCTGAAATCAGAGTGCAAACAAAAGGCATCCCAGAGCAGTCCACTCTCAATAATAAGCAGAATTAGGCAGAAGTAAGTAGAAGTTTCAAATAAGTTTGCAAACCAACTCAATGGACATCTACTGAACCCTCCCCAACATTCAAATGCACACATAGCATAGGACGGGACAGACGTTATGAGACACATAATACACGAGGCATACAATGGAGAAGGACCAAAGTACATTATGTTCAATCACCACCATAAAATGCAATTAGAAATCATTGTTGAAGACAGGCACGGTGGCTCACGCCTCTTATCCCAGCACTTTGCGAGGCGGAGGTGGGCAGACCACCTGAGGTCAGGAGTTCGAGACCAGCCTGGCCAACATGGTGAAACCCTGTCTCTACTAAAAATACAAAAATTAGCTGGGTGTAGTGGCGGGCGCCTGTAATCCCAGCTACTGGGGATGCTGAGGCAGGAGAATTGCTTGAACCCGGGAGGCAGAGGTCGCAGTGAGGCAAGATCACACTACTGCACTACAGCATGGGTGACAGAGAGAGACTCCATCTCAAAAAAAAAAAACTCTCAAATGGTCAGGCAGGATGGCTCAAGCCTGTAGTCCCAGCACTTTGGAAGGTGGAGGCAGGAGGATTGCTTGAGTCCAGGAGTTTGAGACCAACCTGGGCAACATAGTGAGACCCTGTCTAAATACATAGAGAGATAGGCAGGAAACATGGTGAAACTCCATTTCTACTAAAAATACAAAAAATTGGCCAGGGGCAGTGACTCAAGCCTGTAATCCCAGCACTTTGGGAGGCCGAGGCAGGCAGATCACGAGATCAGGAGACCGAGACCACCCTGGCTAACACAGTGAAACCCCGTCTCTACTAAAAATACAAAAAAATTAGCTGGGCGTGGTGGCGGGCACCTGTAGTCCCAGCTAGTCGGGAGGCTGAGGCAGGAGAATGGCATGAATCAAGGAGGCGGAGCTTGCAGTGATCCGAGATCACACCACTGCACTCCAGCCTGGGCAACAGAGCAAGACTCCATCTCAAAAAATAAAAAAAATAAAAAAATAAAAAAAAATTAGCCGGGCATGGTGGTGCACACCTGTAATCCCAGCTACTTGGGAGGCTGAGGCAGGAGAATCACTTGAACCCAGGAGGCAGAGGTTGCAGTGAGCCGAGATTGTGCCACTGCACTCCAGTTTAGGCAACAAGAGCGAAACCCTGTCTCAAAAAAAAAAAAAGAAAGAAAAAAAGAAAATGCTTAGACATTTACATTGAGACTAAGAAAAATGGCTCCCCAGATCCCAACCCAGGTCTATGGCACCAAACAAAATCTGTGGGTGGGCCCCAACAAGCTGCTTCAGCCAAGCTTCTGGGTTTTTGTCATAAATTTAAGAACCTCTGGGAATGGGGGCACGTGCATCTGTAATACCAGCTACTTGGAGGCTGAGGCAGGATGATCACTTGAGCCCAGGAGGTTGAGACTGCAGTGAGCTATAGTCGCACCATTGTACTCAAGGCTGGAAGACAGAACCCCTGGTCCATGATATCCTGGGTAGAAACCAGGACATCTACTAAATAGATGGACTGGTATGGGGGGCAGAAGGGAAAGGAAACCTTCACAGGAAGCACTTTTTTTTTTTTTTGAGTCTCGCTCTGTCACCCAGGTTGCAGTACAGTGCCATTATCTTGGCTCACTGCAACCTCTGCCTCCTGGGTTCAAGCGATGCTCCTGTCTGCACCTCCCAAGTAGCTGGGATTACAGGCACATGCCACCATGTCCAGCTAATTTTTGTATTTTTAGTAGAGACAGGGTTTCAAGTGCCTCGCCTGCCTCCCAAAGTGCTGGGACTACAGGCGCGAGCCACCCCACCCGCCTTAGGAAGCACATACTAAGGAGCCAAGTTAACTGCAATTCCTGGGGTCTCAGAACAATGTTGCATAACAGACATTTTTGCTTTGCATTAGAGGGATTTTTGCCTAGGAGAGCGCTTAGAAAATGGAATGCATTCAACGTGAGAAAGCTGATTGCAGTGGAGAGAAAAAGAAACAATAGAAAAGCAAAGGCCAGTCCACTGGGTGCATCCATGTGGTGCAATGCGATGGGGGACTGGGGATGGGTTATGATGAGGATTCACAATTGACATCCCCAAAACTGGGTGCACTTTCCTTTCAAACCACAGAAAATGCCCCTCAGTTTTGAGGACCTCAGTCTGAATGTCATGTCTGACTTCAAACTCTTCCTACGTGGTTAACTCACACTAGGGTTCGCTGTCCTCACACTGCAGATGGAGGACGTTCACACAGCACTCATGCAGAAGCTCCCAGCCAGATCTTGAAAAAAAATAACCTCAAAGAATCCTCAGGCTGCCCAGGGAGTTGCTAGGAAAAGGCAGACACACCAGCATTTACACAAATTCAGTTACATCACTAGTGGTAGGTTTCACATAAAAACCTTTGATTTATGAGAAGGCTATGCACATGTTACACATCCAGTCAGAACCAATCATGCACTCTAATCATACACTTTAATTTCAAATTTTTTTTTTTTTTTGAGACAGAGTTTCACTCTTGTTGCCCAGGCTGGAGTGCAGCGGTGCGATCTCAGCTCACTGCAACCTCTGCACCCCATGTTCAAGCCATTCTCCTCGTCTACTCAGTCTCCTGAGTAGCTGGGACTTCAGGGGCCCGCCACTATGCCAGGCTAATTTTTGTATTTTTAGTGGAGATGGGGTTTCACCATATTGGCCAGGCTGCTCTCGAACTCCTGACCTTGTGATCCGCCCGCCTCAGCCTCCCAAAGTGCTAGAATTACAGGCAGGAGCCACGGCACCCGGCCGTTTTTGGTTTTAAATTTCTCAGCATTACCTGTGAAAGAATCCAAGTGTACATTTCCACAGTCCTGTCTATGAACACAGAAGAAGGAGTGATTGGCAGCAAACTGATGCTTCAATGCCATGATAGGAGCAAGTGGGCTTCAAAACTATCCTAATACCTGTCCTTTTTTTTTTTGAGACAGAGTCTCGCTCTGTCGCCCAGGGTGAAGTGCAGTGGCACGATCTCGGCTCACTACAAGCTCCGCCTCCTGGGTTCATGCCATTCTCCTGCCTCAGCCTCCCCAGCAGCTGGGACTACAGGCGCCTGCCACCACGCCCGGCTAATTTTTTTGTATTTTTTTAGTAGAGACGGGGTTTCACCGTGTTAGCCAGGATGATCCACCCGCCTCAGCCTCCCAAAGTGCTGGGATTACAGGCGTGAGCCACCACGCCCGACCAATATCTGTCTTCTTGATGCAAATCCAAGTTTAGCATCCTCATTTGGGCATTCATTTGTTAATCTATTCTGCAGTCTTCTGATCTACCTCTTATGCTACTCTTCTTTGCAATTTTACTGTAAGGCAAGAAATTCCTAGTCTTCAGTAACCTGGAGTTAAGATACCAGTCCCCATCAGTTACAATCAAGGACTCACCTCAGCACTGAAAATGCCTGGGTCCCACACGTCACAGGCAATGTGCCAGTATGTTCTTATCAGACTCCAGAAAGCACTCCCAGATTGCATGTCACCAAGGAGACAGTGATCACAAGCCCCAGGGAAAACCTGCAAGGTAGCATAGAACCCATGTCCCTCCACAGGCAGTCCTCCTACAGCTCAACAGAAGACAGTGTTGGAATGTGTTGAATTCTGACATTCTGTTCTACCACCTCACGGGGACAGCGCCTGTAAAAGCCTTTGGGAGAGTGTGGCTGGGAAATGGGCACATTACTTCTCAGTGCACATCCAGCAAGTGATCCTCCATGTGTCAAAAAATCTTATGCTTGCTGGGCGCGGTGGCTCACACCTGTAATCCCAGCACTTTGGGAGACTGAGGTGGGAGGATCAACTGAGGTCAGGAGTTTAAGACCAGCCTGGCCAGCATGGTGGCACCCCATCTCCACTAAAAACACAAAACATAAGCCAGGCACGGCTGTAATCTCAGCTACTTGGGCGGCTGATGCAGGAGAATTGCTTGAACCCGGGAGGCAGAGGTTGCAGTGAGCTGAGATCACTGCACTGCACTCCAGGCTGGGCAATAGAGTGGGATCCTGTCTCAAAAAAAAAAAAAGAAAAATAAGGCCGGGCGCGGTGGCTCACGCCTGTAATCCCAGCACTTTGGGAATCCGAGGCGGGCAGATCACAAGGTCGGGAGTTTGAGACCAGCCTGGCCAACATAGTGAAACTCTGTCTCTACTAAAAATGCAGAAAACAGGCTGGGTGCGGTGGCTCACGCCTGTAATCCTAGCACTTTGTGAGGCCGAGACGGGCGGATCACCTGAGGTTGGGAGTTGGAGACCAGTCTGACCAACATGGAGAAACCCCGTCTCTACTAAAAATACAAAATTAGCTGGGCGTGGTGGCGCATGCCAGTAATCCCAGCTACTCCGGAGGCTGAGGCAGGAGAATGGCTTGAACCCGGGAGGCAGAGGTTGCTGTGAGCCGAGATCGTGCCATTGCACTCTAGCCTGGGCAACAAGAGTGAAACTCCATCTCAGAAAATAAAAAGAAAAATAGTGATCTCAGGTGATCCATCCACCTCAGCCTCCCAAAGTGCTGGGATTACAGGCGTGAGCCACCGCGCCCGGCCTCAGCTTGCTTCTTTCATTGTGTTGTGACTTGCCTCGAAATTCTTTCCAGCAAGAGATCCAAGAACCCGCTTTTGGGGTCTGGATTGGTTGCCTCTTCTCTGGCAATGGTGTGACCCAGGCTATCCCTGAATCCAAGCATTATAGCTGCTACGGAACCCAGCCTCACAACCCAGAGACCCTGGTCATTTCCTTAAAGCTGGGCTGAAGTCCAGTTTATGGCGCAGAACAAGCACCACGGTTTAGCTTTTACCTGCAGTGGCTCCTGGAGCCCCCCGCCCCCCCTCCCCCCCATGGTGTTTTTTCGGTGCTCGCCTCAGTCATTGGACCTCAGCTATGACAGCACTTTCATTCTGGCACCAGAAAGTGCCCTCAAGGCTGAGTGCCACAGACTGAGAAGTACCCTCCCTGTATTGTCCAGTACCTGGAAACTGCAGGCACATCCTCTATGCAGAAGATAAGAGATTTAAAACTGACTTCTGAATGTTGCTCAATAGTGAAAGGTAGATTGAGCATTCTCTCCAGTTCTCAGGAACAATGCAGAGCCTTGTAATGCAAATCCTAGGCCTGCCCTGGGGCTCATGCCTGTAATCCCAGCACTTTGGGGATCCCCAGCCTGAATAACACCTTTTAAATTACTTTGTTTTCTTTTTCTTTTTCTCTTTTTTTTTTCTTAGTCTTGCTCTGTTGCCCAGGCTGGAGTGCCATGGCGCGATCATCAGCTCACTGCAGCCTCCGCCTCCTGGGTTCAAGCAATTCTCCTGCCTCAGCCTCCTGAGAAACTGGGATTACAGGCGCCTGCCACCACACCTGGCTAATTTTTGTATTTTTAGTAGAGACAGGGTTTCACCATATTGGCCAGGCTGGTCTCGAACTCCCGACCTCATGATCCGCCCACCTCAGCCTCCCAAAGTGCTGGGATTACAGACGTGAGCCACCGCACACGTCCAGCACCTTTTAAATTACGTGGACAGGCCCGGTGTGGTGGCTCACCTGTAATCCTAGCAGTTTGGGAAGCCAAGGCAGAAGGATTGCTTGAGCACAGGACTTCGAAACCAGCCTGGGAAACATACTTAGCCCCCTTATCTACAAAAAATGCAAAAATTAACTGGGTATGGTGGTACGTACTTATAGTCCCAGCTACTCAGGAGGCGGAGGTGGCTCACTTGAATCTGGAAGGCAGAGGTTGCAGAGAGCCAAGATCTGGCCACTGCCCTCTGGGCACCGGTGTAGTCTCAGCTACTCGGGAGACTGATGCAGAAGAACTGCCTAAACCCAGGAGGTGGAGGTTGCTGTGAGTTCCCACAACTGCACTCCAGGCTGGGCAATAGAGTGAGATCCTGTCTCAAAAAATGAAAAACATTTTTGCTCTACAAGATTACATTTAATTGGCAACTACCTAGCTTTGAACCAGCAAGGGGAAAAGTAACAGAACGGCATGTCTGTCTCACTAACTTCTTGTTTTTTTGAGACAGGTTCTTGCTCTGTCCCCCAGACTGCAGAGCGGCAACACAGCCGTCGGCTCACTGCAGCCTCAACGTCCCTGGCCATACACAACTGCAGCATTTTGGCTAAACCAGCATGGCTTACAGAGAACAAGTAGTTCTTTCTCTCTCTTTTTTAAGACAAGCGTCTTGCTCTGTTGCCCAGACTGGAGTTCGGTGGCGCGATCTCGGCTCACTGCAACCTCCGTCTGCCGGGTTCAAGCAGTTCTCCTGCCTCAGCCTACCGAGTAGCTGGGACTGCAAGCCTGTGCCATCATGCCCAGCTAATTTTTTTGTATTTTTAGTAGAGATGGGGTTTCACCATGCTGGCCAGGCTGGTCTCGAACTCCTGGCCTTGTGATCCGCCCTCCTCGGCCTCCCAAAGTGCTAGGATAATAGGCGTGCGCCACTGCGTCCTGCCACAATAGTTCTTTCAATGGTAAGACTAGTTGAAAACCTGAGTTAGATGTGTATCTCTAATCTTAGTGATATTTAAATGTAAATAAAAATGTTATGTCTGGAACACACTTGGGCTGCTTGGGATATATTCAGATAAATACTATTATACATAATTTATAAATAAATACTATTTATTTACTAATAGGGTATCAGAAAGGTACAATCCCTATGTCTCCAGGTTGACATAGAAATTTTCTACTGGTCCGAAAGTTGCATCTGTACGACTGGCCAGTTGCTTCTGGTTCAACAAGGACCTAACCTGCCAATCACACAGGACAGCTGGGGGCTGACATTCCAAATTGTAATCTTTACTAGGCACAGAGGCTTAGCAGGCCTCTGGTTTAATAACACACGAAAGTAACTGCTTGAAGTAGCAAGGCACTCACTCACAAGGCACCTATAGAGTTGGTACTTATGGTCTGGAAATAGCCACATTGTAAGCTGACCACCAGTTATAATTACCAAATATTGGCAGGGCACAGGGGATCATGCGTGTAATCCCAGCACTTTGGGAGGACGAAGCAGGAGGATTGAGCCCAGGCCTCAGCTTGCTTCTTTCGCTGTGTTGTGACTTGCCTCGAAATTCTTTCCAGCAAGAGATCCAAGAACCCGCTTTTGGGGTCTGGATTGGTTGCCTCTTCTCTGGCAATGGTGTGACCCAGGCTATCCCTGAATCCAAGCATTATAGCTGCTACGGAACCCAGCCTCACAACCCAGAGACCGTGGTCATTTCCTTAAAGCTGGGCTGAAGTCCAGTTTATGGCGCAGAACAAGCACCACGGTTTAGCTTTTACCTGCAGTGGCTCCTGGAGCCCCCCGCCCCCCCTCCCCCCCATGGTGTTTCTTCGGTGCTCGCCTCAGTCATTGGACCTCAGCTATGACAGCACTTTCATTCTGGCACCAGAAAGTGCCCTCAAGGCTGAGTGCCACAGACTGAGAAGTACCCTCCCTGTATTGTCCAGTACCTGGAAACTGCAGGCACATCCTCTATGCAGAAGATAAGAGATTTAAAACTGACTTCTGAATGTTGCTCAATAGCGAAAGGTAGATTGAGCACTCTCTCCAGTTCTCAGGAACAATGCAGAGCCTTGTAATGCAAATCCTAGGCCTGCCCTGGGGCTCATGCCTGTAATCCCAGCACTTTGGGGGTCCCCAGCCTGAATAACACCTTTTACATTACTTTGTTTTCTTTTTCTTTTTCTTTCTTTTTTTTTCTTAGTCTTGCTCTGTTGCCCAGGCTGGAGTGCCATGGAGCGATCATCAGCTCACTGCAGCCTCCGCCTCCTGGGTTCAAGCAATTCTCCTGCCTCAGCCTCCTGAGAAGCTGGGATTACAGGCGCCTGCCACCACACCTGGCTAATTTTTGTATTTTTAGTAGAGACAGGGTTTCACCATATTGGCCAGGCTGGTCTCGAACTCCTGACCTCGTGATCCGCCCACCTCAGCCTCCCAAAGTGCTGGGATTACAGACGTGAGCCACCGCACACGTCCAGCACCTTTTAAATTACGTGGACAGGCCCGGTGTGGTGGCTCACCTGTAATCCTAGCAGTTTGGGAAGCCAAGGCAGAAGGATTGCTTGAGCACAGGACTTCAAAACCAGCCTGGGAAACATACTGAGGCCCCCTTCTCTACAAAAGATTTAAAACTCAGCTGGGTGTGTTTGTGCACACCTATAGTCCCAGCTACTCTGGAGACGAAGGTGGATCACTTGAGTCTGGAAGGCAGAGGTTGCAGAGAGCCAAGATCTGGCCACTGCACTCCACCCTGGGCAACAGAGTGAGACCCTGTCTCTTTAAAAAATAAAGAAAAGGAAAAAGCTGCCTTTGTGGACACCTAAATAAAAAATAAAATGAACCTAAAACCTACTGGGTGCAGTGGCTCAGAGGCCGGGGTGAGAGGATGTTTGTGCCCAGGTGTTGATGACCAGCCTAGACAATGGTGGGAGACCCCAACCCTACAAAAAAAAAAAAAAATTAGCTAAGCATGGTCCTGTATGCCTGCCATCCCAACTACACGGGACGCTGGGGTGAGGGAGGTTGAGGCTACTGTGAGTCACGATCTCACCACTGCACTCCAGCCTGGGAGACAAGCCCATCTGGGCAACACAGTGAGACTCAATCACTAATTGAACAAAATCCAAAAATTTTAAAAAATCAATAATGCGGTCCAGGAATGGTGGCTCACACCTGTAAACCCAGCACTTTGGGAGGCTGAAGAGGGCGGATGACTCGAGGCTTGGAGTCTGAGACCTGGCCAACATGGTGAAACCCCACCTCTACTAAAAATACAAAAACAATCAACTGGGCATGGTGGTGCATGCCTGTAATCCCAGCTACTCGGGAGGCTGAGGCAGGAGAATTGCTTGAATCCGGGAGGCAGAGGTTGCAGTGAGCCAAGATCACACCACTGCACTGCAGCCTGGGCAACAAGAGTGAAACTCCGTCTCAAAAAAAAAAAAAGAGTATTAGGGGCAGAGAATCAAGGTGTCGGAGTCATGACTACAAATAGAGAGGACTCAGTGTTGGAGATTTTAGGGGGAGTCTTACAACCTAAATGTGAGGCTCATATGACCCCGGGGGAAGTGCAGAAACACCATGGGAAGCCAATACTTACTGAACTCTGTGAGGACTTCCCATCCTGAGGATGAAAGGCAGGGCAGGGGCCCTGGAGCTCTTTTATACCCTAGGGACCACCCCACAGATGGAGAATGGATTAAAGTCTGGCCACACCCACTCTTTGCCCTCCAGCCTCCTCCCTGAATTTGATTTTCCTAGCTTCTGTAAATGCATTTCTTTTTCTTTTTCTTTTTCTTTTTTTTTTTTTTGAGAGGTAGTCTCACTCTGTCACCCAGGCTGGAATAGCATGATCTTGGCTCACTGTGACCTCCGCCCCCCAGGTTCAAATGATTCTCCTGCCTCAGTCTCCAGAGTAGCTGGGATTACATGCATGCAATATCCCGCTACGGAGTCTTGCTCTGTAGCCATGCTGGGGGGCAGTGGAGTGATCTCAGCTCACTGCAACCTCCGCCTCCCAGGTTCAAGTGATTCTCCTGCCTCAGCCTCCCTAGTACCTGGAATTACAGGCGCGTGCCACCACGCCCAGCTAATTTTTGTACTTTTAGTAGAGACGGGGTTTCTCCATGTTGGTCAGGCTGGTCTCAAACTCTCGACCTCAGGTGATCC
The DNA here is from genome assembly GCF_000001405.40 of Homo sapiens. NCBI lineage: Eukaryota > Metazoa > Chordata > Mammalia > Primates > Hominidae > Homo > Homo sapiens. The sequence goes on along the minus strand of NC_000019.10, from coordinate 53,664,434 downwards.
GCCCCCCTCGGCCTCCCGAAGCACTGGGATTACAGGCATGAGCCATCACGCCTGGCACCCAGCTGATTTTTATCTTATTTATAGAAACGGGGTCTCACTATGCTGCCCAGGCTAACCAGTCTGGTGCAGGTGCTCACCAGCAAAGCCAGCTAATTTTTTAAATTTTTAATGGAGATGAAGTCTCACTTTTTTGCCCAGGCTGGTCTCAAACTACCAAGCTCAAGTGATCTACCTGCTTCAGCCTCCTAACGTTTTGGGATTACAGGCAGGAGCCTCTGCGCCCGGCCTTCGAATAAATTTAGACTTACAGAAAAGTTGCAAAAAGTACAGAAAGTTCTCTATGTTCTCCACCCAGTTTTCTTTAATGTCCATATTTTACATTAGATTTGCCACAACTAGGAAATAAACAATACCACTGCCCCAATTCCAGAGCTTATTATGATTTCCCATTTTTCTATTTTGTCCCAGGTAGAACCTCTCATTGGGATTCCTTGTCATTTCTAAGACCATCTACTCTGTTTCTTTTCTTTTCTTTTTTTGTTGAGACAGTCTCACTCTGTTGCCCAGGCTTGAGTGCAGTGGCGCCATCTCGGCTCACTGCAAGCTCCGCCTCCCGGCTTCACGCCATTCTCCTGCCTCAGCCTCCCGAGTAGCTGGGACTACGGGCGCCCGCCACCACGCCCGGCTAATGTTTTGTATTTTTAGTAGAGACGGGGTTTCACCGTGTTAGCCAGGATGGTCTCGATCTCCTGACCTCGTGATCCGCCCACCTCGGCCTCCCAAAGTGCTGGGATTACAGGGGTGAGCCACCGCGCCCGGCCCATCTACCCTATTTCTGTTGCTCTGTTTCATTTTATTGATATCACATTATTGCTATTACAATTGTCTCAGGTGTTTGCTTGTTTATTTTCTCTCTTCTACTGATCGATAATGCTCCGCAAGGACAGAGACCTGGTACATCCCCTTTAAATTCTGAGTTTCCCAGTGCCTGGAACAGGGCTTGATTTCTGACAGGTAGTGTAGTGGGTTTGATTCCTGCACAAAAATCTGCTTAACCGCAGGCCTAGACTATAACTCTAGGAGGGTGGAGACCCAGTCTCCCTCCCACCCACGGCGTCCCCAGTACTAACATGGAACCTACCCTGAAGCCCAGTCAATACTCTTGAAATGAATGATGGGCTGAACAGATGCTAAAATCACAGACAAGCATCATTTAATCTTGTAATTATCAATCTCAGTTGACACACGGGGGAAAGAGGCTCAATGCTGGCCTGATTTGTCCCTCCTCAAGCAAACAAAACAAAACAAAACATGGCTGAGAAGTGGAGAAGTCAAAATTAAAACCCAGGAGGCCAAGATCCAGCCTTTAAAGCTGAGCTTAATTAATCCTAACCACAGGTGACAGAGCTATGCTGCCAGCCTCGTCTTACTTCACCCCAGATGTGCGGGTCATTTGTTAATTTTTTTATTTAAAAAATTTTTTTAAAATTATTATTGTTTTTTTGAGACAGAGTTTCACTCTGGTTGTCCAGGCTAGAGTGCAGTGGTATGATCTTGGCTCACTGCAGCCTCTGCCTCCAGGGGTCAAGTGATTCACCTGCCTCAGCCTCCCGAGTCACTGGGATTACAGGCGCGCACCACCATGCCTGGCTAATTTTTTTATTTTTAGTAGAGATGGGGTTTCACCATGTTAGCCAGCCTGGTCTCGAACTCCTGGCCTCAAGTAATCCACATACCTCGGCCTCCCAAAGTGCTAGCTCACTTCAGCCTCAACCTCCTGACCTTAAGGGATCCTCCCACTTCAGCCTCCTGAGTCAAAGTTGTTGGGATTATAGGAATGAGCCACCACACCCAGCTACGTTTTTTTTCAATTTTAGATCTCCTCGTGTTACCTAGGCTGATCTGGAACTCCCAAGCTCAAGCAATCCTCCCATCTCAGCCTCCCAAAGTGCTGGGATTACAGTCCTGAGTTACCACACCCAGACAATTACTGGAAGAGTCAATGTTGTCACCACTCCCCAATTTCTGTATGTAATTTCCTCCCAACCAGGATACCCTGCCCCCTCCCCTCAAAGTTCCTCCACTGGGCCAATATCCTTGCATCTATTCAACTCACAATTTTAAAGTCACGTCTTCAAGAGGAAGCCAGCACCCTCGTACCCAGGTGATGGCCCCTGTCACGGCAGCCTATAAACCTACTCACAGTACAGTACAATTGACGTGGAATCATCAGTTGCAATAATTATCTGTGCACGCCTTTGCTTAGTATTTACCTTCCTGGGGTTTATAACACACCCATACGCATGTGGAGGACAATCATTCTCCCCTCCCAACGTGGTCTAAGTGTTTGTGAAAGGTAATACTTTCCTCAGTTTGACTCCAGACTGGAACCTTGCCTGGCCAGAGCCAGGTCCTCAAAATGAACATTAATTGGAATATGAAGAAATAACAAAGAATGGGCAGGAGGCAGAAGGGCATCAGGACAAATAGCTAATGGCTGTGAGGCTTAATACCTAGGTCAATAGGTTCAGCAAACCACCACGGCACGCATTTACCTATGTAGCAAACCTGCACATCCCGCATGTGTATCCCAGAACTTAAATTAATGAAAAAAGAAAGAAAGAAGTAACAGAATGAGGGCCTGGCGCAGTGGCTCACGCCTGTAATCCCAGCACTTTGGGAGGCTGAGGCAGGTGGATCACCAGGTCAGAAGTTTGAGAACAGCTTGGCCAACATGGAGAAACCCCATCTCTATTAAAAATTAAAAAAATAAGCCAGGTGTGGCGGTGGGCGCCTGTAATCCCAGCTACTCGGGAGGCTGAGGCAGGAGAATTGCTTGAACCCGGGAGGTAGAGGCTGCAGTGAGCGGAGATCGCGCCATTGCACTCCAGTCTGGGTGACAGTGCCAGACTCCGTCTCAAAAAAAATAAATAAATAAAAGAAAGAAAAGAAAGAAAGAACAGAATGAACAAGCCAAAAGCTTTTTAATGCAAATTTGAAAGCTAGTGGAGGGTTTGGGAAACCAGACAGGCCTGCAGGGATCAGGGCTATTTCAGGGCTGATTTGCAAGACACTGAACTTTACCCTAATTCTATAGTCACCCCGCCCCCTCCAAACACCCCTAAATACAGGCGAGCGCTCTCTGAATGAAGCTTTCTTTCTCTCTTTTTCCAAATACCCAGCCTTCAAAGAGATGAATGGATTTCTTTGTGACACTCTATTTACTGTTTTAGAACCTTCACTCCCTAAACTCTTCATTCTTCCTGAAAATCTTTTATGGATCATCTCGGGGCTGTAATCCCATTCTGTGGAGAGCAGGAAGTTTTTTAAAAGGTCCCCAATCACTTTTTAGCCGGGGGGCGAGGAGAAACCAAGGGAAGTTGGGAGAGAGAAATTCTTCCTTTCTTTTTTTTTTTGAGACAGGGTCTCAACTGCCTCCCAAGCTAAAGTTTACTGGTACAATCAAGGCTCACTGCAGCTTCAACCCACTCCTGGGTTCAAACAGTCCTTCTACCTTTGACTGCCAAGTAGCTGGGACTACACCATGCGTCTGTAATTTTTTTATTTTTTGTAGAGACGGGGGCAGGGGGGAGGGGTCTCACTATGTTGCCCAGGCTGGTCTTAAACTCCTGGGCTCAAGTGATCCGCCTGCCTTGGCCTCCCAAAATGTTGGGATTACAGGCGTGAATCACCTGAGCTCACCTCAGCTTTAATACTGAATATTAAGCTCCTTGAGAAGTTGGATGTATCCATTTTGTCCACCAAGGCATCCTGATACTTAAAAGGATTCCATGTGTGTTTTCAGTTCTGGGTTTAGAATGTCTTCATCTACATGAGGAAAACCACCTCCACTTCCTGTATTTGTCTCAAAAGTCACCTTTGATTTGGTGATTCCTCAGAAAGTTAAATATCACTTCAGTTAAGTTTAGGGGGGAAAAAGTTAAACACAGAATTACAGAATGATCTACTGGGCGCGGAGGCTCATGCCTGTCATCCCAGCACTTTGAGAGGCTGTGGCGGGCGGATCACGGGGTCAGGAGTTCAAGACCAGCCTGGCCAACATAGTGAAACCCCGTCTGTACTAAAAATACAAAAAATAAAAAAAAAATTAGCAGGTTGTGGTGGCAGGCACCTGTAATCCCAGCTCCTCACTGCAGGAGAGTCGTTTGAGCCCAGGAGGCGGAGGTTGCAGTGAGCCAAGATCACACCATTGCACTCCAGCCTGGGAGTGAGACTCTATCCCACCCCCAGCAAAAAAAAAAAAAAAAAAAAGGAGGAATTGCAGAATGATCTAGCAATGTCACCCCGGGTATATCCAAAAGAAGTGAAACAGGGTCTTTTTTTTTTTTTTTTTAACTTAGGGCTACCTCGTCTCTCCAGTAAAAAGCAGGGTTTGGGCCAGCGTGGTCGCTCATGCCAGTAATTCCAACACTTTAGGAGGCCAAGGCGGGTGGATCACCTGAGGTCAGGAGTTCAAGACCAGCCTGGCCAACATGGTGAAACCCTATCTCTACTAAAAATACAAAAATTAGCCGGGCATGGTGGCACGCGCCTGTAATCCCAGCTCTTCAGGAGGCTGAGGCAGGAGAATTGCTTGAACCTGGGAGGCGGAGGTTGCAGTGAGCCGAGATCACGCCACTGCACTCCAGCCTGGGTGACAGAGCAAGACTCTGTCTCCAAAAAAAGTTTGATTTGGTACTATCACGGAGATCATAATTTAAAAAAAATTATATATATATATATATATATATATATATATATATATATATATATGTATACGCACAATTACAAATAAATAAATAAATAATAAAGTTTGACTTTTTCCCCAACTGACATTTGACTTCATATAATTCAGTTCCATTTAAATGACTTCAGAAGCTTCTAGGCTGTGGAAAGGGGCTCCCTCTCCTGGTTAAGATCTGCCAGCTCTTACAAGTTCCTTTTCAGGTCTACAAACCACTCCGCCCTTGTGCAGCCGTCACAGCCCTCCCTGCTTATCTCAAGACAGACTCTAGGTTAACTGGTGAATAGAGCTTTACTGAGCTATGTGCAGAGAAAACACGGAAGATTACAGCACAAAAAGAAACAACGGAAGCCTGAATATCAGACGTCATTGTTCAGAAATTCTTCAGGTTTAATGCATTCTCTGGGGTCTCACAGACTGTCCTTTGGTCCTTTTCTGTCTTTTTTTTTTCCTTAAATACTCTCCTATCCAGCCTCTCTCATCTTGTAGCCCCATCCGTACCCGCTGTGATGGTAGGACCCATTATTTCCTGAGCAAGTCTGATCTACCTCTTCTGAAGATTCCAGATCTCAAACAACTGCCATCTCTGGATCTCAGTCCCTTTTGCGTTGGAACAATCTTTCCACACCAGAGGGGATCCCTTTTTAGGTTACTATGCCCAACAGTTCTCACTTTATCTTCAATTCTCCATTCTAGGCTATGTTTTGGAAATTGTCTTTCATAGCTATAAGACAGAGAAAGGCTATGCAAAACTACATAACATGGCTACATAATATCAACATTTATTTATTTACTTACTTTTTTTTTTTTTAAACAGAGTCTCACTCTGTCACCCAAGCTGGAGTGCAATGGCACAATTTCAGCTCACTGCAACCTCCGCCTCCCGGGTTCAAGCGATTCTCCTGCCTCAGCCTCCTGAGTAGCTGGGACCACAGGCGCCCGCCACCATACCTGGCTAATTTTTTTATATTTTTAGTAGAGACGGGGTTTCGCCATGTTGGCTAGGCTGGTCTCGAACTGACCTCTGGTGATTCGCCAGCCTTGGCCTCCCAAAGTGCTGCGATTACAGGCGTGAGCCACCGCACCCAGCCATGGAGAGGCACTTGCCATAAACAAGACCAAACCCATGTTAACACAGAGAAAGCGCCAAAAACCTCCAGAGAAAAGAACAGAGGGAAACAGGCCAGATCGGACCTTAGGGAGCTGCTAGTTCAAGATCTGCATAAAATGAGAAGTGGCTGCTGAATTTGATTCAGAGTCAATGCAATGCCCCTTCCTCCTGATTCAGTTTCGCTATGAGAAAATGCAGGCCCACATCTTTGTGGAGAATGCCAGCATCGCCTAGGCACTGAAGAATGTCAGTGGCAAGATTAGGGATGAGGATAACAAAAAGATGTCAATCTTTGTCAACCCCACTGATACCCCCTGCAGAGAAAGCTGAAGTCGGAAAAGGCAAAGCAGATAAAGCTGATGGTGAAGAAGCGATGTGATTCCTCCCAGTCCAGTCTTGACAGCCAGAGACTCCCGTTTGACCCAGACCTGGTGACCAGTGACTCTAAGACGGCATCGAAACCTAGAAAGTGCATGGCTGCCTTTCTGCACGTCCTCCAAGACAACATGCCTGAGGCGGAGTCTGTAGGACAGATGGACAGGGGAAAGGGCTGGAGCCAGGAGACGTGTGCAGACAGGAACTTCCTGTCTACCACTTTCCCGGACAAACAAGTCTAGCAACATAACCTCCATCCTGGAATTGTTCCCCAAATTATTATGCCTGGATGGTCAGCCATCACCTAGACCAACTCTGTGTGGTATTGAAGCCCTCAAGGTTACCAACTTGCAAGGGAAGCTTCTTTGGATGTGACATGCTGCAGAACCTGCTCCTGCAATTTCTGCAGTAATAATTGCTTGCTCTACGTCCACGGAGATTTCTGCAGTAATAATCGCTTGATCTACGTCTACGGAATGGCACAGGGCGTGTATCTTACTGTGAGCCCATGCATTGCCAGATCTCCATCTTGCCACTGATGGCACGATGAACGGTACATGCCAGCACTGACTGGTTTGGACCAATTGCTAGATCTCCTTTGTAAATACCCAACATCCTGCTCTACTTTGAACTGGGTTACCTTGGTGACTGTACCTATGGTGTGTCCTGAAGGCAGTGACCTTTCACCAGTGTCCACCCAGGGCACTCATGAGTGCCCTGTCAATCTCTAGCAGTCTCCTAGCTGCTTACCATGACGGGGCCTGCCTCTGCCTGACCACTCCCCTCACCCAGAGAAACCAGCCTGGTACAGGTAGTTCAAAAATAGCAGGAAGGCTGGGTATGGTGGCTCATGCCTGTAATCCCAGCACTTTGGGAGGTTGAGGAGGGTGGATCACCTGAAGTCAGGAGTTCAGGACCAGCCTGGCCAACATGGGGAAACCCTGTCTCTACTTAAAAGATAAAATTTAAAAACATACAAAAAAAAAAAATTAGCCAGCGATGTGGCATGAGCCTGTAATCCCAGCTACTTGGAAGCCTGAGGCAGGAGACTCACTTGAATCTGGGGTACAGACGTTGCAGTGAGCCAAGATCCCGCCACTACACTCCAGCCTGGGCAACAGAGTGAGACTCCATCTCAAAAAAATAAAATTTAAAAAGACCAGACTGGTCAACATAATGAGACCCCGTCTCTATAAAAAAATAAAAGAGAGTGGTGTTGTCTGTTATGTCAAAAAAAATTTTTTTTAAAAAGAAAAAGCGGCTGGACATGGTGGCTCCCACCTGTAATCCCAACACTTTGGGAGGCCAAGGAAGGTGATCACCTGAGGTCAGGAGTTCGAGATCAGCCTGGGCAACACGGCAAAACCCTGTCTCTACAAAAAAAAAAAAAAAAAAAAATACAAAAATTGGCTGGGTGCAGTGGCTCACACCTGTAATCCCAGCGCTTTGGGAAGCCTAGGCGGGCAGATCATTTGAGGTCTGGCCATTCCTGGCCAACATGGCAAAACCTCGTCTCTACTAAAAATACAAAAATTAGGCGGGCGTAGTGGCAGGCGCCTGTAATCCCAGCTACTTGAGAGGCTGAGACAGGAGAATTGCTTGTACCAGGGAGGTGGAGGTTGCAGTGAGCCGAGATTGCGCCATTGCACTCCAGCCTGTGCAACAGAGCAAGACTCAGTCTCAAAAAACATAACACAAACAAACAAAAATATTAGCCAGGCGTGGTGGCTGGCATCTGTGATCTCAGCCACTCAGGAGGCTGAGGTGAGAGGATCACTTGACCCCAGGAGGCAGAGGCTGCAGTGAGCCAAGATTGCACCATTACACTACAACCTGGGCAACAGAGTGAGACCCTGTCTCCAAAAAAAAAAAAAAAAGAAAGAAAGAAAGAAAAAGAAGACTCCTTTTCTAATGATAGGGTGGAATGGCACAGGGCGTGTATCTTACTGTGAGCCATGCATTGCCAGATCTCCATCTTGCCACTGATGGCACGATGAACGGTGCATGCCAGCACTGACTGGTTTGGACCAATTGCTAGATCCCTTTGTAAATACTGAACATCCTGCTCTTCTTTGAACTGGGTTACCTCGGTGACTGTACCTATGGTGTGTCCTGAAGGCAGTGACCTTTCACCAATGTCCACCCAGGGCACTCATGAGGAGAATCCGGTGGTCTGGAGATGGAAGTTTGGAGAGGATTAAGGAGGGCTGCTGCAGAAGGCAAGGGCAGGTGCGAGGCCCCTTTAACAAGATGGAGTTCTAACAAGGAATTCAACCCCCAAAGACAGAGAGAGGAATGTCCTAGGAGTCAGAGAAGACCTGACTTCCCATTCTCACTGATACCTGACACCCAGGGAGCTATTGCTTTTCTTTTTTCTTTTTTTTCGAGATAGGGTCTTGCTCTGTCACCCAGGCTGGAATGCAGTGGTGCGATCTTGGCTCACTGCAACCTCTGCCTCTTGGGTTCAAGCAATTTTCCTGCCTCAGCTTCCTGAGTAGCTGGGATTACAGGCATGCACCAACATGCCTAGCTACATAGTTGCCCATAGCCTGGGCAACAAAAAAACAAAAAAAGAAACCCTGTTTGTCCTTTCATTTCAATGTTTAATTTATGGAAAACTGGAAAATACCCCTTTAAATTTAGTCAACGTGTTTGCACACAGAATTTTTTTTGCAAGATTAGTTTTTACAAACCTTCCACAACTTGTTCAAACCGTGAGCTTATTCTTATCTAATTTAAAAATCACATAACCCTCTCAACTAGGTGAAATTTGACATTCTCCTGCCTTTTAAAAATATTTTACCAAAAACATGTTTCACTCTTCTCACACACTTTCCATGTAAAACTATTTTTTCAGTAGTTTCAATCATATGTTATAATGGTAACTAGCAACTTTTACTTTTGGTGGCTTAAATTTCCTTTCACGAACCCTTTCACGACTTTCCCAGACCATCTACAACATGCTTTGACTTTCTGACTTCTCCTTAGCATCCCCTTTTTGAACAAACCAGTTATTTTACTTTAGAACAACAATTTACCATACAAGATGCTTTCTTATAGACCAAGGAGTCTAACATGTACACGAGTCAGTGGCTCACACGAAAGCTGCCATGGCACAATGAAGGTGAAGGCCAGCGTGCTATCCGGCTGAGGTGGGATCCCATGGCCTCTTCAGTCCACTGAGGGTGCACCATCTCACCTGCTGTGCTGGGTAGGCGGAGCACAACCACCTGTGGTTTTTGTTAATTAAAAAAAAAATCTCTTTTCTTTATAACCTTTGCATAGATAGAGTGCATGGCTAATTCCACATGTTCCCAGGCCTTATCTAGAATCTAATGCTCCCAAGTAGGTAAACTGAACAATTTTCAAAAGCCTAAGAAGCAGTTGATGACCTTAAAGCATCGAACAAACCTAATATCTGACCTGCCTAATTTAGACTAAATGTCTTCATTTTTCCCAATAATCTTTAAAACTTTTTATTTCCCAAAGATTACTAAAGTTATGTGAACTAAAAGGCATTAGTTTTTATTGTTCTTTCAAAATATTTGATTTAGGTGTTTATTTATTTATTTGAGATTACTGGCTTTAGGGTGGAGTCCTTGGACAAAAAGGACCAGGAAAGCATGCAGTTTCTAGGGCCCAATATAATAAGTGGGCACAGCAGAAAGCAACACAGGTCTCCAAAAATTAAGGGTCCCATTTTTATACCAGATCCTGAATCCCAAAAAGAACAGAGCCTTAGATTTCTGAAGGGGAATCTATCCATTTCCAATTCCTGTGGTTCCATGAGGAAAACAGGTTTTTTTCCAAAATGGCGTCTCTGGTGCCTCCTGTTTTTCCCAAGGAGTCCCAGGCTGTTAGAATTTGAATATATACATTGCCGGGCACGGTGGCTCATACCTGTAATCCCAGCACTTTGGGAGGCCGAGGCGGGTGGATCACCCAAGGTCAGGAGTTCAGACCAGCCTGGCCTACATGGCGAGACCCTGTCTCTACTAAGGATACAAAAATTAGCTGGGCGTGGTGGCAGGTGCCTGTAATCCCAACTACTCGGGAGGCTGAGGCAGGAGAGTCACTTGAACCCAGGAGGTGGAGGTTGCGGTAAGCCGAGATCGTGCCATTGGACTCCAGCCTGGGTGACAAGAGTGAAACTCCGTCTCAAAAAAAAAAAAAAGAATTTGAATATACACACACATATATATTTTTTATATACTTTTTTATTTTATATATATTATGTATATTTTATTATACATATTTTATTTTTTATATATCATATATATTTTATTATATAAATATTTATATTTTTTAATGAAAACCACAATTTTGTTTTTGGGTGCCACTCATTTTTGCTTAGATTCACACTATTTCTTTAGTGCTAGTTAGCAGATACAGAAATGATCTTGCCAGGATGCACAAAATATGGAACGCTTCATGAATTTGCATGTCATCCTTGTGCAGGGGCCATGCTAATCTTCTCTGTAGCATTCCAATTTTAGTATATGTGCTGCTGAAGCGAGCACTACACTTTTATTTTATTTATTTTATTTTATTTTATTTTTATTTTATTTTTATTTTTTGAGACGGAGTCTCGCTCTGTCACCCAGGCCGGAGCGCAGTGGTGAAATCTTGGCTCACTGCAAGCTCCGCCTGCCGGGTTCAAGCAATTTTCCCGCCTTCCTGAATAGCTGGGATTACAGGCGTGCACCAACATGCCCAGCTAATTTTTTTTTTTTAGTAGAGATAGAGTTATGCCATGTTGCCCAGGCTTGTCTTGAATTCCTGACCTCAAGTGATCCACCTGCCTCAGCCTCCCCAAGTACTGGGATTACAAGCATGAGCCACGATGCCTGGCCAAATATCCACTTTTAATGTACCTGAGTTTTAACTATAGCGCTTGTTTTAAAAAGTCCTTTTAAATCTTTTATTACCCAACCTTGGCTAGGCCAAACAGCTAATATTTCTGTGTTCTATAAGAAACAGAGGGAAGAGAATCAACACATGGTAAAGGTGACACCAGAAAGTACTCGCTGAGTAAGCCGGGAATGGAACCCTGAACCTGGCCTGCCGTTGTGAAAAGAGAAAGCAGGGCCACATGGTATTAGGAGGTTAAGCTTCCAAGGACATGATTGACCAGTTTGCTGGGCCGTCTTGAACAGCGGGCTTATGCGGCCCTGGGCACGCATTTCATCCGAAGGTACCCCTCTTCGTGACAGAATACAGAAAGACACAAAGCATACCAGATTTATTACAGCTTCCTAAGACCAACCTCAGAATTCTTTTTTGTATTAATCAAAGCATTACAGAGGAGATAAACAGTGATTTTTACCGTTCATCTAACCAGTTTGCACAGAGGGGCCACAGTCTAATTGGTAAGAAATACTTTACCTTTTGCCAGCATGCCAGGCTTCTAGGTTCCCTTTGCCCAGGTGGTCCTAGTGACTCTGCTTGCCACACTATAGTCCTGAGGGCCAAGCCTGCGGCATCACAAAGGAAATTCTTTTTCTGTTTTATGGAACCTTAAGCAAAAGCCTCTTAGTTTTGCAAGTGTGGCCGAAGGGGTTGCGTGGGGTAAGCCAATTAACATTTTTTCATCATGGCGCCAAAGCAAAATACGTGACAAAACACAGACACTGGCCACTGTGCTTAGCACCCAATACTGAACTCGCAAGGCTCAAACTTGACCCCAGCTGGGCCCTGTCATCTTTAACCCATTTTTAACCAAGGGGGACTTTACTGAGGGGAGGGCCTCTGACCCCATCCCATACTTTACTCAGGTAAAATGGACCCCATTACTTATCCAAAGTCAGCCAACTGGTGCTGCAGTCTGCTTCCTTTGGATCAGGATAGTAACGAAGCTGAAAGATTAGCAGATTTAACTTTCGGGAGCCCTCATTTTAATTTTTTAATTTTTATTTATTTATTTATTTATTTTCGAGACAGTGTTTCGCTCCTGTTGCCCAGGCTGGAGTGCAATGGAGCAACCTTGGCTCACTGCAACCTCAGCCTCCTGGGTTCAAGATTCTCCCGCCTCAGCCTCCCAAGTAGCTGGGATTACAGGTGCATGCCACCACACCTGGCTAATTTTTTGTATTTTTAGTAGAGACAGAGTTTCACCATGTTGGCCAGGCTGGTCTCAAACTCCCGACCTCAGGTGATCCACCTGCCTTGGCCTTCTAAAGTGCTGGGATTATAGGCGTGAGCCACTGCGCCCAGCCATTTTTATTTTTTGAGACAGAGTCTCGCTCTGTCACCCAGGTTGGAGTACAGTGGTGCAATCTCCACTCACTGCAAACTCCGCCTCCTGGGTTCAAGCAATTCTCGTGCCTCAGCCTCATAAGTAGCTGGGACTACAGGCACAAGCTACCACGCCCCACTAATTTTTGTCTTTTTAGTAGAGATGGGTTTCACCATGTTGGCCAGGCTGGTTTCGAACTCCTGAGCTCAGGTGATCCACCCACCTTAGCCTCCCAAAGTGCTGGGATTACAGGCGTGAGCCACCACGCTCAGGCAGATTTTGCCATTTCTGTAAGTCTTTGCTCCTTCCCGTGCCTAATGTATAAGCCAGAAGGAACTCAGTTTTTCAGAATTTAAGGATCCCATTTTTGGCAGGGCGTGGTGGCTCATGCCTGTAATCCCAGCACTTTGGGAGGCCGAGGCGGGCAGATCACGAGGTCAGGAGATCAAGACCATCCTGGCCATCACAGTGAAACCCCGTCTCTACTGAAAATACAAAAAAAAAAAATTAGCCGGGCGTGGTGGCGGGCGCCTGTAGTCCCAGCTACTGGGGAGGCTGAGGCAGTAGAATGGCGTGAACCTGGGAGGTGGAGCTTGCAGTGAGCCGAGATCGCGCCACTGCACTCTAGCCTGGGCGACCAAACGAGACTTCATCTCAAAAAAAAAAAAAAAAAGATCCCATTTTTACCTAAAATATTGGCATTCATTACTCTCAGGTTCCCTTGATTAACTTACCCAGTAATTTTTTTTTTAATACCTAAGTGCACAAGAAAAATGAAACAAAGGGGTAGAACACAAACATCCCTGTTAATTTTTAAAAGCCAAATTTTACACCTCCTGCAATATTACCATTTGCTACCAGTTTCTTTCTGACCCAGTCACATGTAAGAGGCCTCTAACTGGGTCCAAGCCAGCTAATTACCACATCAGATCCATTCCCAGAACCAGTCCAGTTTCTGTCACAGCTTCCAAACCCAGTTTGGATCAGATATTTGCTCAATGAAACTCGGAGAGCTCAAAACACAAATCTGTGGAGCTCTGAAATCCGAGAGGGAACTTACCCACGATCCCCGGCCACTCGGAGAGGTCAATGGACACAAGTGGGTTCCGCAGGCACCTTGCGTGTTCACTCAGCACTCCCGAAGGTTCCTAGAAGCTCTACTCTGGACTCCGCTTCTGACACCATCTGTTAAAAGAAAAACTTCAGCCGAATTAAATTTAAAGGGGGCCAGGTACAGTGGCTCACACCTGTAATCCCAGCACTTTGGGAGGCTGAGGTGGGCAGATCACTTGAGGTCAGGAGTTCAAGACCAGCCGGGCCAACGTGGTGAATCCCCATCTCTACTAAAAACAGAAAAAATTAACCAGGTGTGGTGGTGGGCACCTGTAATACCAGCTACTCGTAAGGCTGAGGCGGGAGAATCACTTGAATTAGGAGGCGGAGGTTGCAGTGCGCAGAGATGGTGCCATTGCACTCCCGCCTGGGCCACAGAGCGAGACTCCGTCTCAAAAAAATGAAAATAAAAATAAAATAAAATAAAAATAAAAATGAAACAAAATAAAAATAAAATAAATAAAATAAAATAAAATAACAAAATACATAAAATAAAATAAAATACATAAAATAAATAAAATAAAATACATAAAATAAATAAATGTAAAGGAGTTCAACTGAACAATGAACCTCTTGCAAATCGGGCAGCTCCGAAAGTCACGGCAGATTCAGACGGACTCCAGGGGTGCCTCGTGGTCAGAACAAATTTATGGACAAGAAAAGGAAAGTGACATACAGAAATCGGAAGTGAGGTACAGAAAGAGCTGGATTGGTTACCGCTCAGCGTTTGCCTTATTTGAACACAGTTTGAATGCTCAGCAGCCTGTGAGTGGATGAAGTACAGCTGCTGGGCTGCTGGGATTGGCCAACACTCAGTGGCGGTTACAGGCGCATAAAACGTAAGTTAGGCTTCCTTTTTTTTTTTTTTGATATGGAGTTTCCCGCTCTTGTTGACCAGGCTAGAGTGTGCAATGGCGCAATCTCGGCTCATTGCAACCTCCGCCTTCCGGGTTCAAGCTATCCTCCCGCCTCGGCCTCCCGAGTAGCTGGGATTACAGGCATGAGTCACCACGTCTGGCTAATTTCGTATTTTTAGAAGAGACGGGGTTTCTCCATGTTGGTCAGGCTAGTCTCAAAGTCCCGACCTCAGGTGATTCGCGCGCCTCGGCCTCCCAAAGTGCTGGGATTACAGGCGTGAGCCACCACGCAGGGCCTAACTTAGGTTTTCAATCTTTTGTACCTATTAAGTTAGGTTGCAGTTCATCCACAAGGACTCAAATATAGAATTACGGAGTCCTTCTCAGGCCATATTTAGTTTGCTTTAACACAAGGGTCTCAACAAACAAACAAACACAGGGGTCTCACTATATTGCCCAGGCAGGTCTCTTAACTCCTGGTCTCAAGCGATCCTCCTGCCGCGGCCTCCTCCAGTGCTGGAATTGCAGGCCTGAGCCACCACGCCCGGCCTGGACTACCCTTTTTTTCCCCAAGACGGAGTCCCACTCTGCCGCCCAGGCTGGAAGTGCAGCGGCACAATCTCGGCTCACTGGCTCACTGCAACCTCCGCCTCCCGCGTTCAACCGATTCTCCCACCTCAGCCTCCCGAATAGCTGGGATTACAGGCGCCCGCCACCACGCCCTGATAAATTTTGTATTTTTCCGTAAAGACGGGGTTTCACCACGTTGGCCAGGCTGTTCTCGAACTCCTCACCTCGGGTGATCCTCCCAAAGTGCTCGGATTAGAGCCACCGTGCCCGGCCTGCATCCCTCTTAACTGGTGCTCCGATGCGAACTACCGTGCCCAGCCTGGACCCCTCTTAACGGGTGCTCTGATGCGAACCACCGTGCCCAGCCTGGACCCCTCTTAATGGGCGCCCTGATGGGAACCACCGTGCCCAGCCTGGACCCCTCTTAATGGGTGCTCTAATGCGAACGACCGCGCCCGGCCTGGACCCCTCTTAATGGGTGCCCTGATGGGAACCACCGTGCCCAGCCTGGACCCCTCTTAATGGGCGCCCTGATGGGAACCACCGTGCCCAGCCTGGACCCCTCTTAATGGGCGCCCTGATGCGAACCACCGCGCCCGGCCTGGACCCCTCTTAATGGGCGCCCTGATGGGAACCACCGTGCCCAGCCTGGACCCCTCTTAATGGGTGCTCTAATGCGAACGACCGCGCCCGGCCTGGACCCCTCTTAATGGGTGCCCTGATGGGAACCACCGTGCCCAGCCTGGACCCCTCTTAATGGGCGCCCTGATGGGAACCACCGTGCCCAGCCTGGACCCCTCTTAATGGGCGCCCTGATGCGAACCACCGCGCCCGGCCTGGACCCCTCTTAATGGGCGCCCTGATGGGAACCACCGTGCCCAGCCTGGACCCCTCTTAATGGGCGCCCTGATGCGAACCACCGCGCCCGGCCTGGACCCCTCTTAATGGGTGCTCTGACGCCGTGGTTTCCCGAGGTCTAGCGGGCCAGATGGGCCCTGGACTTCCTGGTTGGATGAGGGGCTGTGGCTGCAGAGCTGTCTGGTGGGGGGTTGGGCGGGGCGAGGTGGCGATACTTCCAGGCAGCGGGCGAAAGGGAAACCTGTTAACTAGGGGCCCGTGGCCCGGGGGGCATCGTGGGGGATACATACTGACCTGCCGCGTTGGCACCGGAAGATTGTCGCAGGGCTGGACGGCAGAACTCTGAAGTTGGAATAGAGACGGCAGAAAAATTCAGAATTTTGCCGTATTCCAATTAAACAAGTTCTGATCCCTCAAAAGGGAACCAAGATGTTGGTTCCAGGTGGCAAAGAAAGGTGTCGCCGGGCCCGGGGTGGATGGGCCGGGAGACGCGCGCCAGCGCCTCGTGGCGCACGGAAACTCCTAAGGGACGTGCAGCCGGCGCGCAGCTCTAGAGACCTCGGTCCAGGGCGTGGCGGCGTCAGGGGGTGTGGAGACGCCGGCAGCGGAAACAGGGGTCAGGCGAGAGGGCGTGGAGTGCGCCGGGGGGGCTTCAGAGGGCGTGGGGGATGCATGAGCAGCCCCGTTCCAGGCAGGCGGCAGGAAGTGAGCCTGGCATTGGGGTATGGTAGAGGGAGGAGGCCGCGGCGGGGGGCTTTGCAGGTAAAGAGGCCAGCCTTGCGGGGGTTAGGGATGTGGAGACCCTGGGAGCACACCTAGCGCTGCAGGTGAGGAGATCCACGCCCAGGGTGTCCCAGGTGAGAAGGTGGGCAAATGTACCCGCTTGGGGGGCAATGGAGACAAGAAGAGGGACAGGGTCACGGGCGTAGGGGCAGAGGAGATGCTCGAAGCGCCTTGTTCCGCAAGAATCAACACACATAGAGAGATCGCAGGCAGGCAAAGCCGTCAGTGTGACTCATGTCTCTCTCAGGTTTGGAGATTGGAGAGGAGACTGGTTCCTGCTCTGGCTCTCCAGTGTTATCGTTTTGTTTTGTTTTCTTGAGGCAGGGTCTGGCTCTGTCGCTCAGGCTGGAGTGCTGTGTCTCCATCTCAGCTCACTGCAGTCTTGACCTCCCAGGCTGAAGCGATCCGCCTGCCTCAGCTTCCTGAATAGCAGGGACTACAGACACATGCCACCACACCTGGCGAATTTTTGTAGTCAGGGATCTCACCATGTTGCCCAGGGTGGTCTGGAACTCTTGAGTTCAAGCGATCTGCCTGCCTTGGCCTCTCAAAGTGCTAGGATTACAGGCGTGAGCCACCGCACATGGCCTAGCTCTTAAGTTCTTGAACCAAATCTGGGAAGAGAGAAAATGTGAGAGGCAGGGCACAGTGGCTCTTGCCTGTAATCTCGCCACTTTGGAAGACCAATGTGGGCAGATCACCTAAGGCCAGGAGTTCCAGACCAGCCTGGCCAACATGGCAAAACCCCATCTCTACTAAAAACACAAAAATTAGGGCCGGGCGCAGTGGCTCACGCCTGTAATCCCAGAACTTTGGGAGGCCAAGGCGTGTGGATCACGAGGTCAAGAGATCGAGACCATCCTGGCCAACATGGTGAAAACCTGTTTCTACTAAAAATACAAAAATTAGCTGGGTGTGGTGGTGGGCGCCTATAGTCCCAGCTATTCAAGAGGCTGAGGCAAGAAAATCACTTGAATCCAGGA
Source organism: Homo sapiens (assembly GCF_000001405.40). Taxonomy (NCBI): domain Eukaryota; kingdom Metazoa; phylum Chordata; class Mammalia; order Primates; family Hominidae; genus Homo; species Homo sapiens. The sequence goes on along the minus strand of NC_000019.10, from coordinate 53,646,805 downwards.
GGCGGAGGTTACAGTGAGCCAGCGGGCCGGGATCACGCCACTATACTCCAGCCTGGCACAGAGTAAGACTCCGTCTCAAAAAAAAAAAAAAAAAAAAAAAAAATTAGCCAGGCTTGGTGGTGTATGCCTATAGTCCCAGCTACTTGGGAGGCTGAGGCAGGAGAATCACTAGAACCGGGAGACAGAGGTTGCAGTGAGCCGAGATCACACCATTGCACTCCAGCCTAGGCAACAGAGCAAGACTCCATCTCAAAAAAAAAAAAAAAAAAAAAAAAAAAAAGTGAATCAGGGTGATTCAATGGGATAGGGTTCCTTAGGAGAGGCCACATTTTTCCCAGGACAGAAGCTCCCTTACTGAGAATAGCATACCCATCTGTTTTCTCTATACCCAGTTAGCGGACCAATCCCCAACTCCCACCTGCACTTACGTTACAGGAAGGAGGGCTGGAAAGGAATGGAACAATGGGTTAGTAAGAATGCCATCAGGGCACAGGAACATCCTAGCATGGTTGGGGAACATATGGAAAATCAGAGCTCTCTTTCCTGTAAGAGGCTCTGTGGTAAGGAAAATTGCTTTTCCTTTGATCTTTGCAAAGATGCTGACTTATTTACTAGTGGGAAGTGACTGACCTAGGGACCTTTGGGGGTTTTTTTGAGGTTTGCGGAAATATAAATGAGAAAAAAATCTGGGGCTGGGAGCAGTGGCGTCCGCCTGTAATCCCAGCACTTGGGAGGCCGAGTTGGTGGATTGCTTGAGGCCAGGAGTTGGAGACCAGCCTGGGCAACATAGTGACACTCCATCTCTACAAAAAATACAAAACTAGTTGGGTGCAGGGGTGCACGCCTGTAGTCCCAGCACTTTGGGAGGCTGAGGTGGGAGGATTGCTTGAGCCCAGGAGGTTGAGGCTGCAGTGAGCTGTGATCATGCCACTGCTCTCCAGCTTGGGCGATAGAGTGAGATCCTATCGCCAGAAAAAAAAAAAAAAGAGCTGCATAGAACAGCCGCAGCAGACCTTAATAACATGTTTATATAGAACAAGTTCTAAAGACAGTTCCTTACATTTTGAATTTGTTAGGTAATGAGTCATACTGAATGTTAATTATCGTAGCTAGTTTTAGGTCAAAGTGATTCTGGTCTGGCACTGCAAGTGAAGCAACAGATGAAGAAAACTGAGTTGGAGCCACACAAAATTCATGGTCTGCCTTGTCTTTTTCTTGGGACTTGAGACTGGGGCACCCCAATACCAGACACTGACACTGTGCCTTGCACAGCTAAATGTTGTTTGTTCCAGGGCATGTCCAGGACCATTCGATCCAGCCTCAGTTTTCCCACAATTCAAATTAAAAAAATGAGCCTGGCCAGCATTCGCTTTGAGACCAGCCTGGAGAACATGGCAAAACCCTGCCTCTACGAAAAATACAAGAATTAGGATTTGTTGCTTGTATCTGTAATCCCAGCTACTTAGGAGGCTAAGGCAGAAGGATCATTTGAGTGTAGGAGGTGGAGGTTGCAGTGAGCCAAGATCCCCACGCCATTGCACTCCAGCCTGGGCGACAAGAGTGAAACTGTCTCAAAAAAAAAAAAAAAAAAAAAAAAAAAAAAAAAAAGAGAGAGAGATAGAAAAAGGAAGGGAGAGAGGAAAAGTATACTAGCTGGCATTTTTTAAATTGATTTTTAATTTTTAATTTTTTTATGTATTTTTTTTTTGACATAGAGTCTCACTCTATCACCCAGGCTGGAGTGCAATGGCATTATCTCAGATCACTGCAACTTCTGGCTCCCAGGTTGAAGTGATTCTCCTGCCTCAGCCTCCCAAGTAGCCAGGATTACAGGCACCCGCCACCACACTCAGCTAATTTTTTTGTATTTTTAGTAGAGATGGGGTTTTGCCATGTTGGCCAGGCTGGTCTCAAACTCCTGACCTCAGGTGTTCCACCTGCCTCGACCTCCCAAAGTGCTGGGATTACAGGTGTGAGCCACCGCACCCCACCTAATTTTTTTTTTTTTAGGCTCGATCTTGCTCTGTTGCCCAGGCTGGAGTGCAGTGTCGTGATCTTGGCTCACTACATCTTCCATCTCCTGGGGTCAAACCATTCTCCTACCTCAGCCTCCTGAGTAGCTGGGAATACAGGCTCACACCACCACACCCGGCTAATATTTGCAATTTGGTAGAGATGGGGGTCTCACCATGTTGCCCCAGCTGTGTAGGACTCCTGAGCTCAAGTGAACTGCCTGCCTCAGCCTCCCAAAGAGCTGGGATTACAGGCATGCATCACTGCACCTGGCTGGGCCCATAATTTTAAAAGGGTTATAAAAGCAGAGAATGAGGAGGATGACATATAACAGGGAGGGTGGGATGCTTGAAAGTGGGGAACCCAAGGAGTGGGGAATGCTTTGCAGGGGAGGAGGAGAAGCAAAAGGCATGGAAGGTGTTGAGGCCAAGGTGAAGGCTGCCTTTGGCTCTCTGAAGGTTGGCTGAAAAGAACTGATAGGAAGCAGATTAGCAGGAGAAAAGGCTTACAAATGTCTTTAACCTGAGCATGGGGAGAGCCAGTGATCGCCCATCCCCCAAGGGGGTTCAGAAGCTTATATGTTCTCCTGGCAAACTGATTATGGGAGGGGGCTAGAGGAATTCCATTGAGGGCAATAAAGGATTACTAGAGAGCATGAATGGGTCCTGGAAATCATTCCTATTGACAGTGATGGGATCTGTTCAGGTGTGGTTACATTCTTTGTCTCACAGGGAGGAGAAGAAAAAACAATTATTCCTCTTGGCAGGTCTGGATCTTACACAGATAAAGGCCTGTGCTTTGGAAGAGATGATCGGGGGAGGTCAGAGACCTTGAGGCTCATTTATTTATTTCTTATTATTTTTTGAGACAGAGTCTCGCTCTGTTGCCCAGGCTGGAGTGCAGTGGTGTGACCTCGGCTCACTGCAACCTCCGCCTCCCAGATTCTCCTGCCTCAGCCTCCCAAGTAGCTGGGATTACAGGCGTGTGTCACAGCACCCAACTAATTTTCTTTTTCCATATTTTTAGTAGAGACAGGGTTTTGCATGTTGGTCGGTCTGGCCTTGAACTCCTGACCTCAAGTGATCTGCCTGCCTCGGCCTCCCAAAGTGCTGGGATTACAGGCATGAGCCACTGCACCCGGCCCTTGAGGCACCTTTAACATGCTGTATTTAGAGGTATCAGTTTCTGAGCCCCAACAAGGGGGAGAGGGTCATGAAGAGGGAGGACTCTAGAAGAGGGACAGGTCAAGGACTAAGAGGATGAAAGGAGGAAGACCAGACCAGGCACAGTGGCTCACGCCCATGATCCCAGCATTTTGGGTGGCCAAGGCAGGAGGATTGCTTGAGGCCAGGTGTTCAAGACCACCCTGCGCAACATAGGGAGACCCCGCCTCTACAAACAATAAAAAATTAGCAGGGCATGGTGGTACATGCCTGAGGTCCCAGCTACTTGGGAGGGTGAGGGGGGAGATTGCTTGGAGGGGCCGGGTTGTCGAGGCTGCAGTGAGCTGTGATCGTGCCACTGCATTCCAGCCTGGGTGACAGAGCAAGACCAGTCTCAAAAAATAAAAATAAAAATTAGACGTGCATGGTGGCATGTACCTGTTGGTCCTAGCTACTTGGAAGGGTGAGGTGGGAGGATCACCTGAGCCTGGGGAAATTTATTTGGGCTGCAGTGACCTATGAGTGCATCTTGGCATTCCAGCCTGGGTGACACAGCAAGACCCTGTCAGAAAGAAAGAAAGAGAGAAAGAGAGAGAGAGAGAGAGAAAGAAAAGGAAAGAGAGAGAGAGAAAGAAAGAAAAGAAAGAAAGAAAAAGAAAGAAAAGAAAAGAAAGAAGGAAACAAGGAAAGAAGGAAGGAAAGAAAGAAAGAGAGATAGAGAAAGAAAGGAAGAGAAAGAAGGAAGGAAGGAAAGAAAGAAAGGTGAGAGAGAGAGAAAGAAACAGAAATAGATAAAGAGAGACAGAAAGAAAAAGAAAAGAAGGAAAGAAAGAAAGAAACGAAAATGAGAAAGAAAGGAAAGAAAGAAGAGAAAGAAAAGAAAGAAAGAGCGAGCGACCAGGGCAAGAATATGTGACGGACTGTGCTTGATGGTGAGGTATTGTTCCTCACAGGAGGGCATTAGCTGCCAGGGGCCGCCCACAGACCCTGACCCAAACAACGGCTGAATAAAACGCACACTGACACACAGATATTCTGCTTTGCCAGTCCAGCTGAGTGTCAGTGTACGAGAATGTTTCAAATATTTACTCTGTGGCTCTTTCCATAAAATGTTGCTGACCCTGAAGGTTAAACTTTGAGCCCCACCCAGAATCTCTAGAGCAGTCATGCTAAAAGTACCCAGTCTTTGAGGGAAGTTTGAAGGATTGGGTTCCTGGCAAAGAAGAGGGCTGAGCCAGGGCAGCTTATACTCACGGGAAGAATTCAAGGACTTGGATGCTGAATTTACCCTGGTATCTGTAGGATCAAAGGTGTTTGTGGTATCACCCGATGGGCGTCCATAGACAAGGCAGGTGGGGGTTTTTGGCAACTGTGGATAGCACAAGAGTGGCCTGTAGAACAAAGGGACATTGTGGTTCATTCTTTTATTTCTTATTTTTTATTTTTTTTTTAAATTATTATTATTATTATTATTTGAGACGGAGTCTTGCTCTGTTGCCAGGCTGGAGTGCAGTAGCACGGTCTTGGCTCACTGCAACCTCCCCCTCCTGGGTTCAAGCGATTCTCCTGCTTCAGCCTCCCAAGTAGCTGGGATTACAGGCATGTGCCACCACGCCCGGCTAATTTTTTTGTATATTTAGTTGAGATGGGGTTTCACCATGTTAGCCAGGCTGGTCTTGAACTCCTGACCTCGTGATCCACCCGCCTCGGCCTCCCAAAGTGCTGGGTTTACAGGCGTGAGCCACTGCACCTGGCCTAAATTATTATTATTATTATTATTATTATTATTTGAGACACAGTTTCACTCTGTCCCCAGGCTGGAGTGCAGTGGCACGATCTCGGCTCACTGCAACCTCCGCCTTCTGGGTTCAAGCAATTCTCCTGCCTCAGCCTTCCGAGTAGCTGGGATTACACCTGCCCGCCACCACGCCTGGCCAATTTTTGTATTATTAGTAAAGAGGGAGTTTCACCATATTGGCCAGGCTGGTCTCAAACTCCTGACCCCAAGTGATCCGCCCACCTTGGCCTCCCAAAGTGCTGGGATTACAGGCGTAAGCCACCGCACCAGGCCTTGGGAGACTGAGGTGGGAGAATCGCTTGAACCCAGGAGGTGGAGGTTACAGTGAGCCGAGATCGCACCACTGCACTCCGGCCTGGGCGACCAGAGTGAAACCCTGTCCCACAAAAAAAAAAAAAGATAAACTAATGATTCCTTCTAGGGAGATATAGATGATATCAGAGAGCACATTTTGTAAGAACACATAACAGAGTGAGAAAAGCCCCACCGTAGGGGAATTACCCTCCCCGCCCATTCATCAGGTGAGGAAGTTGAGACCAGGAACAGTGGGGACACGAGGGGTGGCTTCAGTCAATAGTTCGCCCAGGGAGGAGGCTGGGTGCAGGGCCAGCATCGGTGTCTCCACGTATTCACAGCCCCTGGACTGGGAATTCACACCCAGCCCCCTAGACTATGGTTCACACTCATACCCTAGCTGGCTGGGTGCAGTCCTCGCCCTTTTCCCTCCTGTTTCCTCTGGGAACTTTCTCTGGGAACTTCTTTCTCTCTCTCTCTCTTTTTTTTTTTTTTTTTTTGTAGAGATGAGGGTCTCACCATGTTGGCCAGGCTGGTCTCCAACTCCTGGGATCACGCGATCCTCCTGCCTTGGACTCCCAAAGTGCTGGGATTACGGGCGAGAGCCACTGCACCTGGCCGGAATTTCTCTTTTTCGTCTTCCCTAAGAAGTCTTGAGTCTCCAGACGGCTCAGGTTTTGATTGTACCTCCTGGGTTTTGAACTTTGTTAAATACAACCCCAGGGAAAAATCATGCCCACACCTGGGAAGCATGCCCCTGTCTGGTCTCAGAGTCTGGGTTTTAACAGCTCCCCAGATGATTCTTATTATTCTCACGTTGGGGAAATACTGGGCTAGAAGGTGATGAGAGGAAGACAGGATTTGATGTTAGTGAAGCCCTTCTCCAAAGATGCTTGGAAGCTGTTCCTTTTCTTTTCTTTTCTTTCTGTTTTTTTTTTTTTTTTTGAGATAGAGCCTCGTTCTGTTGCCCAGGATGGAGTTCAAGGGTGCGATCTCGGCTCACCACAACCTCCACCTCCCAGGTTCAAGTGATTCTCTTGCCTCAGCCTCCCGAGTAGCTGGGATTACAGGCACACACCATCACTCCCAGATAATTTTTGTATTTTTGGTAGAGACGGGGGTTTCACCATGTTGGCCAGGCTGGTCTGGAACTGCTGACCTCAGGTGATCCGCCACCTCGGCCTCCCAAAGTGCTGGGATTACAGGCATGAGCCACTGTACCCGGCCTCTGTCTCTTTCCCTTTGTCTTCATCTCTGTGTCTCCCTTCCCTCTCCCTTCCTGTCTCCCTCTCTCACTTTCCTCTTCCCCTACTTTCTCTTCCTACCCCCTCCCCTTCTGTTTCTCTCTCTCTTCCAAAAATGTATTTTGAAAACATACTTGGTGACAGGCACTGTTATGGGAACCGCGACACAGTGGGGAATGACTGGGGTCCCTGCACACTTTAAAGAGTGAGGTTCCATGGCCAGGCGCAGTGGCTCACGCCTGTTATCCCAGCACTTTGGGAGGCCGAGTTGGGCAGAACATTTGAGGTTAGGAGTTCGAGACCAGCCTGGGCAACATGGTGAAACCCCGTCTCTACAAAAAGAAACAAAAAAACAAACAAAAAAAAACACCATAAAAATTAGCCAGGTGTGGTGGTGCATGCCTGTAATCTCAGCTACTCAGGAGGCTGAGGTGTGAGACTCGCTTGAACCAGGGAGGCGGAGGTTGCAGTGAGCCGAGATCATGCCACTACATTCCAGCCTGGGAGACAGAGTTAGACTTCACCTCAGGAGAAAAAAAAAAAAGGAAAGAAAGCTTTATAGCAGAAAAAAAACGAAGTCTTCAGATATGTCCTGACCAAAGGCTGCTGACGTTGGGAGGCCGCCAGGGAGCTAACCAGAAGTAGGATCCTGTGGGATTGTTTAGCCAAACATTGGGTTTCTCTGGTTGGTCCTAAATTGAAATCAAGGTTGGGGGATGGGCACAAAAACTAGGGAAGCTACGAGTGATGGATCAAGCCCTGGGCATTTGGGGCTGATTGCTGCAGAAATTGTGACTTGGTTTCTTGGACTGGTGGTTGTACAAGTTTTGGGGTTATGGTTCTTTTTTAATTAATTGTAGAGGCTGGGCATGGTGGCTCAAGCCTGTAATTCCAGCACTTTGGGAGGCTGAAGCAGGTGGATCACCTGAGGTCAGGAGTTTGAGACCAGCCTGGCCAACATGATGAAACCCCATCTCTACTAAAAATACAAAAATTAGCCAGGTGTGCTGGTGCATGCCTGTAGTCCCAGCTACTTGGGAGGCTGAGGCAGGAGAATCACTTGAACCCAGGAGATGGAGGAGGTTGCAGTGAGCCGAGATCACACCACTGTACTCCAGCCTGGGCGACAAAGCGAGACTCCTTCTTTGTGTTTTTGTAGGGACAGGGTTTCACCGTGTTGCCTAGGCTGGTCTCAAACTCCTGAGTTGAAGCAATCCACCTGCCTCAGCCTCCCAAAGTACTTGGATTACAGGCGTGAGCCACCGTGCCCAGCCTGTTTTTGTTATTCATTTAATAATTTTTCTTGATAATGTTTGTTTTGATATAGGGGCTCGCTCTGCCACCCAGGCTGGAGTGCAGCGGTGCAATCACAGCTCACTGCAGCCTCAACCTCCTGGGCTCAAGCAATCCTTCCGCCTCCCCCTCCACCTCTGAAATCCCCTGGGATTACAGGTGTGGGCCGCCGGGCCGGCATGCTGTTATTAAGATTGTTTTTAACATTTGTCCTGAGCCCCAACCCATCAAATATTCGCCTATGGCTAAGCAATGGCTGCCGCCCATTTATCTATTATAGGTTTGTCCTCTTTCTAGTCAGCCGTCCTATAGATAAGATGTATTGAGATACTCAGTCATAGAAGCTGCCGCTGGCACCACCCAATCCAGACCTTTCTCTTCCTTTGATTCTATCTGAAATTACTCAACTCCAAATCCTACAGTAGGTTCCTTTTTTTTTTTTTTTTTTTTGAGATGGAGTTTTGCTCTTCTTGCCCAGGAGGCTTGGAGTGCAATGGCGCAATCTCGGCTCATGGCAACCTCCCCTTCCCGGGTTCAAGCAATTCTCCTGCCTCAGCCTCCCCAGTAGCTGGGATTACAGGCATGCGCCACCATGCCTGGCTAATTTTGTATTTTTAGTAAAGACGGGGTTTCTCCATGTTGGTCGGGCTGGTCTCGAACTCCCAACCTCAGATGATCCGCCTGCCTCTGCCTCCCAAAGTGCTGGGATTACAGGTGTGAGCCACCACGCCGGGCCAGTAGGTTCTTTCTAACACACTCATGTTTATTTTATGTTTAAATTTTAATCTATTTATTTATTTTGAGACCAGTATATGAGACTGGCTAATTTTGATGTTTTTGGTAGAGATGAGGTTTTACCATGCTGGCCAGGCTGGTCTCGAACTCCTGGGCTCAAGCCATCCGCCCGCCTCAGCCTCCCAAAGTGCTGGGATTACAGGCGTGAGGAACATTGGCAGAGGACCAAGGTTCAAGGGGATGGAGATTCTCTGATGGTTGCCAAGTTGCATCAGAGTACAGCCAGGGAGGTATAGGAGAGCTTGCTTTTTCTGAGAATTTTCTAGGAACTTGAGATTTTTAGGAATTTTGGGGGTGGAATCCCAATTGACTCAACTCTCAGAGAGGGAATGCTTTAGGTTCTCCACAGGGTGATTTTGTGTTGCCAACCTCCAGGCCTTGAGGAAGGGTTCGCATTGATTCAAAAGGCTAGGTGGACCTGACCTATATGCCCAGGCATTTTGAGTTTTAAGGACATTTTCTGGTCTTCCAAATATTCCAGCTGGTCCTCTGTGCTTTCTTGTTTCTTTTTTTTGAGACAGATTCTTGCTCTGTCACCCAGGCTGGAATGCAGTGGCACAATCCCCTCAGCTCACTGCAACCTCTGCCTCCCGGGTTCACGCCATCCTCCTGCCTCAGCCTCCCGAGTAGCTGGGATTACAGGCACAAGCCACCACGCCCGGCTAATTTTTGTACTTTTAGTAGAGATGGGCTTCGCCATGCTGGCCAGGCTGGTCCCAAACTCCTGACCTCAGGTGATCCGCCTGCCTTGGCCTCCCAACGTGCTGGGATTAGAGGCATGAGCCACCGCACCCTGCTAGGATGAGGCGTATGACGAGGGGCCCGGAGCTTCCATGCCCTCCCCGGATATGCCACCCTCCAGGTACGTCCGCATGCTTAGCTGTCAGGGATCTCTTCAAACCCTGTCCTCCTGGGTTTTGATGGATGCTTCCTTACCCAGACATGACTGATGAAACCACTGGCCAATGGTGATCAGCCTCACCCTCAGCTTCCTTCCCCTCCCAGAAGTTTGCCCTCTAATCCTACTGGGGTCTTTCCAGAGACCAGTCCCCATCCTGAAGCTATCGGTCAACATTAGCACACAAAATACAAAAAGATGGCACTTTGGAGACTCCATGGAACTCTGGAGCTGCTTTCCAGGAAACAGGCACGAAGACCAAACGCAAATGTCACAGTACCACACACACATCATTACAACATGTGACTTTTTGTATTTATCATCTCTCTCGACTTTGGTTAGATGAACAGGCAGGAGAGCCAGAATGGAAGCTTGGAGCGCAAACTTGGGATTCCAAAATGGGGTAGAGGCAGTATATATTAGGATCTCGGCAGCAGCCAAAATGGACTATTCTGTGGCCAATGAAGTCATTTGCAGGGACCTTGAGGTTGGGGTACAGGATGAGCTGGAATGAGGGGACTCGATGACCCGTGTACACCAGGCCGATCGGGTGAGCAGCGTTGGGCAATCTGGGTAGTGTGTCTGCATTTCTCAGGCCGACACTGGTGGAGACCCCACCCTCTGGTATTGGCGGTTGTGGAGTTTCTTGTTTTTGATGAATATGCTTGCATTTCGCTTTCTTGAGTTTTGCTCTGTGATTCTTGAACCAGACCTGAAGGGAAGAGAGAGAAGAGAATGGGGTGGAATTCAGATGACTTGTCATTCTATTTTTAAAAAATTTTTACTTTTTAATTTTTATTTTGTTAAACGTATTTTATTTATTTATATTCTTTTTTTTAACCTTTAAGTTTTTAACTTTTCTTTTTTTTTCCTTTTTTTGGCCCTTAAACTCTCCTAATATTTATTTATTTATTTATTTTTATTTTATTTTATTTTATTTTTGAGATGGAGTCTCACCTTGTCGCCCAGGCTGGAGTTCAGTGGCACCATCTCGGCTCACTGCAACCTCCGCCTCCCAGGTTCAAGCGATGCTTCTGCCTCAGCCTCCTGAGTAGCGGGGACTACAGGCTCACACCACTATGCCTGGCTAATTTTTGTATTTTTAGTACAGACAGGGTTTCACCATATTGGCCAGGCTGGTCTCGAACTCCTGACCTCATGATCCGCCCACCTCGGCCTCCCAAACTGCTGGGATTACAGGCATGAGCCACCATACCCAACCCAAGTTTTCCTTTTAGTTGATAATATGAGTACTTCTAGGTGAGAACAGCTAGTGCCACAGCTTGGCCACTTACATCCTCTTTGTGGAACCCTACTCAATCTACTCCCAGGAAGGAGCAGAAATGAGAGATTTTGGGGACAGAAATTGAGACAGGGGTCAGAAAACCCAGAGCAGGGGATAGGAGAGCAAGGGGATCAGTCGCAGGGGCTGCTCTGGGGCTCAGGCCAGCCAGCTAAGGCTGGTGGCCAAATCTGACCACCCCCTGTCTTTGTATCACCCATGCACTAAGAATAGGCTTTACGTTTTAAAATGGTTGAGAAAAAACAAACACAATAAGAGTACTATTTTGTGTTGTATGTGTGTTGGGACTGAAAGAAAAAAGAGAGAAAATAAAAGAATACTACTGGCCAGGCACAGTGGCTCATGCCTATAATCCCAGGACTCTGGGAGGCTGAGGTGGGTGGATCACTTGATTTCAGGAGTTTGAGTCCAGCCTGGGCAACATGACGAAACCCCATCTCTACAAAAAACACACAAATTGGCTGGGCCTGGTGGTACACACCAGTAGTATCAGCTGCTCGGGAGGCTGTAGTACCACACACCTGTAGTCCCACCTACTTGGGAATCTGAGTGGGAGGATGGCTTCAGCCCAGGAATTCAAAGCTGCAGTGAGCTATGATCGTGCCACTGCACTCCAATGTGGGCAAGAGCAACACCCTGTCTTAAAACAAAACAAAACAACACTATTTTGTAATGTGAAAATTGTATAAACTTCAGGCCAGGCGCAGTGGCTTATGCCTATAATCCTGACACTTTGGGAGGCCAAGGCAGGTGAATCACTTGAGACCAGGAGTTCAAGATCAGCCTCCTGGGCAATATAGCGAAACCCCATCTCTACAAAAAATAAAATACAGCCGGGCTCATGCTTGTAATCCCAACACTTTGGGAGGCGTAGTGTGCACCTGTAGACCTGTAGTCCCAGCTACTTGGGGTGCTGAGGTGGTAGGATTGCTTGAGCCCGGGAGGTCGAGGCTGCAGTGAGCTGTGATTGCACCACCGTGCTCCAACCTGAGTAAAAGAGTTTCTGGGAACACAGATGGGCCTCTTGTTTACGTTGTCTGTGGCTGCCTTCGCACTGTGGTGGCATAGTTAAAATAGTTGCTAGAGAGACGGTATGGCCCACAAAGCTTCAATTATTTACTACCTGGTCCTTTACTGGAAAAATTTTCCCATTCTTGCTCTAGGGGGTTGAAGAAAGGTTTACGGGGACGTGAGTAGGAGAGTGTGGGTTTGGGGAATATTGGCGATTGGAATGAGACCTCAGGAATTATCCTAGAGGGACTCTGAATTTAGATTAGATCAGGAAGGCAGTTTAGTGAGAAGAGGGATCATTTTCCAACCTGCAGTACTGTTGGGTGTATGTCTATTTTCGAGGCCATTTCTTTCTGAAGGCTGGGGTTTGGGTATGGGTTCTCATTGAACAAGATGTTCAGATCTTCCAGTTGCTTCTTAGTGAACATGGTTCGTTTCCTGTGTGAATGCATCTGGTCCTTGCCTTGAAAGAGGAGGAAAAAGACACAAATGGGAAATGCTAACAACTCCATTCTCAAAAGCCTGAGCTTTCCTTTCCTTTCCACTGAGGTACAACGTGATGATCAAGTGACTGAGGTTCTGTCACCGAGGCTGGAGTGCAGTGGCACAATCTCAGCTCACTGCAACCTCCACCTCCTGAGTTCAAGCGATTCTCCTGCCTCAGCCTCCCGAGTAGCTGGGATTACAGGCGCACGCCACCATGCCCGGATAATTTTTGTATTTCTAGCAGAGACAGGGTTTCACCATGTTGGCTAGGCTGGTCTCGAACTCCTGACCTCAGGTGATCCACCCGCCTCGGCCTCCCAAAGTGTTGGGATTACATGCGTGAGCCACTGTGCCCGGCCGTGACTGAGGTTCTTAGATATGGAGACACTGCTGGCCGGGGTCGTGCCTCAGGCTGCAGTCCCAGTACTGTGGGAGGCTGAAGCGGGAGGACAACTTGATCTGCCTTTTGTCCTTGTTTTTCCAAGCCTCATTTGTCATTTTCATAGGAAAAGGTTGTTCCTTTCCCCCTTGGTTCCTCCATCCTTTTTTTCTGTTATCATTTAAATATGGGATCCCTTGCTCACGCCTGTAATCCCAGCACTTTGGGAGGCCAGGGCGGGCAGATCATATCAGGTCATGAGTTTGAGACCAGCCTGGCCAGCATGGTGAAACCCCATCTCTATTAAAAACACAAAAATTTGGCCGGGCACAGTGGCTCATGCCTGTAATCCCAGCACTTTGGGAGGCCAAGGCGGGCGGATCATGAGGTCAAGAGATCAAGACCATTCTGGCTAACATGGTGAAACCCTGTCTCTACTAAAAGTACAAAAATTAGCTGGGCGTGATGGTGCACGCCTGTAGTCCCAGCTACTCGGGAGGCTGAGGCAGGAGAATCGCTTGAACCTCAGAGGCAGAGGCTGTGGTGAGCCGAGATTATGCCACTGCACTCCAGCCTGAGACAGAGGGAGACCCTGTCTCAAGAAAATAATAAATAAATAAATAAATAAATACGTAAATAAGGGATCGCTTGTGCCTTACCTCTTGGGTTCTATTTTCTTTGTGTAGAAATAGGCAACTCAATCCAAGGTGAAATGGATGGACATGGTTTTATTCTTATCATTTATTCAATGTTCATTAAGTATATTCTTTTAGGAATATAGCAAGGAAATAAGCAGAAAAATAACATCACTGCTGTCACGGATGTCACCTTTTACTTTCTTTTTCTTGAGACAGTGTACTGCTGTGTTGCCCAGTGGCATGATCACAGCTCACTTCAGCCTCAACCTCCCCAGGCTCAAGCGATCCTCTCACCTCAGCCTCCCGAGTAGCTGGAACTACACAACACTGACATGCCCGGCTAATTTTTGTATTTTTTGTAGAGACAACGTCTTGTTTTGTTGCCCAGGCTGGTCTTGAACTCCTGGGCTGAAGCGATCTGCCCACCTCGGCCTCCCAAAGTGCTGGGATTACAGGCATGAGCCACCGCATGCCTCGCTCTAAAAGATCTGAATCGCATCATGCCTGAAAATGGTTTGGCAGCAGCTCCAGAGTCTAGTAAGTGCTCATGAACATGAGATTTCCAGCTTGGCTAAGCCTATATTCTATCTAGGACCTAATCATCCTCATAGGAATCAGATTCCCCTGTGCTCAAGAACAAGCATCGGGGTGGGAAGAATTAGGACACAACTACGAGGGAGAAGATTTCGGATTTGAAGGCAGAAACAGGCTTCCCTGCATTTGCCTGTGCTGTCAGATGACAGCCGCGGCCGGGCACCGAGGCTCATGCCTGTAATCCCAGCACTTTGGGAGGCCGAGGCCAGCCAATCACATGAGGTCAGGGGCTTGAGACCAACCTAGCTAACATGGTGAAACCCCATCTCTATAAAGATACAAAACTTGGGCCGGGTGCAGTGGCTCACGCCTGTCACCCCAGCACTTTGGGAGGCTGAGCCAGACGGATCACAAGGTCAGGAGTTCGAGACCAGCCTGGTCAATATGGTGAAACCCCCGGCTCTACTAAAAATACAAAAAAAAAAAAAATTAGCCAGGTGTGGTGGCGTGTGCCTGTCATCCCAGCTACTCGGGAGGCTGAGGCAGGAGAATTGCTTGAACCTGGGAGGTGGAGGTTGCAGTGAGCCGAAATCGTGCCACTGCACTCCAGCCTGAGCGACAGAGTGAGACTGTCTCAAAAGACAAACAAAACAAAACAAAACAACAACAACAAAAACGATGACAGCCTCTGTGGGAAGTCCCTGCCACCCACGTGGACGAAGCACCAGCTTCGGCCGCCTGGTCCCTCTGCCTTTTCCCGCCGCCAGCTGCTTTCCACTTCTTCACGTGTCTTTGCTTCGGTTCTCATTTTTTCTGGCTTACCTTTACGAAGATCCTCTGAGCCTGGCATCTTCTAATCCAGATGTGCGCCTGGGTTCAGGTCCAGGGATAAGAACTAGCAAAGATCAAATCCGGATTTAAGTAGCTTCCTCCACAGCCACACCCGACTCCCACCTCCTCCACCTTTCTCTGCCCTATCTGCCTCCAATATGATCCCTCGGTCCTCCAGAGCCCCCTGGATTTCTCCCAATACTGTCATTTTATCTAATATTGATTGAGCGGAGACCAACGACTCAAAGGCGAGTCCACAAACCAGCCCCACTAACACTCCTGGGAGTTGTTAAAATGCAGAATCCTGGCCCACTCCAGACTTCCTGAGCAGAAGCTGCAATTTCTTTTCTTTTTTTCTTTTTCTTTGAGACAGAGTCCCACTCTGTCACCCAGGCTGGAGCGCAATGACACCATCTTGGCTCACTGCAGCCTCTGCCTCCCAGGTTCAAGGGATTCTCATGTCTCAGCCTCCCGAGTAGCTGAGATCACAGGCCTGTGCCACCACTCCTGACTAATTTTTGTATTTTTAGTAGAGACGGAGTTTCCGCCATGTTGGCCAGGCTGGTCTTGAACTCCTGCCCTCAACGTTTCTGACTCGGTCTGGGGTGGGATCTGATGATTTCCATATCTAACAAGCACCCAGGTGACCAGGCTCCGTAATGGGGACCGGGAATGTGATTGTGAATAATGAAGTCCAGGTTTAAACCCTAAAGGGGCTTTCAGGCAACTTATATATTCTTTAGTGGCTAATATATGCTTGGCATTGTTCTGCATATCCTGATTTAGTTAACTCACTCAGAAATCATCTCATTTTATTTATTTATTTATTTATTTAGAGATGGAGTCTCACTCTGTCACCCAGGCTGGAGTGCAGTGGCACGATCTCGGCTCACAGCAACCTCCGCCTCTCAGGTTCAAGCAATTCTCCTGCCTCAGCCTTCCCAGTAGCTGGGATTACAGGCACCCACCACCAAGCCTGGCTAATTACAGGTGGCTCACACCTGTAATCCCAGCACTTTGGGAGGCTGAGGCAGGCGGATCACCTGAGGTCAGGAGTTCGAGACCAGCCTGGCCAACATGGCGAAACCCCATCTCTACTAAAAATACGAAAATTAGCTGGGTGTGGTGGTGGGCACCTGTAATCCCAGCTACTCAGGAGGCTGAGGCAGGAGAATTGCTTGAACCCAGGAGGCAGAGGTTGCAGTGAGCTGAGATCGCACCACTGCACTCCAGCCTGGGTGACAGGAGTGAGACTCCATCTCAAAAAAATAAAAGAAAAAGCTGCAACACCTTTCAGATGCCCAGGCTCACACCATGTATACCTTTTATCTTGACGACAAGGGCAGTTTGACTTCAGGTTCACAGAAGTGGCAGTTTTTCTTGCCATTCCATCCATTTGAATCTCAGTTCTGCACATCTCTACTTGTGACAGTGGTTAGCCTTTGCATAAATGAGCTTGTAGCTACTTTTTTTTTTCTTTTTGAGACAGGGTCTTGCTATGTCTCAAAAAACACAGCTGACTGCAGCCTCGACCTACTGGGCTCAAGTGATCCTCCTACATTTGCCCCCAAGTAGCTGTGACTACAAAGGCCTAGGCCCAGCCTGGAGTGCAGTGGCAAAATCATAGCTCAATGCAGCCTTAACCTCCTGGGCCTAGGTGAGCCTCTCACCTAAGCCTCCTGAGTAACTGGGACTACAGGTGCACACTACCATACCCAGCTAATTTTTGCATTTTTTGTAGAGAAGGGATTTTGGCTAGGCTAGTCTCAAAGTCTTAGGCACAAGCCATCCTCCCACCTCAGCCTCCCAAAGTGCTGGGATTAGTAAGAGGCAGTCTGTGTTGCTCAGGCTGGAGGGCAATTCACAAGCTGATTCCACTACTGATCAGCATGAAAGTTTTTTTTTTTTTTTTTGAGATGGAGTCTCACTCTGTCGCCCAGGTTAGAGTGCAGTGGCGTGATCCCGGCTCACTGCAACCTCTGCCTCCTGGGTTCAAGCAACTCTCCTGCCTCAGCCTCCCAAATAGCTGGGATTATAGGCACATGCCACCATGCCCAGCTAATTTTTTTTTTTGTATTTTTAGTAGAGACAGGGTTTCACCATGTTGGCCAGACTGGTCTCAAACTCCTGACCTCAGGTGATCCATCTGCCTTGGCCTCCCAAAGTGCTGGGATTACATGTGTGAGCCACTGTGCCCAGCCAGCATGAAAATTTTGACCTGCTCCATTTTCAACCTAGACCATTTCCCCACTTCTTAGGCAACCTGGTGGGAGGTCACCATATTGATGCCGAACTTAGTGTGGATGCCCAATTGGCAGAGCACATTACAGCCTAGAACTCCTGGGTTCAAGCCATCCTCCCGCCTCAGCCTCCCAAAGTGCTGGGATTACAGGTGTGAGCCACTGCACCCGGCCTGATGAACAGTATATCTTTAGAGGTGAATAAGACATACCAAGCAACAATTTTAAACCACATTTTTATCTTGTGATAGTGTCAGAAACCAATTTAAAAAGAGCCTGTAATCTGCCGTCTGTTTCTCTGGATTTATCTTTTCCAGGTATTTCATTAAAAAAAAAAAATCATAGGCCGGACACAGTGGCTCACACCTGTAATCCCAGCAGTTTGGGAGGCCAAGAAGGGAGGATCGCTTGAGCCCAGGAGACCAGCTTTTCAAAAACTAAAATAAAATTACATTATATAATATGTAACCTTTTGTGTGCTGGCTTCTTTTACTGAGCATGTTGTTTTCAAGGTTTATCCTCATGGTATAATGTGTCGGTATCTCATTCCTCTTTTTTTTTTTTTTTTTTGAGACAGAGTCTTGCTCTGTTGCCCAGGCTGGAGTGCAGTGGCAGGATCTCAGCTCACTGCAACTTCTCTGCCTCCTAAATTCAAGTGATTCTCATGCCTCAGTCTCCTGAGTAGGTGGGATTACAGGTGTGCACTAACACGCCTGGCTAATTTTCGTATTTTTAGTAGAGACCTGGTTTCACCATGTTGGCCAGGCTGGTCTCAAACTCCTGGCCTCAAGTGATCTGCCCGCCTCGGCCTCCCAAAGTGCTGAGATTACTGGTGTGAGCCACTGCGCCAAGCCCCTTTTACAGCTGAATTATACTCCATTGTATGGATAAACCATATTGTTTAATCCATTCATTTGTGGATGGACAGGCCGGGAGGAGGAGGGAGTGGGGAATACCTGCTTATGGGACTTTATTTTAGAGTTAGGAAAGTGTTTTGGGGCCAGGCATGGTGGCTCACATCTGTAATCCCAGCACTTGAGAGGCCGAGGCGGGTGGATCACCTGAGGTCAGGAATTTGAGACCAGCCTGGCCAACATGGAGAAACCTCATCTCTACTAAAAATACAAAATTAGCCGGGTGCGGTGGCACATGCCTGTAATCCCAGCTACTCGGGAAGCTGAGGCAGGACAATCATTTGAACCTGGGAGGCAGAGGTGGCGGTGAGTGGAGATCGTGTCATTGCCCTCCTGCCCGGGCAAGAAGAGCGAAACTCTGTCTCAAAAAAAAAAACAGAAAGAAAAAGTTTTGGAACTACCTAGAGGTGGTGGTTGCACAACACTGTGATGTACTAAATGCCACCGAACCGCTTATTTTTAAATGGTTAATTATATGTTATTCGTATGTCACCACAGTTAGAGAAAAACACTAAGAAGTGTCAAAGTTCACTTATCAGAGCTACAAAGACCTGCTTTCCCTCATGCTGGTACCATTAGTCCAAAGATGCTAAACCCAAGGACTGATTATTTTTATTTTTATTATATTTGAGACAGGGTCTTGCTCTGTTGCTCAGGATAGAGCACAGTGGTATTTTATTTTATTTTATTTTAGGTTTCAGAGACAAGGTCTCACTGTGTTACCCAGGCTGGTCTCAACCTCCAGGATCAAGTAATCCTCCCACCTCAGCCTCCCAAATCACTGGGATTATAGGCGTGGGCCACTGCACCCAGCAACTTTGATTACATGTATCTTTGGGTATACTTTTGCCCCTTATCCTGGGTTAAAGGTAGGGCCAGCTACTGTATGTTGACATCAGAACAGCCCAAGCGCTTGCTTTAGAAATTTTTTTTTATTTTTGAGATGGAGTCTTACTCTGTCGCCCAGGCTGGAGTTCAGTGGCTTGATCTCAGCTCACTGCAACCTCCGCCTCCCGGATTCAAGCAATTCTCCTGCCTCAGCCTCCTAAATAACTGGGATTACAGGCAAGCGCCACCATGCCCAGGTAATTTTTGTATTTGCCACGTTGGCCAGGCTGGTCTCGAACTCCTGATTGCAAGTGATCTCCCCGCCTCGGCCTCCCAAAGTGCTGGGAGTACAGGCGTGAGCCACCACACCCAGACAAAAACTTTTTGTGTTAAGAAAAACATCTTGGCTGGGCACGGTGGCTCATGTCTGTACTCCCAGCACTTTGGGAGGCCGAGGTGGGCGGATCACCTGAGGTCAGGAGTTCGAGACCAGCCAGGCCAACGTGGCGACAGCCCGTCTCTGCTAAAAAAGTACAAAAATTAGCTGGGCATGGTGGTAGGCGCCTGTGATCCCAGCTACTGGGGAGGCTGAGGCAGGAGAATTGCTTGAACCTGGGAGGCAGAGGTTGCAGTGAGCCAAGATCACGCCATTGCACTCCAGCCTGGGCAATAAGAGTGAACTCTGTCTCCAAAAAAAAAAAAAAGAAAGAAAGAAAGAAAAACATCTCTCCCTTCCAAGTCCTTCTCCAGGAGTTCTTCCACTCCTTCCCTCTTGTGAGAGGCCTCAGTATATTAATTAAGTGTTCTCAGTGATGCTTACTGGAGTCTGAAAAAGCACACCTCAAGGATAAGCCTGCTTTTAAGGGGAGAAAAGAAGACTTGAATGAACAAAGTTTACAAGTCTTAGTGGTGGTTTTCAAAGACAGCTGTATATTATCATTCTCAGGATTATAAGAAAATGCCTTCGGCTTCACTCCAGGCTCAGTCCACTTGAATCTCTGCGGGTGGAGTCTAAGTACGAGGATTTGTAAATAATCCTTCTACTGCGCAAATAGGGCTGGAAACCGCTGGCTCTGTTGCCATGTTTAGAGGGATTAAATTGGTGTCCTAAAGAATCACCTTGGAGGCTGAGAAGTCAAGATGTGCAACAGAGGGGCCACGAGCAGTCAACCCCAGCACTTTGGGAGGTCGAGGCAGGCAGATCACCTGAGGTCAGGAGTTCAAGACCAGCCTGGGCAACATAGTGAAACCCTGACTCTACTAGAAATACAAAAAAAATTAGCCAGGCGTGATGGCAGGCGCCTATAATCCCAGCTACTCGGGAGGCTGAGGCACCAGAATTGCTTGAACCCTGGAGGCGGAGGCTACAGTAAGCCAAGATGACGCCACTGCACCCCAGCCTGGGAGAGAGTAAAAAGATGTCGAACAGAGTGCTTGAGACGGCCCATGAGAACCTCACGCCTTGACTAACACTCATTGCCAAACCGGAAGACCAGTCCTGGGAAGGAGTCTGGCCACCACTCCCAGAATATCACTGGGATTAATATGATCTGTGCCTGGGGCACAATCTCTAGTCTTTTTTTCTTTTTGGAGATAGAGTCTCCCTCTGTCTCCCAGGCTGGAGTGCAGTGCTGTGATCCCAGCTCACTGCAGCCTTGACCTCCTGGGCTCAAGCGATCAGCCTCCTCAGTAGGTAGCTGGGACTAGGGTGCCTGCCACCATGCACAGCTAATTAAAACTTTTTTTGTAGAGATGGGGGTCTCACGGTGGGGCGTGGTGGCTTATGCCTGTAATCCCAGCACTGTGGGAGGCAGAGGCAGGTGGATCACCTGAGGTGAGGAGTGTGAGACCAGCCTAGCCAACATGGTGAAAACCCATCTCTACTAAAAATACAAAAATTAGCTGGGGCCAGTCACGGTGGCTCACGTCTGTATTCCCAGCATTTTGGGAAGCCAAGGCTGGTGGATCGCTTGAGGTCAGGAGTTTGTGACCAGCCTGGGCAACATGGTGAAGTCTCGTCTGTACCAAAAATACAAAAAATTAGCTGGGTTTGGTGGCACGTGCCTGTAGTCCCTGTTACTCAGGAGGCTGAGGTGGGAGGACCACTTGAGCCTTGGAGGCAGATGTTGCAGTGAGCCGAGATTATGCCCCTGCACTCTAGCCTGGGTGACAGAGTGAGACCCTGACACACACAAAAAAGGGGGGGCACTGGGCACAGTGGCTCACACCTGTAATCCCAGCACTATGGGAGGCTGAGGCAGGCAGATCACCTGAGGTCAGGAGTTCCAGACCAGCCTGGCCAACATGGTGAAACCCCGTCTCTACTAAAGACACAAAAATTAGCCGGGTGCGGTGACACACACTTGTAGCCCCAGCTACCTGGGAGGCTGAGGCAGGAGAATCACTTGAACCTGGAAGGTGAAGGTTGCAGTGAGCTGAGATCACACCATTGCCCTCCAGCCTGGGCAACACGGTGAGACTCCCTCTCAAAAAAAAAAAAGGAATTATGAGAAGAGGCAGAGGCATGAGATCTCTGTGTCTCATGTTAATGTTCTCCAGGGAGTGCTCACCACAGAGAAGATCCTGAGCAACCAGGAAGAGAGGGTGCCTTGTGCAGTGGGCATCACTGAGGCTCTATCCTCAGACCACTGCTTGTATAATGCACCCATGAACAGAGACGCGGTAGCAGGGTAGCAGGAGAAGAGACGAAGGATGTGCCTAATAGCATGAGCTGTCTCTCATGAAAGCTGAGCTCATTATCACAGCCTGGGAGTTTCTGGCTGTGATCAGGGCCAGACACGCTGGCTCATGCCTGTGATAAGAGTACCAGTGAGAGGCCGAGGCGGGAGGATCGCTTGAGGCCAGGAGTTTGAGATGAGTCTGGGTAAAAAAGCCAAATCCTGTCTCTACAAAAAAAATTTTTCAATTAGCCAGGCATGGAGGCATGCACCTATAGTCCTAGTACTCCAGAGGCTAAGGCAGGAGGATCGCTTGAGCCCAGAAGGTTGAGCTATGGTGGTGCCACTGCACTCTAGGCTGGGCGACAGAGCGAGACCCTGTCTCAAAAAAAAAAAAAAAAAAGCCCATGATGACACCTTGATCTGCTATTGTCCTTTAAGGGGAATGACTGACTAGTTAGTGGTAAGTTGATTACATTTCATCCTTTCCCCCGGAGAGGGCAGTGGTGGAGGTGATTGATTTGTGCTTCCTGTTTCTGTGACCATACCACCGGGAACACGCCCGATCTCATCTGATTTGTATTTCCTGGAATTGATGTGTTTTCTTTCTTTCTTTCTTTCTTTTTTTTTTTTTTTGTGACTGTCGCCCAGGCTGGAGTGCAATGGCCTGATCTCAGCTCACTGCAATGCCCGTCTCCCGGGTTCAAGCGATTCTCGTGCCTCAGTTTCCCGAGTAGGTGTAAGCCACCAGGCCCAGCCATTTTCTAACATCCTTGTAATCCCAGCACTTTGGGAGGCCAAGGCAGGTGGATCACTTGTGGCCAGGAGTTCAAGACCAGCCTGGCCAACATGGTGAAACCCCATCTCTACTAAAAATACAAAACAAAAGGCTGGGCACAGTGGCTCACGCCTGTAATCCCAACTACTCAGAAGGCTGAGGTAAGAGTACGGCTTGAAACTGGGAGGCTTCAGTGAACCGAGGTTGCAGTGAGCCAAGATCAAGCCACTGCACTCTAGCCTGGGCGACAGAGTGAGACTCTGTCTCAAAAAAAACAAAAAACAAAACAAAAAAACAGCTGGGCATGGTGGCTCCCTGTGCCTGTAATCCCAGCCCTTTGGGAGGCCAGGGAGGGCAGATCACCTGAGGTCAGGAGTTTGAGACCAGCCTGGGCAACAGGCAAAACCCCGTCTCTACTAAAAAAGTACAAAAATTAGCTGGGCGTGGTGGCGGGCACCTGTGATCCCAGCTACTCAGGAGGCTGAGGCAGAAGGATTGCTTGAACCTGGGAGGCAGAGGTTGAAGTGAGTCGAGATTGCGCCACTGCACTCCAGCCTGGGTGACAGAGCAAGACCCTGTCTCAAAAAAAAAAAAAAAAAAAAAAAAAAGGTACAACAATCAGTGCATTAATATGAAATACACTCTTTACATCGCATATTTATTACCTTATACAGAAAGAGCTGCCATCATGGGATAACATAATGGTTATTATTTATTTATTTATTTATTTATTTTTTGAGACGGAGTTTCACTCTTGTTGCCCTGGCTGGAGTGCAATGGCGCAATCTTGGCTCACTGCAACCCCTGCCTCCTGGGTTCAAGAGGTTCTCCTCCCTCAGCCTCCTGAGTAACTGGGATTACAGGCGCCTGCCATCATGTCCAGCTAATTGTGTATTTTTAGTAGAGACGGGGTTTCACCATGTTGGCCAGGCTGGTGTCAAACTCCTGACCTCAGGTAATTCACTTACTTTGGCAAGCGTAATCCCAAAGTGTTGGGATTACAGGCGTGAGCCATTGCGCCAGGCCAGGAATGGCTTTTTGTTTTTTTTGAGATGGAGTTTCACTCTCGTTGCCCAGGTTGGAGTGCAATGGTGCAATCTCTGCTCACTGCAACCTCTGCCTCCCGGATTCAAGCGATTCTCCTTCCTCAGCCTCCCAAGTAGCTGGGATTATAGGCATGTGCCACCATGCCAGGCTAATTTTGTATTTTTAGTAGAAATAGGGTTTCTCCATGTTGGTCAGGCTGGTCTCAAACTCCCAACCTCAGGTGATCCGCCCTCCTCGGCCTCCCAAAGTGCTGGGATTACAGGCGTGAGCCACCATGCCCAGCCAGGAATGGCCTTTTATTTATTTATTTATTTATTTATTTATTTATTTTTTTGAGACAGAGTCTCACTCTGTCGCCCAGGCTGGAGTGCAGTGGCACAGTCTCAGCTCACTGCAACCTCCACCTCCTGGGTTCACGCCATTCTCCTGCCTCAGCCTTCTGAATAGCTGGGACTACAGGCGCCTGCCACCAGGCCCAGCTAATTTTTTTTGTATTTTTGGTAGATACAGGGTTCCACCATGTTAGCCAGGATGGTCTCGATCTCCTGACCTCGTGATCCGCCCGCCTCAGCCTCCCAAAGTGCTGGGATTACAGGTGTGAGCCACCGGGCTTGGCCCAGGAATGGCTTTTTAAAGGGCTCAACTAAAGTGTCAGCCCAGGTATAACATCCCATGGGTTTGGGGTGCTGTCCTCTAAGATGCAATATCTGCATATAACCAACAGTCAATATAAGGGGCTGTGACCCTAGTAGTTAGAATATACAGGTGTAGCTACCAGGGAGTGAAACAGAATTGGCATTTATCAATATCCTGTCTAGGGACCCACTTGAAGAAATTGTGCTTCTAGTCCCCAAACCTTATCTGGCGTGATGTCTTCATTTTTGAAGAGGGAACACTTTCACCAAGAAGCACAGTAAGGTTTTCTGCCTGGTGACTGTGGGCTCTTCAGGCTGATAAAGCACTGGGCAGAGAAATGAGGTAGTTGGCGGGCATGGATAATCAACCACGAGCATTATGAAGAGACTGGGTTGCTGCTGCATATTGGGCAGGAAGGTTCTTGTCTGGAACTCAGAGAATTCCCCATGCCCAGCAGGAAGTTGCACAACCACAGCCCTGTAAAAGTACAGTAACTGAGATAACACCAAGGGAGGGTAGAATCAGACTCTTAATAAGACGAGGTCTCATTATGTTACCTAGGCTGATCTTACGCTTCTGGGCTCAAGTGATCTTCCTGCCTCAGTCTCCCAAAATGCTGGGATTGTAGGCATGAACCACCACGCCCAGCCCCTCTCTCTCTCTCTCTTAACTAAATATGTGACGCTGACATTTTCCAGTGGCTCATGCCCATAAACCCCTAAATTCCTTGTTTACTGCAAGACATCAAGAAAGAACAAGTATGTCCTGCTGAAAGCATCTCACAGATAAGAATCTCTGGTTGTTTTCCTCTAATAAATACCATGAGATCTGATTAGCATGTTTACAAAGAAGTTTGACCAAGGGATGCCTCCTCAGACATCACCAGGTTGGGAGAAAGAATGGATTATAGACTAGTTAACCTTTTCCTTCCTAGCAACACCAGACTCAGATCTCTCAGAAACAAAGGCCTGAGTCACCCTAGCAGGCAAATGAGTTACAAAAAATGAAGTACTGGCCCACCATGAGGAAATGTAGACGACGTGGGGGAAACAGATGAGTATCAGTAATGGTTTGGGGCCCACATAACAATGAGGATTGTAGTTTGCTCTGGTAAACATATTGTATTGAAAATTTTAAATAGCTATAGCAGCCTACAAATGCGTGCCTAAGAATGTGCAGAAACTATTTTTTTCTAGGAAAGATTGCCTTTTGTTTTTTTTTGGAACAGAGTCTTGCTCTGTTTCCCAGGGTGGAGTGCAGTGGCGTGATCTTGACTTACTGCAACCTCTACCTCCAGGTTCAACCGATTCTCCTGCCTCAACCTCCCTAGCAGCTGGGATTACAGGTGCTGACCACCATGCCCAGCTAATTTTTTGTATTAGCGTTTCACCATGTTGGCCAGGCTGGTCTGGAACTCCTGACCTAAAGTGATCAGTCTGCCTCAGCCTCCCAAAGTGCCGGGATTATAGACGTGAGCCACCATGCCTGGCCTGTATTGAAAATTTTATATAGATCGTGGCTGGATCTTTGCTTCAAGACTTAATGACTAAATGAACTTACATATAGAAATGAGGCTGGGTGCAGTGGCTTATGCCTGTAATCCCAGCACTTTGGGAGGCACGGGTGGGAGGATCATTTGAGGCCAGGAGTTCAAGACCAATCTGGGCAACAGAGCAAGCCCTTGCCTCTACAAAAAATAAAAAAATTAGCCGGGCACTGTGGCATGCAACTGCAGTCCCAGCTACTCCAGAGGCTGAGGCAGGAGGATTGCTTGAACCCGGGGGGTTGGGACTTTAGTGAACCTTAATTGTGCCCCTGCAATCTAGCCTGGGTGACACAGTGAGACCTTGTATCTGAAAAAAAATAAAAAATAAAAAATATGGAAATGAGCATTTTCAAGAAGCACAAGGATTGTTCAGTAGCAGATGTCCATATCATACTCTCTTGTACACCTCTAATTTTAACCTGAGCCTCACTGTTCAGTCTCATGAAAGCAGAGACTCACTTGATTCTACCATACTCTCACCTCATGCACGTGCCATACATCTTTGTAGTATTTTGCTCTGGGGTCCTTTCTGCTGTCATTTATCCCATAGAAAATAGCTTTGGCAGGCTGGGCATGGTGGCCCACGCCTGTAATCCCAGCACTTTGGGCGGCTGAGGCAAGTGGATCACCTGAGGTCAGGAATTCGAGACCAGCCTGGGCAACAAGGTGAAAACCCGTCTCTACTAAAAATACAAAATTTAGAGATCATGCCACTGCACTCCAGCCTGGGCAACAGAGTGAGACTTGGTCTCAAAACAACAATAACAAAAAATTTAAAATGGAAAATAGCTTTGCCCCGGGCGGGGTGGCTCACACCTGTAATCCCAGCACTTTGGGAGGCCAAGGCAGACAGATCACTTGAGGCCAGGAGTTCGAGACCAGCCTGACCAACATGGTGAAACCCCATCTCTACCAAAAAATGCAAAAAATTAGCCGGGCATAGTGACGCATGTCTGTAATCCCAGCTGCTCAGGAGGCTGAGGCAGGAGAATCTCTTGAACCCAGGGGGCAGAGGTTGCAGTGAGCCAAGATCACACCACTGCACTCCAGCCTAGGGGACAGAGGAAGACCCTGTCTAAAGAAGAAAATAGGCCGGGTACGGTGGCTCACACCTGTAATGTCAGCACTTTGGGAGGCCAAGGTGGGCGGATCATGAGGTCAGGAGATCGAGACCATCCTGGCTAACATGGTGAAACCCTGTCTCTACTAAAAATACAAAAAAACAGCCGGGCAAGGTGGCAGGTGCCTGTAGTCCCAGCTACTGGGGAGGCTGAGGCAGGAGAATGGCTTGAACCCGGGAGGCGGAGCTTGCAGTGAGGCGAGATCACGCTATAGCACTCTAGCCTGGGGGACAGAGCGAGACCCTGTCTAAAGAAGAAAGTAGCTTTGAACTGCAGGAAGTCAACATGTCTCAGGGAAAGCCTCACCCAATGTGGGATGAAATTTGGCACAGAAATGTCCCAGTCTTTCATCTCTGTGACAGGGGATGAGGCAGGGGATGATAAGAGGAAGCGTAAACAGTCTTCAACAGGCTTCAAAGGAATCAAGCCCTCATTGTCCACTTCACAGACTTCAGCAACTTATCCTTTTTTTTTTTTTTTTTTGAGATAGAGTCTCACTCTGTCACCCAGGCTGGAGTGCAGTGGCATGATCTCGGCTCACTGCAATCTCCACCTCCCAGGTTCAAGCAATTCTCCTGCCTTTGCCTCCTGAGTAGCTAGGACCACAGGCGTCTGCCACCAGGCCCAGCTAATTTTTTCTGTTTTTTGTTTTTTTTTTTTTTGAGATGAAGTTTCACTCTTGTCGCCCAGGCTGGAGTGCAATGGCACGATCTCGGCTCATCGCAACCTCCGCCTCCCAGGTTCAAGTGATTCTCCTGCCTCAGCCTCCCAAGTAGCTGGGATTACAAGCATGCACCACCACGCAAGGCTAATTTTTGTATTTTTAGTAGAGACAGGGTTTCTCCATGTTGCTCAGGCTGGTCTCTAACTCCCAACCTCAGGTGATCCGCCCGTCTCGGCCTCACAAAGTGCTAGGATTACAGGCGTGAGCCACCGCACCCGGCCTGTTTTCTGCATTTTTAGTAGAGACAGAGTTTCACTATGTTGGCCAGGCTGGTCTCAAACTCCCGACCTTGTGATCTGCTCGCCTCGGATTCCCAAAGTGCTGGGATTACAGGCATGAGCCACCACGCCTGGCCTCAACATGTCCTTAGATAAGGTGTTGGCTCCCCATCCTTTCCTGTCTTACTCTCCCTGCTACCTCCCTCTTGGTTTAGGATCACATTCTAAATAAACCTCTGGAACTGAAGCCTTTGTATCAGTGTCTGCTTTAGAGAACCCAAATTAAGTTAGTGTCATTCCGATCAACAGAATGGAGGCAGAGATACAATCAACAGGGATGTAAAAAGGACATGAAAATGAAAGGTCTCCATTTCCCTAGAAAAGATTAATCTGTTACAAGGATAAAAGACTACTGGCTGGGCGCGGTGGCTCACACCTGTAATCCCAGCACTTTGGGAGGCCGAGGCGGGTGGATCACCTGAGGTCAGGGGTTCAAGACCAGCCTGACAAACATGGCAAAACCCTGTCTCTGCTAAAAGTACAAAATTAGCCGGGTTTGGTGGCGTATGCCTGTAATCCCAGCTACTTGGGAGGCTGAGGCAGGAGAATTGCTTGAACCTGGGAGGTGGAGGTTGCAGTGAGCCAAGATAGTGCCACTGCACTCCAGCCTGGGTGACAGAGCAAGTCTCCGTCCAAAAAAAAAAAAATCTGGAGACAATATGAATAATTTCCATTTTTCTATCTCTGAGTCTTTAGTACTCTTTTTTTTTTTTTTTTTTTAGAGATGGGGTCTTGCTATGTTGCCCAGACTGGTCTCCCAACTCCTTGAACTCCTTGGTTCAAGCGATCCACCCACCTTGGCATCCCAAAGTGCTAGGATTACAGGCATGAGCTACCATGTCCATAGTAGTGTTTATTTTTTATTTTTTCTTATTTTGTTTTTTAATTAGTATTTATTTCTGTTCCTTTCATACATGTTATTGTTCAGGCAGCAGTCTTACATACCTATCTGAAATAATCTACCATCACACACTCTAGTTAAAGCCAAAGCTCCGTAGGTAAAGCTGACCAGCTGTCCAGAGTTCTCAGCTCATGGAATCTTGCTTCTTGATTTTATGTTAATTTCTGAAAGTCAGAAATGTCATCTCCAAAAAGTGTTAAGGGGGTTGTAAAAAATAATCACTATATTTGCTATTATAGTTGTAGGTATGCAGTATATTTTCTTTTCTTTCTTTCTTTCTTTTTTTTTTTTTGAAACAGAGTCTCGCTCTGTCGCCCAGGCTGGAGTGCAGTGGCAGCGATCTAGGCTCACTGCAGCCTCCGCCTCCCAGGTTCACGTGATTCTCCTGCCTCAGCCTTCCAAGTAGCTGGGATTACAGGTGCCCCGCCACCACCACGCCCGGCTAATTTTTGTATTTTTAGTAGAGATGGGGTTTCAACATGGTGGCCAGGCTGGTCTGGAACTCCTGACCTCGTGATCTGCCCACCTTGGCCTCCCAAAGTGCTGGGACTACAGAAGTGAGCCACCGCGCCTGGCTTGTATTTTCTTAAAGAAATAAAAAACTAAGAAGAAAATGCCACTCATCATCATTGGTATAGCAATGTGGTCAGCAGGAAAAGAAAATACTGTGATAAATTTGTCTCTTTAATAAAGAAGAAATTCTAGTCCAAGCTTCAATACACTTCCTGGTTTTTCACTAGATATTTCTTTTACTGCTGCTCTTCCTTCTTTTCTACATCTCATATTAGAGGATTGGACAGCCTTTAAAACTTCATTGACAGGAGCAAATCCAGTATGCACTGATTTCTTTTTTTTTTTCTTTTTTTTTTTTTTGGTGAGACGGAGATTTACTCTTGTTGTCCAGGCTGGAGTGCAATGGTGCGATCTCGGCTCACCGCATCCTCTGCCTCCCGGGTTCAAGCAATTCTCCTGCCTCAGCCTCCCGAGTAGCTGGGATTACAGACATGTGTCACCACGCCTGGCTAATTTTGTATTTGTAGTAGGGATGGGGTTTTACCATGTTGCCCAGGCTGATCTCGAACTCCTGACCTCAGATAATCCGCTCGCCTCGGCCTCCCAAAGTGCTGGGATTACAGGCGTGAGCCACTGCACCCAGCCTGATTTCTTCTTAAAGGCACTCTAACCCATCAGAGAGCCCGGTAGTTTCATTCTCACGAATACTCTAGCCGTGAAAAAAACTCAATAGGACACAGACGAATCCAACGAATAGAAGAAGAAATCTATTGAGTTTTGGGATATTTGGTGCATTCGATCGGTCCAGGATTATGAAACCTAAACCTCCCATTGTAAACAGGAAGCTGGATCCAAGTCCTTCCATAATAATATTGTCCACTTACTCTGTAGGCCAAGAAAGCTACTGGCCTCTGATGCCCTTGTTCATCAGTCATAGAGCCAACACCTGGCGGTTCAACCGTAACATCATAAACGATTCCTCTGGTGATGAGG
This sequence comes from Homo sapiens, assembly GCF_000001405.40. Taxonomy (NCBI): domain Eukaryota; kingdom Metazoa; phylum Chordata; class Mammalia; order Primates; family Hominidae; genus Homo; species Homo sapiens. Next base: position 53,616,928 of record NC_000019.10, on the reverse strand, counting down.
AAGTAAGACACCACCACCAGAGCATACATAGTCATGGCCAACGGCATGTGCAGCCAGGGCGGCTTCTTCAGCTTCAGGTTGGGACATTCAAGCGCTAAGAACGGGACACGGTACAAAGTCTCCATGTTGGTGGCAGCAAGGGCCATTCTCGGCCTCTATTTTTTCTTATTTTTTGAGACAGAGTTTCGCTCTTGTTGCCCAGGCTGGAATGCAATGGTGCGATCTTGGCTCATTGCAACCTCTGCCTATGAGGTTCAAGGGATTCTCCCGCCTCAGTTTCCCAAGTAGCCGGAATTACAGGCATGCACCACCAAACCTGGCTAATTTTGTATTTTTAGCAGAGATGGGGTTTTGCCATGTTGGTTAGGCTGGTCTCGAACTCCTGACCTCAAGTGATCCACCCGCCTCAGCCTCCCAAAGTGCTGGGATTACAGGCGTGAGCCACCATGCCAGGTCCAGTACAGTCTTTTAAATAAATGACACTGGGACAGCTGAACATCCATATGGAAAAAAGGTGTTTGACCTCCACCCCATGCTATATATACGGAAGATTAATTCTAGTGGGTTGTAGATTGAATTGTAAAGGCAGAACAATGAAGTTTACAGAAGAGCTTCATGTCTTCACGCTAGGGAAACACTTCTTTTTTATTTTATTTTTTATTTATTTATTTTTTTTGAGACAGAGTTTCACTCTTGTTGCCCAGGCTGGAGTGCAATGGCGCAATCTCGGGTCACTGCAACCTCCGCCTCCTGGATTCAAGCGATTCTCCTGCCTCAGCCTCCCGAATAGCTGGGATTACAGACATGCACCACCACGCCCAGCTAATTTTGTACTTTTAGTAGAGACAGGGTTTCTCCATGTTGGTCAGGCTGGTCTCGAACTGCTGACCTTAGGTGATCCACCCGCCTCGGCGTCCCAAAGTGCTGGGATTACAGGGGTGAGCCACCACACCCAGCCCCGCCTTTTTTAATTTTTAATTTAAAAAAATTGGAGACAAGGGTTTCACTATGTTGCCCAAGCTGGTCTTGAACTCCTGGGTTCAAGTGATCCTCCCACCTTGGCCTCCCAAAGTGCTAGGATTGCAGGTGTGAGCCACCACACCCAGCCAGGAAACACCTCTTAAACAGAAGAAAAAAATGCTAACCATAACAGGAAAAATCGAACTTTTCATTATATTAAAATTAAGAAAAATAAAAAGTAATAAAAGAGGACTGTAGTAAAAAAATAAATAAAAATAAAATTAAGGATTTATATTAATCAGAAGAAACTAGGAAAAGATTTCCCATAACATAATAGCAGGAACCTAAATCTGAATCTTCATACATTCTTTAAAATTAGACAGCTCTGGGCCAGGCACAGTGGCTCGCACCTGTAATCCTAGCATTTTGGGAGGCCAAGGTGGGCGGATCACTGGAAGTCAGGAGTTTGAGACCAGCCTGGCCAACATGGCAAAACCCCGTCTCTGCTAAAAATACAAAAATTAGCCAGGCGTGGTGGCACGCACCTGTAATCCCAGCTACTCAGGAGGCTGAGGTAGGAAAATCACTTGAACCCAGGAGGTGGAGGTTACATTGAGCCAAGATCACGCCACTGCACTCCAGCCTGAGTGACAGAGTGAGACTGCGTCTCAAAGAAAAAAAAAAATTAGACAGATCTGGCTGGACACAGTAGCTCATGCCTATAATCCCAGCATTTTGGGAGGCTGAGGTGGGCGGGTCACCTAAGGCCAGGAGTTCGAGACCAGCCTGGTCAATATGGTGAAACTCTGTCTCTACTACAAGTCCAAAAAATTAGCTGGGCATGATGGCATTGAGAGGCTGAAGCACTCCAGCCTGGGTGACAGAGGAAGAATCCGTCTAAAAAAAAAATTAGATAGATCAACAGAACAAAGTAAATTACAAATTAAACACCCACAACTATAGCACCACAAATGATCTTTTTAAAAGTATATATTTAACTGAAAAAAAAAATAGAGAGACAGGGTCTTTCTATGTTCCCCAGGCTGGTCTGAAACTCCTGGGCTCAAGAGATCCTCCTGCCTTAGCCTCCCAAAGTGTTAGGATTACTGGTGTGAGCCACCATGCCTGGCCACAAATGATCTTAACCCTACCTAATCCTAGACACAAAAATCTACAAATGAACTGCAGACCTAAAATCAGAAAATAAAACAATGTTTTGTTTTAGAAGACAACACAGAAGAATGTCTTTATTACATAGAGGTAAGCTAACATTTGCTAGATAGGACCCAAAAATTTTTACAATGAAGAAAATATATAAATTAGACTATATTAAAATTAAGGACTTTTTGCTATAACAAGATGTCTTAGAAAATAAAATAAAATTAACGACTTCTGTTTCATTAAAAATTTTTTTTTTCTTTTTCAAACTTTTGGAGAGATGAGGGTCTCGCTATGTTGCCCAGGTTGGTCTTGAACTCCTGGTCTCAAGTAATTCTTCCACCTAGGCCTCTGAAAGTATTGAGATTACAGGCGTGAGCCACCGTGGTCCGCCTATTAAGGGTCTTCTTCCTCTTTCACCCAGGCTGGAGTGCAGTGGTAAGAGCATAGCTCATTGCTGCCTCAAACTCCCAGGCTCAAGGGATCCTTCCTTCTCAGCCTCCAAGTAGCTGGGACCACAGGCACGCACCATCGCTCATGGACAATTTAAAGATTCTTTTAGGCCAGGTGCAGTGGCTCACGCCTGTAATCCCAGCACTTTGGGAGGCCGAGGCGGGCAGATTACGAGGTCAGGAAATTGAGACCATCCTAGCTAACATGGTGAAACCCCATCTCTACTAAAAATACAAAAAATTAGCAGGGCGTGGTGGTGTGCACCTGTAGTCCCAGCACTTGGGAGGCTGAGGCAGAAGACTGGCATGAACCCAGGAGGCAGGGTTTGCAGTGAGCCGAGATCAGGCCACTGCACTCCAGCCTGGGCAACAGAGTGAGACTTTGTCTCAAAAAAAAAAAACAAAGGAAATACTACCCACTGGAGAAATGGGCAAAAGGCTTGGACACATATTTTACAAAGGCAAAATATCCACACGGCCAATAAACGTAGGAAAAAAAAATCCTCAATCTCCTTCGTCATTGGAGAAGTGGTCCTTGAGAATTATTTAGGGGGGCTCATTAGGGGCCATGTTCTGTCCCAATTCCGTATGAAACTCTTGTTATGTGGGTTTGAAATGATTCCAAACGCATCGTTTGGGGTTGTGGAGTACACTCTTCCCTTCCTTCTAGTGCGTGACTTCTTATCAGATCTCACAAGAGGCCAGGCGCGGTGGCTCATGCCTGTAGTCCCAGCACTTTGGGAGGCCGAGGTGGGCAGATCCCTTGGGGTCAGGAGTTTGAGACTGGCCTGGCCAACATGGTGAAACCCCCGTCTCTACTAAAAATACAAAAAAAAAAAAAAAATTAGCGGGGCATGATGGCACGCACCCGTAATTCCAGATACTTGGGAGGCTGAGGCAGGATAATTGCTAGAACCTGGGAGGTGAAGGTTACAGTCGAGCTGAGATGGTGCCACTGCACTCCAGCCTGGGTGACAGAGCGAGATTCCATCTCAACAACAACAACAAAGATCTCACACGTGACAACGTGCAGTGACCTCCCCCCTCCTCTTGGACCCCATATGTGAGCTGTTGATTTTGGTCTTTGAAATACATAGATCCACAAGAGTTTGACAGGCGCTTTGAAAGCTTAGACTGTGGCAGGCTAATATTGGGGCTCAGAAACCGATAACCTCAAAACAAAGGCTTCCGAAGCAGCTTCAGAAGCGGAAGTTTCTTCCTGACCCTCCTTCTCCCCCAAGGCTAGCCATAGAAACTAGAAACTGTCTTTCCCAAAGTGAGCCATAGACACCAGAATCCCTTTTCCCCAAATCCTGCCATAAAACCTAAAATCTCTGACTCTAATTTTCCCTCCATCTTCCCTGTAAACACTGACCATAAAGGAATTCCTGTCCTATCTTGTTTGGTTTTAGGTCTATGACCCTCATTCCAGAGAGGCTTCTGCCCTCTGCCCAGCAGGAGGGAAGGCTGCTCAGAGAGGCCAGGAGGAATGCAGAGAGACAGGTTTGCTGGGTTCCCCGTCCGCCCGACCCCTGCAGTCTATGACCTTTAGATCAGATCCATTTTGTCCAATCCTATTTCTTTTCTTTCTTCCTTTTTTAAAAATATTCTTTAACATAGAGAGGGGGTCTTTTTTTTCTTTTTTTCTTTTTGAGACCGAGTCTCACTCTGTTGCCCAGGCTGGAATGCCGTGGCACAATCTCAGCTCACTGCAACCTCCGCCTCCCGGGTTCAAGCCATTCTCCTGTCCCGGCCTCCCAATTAGCTAGGATTACAGGCGCCTGCCAGCATGGCCGGCTAATTTTTGTATTTTTCATAGAGACGAGGTTTCACCATGTTGGCCAGGCTGGTCTCGAACGCCTGACCTCAAGTGATCCACCTGCCTCGGCCTCCCAAAGAGCTGGGATTACAGGCGTGAGCCACTGCACCCGGCCACGTCCAATCCTATTTCTATGCTGCTGTCTGCTTTTTTGTGTTTTGTTTTTGAGACCGGTTTCACTCTGTTGTCCAGGCAGTGGTAGGATCATAGCTCACTGCAACCTCAACCTCCTGGGTTCAAGCCACCCTCCTGTCTCAGCCTCCTAACTAGCTGGGACTACAGGTGTATGCCACCATGCCCACTCATTTTTAAATTTTTTGTAGAGATGGGGTCTTCCTATGTTTCTCAGGCTGGTCTTGAATTCCTGGGCTCAAGCGATTCTCCTGCCTTGGCCCCCCAATGTGTTAGTGTTTTACAGGCGTGAGCCACTGCACCACCCAGCTTACTTTTTTTTTTGAGGTGGAGTCTCGCTCTGTCACCCAGGCTAGAGTGCAGTGGCACGATCTCGGCTCACGGCAACCTCCACCTCCCGGATTCAAGCAATTCTCCTGTCTCAGCCTCCCGAGTAGCTGGGATTACAGGCGCCCACCACCATGCCCGGCTAATTTTTGTATTTTTAACAGAGACGGGTTTTCACCATATTGGTCAGGCTGGTCTCAAACTCCTGACCTCAGGTGATCCACCTGCCTCGGCCTTCCAGAGTGCTGGGATTCCAGGCGTGAGCCACTGCGCCCAGCCAGTTCACCTCAAATTTGAATTAGACTTTACTTTTCACATAGTCCTTCCTCCATCCTGTGAGCAACAGGACTTTAAAAATTTGGAACTCACTCACTATTCGGTTAACGTACTTTGCCTACAGAGTGCATTCTATGAAGTGTGTTCGTGTTATTCTTCTCCTCCTTAAGCATTGTCAATGTTTTTTTTAAAAATCTCTTTTTATGTCAATAAACTGTGGAAGGCATGAAATCGTACCGCAATCATCTCCTTATTTCCACCATAAATATTAGGGCCAGGCGCGGAGGCTCGTGCCTATAATCCCAGAACTTTGGGAGGCTGAGGCGGGTGGATCACTTCAGCCCAGGAGTCCAAGACCAGTGTAGGCAACATGGCAAAACCCCATCTGTACCAAAAATACAAAAATTATCTGGGTGTGGTAATGTGGGACTATAGTCCCAGCTACTCAGGAGGCTCAAGTGGGAGGATGCCTTGAGCCTGCTGCACTCCAGCCTGAGTGACACAGCGAGACCATGTCTCAAAAAAAAATTTAAAAAAATTATCATGAGAGCACTTTTTGTCTTGCAAAAAGGATTTTTTGTTTTTTTTAGAAGGTCACTTTGTGGCTGGGCTCTGTGGCTCGCGCCTGTAATCCCAGTGCTTTCAGAGGCCGAGGCAGTTGGATCACCTGAGGTCAGGAGTTTGAGACCAGCCTGGCCAACATGGTGAAACCTTGTCTCTACTAAAAATACAAAAATTGGTCAGGCATGGTGTTGGTTGCCTGTAATCCCAGCTACTTGGAGGCTGAGGGAGGAGAATCGTTTGAACCTGGGAGGCGGAGGTTTCATTGAGCCGAGATGGTCCCACTGCACTCCAGCCTGGGAGACAGAGCGAGACTCCATCTCAAAGAAAAACAAGAACAAAACAGCGTACAGTGCTCTGTCTGAAGGTGGCCTCCTTATTTGTCTACAATCAGTGGTGTCCAATCTTTTGGCTTCCCTGGGCCACATTGGAAGAAGAAGAATTGTCTCCGGGTACACATAAAATACACTAACGATAGCTGATGGGCTGAAAAAAACCCAGAATCACAAACAAACTCGTAATGTTTTAAGAAAGTTTCTGAATTTGTGTGGGACCACATTCAAAGCCATCCTGAGCTGCAGGCAGCCTATGGGCCGCTGGTTGGACAAGCTGGGACTCCACATCAGCCCTTGCACCTGCCCCCGGCAGAGCTCCAGCTTCAGGTGTGTTTCTTCACTATAATTTACTAAACCTGCAGCTAAGCTTTCTAAGTGGCAATATTTCACTTAGGGTGGTATAAAATTAAAACAGCCAATGAAGGGAACTTTTTTCTTATTTGATACATAATAATTGTACATATTAATGGGGCACGTGATATTTTGATACATGAATGGAGTAGGTAATGATCATCATGTCACGGCATCTAGGATATCCAACCCCTCACCCATGGATCATTTCTTTTTCCTTCTTCTTTTTTCTTTTTTCGAGACAGAGTCTTGCTCTGTCGCCCAGGCTGGAGTGCAATGGTGTGATCTCTGCTCACTGCAACCTCTGCCACCCAGTTTCAAGCAATTCTCCTGGCTCAGCCTCCTGAGTAGCTGGGATTACAGGCATAAATGCCACCACACCCGCCTAATTTTTTTTTTTTTTTTTGAGACACAGTTTTGCTCTTGTCACCCAGGCTGGAGTGCAGTGGCCCAATCTCGGCTCACGGCAACCTCTGCCTCCCAGGTTCAAGTGATTCTCCTCACTCAGCCTCCCAAGTAGCTGGGATTACAGGTGTGGGCACCACCCCTGGCTTATTTTTATTTTTATTTTTTGAGATGGAGTCTTGCTCTGTTGCCCAGGCTGGAGTGCAGTGGCATGATGTCAGCCCACCACAACCTCCACCTCCCGGGTTCAAGCAATTCTCCTTCCTCAGCCTCCCAAGTACCTGGGACTATAGGTGTGTGCCACCACGTCCAGCTAATTTTTGTATTTTTAGTAGAGACAGGGTTTCACCATGTTGGCCAGGCTGGTCCCAAACTCCTGACTTCAGGTGACCTGCCCGCCTTGGCCTCCCAAAGTGCTGGGATTATGCCCAGCCAATTTTTGGATTTTTAGTAGAGACGGGGTTTTGCCATGTTGGTCAGGCTGGTCTAGAACCCCTGATCTCAGGTGATCTGCCCACTTCGGCCTTTCAAAGTGCTGGGATTACAGGAGTGAGCCACGGTGGCCAGCCGGTACACACGTGGATTTATTTCTGGATTTTCTATACTGTACCATTGCTCTATATGTTTGGGGTTTTTTTTGTTTCTGGTTTGGTTGTTTTTTTTTTTTTTTTTTTTTTTTTTTTTTTGAGACCGAGTCTCGCTCTGTCGCCCAGGCTAAAGTACAGTGGTGTGGTCTTGGCTCACAGCAGCCTCAGTCTTCAGGTTCAAGCGCTTCTCCTGCCTCAGCCTCCTGGGTAGCTCCGATTATAGGCGCCTGCCACCATGCGCAGCTAATTTTTGTATTTTTTGTAGAGATGGGGTTTCACCATGTTGCCCAGGCTGGTCTTGAACTCCTGAGCTCAAGGGATCTGCCCCTCTTGGCCTCCCAAAGTGCTGGGATTACAGGTGTGAGCCACAATACCCAGCCATATGTCTGTTTTTATACCAATACCATGTTGTTTTGGTTACCAGAGCCTTCTGATATGTTTTGAAGTCAGGTAACATGATGTCTCCAGCTTTATTCTTTTTGTTCAGGATTCCTTTTGCTATTTGAGCTCTTTTTGTTTCCAAATGAATTGTAAGGTCTTTCTTTTCTTTCTCGCTTTCTTTCTTTCTTTCTCTTTCTTTCTTTTCTTTCCTTTTTTTTTTTTTTTTTTTTTGACGGAGTCTCACTCTGTCCGCCCAGGCTGGAGTGCAGTGGCGCGATCTTGGCTCACTGCAACCTCTGCCTCCCAGCTTCACACCATTCTCCTGCCTCAGCCTCCCGAGTAGCTGGGACTACAGGCGCCCGCCACCATGCCCGGCTAATTTTTCTGTGTATTTTTAGTAGATACAGGGTTTCACCATGTTAGCCAGGATGGTCTCAATCTCCTTACCTCGTGATCCGCCCGCCTCAGCCTCCCAGAGTGCTGGGATTACAGGCGTGAGCCACTGCGCCTGGCCTGAAATGAACCATTTGAAAGCATGCAGTTCAGTGGCATTTAGTACATCCACGGCATTGTGCAGCTGCCACTTCCATCTAATTGGGAAACGTTTTCATCACCCCTGCGGGAAACCCTGCACCCTTTAGGCGGTCGTTCCCCATTCCCTTTGGCTCCTGGCAACCACGGATCTGCCTTCTGTCTCTGTGGGTTTATTTATTCTGGATATTCCATGTTTCCCACAGGACTGCTGGCTCTGGGAGCTCGGGAGTCAGCCTGGGGTTCCAAAGTCTTCACAGGTGTGAACCTTTTGGTTCTGAGCTGCGTCATCTTCTCCGGCTTCATCAAGGGAGATCTGCACAACTGGCAGCTCACAGACGCCGACTACAAATGGGCCGAGCTGGGGTGGTCCAACGACACCCACAGGTGAGGGCACAGGTTTATTTTATTTTTTTTTATTTTTTAATTTTAATTTTAATTTTTATTTATTTTTATTTATTTATTTATTTACTTTTTTTTTTTGAGATGGAGTCTCACTCTGTCACCCAGGCTGGAGTGCAGTGGCACGATCTCGGCTCATGCAACCTCTGCCTCCCGGGTTCAAGCGATTCTCCTGCCTCAGCCTCCGAGTAGCTGGGATTACAGGTACCTGCCACCATGCTCGGCTAATTTTTGTATTTTTAATAGAGATGGGGTTTTACCACGTTGGCCAGGCTGGTCTCGAACTCCTGACCTCCATTGATCTGTCCACCTCTGACTCCCAAAGTGCTAGGATTTCAGGTGTGACCCACTGTGCCTGGCCTGTTTTTTTATTTTCAAATTTACCTTTATTTTTATTTTTTGAGATGGAGTCTCACTCTGTCGCCCAGGCCAAATTTCGGTCGCACAATTTCAGCTCACTGCAACCTCTGCCTCCCGGGTTCAAGCGATTCTCCTGCTTCAGCCACCTGGGATTACAGGTGCGTGCCACCACACCCGGCCAATTTGGTTTTTTTTTTTTTTTGGTAGAGACGGGGTTTCACCATGTTGGCCAGGCTGGTCTCAAACTCCTGACCTCAGGTGATCTGCCCACCTTGGCCTCTCAAAGTGCTGGGATTACAGGTGTGAACCACTCACTGCTCCCAGCCTAAAACTTATTTTTATTTTTTGAAACAGGGTCTTGCTCTGTCCCTCAGGCTGGAGTGCAGTAGCACGATCATGGCTCACTGCAGCCTCTACCTCCCAGGCTCAAGCAATCATCTAGAGTAGCTAGGACTAGAGGTGTGCACCACCACACCTAGCTAAGTTTTTAAATTTTTGTAGAGATGGGGTTTTGCCATGTTGCCCAGGCTGGTCTCAACCTCTGGGCTCAAGTGATCCACCTGACTCAGCCTCCCAAAGTGCTGGGATTATAGGCGTGAGCCATTGCAACTGGCCAGAGGTGCCCTCTTGGACACAGGAGTGGGGCCTGGGGTGCAGAACCTGGACTATTGTGGGAATAGGGGGAATCTGGGTTGACGGAGCCAGATGATGGGGAGTGGGGATGGCAGTGGGGGCCCCGGGCTTGTGGAATTAACTGAGCAGTTGGAGTTAACTGAGTCGTCCCAGAAAGACGGCTGCACACCTTACCAATGTTTCTTGTTCCTTCTGTCCCCGTAGCTCGGGCTCCCTGGGCTCTGGAGGGTTTGTGCCTTTTGGCTTTGGCGTGATTCTCCATGGAGCGGCCACGTGTTTCTTTGCATTTGTGGGTTTTGATGGCATTGCCACCACAGGTAACACGGTCATTCTGTCTCATCGGGGGTTTGGGCACTGTTTGGGCTGCCGCTGGGCACAGGTTTCATTAAAGGCTACCCTGTTCTCAGATGGGGAAGAGGGAAGAGGGTTTTGTACCTTCACTTCCGTGCATTTTCCTGGCCCAGTGCGTATACCTGTCCTGCAGGAGAAGAAGCCCTCCACCCTCACCGCCCGGTGCATATACCTGTCCCGCAGGAGAAGAAGCCCTCCACCCTCACCGCCCGGTGCATATACCTGTCCCGCAGGAGAAGAAGCCCTCCACCCTCACCGCCTCCACCCTCACCGCTCCATCCCCTTGGGCACTGTGACCTCGATCTTCATCTGCTTCTTGGCCTATTTTGGTGTCTCAGCGGCGCTCACCCTCATAGTGCCCCTACTACCTGATATGTCCCGAGAACCCCTTGCCGGAGGCTTTTGTCCACATTGGATGGGCCCCCATCAGATATGCTGTGGCCGTCGGCACCCTCTGTGCCCTTTCCTCCAGGTCAGTGCTGGATGCTCTCTCCCTGTCTGCTGTCTGGTTCTCGGGTGTCCTGGGCCTTGGTAAAGGGAGGAGACGTTTCACCCACGGAGGCGACAGAGCAGAAGCCCCAGTCCCTCTTGCTTCCTGAGTCCCCATGCGTGTTCCCGTTTTCTCCTGCATGCAGCCTCCTGGGTGCCACGTTCCCCACGCCTCGCGTGCTCTAGTCAATGGCTGAGGACAGGCTCCTTTTCTGCGGACTCGCCCGGATCCACGCCCACACCAGCACCCCTGTGGTGGCCACTGTCGTTGCTGGGACCCTTGCAGGTAAAGGCCCAGAATCCAGGCTTTCTTTCATCCATTTTCTATGAGTTAGTTCCTCATCCTCCCCCACAGCCCATCCATTTTTGCTTTTATTATTATTCATCAATTTTTTTAAAAAGTTGGCTATTACAAAAGTTTATTTAATAAAAAGTTTAACAGGAAAATGGGACTAGGCTCAGTGGCTCACGCCTATAACCCCAGCACTTTGGGAGGCTGAGGTGGGAGGATTGCTTGATCCCAGGAGTTCAAGACCACCCTGGGCAACACAGGGAGACTTCCATCTCAACAAAAATTAAAAAAAAAGTTAGCCAGGCATGCTGGAACGTGCCTGTAGTCCCAGCTACTGGGGAGGCTCAAGTGGGAGGATTGCTTGAGCCCAGGAGGTTGAGGCTTCAGTGAGCTGAGGTCACACCACTGCACGCCAGCCTGGGTGACAAAGCAAGACCCTGTCTCAAAATAAAATAAAATAATTAAAATAAATACAATACAATACAATATAGAAAATGGGGCGGGGTGCAGTGCCTGATGCCTGTAACCCCCGTACTTTGGGAGGCCAAGGCAGAATCACTTGAGCCCAGGAGTTTGAGACCAGCCTGGGCAACATAGCCAGACCCTGAGATCATTTTTTTGTCTCTGCAAAAAAATTTTTAACAATTAGTTGGCTGTGGGAGGCGGAGCTTGCTGTGAGCTAAGATCGCGCCACTGCCCTCCAGCCTGAGCGACAGAGCGAGACTCCGTCTCAAAAAAAAAAAAAAAAATTAGCTGGGTGTGGTGGTACACCTGTAGTCCCAGCTACTCGGGAGGCTGAGGTGGGAGGATGGCTTGAGCGCAGCAGGTTAGGGCTGCAGGGAGGTATGATGATTCCTGTTTAAAAAAAAAAAATTAAAGAAAATGTACATAATCTGACTTTTGTTGTTGTTGAGACAGGATCTCACTCTTACCCATGCCAGTGTACAGTGGCACCACACCTGGCTAATATTCAAATTTTGTAGAGGCGGGGGTCTGTGTTGCCCAGGCTGATGTGGAACCTCTGGGCTCAAGCAGTCCGCCTGCCTCGGCCTCCCTAAGTGCTGAGATTACAGGCATGAGCCCCTGCACCTGGCCACATTCCTATTATTAATTAACACAATAATTGTACATATTCGTGGGGTACAGTGTGATATTTCCATACATGTATACAAGATGTAATAATCAAATCAAGGTAATATCATAACCATCACTTCAAACATTGATTATTTCCTTGCATTGGGAACACTGAAAACCTATTTTTCCAGCTCTTTTTTTTTTTTTTTGGAGACAGAGTCTCGCTCTGTAGCCCAGGCTGCAGTGCAGTGGCACGATCTCAGCTCACTGCAACCTCCGCCTCCCAGGTCCACGCGATTCTCCTGCCTCAGCCTCCGGAGTAGCTGGGATTACAGGCATGTGCTACCACACCCAGCTAATTTTTGTATTTTTAGTAGAGATGACGTTTCACCATGTTGGCCAGGGTGGTCTTGAACTCCTGACCTCAGGTGATCCGCTCACCTTAGCCTTCCAAAGTGCTTTTCCAGCTCTTATAAGTTGTTAACGACAGTCACCCTCTAGTGCTGTGGAACATTGGAACTCACCCTGTTTTGAGCCCTGACTATAGCAATCATGGCTTTCCTGTTTGAGTTCAGTGACCTTGTGAGCCTCTTGTCCATCGGGACTATGCTTGCTTACTCCTTGGTGGCTTTTTCTGTTCTTGTCCTCAGGTGAGACTGGGGTCCTAGACACGTGAGGATTGATGGGGTTCCCAGCCCTCTTCTGCCTGCCTCCTGGCCCCTCGGTGCATTGCTACACATACAGGAGTGGGAGGAGTACAACAGCCCCTGCTTATCCACGGGGGACACGTTCCAAGACCCCCAGTACATGCCCGAAACCGCGGATAGTACCAGTCCCTATACATGATCATTTTCCCATCCATAACTCAGTTGCCTAATGTGACTTAACACGGCCGGTAGCGTTCACAGCATGGACACACTGGACAAAAGGATGATTTACATCCTGGGCATGGGCAGCGTGGAATGCCGCTACTTGAAGCTGCACACAATTGAAAACTTATCAATTACGGCGGGGCGCGGTGGCTCACGCCTGTAATCCCAGAACTTTGGGAGGCCGAGACAGGTGGCTCACTTGAGGTCAGGAGTTTGAGACCAGCCTGGCCAACATGGTGAAACCTGGTATGTCCTAAAAATAGAAAAATTAGCTGGGCGTGGTGGTGGTCTCCTGTAATCCCAGCTACTCAGGAGGCCGAGGCAGGAGATTGCTTGAACCTGGGAGGCGGGGGTGGTTGCAGTGAGCTGAGATTGTGCCACTGCAATCCAGCCTGGGTGACAGAGTGAGACTCCGTCTCAAAAAAAAAAAAAAAGAAAGAAAAGAAAAAAAGGAAAAAAAGAAAGAAAACTTACAAATTACTGCTGGACTTTTCCATTTACTATTTTTGGACTGTAGTGGATACGGGTAGATGAAACCTCAGATACGTGGGAGCTACCGTGGGTGTATTAGGCTCTCTGATGTTGGATGAACAGGGACCTGGGTTAATCTTGCCCTACTCTCTCTAATTCAGGTACCAGCCAGACGAGAATTTCAGCAAGAACGAGAAGCCGAAGGAGGAAGTAGTTGAGATGAATTCTGTACCCAAAGCAGAATCCCCAGCATGTGTTCCTGAAGCGTCCAGCACTCCGGCGAGTCTGTGGAGCCCTGTCAGCACCATCCCCACCCCGAGATGGGGCCGCATCGTCTATGGATGTGCCTTTCTGCTTGGTGAGCAGTGGCGTTTCTCCGCGGGGTGTTTTGAACCTGATAGCATGCGGCAGGGGGCCGAGTAGGGAGTGTGGGGCTTTGGTAGTTGAGAGGAGTTGTGAAGATGTGGTGGCCCTTCTTAGTAGGCGCACTTTTGGCCGGGCACAGTGGATTACACATGGAATCCCAGCACTTTGGGAGGCTGAGGCGGGACAACTGCTTGAGCCTGGGCAGTCGAGGCTTCAGTGAATCAAGACCACACCACTGCACTGTAGTCTGGGCAATGGGGCGAGATCCCATCTCAAAAAACAAACAAAAAGCCATATATATATATACACACACACACACATATATACACACACACACACATACATATACACACACAAATATATATATATAAAATTAAAAGTTTAGGCTGGGTGTGGTGGCTCACTTTAGAAGGCTGAGGCAAGTGGATCACTTGAGGTGAGGAGTTGAGACCAGCCTGGCCAACATGGTGAAACCCCATCTCTACTAAAAATACAAAAAATTAGGTCAGGCACAGTGGCTCACGCCTGTAATCCCAGCACTCTGGGAGGCCGGGTGCCGGGGGGGAGTGGATCACAAGGTCAGGAGTTCGAGATCAGCCTGGCCAACATGGTGAAACCCCATCTCTACTAAAAATACAAAAATTAGCCGAGCACGGTGGCAGACGCCTGTAATCCCAGCTACTCGGGGAGACTGAGGCAGGAGAATTATTTGAACCGGAGAGGCCGAGTTTCCAGTGAGCCAAGATCACGCCACTGCACTTCAGCCTGGGCAACAGAGAAAGACTTTTTCTCAAAAAAAAAAAAAAAATACAAAAAATTAGCTGGGTGTGGTGGCAGTTACCTGTAATCCCAGCTACTTGGGAGGCTGAGGCAGGAGAATCACTTGAACCCAGGAGGCAGAGGTTGCAGTGAGCCAAGATTGTGCCACTGCACTCCATCCTGGGCAACAAGAGTGAAACTGCATCTCAAAAAAAAAAAAAAAGTATTTGGGTGTGCTGACACGTGCCTGTAGTCCCTACTTGGGAGGCTGGCACACACACACACACACACACACACACACACACACACACACACACCCATACCCATATATATGGTTTGGGGGATAGGATGTGGCCCGAGATCTTCACTTATTTAGCTTCTGAAGTTGAACCTGTTCTCCCCAACCTTGACCCTTTTCCAGTTGTCCTGCTGTCCATGCTATGCCTGGTATTGGCCCATTGGCCCAAACGCCTGTTCTCTGGAGAGCTGATCTACATCGCAGCGGCTGTGTTGCTGCTGGTGCTCATTGTGGGATTCACTTTCACCGTCTGGAGACAGCCCCAGAGCAACACTCCTCTTTACTTCAAGGTAGGTGGCCTTATGTCCCCACACCACCCTCCTGAGTCAGTGGACTCTGCATGCCTCAAGCTCTAAATACTCTACGGGACCAGGGGTAAAAAGGGCAGTTGCGAAAAACCAATGGACTGTTCATGGACACCCCCTCCAGCCCCCACATATCAGTACTTCCCAAAACCTGTCTCTTCCAGAACACCCAATGGAATACCTACTCAGAACAGGCATTGAGCCAGGTGAGGTGGCTCACACCTGTAATCCCAGCACTTTGGGAGGCCAAGGCGGGTGGATCACTTGAGGCGAGGAGTTCGGGACCAGCCTGACCAACATGGTGAAATTCCGGTTCTACTAAAAATACAAAAATTAGCCGGGCATGGTGGTGTGTGCCGGTAATCCCAGCTACTCAGGAGGCTGAGGCAGGAGAATCGCTTGAACCCAGGAGGCGGATGTTGCATTCAGCTGAGATCGCGCCACTGCACTCCAGCCTGGGTGACACAGCAAGACTCTGTCTCAAAAAAAAAAAAAAAAGAATAGGCATTGAATATGCGACTGCAACAGAGCTGAGGCCTTCCCACCCCTTGGAATAAGGGTCCCTTGCAGACGTTCGTGGTGTGCTCACGGTTAACGCTTTGCCTGCAGGTCCCCCTGTTGCCTGTTCTCCTCTGGTCAGCATCTCTGCACATGTTTACCTGATGATGCAGATGACCACTGAGACCTGGGCCCAATGTGGAGTCTGGATGTTGATTGGTGAGTGGCTTCCTGGAAAAAAAGAGGCCTCTTGGGTGTCTGAGCCCAACACTCTTCCTGCGACCTTTCCCTATAGCTGTCTCAGGCTAACAGTGTGGGGTGTGCCTGTAGTCCCAGCTACTCAGGAGATGAAGGCAGGAGCATCGCTTGAGACCAGGAGCTCCAGACCAGCCTGGGCAACATGGCGAGACTCCACCTCTACCAAAATAAAAAACTGGCCGCACGCAGTGGCTCGCACCTATAATCCCAGCACTTCAGGGGGCCAAGGCAGGTGGGTCACCTAAGATCAGGAGCTCAAGAACAGCCTGGCCAACATGGTGAAACCCCATCTCTACTAAAAATACAAAAAAGTAGCCGGGCGTGGTGGCGGGCGCCTGTAATCCCACCTACTCAGGAGGCTGAGGCATGAGAATTGCTTGAACCCAGGAGGCAGAGTTTGCGGTGAGCCGAGATCATGCCATTGCACTCCAGCGCAGGCGACAGGAGCTGAGATTGTGCCACTGCACTCCAGCCTGGGTGACAGAGTGAGATGCTGTCTCAAAAAAAAAAAAAAAAAAAAAAAAAAATTAGCCAGGCACGGTGGCACCTGCCTGTAGTCACATCTATTCTGAAGGCTGAGGTGGGAGGATCGCTTGAACCCAGGAGGTCGAGGCTGCAGTGAGCCATGATCATGCCACTGCACTCCAGCCTGGGCAATGGAGCGAAGCTCTATTTCTAAATAAAAGAAACAAGAAAACCTCCAAATAAACAAACCACAGTATAATCGCTATAGGGCATTTATAAGGGAAGGGGTGACTACATTTCCTTTCATTGTCTCATTTCCCTGCTAGGATTTGCTATGTATTTTGGATATGGGATCCCACACAGCTTGGAGAACAATCAACAGCCACCAGCGTCAAGCTCCCAAACTCCTCATGAAAACATCCCTAGTCCCTTGCTGAATTAGTTTAACCACGGAAAAGGGATGGTCCAGTCCACTGGAGGTGTCCTCTGGATGAAGGGAAAGTGTGAAGCTCTGTGGAGCATGAAGGTGGGATACACTTAAAGCCCCTTGTGCATTGCCAGTGAGCAAACACTTTTTAAAAAACTTTATTTTGTTGTTTGTTTGTTTGTTTGTTTGTTTGTTTGTTATAGAGGTGAGGACTTGCTCTGTTGCCCAGGCGGAACTTGAACTCCTGGGCTCAAGTGATCCTCCTGCCTCAGTCTTCCAAGCAGCTGGGACTACAGGTACCCCATCATACCCAGCTTAACAAAATATCTTTATTTGATTTGATTTTTTTTCTTTTTGAGACAGAGTCTCGCTCTATTGCCCAGTCTGGAGTGCAGTGGCATGATCTTGGCTCACTGCAACCTCCGCCTCCCGGGTTCAAGTGATTCCCCTGTGTGAGCCTCCAGAGTAGCTGGAATTACAGGCACATGACACTGTGCCCAGCTAATTTTTCTTTATTAGTAGAGACCAGGTTTCACCATGTTGGCCAGGCTGGTCTTGAACTCCTGACCTCAAGTGATCCACCTGCCTCGGCCTCCCAAAGTGCTGAGATTACAGGCCTGAGCCACCGTGCCCAGCCAAAATAACTTTAAAAACTTACATTTTTAAAAATTGACAAATAAAAGTTGTCTATGTTTATGGTGTACAATTGCATATATTATATGTATTAAAATTGTGTATGTTTATGGTATACATGAAGCTTGGAAATATGTATACATTGTGGAATTGCTAAATCAGGTTGATTAACGTATTCATTACCTTACATACCTTTTTTTTTTTTGAGATGGAGTCTCCCTCTGTCGCCCAGACTGGAGTGCAGTAGTGTGATCTCAGCTCACTGCAACCTCCGCCTCCCAGGTTCAAGCAATTCTCCTGCCTCAGCCTCCTGAGTAGCTGGGATTACAGGTGTGCCCCACCATTCCCGGCTAATTTTTGTGTTTTTAGTAGAGACGGGGTTTCACCATGTCGGTCAGGCTGGTCTCGAATGCCTGACCTCATGATCTGCCCGCCTCGGCCTCCCAAAGTGCTGGGATTACAGGCGTGAGCCACCACACCCAGCCTTACGTGCCATTTTTTTTTTTTTTTGTGGTAAAAACATTTAAAATGGCCGGGTGCGGTGGCTCATGCCTGTAATCCCAGCACTTTGGGAGGCCAAGGCAGGTGGATCATCTGAGGTCAGGAGTTCAAGACCAGTCTGGCCAACGTGGCGAAACCCTGTCTCTACTAAAAATACAAAAAATTAGCTGGGGCGCAGTGGCAGGTGCCTGTAATCCCAGCTACTCGGGAGACTGAGGCTTGAACCCAGAGGCAGAGGTTGCAGTGAGCTGAGATTGCACCATTGCACTCCAGCTTGGGCAACAAGAGTGAAATTCATCTCAAAAAAAAAAAAAAATAGCCAGGTGCGGTCTGGAACTCCCGGCCTCAAGTGATCCTCTTGCCTCAGCCTCCCGAGTAGCTGGGAATACAGGCATGCGCTACCACACCAGGGTAATTTTTGTATTTACAGTAGAGATGGAGTTTCACCTTGTTGCCGAGGCTGGTCTTGAACTCCTGAGCTGAAGCCATCCTCCTGCCTCTGGCCTCTAAAAGTGCTGGGATTCCAGGCGTGAGCCAGCGTGCCCGGCCATCATGTTTACTTCAAACAGATTTTCTCTGGCGTCTTCTAGGACACTTGTATCTGATCTTTACTGAAAGTCACATTCTTAGCAAGACTTAACCTTACATCCTGAGTAAAATTGCGAATTCCACAGATGCCCTCAATCTTTCCTGACCTCGGCTCCTCTTCTGTTTCCCGGCATGGCTTGAAGCGCAACGGCATTCTACCTGTTTACTCAGGATGTGTCTTACCATTAAAGTCCCTGCCTGCAGAGCAGTTGGCTTGATTTCACCTAAGACTTTTGTCAAAATACTTAACTCTCTCATTTTGTGTCCTTATTTAAAGTTTCAGTTGTCTAGTTCACTTGCTACATTATAGCTGAATGACTGTCAGTCCAGTCTGGCAAAAGAGAGAAGGTAGATTGTTCCTCCGATATCCTCATGAGTTTTGCCACATACTGCATAGAAAGTCTGATCAGTGTAATTTTTACTAAGGAGATCCTGAGGATATAACAGGAAGTTCCTTGGGTAAATGACAATGTCCATGTATCTACATCATGGAAGAAAGTTAAATTAATGCTATAAAAATGGTGTGGCCGGGCACGGTGGCTCACACCTGTAATCCCAGCACTTTGGGAGACTGAGGTGGGTGAATCATGAGGTCAGGAGTTCAAGACCAGCCTGGCTAAGATGGTGAAACCCCGTCTGTACTAAAAATACAAAAATTAGTCTGGCATGATGGCAGGCGCCTGTAATCCCAGCTACTCAGGAGGCTGAGGCAGAGAATTGCTTGAACCCAGGAGGTGGAGGTTGCAGTGAGCTGAAATTGCACCACTGCACTCCAGCCTGGGTGACAGAGCTAGATTCTGTCTCAAAAACAAAAAACAAAAAACAAAAAGCAGTGTAATAAGTGGAAATGTTGACTCAAAGAATAGACATTAAGAGATTTTTGGCCTGGCACGGTGGCTCACGCCTATAGTTCCAGCCCTGGAGGCCGAGGCGGGCGGATCACCTGAAGTCAGGAGTTGCAGACCAGCCTGGCCAACATGGCGAAAATCCGTCTCTACTAAAATCACAAAAATTAGTTGGGCATGGTGGTACACGCCTGTAATCCCAGCTACTCAGGAGGCTGAGACAGGAGAATCGCTTAAACCCAGGAGGTAGAGGTTGCATTGAGCCGAGATTGCACCACTGTACTCCAGCTTGGGTGACAGAGCGAGACTCTGTCTCAAGAATAAAAGATTTTGAAAAATACTGCCACATTTGTATCTAGAACTGGTGCTGTCCAAACAAATACAATGAGAGCAAGTATGTAATTTCTTTTTTTTTTTTTTTTTTTGAGACAGTCTTGCTCTTGCCCAGGCTGGAATGCAGTGGCGCAATCTTGGCTCACTGCAACCTCTGCCTCCTGGGCTCAAAGGGGTCTCCTGGCTCAGCCTCCGGAATAGCTGGAATTACAGGCATGCACCACCACGCCCGGCTAATTTTTGTATTTTTTAGTTTCAACATGTTGGCCAGGTTGCCCTCAGGCGACCTGCCCGCCTCAGCTTCCTAAAGTGCTGGAATTACAGGCCTGAGCCACCGCGCCCGGCCAAGTATGTAATTTTAATATTTCTAGTAGCCACATTAAAAAAGCAAAGATAGGCCGGGCGCGGTGGCTCACGCCTGTAATCCAAGCACTTTGGGAGGCCGAGGCGGGCGAATCACGAGTTCAGGAGATCAAGACCATCCTGGCTAACACGGTGAAACTAAAATACAAAAACAAAATTAGCCGGGCATGGTGGCAGGCACCTGTAGTCCCAGCTACTCCAGAGGCTGAGGCGGGAGAATGGCGTGAACCCAGGAGGCAGAACTTGCAGTGAGCCGAGATCGCGCCACTGCACTCCAGCCTGGGTGACAGAGTGAGACTCTTCTCAAAAAAAAAGCAAAAATAACTTGAAATTCTAACCCAAAATACCCACATTCTAATACCCAAAATATTAACATTAATCAATAGAAAACATTAACATATAATCATTATAAAAATAAAATATTAACTTAATATAAAATATACAAATAAAATAAAGTATGAAAATATTTTACTATTAACAAATGTGATTGTGGGTTGCAGTTCATGATGGCTGGTGGACGCAGCTAGTGTGCGCTGCTTTTTTATTATTATTATTATTATACTTTAAGTTTTAGGGTACATGTGCACAATGTGCAGGTTAGTTACATATGTATACATGTGCCATACTGGTGCGCTGCACCCACTAACTCGTCATCTAGCATTAGGTATCTCTCCCAATGCTATCCCTCCCCCCTCCCCCCAGTGCGCTGCTTTCATGGAGAGGAAACAGGGTAACTGCCCGGTCTTCAAGGGCATAGACCAGAACACCATGCTGGGATTCACCAGGGCTGCGGTGGGACTTGGAGAACAGGCAAGGTTGGGCAGCTGCCCTCCTGGGATTGCAGCGGAGTTGGGGGAAGCTCCCTGATGCAGAGAAAGGGTAAGAGTGAGAGTCCCTGGGGGTCCCACACTTTTTTTTCCTTTGAAATGGAGTCTCACTCTTGTCGTCCAGGCTGGAGTGCAGTGGTGTGATCTTGGCTCACAGCAGCCTCTGCCTCCCGGATTCAAGCGATTCTCCTGCCTCAGCCTCCCGAGTAGCTGAGATTACAGGCGCTCGCCACCACGCCCGGGTAATCTTTTGTATTTTTAGTGAAGGGGGTTTCGCCACGTTGGCCAGGATGGTCTTGAACTCCTGACCTCGGGTGATCCACCTGCCTTGGCCTCCCAAAGTGCTGGGATTGCAGATGTGAGCCACCATGCCCGGCCAGGGACCCACACTTCTAACACAATCCTTTGCAATCCTGGGCGGAGAAGAGCCCCCCTGACCCCCTGAGCTTCCAGAGCAACATGGAGGCAGCCTGGAGTCTCCGCAGAGCACCGTTCAAGCCCGTGCGGAGCCCCACAGGCCTTGGATCCCTGCACACCCCATGAGCACCCTGTTGTCAGCTGCCACAGCCCCAGCAACAAGGAAGGCCAGGCTCTTTGTCCGCCTGCTAGTGAAGCCGCCTGTACGAAAGTTCTGTCAGTGAGAAAATGCGAATAGTAAACTAAGCTAACTCACCCTCAATTAATCCTGGGCTGTTGGGCCAAGCTAATTTTGGAAGACATTTAGGCTACAGTTTAAATGATAATAGGCTTTACTGCAAACTCAACTGCTTTTGTAAAGCTAATAGGAGCCCATCAGGCTGAGGCAGTGAAAGGAACCTGAATCCAGCTAAGGCGCTGACGTTCCAGAAGTTGTAAGATAAACAGCTTCCCCAGTTGGTTTTTGAGATACCTTTCCAGGTTTTTTGCATGTCTGACACCCTCGGCTGCACCTGGACCAACAATGCCGCTCCGGTGGCCCCACTTAAATGCGAATTGGCCCCCAGGAGGCCTAGGAGTTCATCTCTGCCCCAACCAATCAGTAGCAAGCATCTGTAACCTGGGGACCCCCCCCCCAACCCCTTCCAAGTTGCCTTTGATTTTACTTCCTCCAAACTGCCTTTGAAAACCTAACCTGTGAGCCTTGGATGGTTTGAGTATGAACTCCATCTCCCACGTGGCATGACCGGCCTCGTGTCTGTCAAACTCTTTCTCTCCTGCCATGCCCTGGTCTGTCTTTATGCAGAGGGTGGAAAGGACCCCTGGCGAAGTTACACTAGGATCGCACTGAGGAGGGGATGGATGGGCTTCAGGCCTTGCCTCCGCTGCTCCTTGCCAGGCCAGGCTGACCGGCTTGGGCCCCCAGCACAGCTGACCCACCCTGGCCTCAGCACCCTGGTCGGTGGCCTCCACATTCCTCTGGCAGGAAACTCCCAGAGGTAACTGACAGGCCCTCCGTGGTGGCTGCCACTGCGGTCCTGCCACTGCTGCCCTCAGGCTGGGGCCCCAACTTTCCCATGGCTCCAGACTGTCTACCACAGGCTCCCTGCCCAGAGGGGCTTGCCACCTCCTGGCTTCCGGTGCCCACCCCCACACTCCCCAGGTGTTTCAGCTGTGACCCAGAGAGTGCCCGTCTGCCAACCCTATCCGACAGGCCTGGGATCACCCCCCAGGCTCCCACCGCCGGAGTACTCTGCCTGCACCCGCTGGAGAGTTGGCCAGTGAGCAGGGGACCAGCCCGTACCCCACCATCAGAGTCAGCACTGGACGCTGCTCTAGCCCCACCTCCATTCCAGTCCCAATGGGACTCACTCATCCATGCATTCCAGTGGGCCATCTAGGGCTCAGGGAATTGGGGTACTGCCCACCCCATTCCAGCACTGCTGGTACCCGACCACTTCCCTCAGGGCCTGAGGTTGGGCCCAGCCAGCTGGCCACCACCACAACACACACCTGCACAGCCCCAGAGGTGGTGCCCCTCTTACATGAAGCAGCAGTGCCACCATATGAGAGGCCAGGTGAGCCCTAAATCTCCCTGGACCAGGCTGAGTGACCATGTGCAGCTCCAAAACCACTCCATAGAGAGCCACGAAACAGGCGTTTCCCGAGGCTCTCCACCACACTGTGGTCCTGGGAAACAGTGCAGTGTGCTGGCTGGGTGATGTGGCCCATGCCTGTAATCCTAGCCCTTTGGGAGCCACAAGGTGGGTGGATCACTTGAGGTCAGAAGTTCGAGACCAGCCTGGCCAACATGGTGAAACCCTGTCTCGACTAAAAATACAAAAATTAGCCAGGTGTGGTGGTATGTACCTGTAATCCCAGCTGCTCGGGAGGCTGAGGCAGGATAATCACTTGAATCCCGAAGGCGGAGGTTGCAGTGAGCCGAAGTCGTGCCACCGTACTCAAGTCTGGGTGACGGAGCGAGACTCCATCTCAAAAAAAAAAAAAAAAAAAAAAAAAAAAGCAGTACAGTGGCCAGGCTTGGTGGCTCACGCCTGTAATCGCAGGACTTTGGAAGGCCGAGGCGAGTGGATCACCTGAGGTCAGGAGTTCAAGACCAGCCTGGCTGAAACCCTGTCTCTACTAAAAATACAAAAATTAGCCGGGCGTGGTGGTTGGCACCTGTAATCCCAGCTACTTGGGAGGCCGAGGCACGAAAATTGATTGAACCTGGGAGGCGGAGGTTGCAGTGAGCTGAGATCATGCCACTGCACTCCAGCCTGGGCGACAGGAGAAGACTATCTCAAAAAAAAAGAAGAAAGGAGTACAGTGTGCATCTGAACTAGGAGCCACGAACCCCACGATAGGGGTGTGACAGGGACACGATTCACGTTCCTGCCAATCTAGATGAGGAGCCGGTGCAATATCCTCACCCCTCAGCCCTACACAGAGGCCTCAGCGCATTTCACCTGGAGCTCCTCTCAGCCACCCTCATCGGCCTGGTGCCTGCCTTCATCATTGGGGTATTCCTGTGCAAGCTATGGGCTCCAGCTCTGCCCAGCCGTGTCCCCCACCCCAGGGAACAGGAAGCTCATGGCACCGGGCACTCCATGCTCCAGCCCATGACCTGAAACAACAGACAGTACCTCCCAGGAAACCAAGATCAGGTACATGCCCACCTGCTTCTGCTGCCGGCAACTTTCAGCCCGAAGTGCCATCTCCTGGCCTGTAGGTTGAACTGCACAGTCCAATATAAAACCTGCCAGGCCGGGCGCGGTGGCTCACGCCTGTAATCCCAGCACTTTGGGAGGCCGAGGCGGGCGGATCACCAGGTCAGGAGATCTAGACCATCCTGGCTAACACGGTGAAATCCCGTCTCTACTAAAAATACAAAAAATTAACCGGGCATGGTGGCGGGCGCCTGTAGTCCCAGCTACTCAGGAGGCTGAGGCAGGAGAATGGCGTGAACCCGGGAGGTGGAGCTTGCAGTAAGCTGAGATCATGCCACTGCACTCCAGCCTGGGTGGCAGAGCGAGACTCTGTCTCAAAACAAAACAAAACAAAACAAAACAAAACAAAACAAAACCTGCCAAAGACCAGGCACAGTGGCTCACGCCTGTAATCTTTGCACTTTGGTAGGCTGAGGCAGGCAGATCACTTGAGGTCAGGAGTTTGAGACCAGCCTGGCCAACATGGTGAAACCCTGTCTCTACTAAAAATACAAAAATTAGCCAGGCATGGTGGTGCACGCCTGTAATCCCAGCTACTCGGGAGGCTGAGGCAGGAGAATCGCTTGAACCCGGGACGTGGAGGTTGCAGTGAGCCGAGATGGTGCCATTGTACTCCAGCGTGTGCGATGGGAGCAAGACTTCATCTCTAAATAAATAAATAAATAAAACCTGCCAAAAAAAAACTGCATAAGCCTATAGAAACAAGGCCAAAAAGCCTACCCAACATTCTATGCAATCACACTCCCTAGGGAGTAGGGGAAAGGGGAGGCGGACAATAATAATGTAGGGAAAGAAAAAGAAAAAGTTTCTATCCACATGAAAATAATTACAGAAATTAGAAGGGCCAGAGTTTCTAGATGAGAAGGAACCAGTGTTAAGAATTCTGGCACCTGGCCGGCTGCAGTGGCTCACTCCCATAATCCCAGCACTTTGGGAGGCCGAGGTGGGTGGATCACCTGAGATCAGGAGTTCGAGACCAGCCTGGCCAACATGGTGAAACCCTGTCTCTACTAAAAATACAAAAATAAGCCAAGCATGGTGGCAGGCACCTGTAATCCCAGCTACTTGGGAGGCTAAGGCAGGAGAATTGCTTGAATCCGGGAGGTTGAAGTTGCAGTGAGCTGAGATTGTGCCACAGTCTGGGCGACAGAGCGAGACTCCATCTTAAAAAAAAAAAAAAACCCAACATCCCTTTATGATAAAAACCCTCAACAAACTTGGCATTGAAGGAACATACCTCAAAATAGTAAGAGCCGTCTATAGCAAACACACAGCCAACATCGTACTGAATGGGCAAAAGCTGGAAGCATTCCCCTTAAGAACAGGCAAAAGACAAAGCTGCCCACTCACACCACTTTTGTTCCCCATAGTACTGGAAGTCCTAGTCGGAGCAATCAGGCAAGAGAAAGGAAGAAAAGGCATCCCAAAAGGGAATGGAATGAAGAAGTCAAGTTATCCCTCTTCACGGATGATATAATTCTATACCTAGAAAACTCTGAAGACTCTGCCAAATGGCTCCTAGAACTGATCAACTTCAGTAAAATTTCAGGATATGAAATCAATGTATGAAAATCAGTAGTATTTCTATACACCAATAATGTTCAAGCTGAGAGTCAAATCAAGAACGGAATCCCATTTACAATAGCCACACACACACACACAAACACACACAAATACCTAGGAACAGATCTAACCAAGGAACTGGAAGGTCTCTACAAGGAGAACTACAAAACACTGCTGAAAGAGGCCAGGTGCAGTGGCTCATGCCTGTAACCCCAGGACTTTGGGAGGCTGAGGCAGGTGGATCACTTGAGGTCAGGAGTTCGAGACCAGCCTGGCTAACATGGTGAAACGCTGTCTCTACTAAAAATACAAAAATTAGCTCGGCGTGGTGCTGTGCACCTGTAGTCCCAGCTGCTCGGGAAGCTGAGGCAGGAGAATCACTTGAACCTGTGAGGCGGAGGTTGCAATGAACTGAGATTGCACCACTGCACTCCAGCCTGGGTGACATAGTGAGACTCTGTCTCAAAAAACAAACAAAACACTGCTGAAAGAAATCCTTGACACAAACAAATGAAAAAACTTTCCTTGCTCATGGATTGGCAGAATCAATATTGTTAAAAAGACCACATTGCCAGGCAAGGTGGCTCACGCCTGTAATCCCAGCACTTTGGGAGGCCGAGGCGGGTGGATCACGAGATCAGGAGTTGGAGACCAGCCTGACCAACATGGTGAAACCTTGTCTCTACTAAAAATACAAAAATTAGCCGGGCGTGGTAGCAGGCGCCTGTAATCCCAGCTACTTGGGAGGCTGAGGCAGGAGAATCACTTGAACCTGGGAGGCGGAGGTTGCAGTGAGCTGAGATCGTGCCCTTGCACTCCAGCCTGGGCGACAGAGTGAGACTCCATCTCCAAAACAAAAGGCCATATTAGGATAAATGCTTGAGGTGATGAATATCCCATTACACTGATGTGATTATTGTACATTGTGTGTCTGTTTCAAAATATTTCATGTAACCCGTAAATACATACACCTACTATGTACCCCCAATTTTAATAATTAAAATAATTTTTAAGTGGCCATATTACCCAAAGCAATCTAGAATCATCAAACTACCAATATTATTTTTCACAGAATTATAAAAAATGATTGTAGGCCAGGCGCGGTGGCTCATGCCTGTAATCCCAGCACTTTGGGAGGCCGAGGCGGGCGGATCACCTTAGGCCAGGAGTTTGAGACCAGCGTAGCCAACGTGGCGAAACCCCTTCTCCACTAAAAATACAAAAATTAGCCAGGTGTGGTGGTACGTGCTTGTAATCTCAGCTACTCGAGAGCCTAAGGCAGGGGAATTGCCTGAACCTGGGAGGCAGAGGTTGCAGTAAACTGACATTACGCCACTGCACTCCGGCCTGGGTGACAGAGTGAGACTGTCCCAAAAAAAAAAAAAAAAAAACTATTGTAAAAGTCATATGGAGCCTAAAATGAGCCCAATGGCCAAAGCAATCTTAAGCCAAAAGAACAAAACTGGAGGCATGACATTCCAGCTTCAAACTGTACAAGGAAACAGTAACTAGGAGCTTCCTGATAGCTGAAGACTTGGATGCCTCCTGGAGGGTAGTGTGCCGAGGGAGGGCGCGGAAACTCCTCACCCCTTCTCCCATACCTCGTCCTATGCATCTCTTCGTCTGTGTCCTTTGTAATGTCCTTTATAATAAGCCAGTAAATGTAAAACAAAAGAAGTATACAGTAACCAAAACACCATGTTACTGGTACAAAAAGACACATAGGCCAGGCACAGTGGCTCACGCCTGTGATCCCAGCACTTTGGGAGGCCAAAGTGGGCAGATCATTGGAGGTCAGGAGTTTCAGACCAGCCTGGCCAACATGGTGAAACCCCATCTCTACTAAAAGCACAAAAATTACCTGGGCGTGATGGTGCATGCCTGTAATCCCAGCTATTTGGCAGGCTGAGGCAGGAGAATTGCTTGAACCCGGGAGGCAGAGGTTACAGTGAGCTGATATTGCGCCATTGCACTCCAGCCTGGGTGACAGGGTGAGACTGTCTCTCAAAAAAATAAAATAAAATAAAATAAAAATAAAGAGGCACATAGAGTAATGGAACAGCATGGAGAACCCAGAAATGAAGCCACACACCTACAACCTTCTGATGGCCAACAAAACTGACAAAAACAAGCAATGGGGAAAGGACTTCCTATTCAATAAATGCCACTGGGATAACCGGCTAGCCATATGCAGAAGGTTGACACTGGGCAGGGTGTAGTGTGGCTCATGTCTGTAATCCCAGCACTTTCAGAGGGCAAGATGAGATACTTTCAGTCCAAGAGTTCAAAACTGACCTGGGCGGGCTGGGCACGGTGGCTCATGCCTGTAATCCCAGCACTTTGGGAGGCCGAGATGGGCGGATCACCTGAGATCGGGAGTTTGAGACCAGCCTGACCAACATGGTGAAACTCTGTCTCTACTAAAAATACAAAAATTAGCCAGGCGTCGTGGCACATGCCTGTAATCCCAGCTACTCAGGAGGCTGAGGCAAGAGAATTGCTTGAAACCAGGAGGCGGAGGTTGCGGTGAGCCGAGATCGCGCCACTGCACTCCAGCCTGGGTAACAAGAGTGAAACTCTGCCTCAAAAAAAAAAAAAAAAAAAAAAAACTGACCTGGGCAACATGGCCAGACCCTGTCTCTGCAAAAATTAAAGAAAAATTAACTGAGAGTGGTGTTACGTGTCTGCAGTCCCAGATACTCGGGAGGCTGAGGTGGGAGGATTGCTTGAGTCTGGTGGGCAGAGGCTGCAGTGAGCCAAGATCACGCCACTGTACTCCAGCCTGGATGACAGAGTGAGACTGTCAGCACTCATAGCGCTGCAATCAACATATGAGTACACATGTCTTTTTGGTAGAATAATTAACGGGATTTTCTTTTCTTTTTGAGACAGGGTCTCCCTCTGTCACCGAGGCTGGAGTGCAGTGGCGCAGTCTCAGCTCACTGCAGCCTCTGCCTCCTGGGTTCAAGCAATTCCCCTGCCTCAGCCTCCTGAGTAGCTGTGATTACAGGTGCCCATCACCACAACCGACTAATTTTTGTATTTTTAGTAGAGACAGGGTTTCACCATGTTGGCCAGTCTGGTCTCGAACTCCTAACCTCAAGTGATCCACCCACCTGGGCCTCCCAAAGTGCTGGGATTACAGGTGTGAGCCACTGCACCTGGCCTAGGATTTTCTAAAAAAAAAAAAAAAAAAAAAAAAGAAAAAAGAATGAAACTGGACTCCTACCTTTCACCATATTGAAAAATTGACTCAAGACTAAAGATTTAAATGTGAGATGTCCAACTGTAAAAATCCTGGAGGGGGCTGGGTACAGTGGCTCAAGCCTGTAATCCCAGCACTCTGGGAGGCCAAGGTGGGCGGATCACCTGAGGTCAGGAGGCCAGTGTGGGAGAATCACTTGAGCCCAGGAGTCCAAGAGCAGCCTGGGAAACATAGCAAAACCCCATCTTTTTTTTTTCTTTCCTAGTTCAGTTCACTGCAACCTCTGCTTCCCAGGTTCAAGCAATTCTCTTGCCTCAGCCTCCCCGGTAACTGGGAGTCTCACTCTTTCTCCCAGGCTGAAGTGCAGTGGTGCGATCTCAGCTCACTGCAACCTCTGCCTCTCTGGTTCAAGCAATTCTCCTGCCCCAGCCTCCTGAGTGGCTGGGATTACAGGCACCCGCCACCACGACTGGCTAATTTTTATATTTTTAATAGAGACGGGGTTTCGTCATGTTGGTCAGGCTGGTCTCAAACTCCCGACCTCAGGTGATCCGCCCACCTCGGCCTCCCAAAGTGCTGGGATTACAGGCATGAGCCACTGCACCCAGGCCAGAGTCTTGCTCTGTTGCCCAGGCTGGTCTCAAACTCCTGTCCTCTAGTGATTCTCCTGCCTTGGCTTCTTTTTTTTGTTTTGTTTTGTTTTGTTTTTTTAATTTTTTTTTTTTTTTTATTGATCACTCTTGGGTGTTTCTCGCAGAGGAGGATTTGGCAGGGTCATAGGACAATAGTGGAGGGAAGGTCAGCAGATAAACAAGTGAACAAAGGTCTCTGGCTTTCCTAGGCAGAGGACCCTGCGGCCTTCCGCAGTGTTTGTGTCCCTGGGTACCTGAGATTAGGGAGTGGTGATGACTCTTAACGAGCATGCTGCCTTCAAGCATCTGTTCAACAAAGCACACCTTGCACCGCCCTTAATCCATTTAACCCTGAGTGGACACAGCACATGTTTCAGAGAGCACGGGGTTGGGGGTAAGGTCACAGATCAACAGGATAAGAATTTTTCTTAGTACAGAACAAAATAAAAAGTCTCCCATGTCTACTTCTTTCTACACAGACACGGCAACCATCCGATTTCTCAATCTTTTCCCCACCTTTCCCCCCTTTCTATTCCACAAAACCGCCATTGTCATCATGGCCCGTTCTCAATGAGCTGTTGGGTACACCTCCCAGACGGGGTGGTGGCCGGGCAGAGGGGCTCCTCACTTCCCAGTAGGGGCGGCCGGGCAGAGGCGCCCCTCACCTCCCGGACGGGGCGGCTGGCCTGGCGGGGGGCTGACCCCCCCACCTCCCTCCCGGACGGGGCGTCCTGCCTTGGCTTCTAAAGTGCTGGGATTACAGGTGTGCACCACTGTTCCAGGATCTTTTTGTACATTCTAGGGGTAAGAGTGGTTTTCACATTTTTCTTTTTTTCTTTTCTTTTTCTTTTTATTTTTTTTGAGACAGGGTCTTACTCTGACTCCCAGGCTGGAGTGCAGTTCTGAAATCACAGCTCACTGCAGCCTTGACCTCTCAGGCTCAAGGGATCCTCCCACCTGAGCCTCTTGAGTAGCTGAGACTACAGGTGAGCGCCATCACCCCCTTCTAAGTTTTCCATTTTTTGTAGAGATGAGGTCTCTCAATGCTGCCCATGCTAGTCTCTTGAACTCAAGAGATTCTCCCGCCTTGGCCTCCCAAAATGCTAGGATTACAAGCGTGACTCACCATACCCTACCAGTTTTCACATTTTTTAAAGCTTGTAAAAATAAAGAGGACTACATGACAGAGAACATATGCGCCCTGCAAAATATGTGTCTAGTAAAATATTTACTAACCGGCCCTTAACAGAGAGTTTGCTGACCCTTGGTGTTGTGAAAACTTGTGAAATAAATGACTCCAGGTTTAGTGCAAACTCAGGTGAGGACACCCCATACATTTGTCCAAAGAGCCTGTGAAATGTGCGCAGAGTTATTCTGTTGATCTTGCTGCGTGCATGGGTTCAGATGGGGCTTGTTTTGGTGATGAGTTTCACTCAGCCACAGGTGCCTAAAAGAGATCAGAACCTTCCCAATTGCTCCTCGGCTTCTATAACTTTGTGTAATTACTGCCTCTCCAGACAATGATGTCTGCTCTGTAGCAAATAATTTCTCATAAATTCTTTATTTCTTATTTTACACATAATAATTACATGTGTTTATGGGATATGGAGTGATAATTTGATTTCTGTACACAATGTGTAATGATCAAATCAGGGTAATTAGCATATCCATCACCTCAAACATTTATTATTTGTATTGTGAACATTCAAAACCCTTCTAGCTTGTATTTATTTATTTATTTTTTATTTTTTTTGAGATGGAGTCTCACTCTATCACCCAGGCTGGAGTGCACTGGCGTGATCTCGGCTCACTGCAAGCTCTGCCTCCTGGGTTCACACCATTCTCCTGTCTCAGCCTCCCGAGTAGCTGGGACTACAGGTGCCCGCCACCATGCCCACCTAATTTTTTTTTTTTTTTGTATTTTTAGTAGAGACGGGGTTTCAGTGTCAGCCAGGATGGTCTCGATCTCCTGACCTCATGATCCCCCTGCCTCAGCCTCCCAAAATGCTGGGATTACAGGCGTGAGCCACCGCGCCCGGCCTATTTATTTATTTTAGAGACAGGGTCTCACTCTGTTGCCCAGGCTGGAGTGCAGTGGCGCAATTACAGCTCACTGCAGCCTCGACCTCCTGGGCTCATGGGCTCAGGTGATCCTCCCGCCTCAGCCTCCTGAGTAGCTGGGACTACAGGTGGGTGCCACCACATCTGGCTATTTTTGT
The DNA here is from genome assembly GCF_000001405.40 of Homo sapiens. Lineage (NCBI taxonomy): Eukaryota > Metazoa > Chordata > Mammalia > Primates > Hominidae > Homo > Homo sapiens. The sequence continues at coordinate 53,585,478 of NC_000019.10, read as the reverse complement.
ATTTTGTTTTTTAGATATTATACATATAATATTTATGTAATTTTTTTAAGTAAAAAAATTTTTTTTGGAGACAGAAAGTCACTCTGTTGCACAGGCTGGACTGTAGTGGCACAATCTCGGCTCATTGCAACCTTCACCTCCTGGGTTCAAGCGATTCTCCTGCCTCAGCCTCCTGAGTAGCTGGAATTACAGGTGCACAACACCACGCCAGCCATGTATGTATATCCTTTTGCCATTATCGTATACCACACTGTTTTAATTACTATTGCTTTTTAAAATTTTTTTGAAATCCAGGCCGGGTGCAGTGGCTCCATCTGTAATCCCAGCACTTTGGGAGGCCGAGGCAGGTAGATCATCCGAGGTCAGGAGTTTGAGACCAGCCTGGCCAACATAGCAAAACCCCATCTCTACTAAAAATACAAAAATTAGCCAGGCATGGTGGTGGGCACCTGTAATCCCAGCTACTCGGGAGGCTGAGCAGGAGAATTGCTTGAACCTGGGAAGTGGAGGTTGTGGTGAGCCGAGATCATGCCACTGCACTCCAACCTGGGTGACAGAGTGAGACTCCGTCTCAAAAAAAAAAAAAAATTGAAATCCAGAAGTGTGAGTCCTCCACTGTTCTTTATTTTGGCTATTTGGGGTGTCTTGAAATTCCATACAACTCTAAGAGTTGGTTTCTCCATTTCTGCAAAAAATTGTCATTGAGTATTTTATTGATATTGCATTGAATATGTATATATTGCTTTGGGTAATATTGTTATCTTTGAAATTTTATTTAAAAAAATAATACAGAGATGGGATCTTGCCATGTTGCCAAGGCTGGTCTGGAACTCCTGGGCTCAAGCAAACCTCCTCCCTCAGCCTCCCCAAGTGCTAGGATTACAAGCATGAGCCACCGTGCCCAGCCATCATCTTAACAATATTAAATCTTCCAATTCAGGACCATGAAATATCCTTTCATTCCCAGCACTTTGGGAGGCCAAGGCGGGTGAATCACCTGAGGTCAGGAGTTCAAGACCAGCCTGGTCAACATGGCGAAACCCTGGCTCTACTAAAAATACAAAAATTAGCTGGGCATGGTGGCAGGTGCCTGTAGTCCCAGCTACTCAGGAGGCTAAGGCAGGAGTCTCTTGAACCGGGGAGGTGGAGGTTGCGGTGAACTGAGAGTGCACCACTGCACTCCAGCCTGGGCGACAGAGTGAGACTCCGTCTCAAAAACAAAAAAAAACCCTTCCATTTATTTAGGTTTTTTAAAAAAATTATTCTACAACTTCAACTGTTTTGTAGCTTTTGCGTACAACTCATGTACCTCCTTTTTTTTTTTTTTTTTTGAGACAGAGTTTCACTCTTGTTGTCCAGGCTGGAGTGCAATGGGGCGTATTCTCGGTTCACTGCAACCTCCGCCTCCCGGATTCAAGCAATTCTCCTGCCTCAGCCTCCCAAGTAGCTGGGATTACAGGCATCTGCCACCACACCCAGCTAATTTTGTATTTTTAATAGAGATGAGGTTTCCCCATGTTGGCCTGGTTGGTCTTGAACTCCAGACTTCAGGTGATCTGCCTGCCTCAGCCCCGCAAAGTGCTGGGATTACAGGCGTAAGCCACCAAGCCCGGCTCAATAATGACTTACTTTAGTAAAGCTCTTTGACTTCATGGTTACCCTTTACCCCATGGCTTTTACTGCTCTTTGTAGTTTTTTTTTTTTTTTTTTTTGAGAGAGTCTCACTCTGTCGCCCGGGCTGGAGTGAAGTGGTACACCCTCGGCTCACAGCAACCTCCGCCTCCTGAGTTCAAGCGATTCTCCTGCCTTAGCCTCTTGAGTAGCTGGGATCACAGGCATGCGCCACCTTGCCCGGCTAATTTTTGTATTTTTAGTAGAGACGGGGTTTCACCATGTTGGTCAGGCTGGTCTCAAACTCCTGACCTGAGGTGATCCGTCCACCTCAGCCTCCCCAAGTGCTAGGATTACAGGTGTGAGCCACTGTACCCGCCCTGTTTTTTTTTTGTTGTTGTTGTTACTGCTCTTTGTAGGGTTTTTGTTTGTTTTGTTTGTTTTTTTGTCATTATCCAGGCTGGAATCCAGTGATGCAATCATCACTCACTGTAGCCTCCACCTCCTGGGCTCAAGCAATCCTCCTGCCTCAGCCTCTTGAGTAGTTGGGACTACAAGTGAGCACCACCACACCTGGCTAATATTTTTATTTTTTGTAGAGACAGAATCCCACTATGTTGCCCAAGCTAGGGTAAACTTTATTATTATTATTATTTTTTTTTTTTTATGAGACGGAGTCTTGCTCTGCCGGCTAGGCTGGAGTGCAGTGGAGCGATATTGGCTCACTGCAACCTCTGCCTCCTGGGTTCCAGCGATTCTCCTGTCTCAGCCTCCTGAGTAGCTGAGATTACAGGCATGCGCTATCACACCTGGCTAATTTTTGTATTTTTAGTGGAGACGGAGTTTCACCATGTTGGCCATGCTGGTCTTGAACTCCTGACCTCAGGTGATCTGCCCACCTCGGCTTCCTAAAGTACTAGGAGTATAGGCATGAACCACTGTACCGTCTCCACTAAAAATACAAAAATTAGCCACTCTGTAGCTCAGGTTGGAGTGCAGCGAGGCGATCTCAGCTCACCGTAGCCTCCTGGGTTCAAGCCATTCTCCTGCCTCAGCCTCCTGAGTAGCTGGGATTACAGGCGTGGGTCACCACGCCTGGCTAATTTTTGTATTTTTAGTAGAGACAGGGTTTCACTAAGTTGGCCATGCTGGTTTTTAACTGCTGACCTCAGTTGATCTGCCTGCCTAGGCCTCCCAAAGTGCTGGGATTACAGGCATGGGCCACTGCGCCTGGCCACCTCCGGGATTTTTTTTTTTTTTTTTTTTTGAGATGGAGTCTTGCTCTGTCTCAAAAAAGTGCACTGGCTGGATCTCAGCTCACCGCAACCTCCGCCTGCCCGGTTCAAGTGATTCTCCTGCCTCAGCCTCCCGAGTAGCTGAGATTGCAGGTGTGCACCATTGTGCCGGGCTAATTTTTGCATTTTTAGTAGAGACAGGTTTTCACTGTGTTGGCCAGGCTGGTCTCAAACTCCCGACCTCAAGTGATCCACTCGCCTCAGCCTCCCGAAGTGCTGAGATTACAGGCGTGAGCCACCGCGTTGGCCCACCTCTGGGCTTTTTATATAAACTTTGGATTTTGCTCCTTGAGCCAAGAGTCCTGCCTGACACACATTCTTCCCATATTTCCTTCTGGGAACTAACCCTGTCCACCCAGGCTGTCTTCCTGTGCCTTGGCTGTGTCCTGTAAGGCCAGGCCAGTGCTGCCTTTCTGCACAGCCTCCTCGTTTCTCAGTATTCTCCCTACCCCTACTCCCACATTCCTCCAGCCTCCTCTCACTGTCTTCCACCTGCTTCTCCTCTTCACACTCCTTCCCCTGCCCTTCTCCTTACCCCACCCAGCTCCTCCTCTGTTTATGCGGGAATGCTGGGAAGAGCAGTGGCCCCACCATGCGTGTTGCTCTTGGTGGCAAGGAAGGGACCCTGGGCCCCTTCTGCTGAGGCTGGCGTAGGGTCCACAGGGGAAAGGGGCACTAAGCAGGACGGTGCCGCCTATGAGGTTGATTCCTAAGGGTACTGAAGCCTAGACCAGAAAGATACCCAGCTCTGAAACCTGGGTCTGGAACCCCTTCCCCAAACATGCTCCCTCACTTCCCCACCACCCCTGGAGAATCTGAATCCTTAACCTAATGCTGAGGTATTTGTAATCCGAGAACTAAGCAGCTTTGATTGAAACGTAACCCTACCCTTGAGGTAAATCAAACAAGCAGGACTTCAACCCTATATTCTGGATCCTTTGCCAACCTTTATAGGACACCCCTGAGCTCTAACCACACCACCATCCCCCGTGCCTAAGGCTCTCCTGCAGGATGTAGCGTCCGCCCTCCATCTCCGCAGCTGCTCTCAGGAGCACTCCAGTCCTCTCCCAGCCCCAAGGCCTCTCTCCAGGCCTCTATCCCTTCTCTCCCAGAATTCATCCCTGAGCTCTAGCCAGGCCCTCCCATGCCCATTAGCCACTCCTCTGCCCCGTCAAACTCACTCCCATGGGGTCTAGAGTCCTCCCCAATCCATATTCTCCGATTCCTACTATGGGCTCTGGTCCTTTCCCTAAGGTAATCCTACCCTCAGCCTAGGACCATCTTAAGATAGTTCAGGTCTCTCCCCTGAGTCTGTGTCCGCACCTCCCCCAGGACTCTGTCAGAGGTGTTTGAACCAGAGCGACTCCATTTTGAGTGCGGGCTAGGAAAATGAGGCTGAGACTTGCTGGGCTGCATTCTGAGAAATGTAGGCAATTCCGAGCCTCCAGATGTTTACGGTTAAGGGAACAAATTATTAACAGTTACTAAACAGACCCACACTTGGGAGTGTCCAGATATCCTGATATCTGGAGAACAAAGGCATTCCTAGTTTTGCTTTAAAGATAATATCAATTCTTGCAAAATAATGAAGAGAATGAATCCTTCATCACAAACCCTTGTAGCAGAGCACGTCTCCCCATATATGTGAGCATTGGACCTAGGGTGGATGCGTTCCTCCTAACGTCAGGAGCGTCCAACACTGTCTGTGGAGTAGCTGTCCTTTCGCCACTTTTTCTGTTTTTGAGATGGAGCCTCCCTCTGTCGCCCAGGCTGGAGTGCAGTGGTGTGATCTCAGCTCACTGCAACCTCTGCCTCCCGGGTTCAAGTGATTCTCCTGGCTCAGCCTCTCGAGTAGCTGGACTGCAGATGTGTGCCCACACACCTGGCTAATTTTGTATTTATAGTAGAGATGGGGTCTTGCCATGTTGGCCAGGCTGGTCTTGAACTCCCGACCTCAGGTGATCTACCCACCTCGGCCTCCCAAAGTGCTGGGATTACAGGCGTGAGCCACCGCACCTGGTCCCACCACTTTACTTTCTTAATAAAGTTGCTTTTGCTTTGCACTGAGGACTTGTCCTGAATTCTTTCTTGTGTGAGATCCAAGAACTCTCTCCTGGGGTCTGGATTGGCACCCCTTTCCTGTAACAACTCTACTCTGGGCCCTGACCCCGTCCCCAGGACCAGTCCGCTCACCTCCCTCCCGCGCTGTCCCTGCTGTGGGCACCGCTAGGGTTTAGCAGAGGTCCAGTCTGCTGGCGGGGTTCCTTCTTGAATAGGTCGTGTTTGAATATCCAACAAAGAGACCTGCTCATCTTTGATTTTATTAATATTTGATTGACAAATAATAATTGTATTATATTGATGGAGTACAATGTGATGTTCTGATACATGTATACAATGTGGAAGGATTAAATCAAGCTAATTAACATATCCATCACCTCGCTCCCTTATCCTCCTTCTTTGTGGTGAGACATCTGAAATCAGCCTTGTTATTGTGATTTAAATTTAATCATCCTGGTGACTGTCTAGAGTGACAGCACATTGTGGTTTTACTCTACAGTTCCTTGAGGAGCAATGACATTGAATACATTTTCACTTACTTATTGGCCATTTGGTGGTCTTCTGTTGAGACGTGCTGAAGTTTTCTCCCCTTTAAATTGATTTTTTTTTCAACTTGAGGGATTCTTTATATTTTCTATGAGAGTTCCTTTGTCAGGTGTACCTTAGAGCAAACATCTTCTTCCAGTCCTGTTTCTTGTCTTTTCCCTATCTTAACAGCATCATTTGATGAACAGAACTTTGTACTTTTGATGAAGTGTAACAACTTTTTATGTTTGCTGTGTTTTGTGTACTAAGAAATCATTGCGTAACCCACGGCTGTGCCAATAATCTCTTAATGTTTTCTTCTAGAAGACTCAATGGTCTTTTCCAGACTCATTGCACCCACAGGGAGTTTTCTTGTAAAAATTCACTAATGGCAACACAAATGGTAGTAATGATCATAAAAACAACAATAGTTATTATTTATTAAAATTACACAATATTCCAGTTACACTTTCAAAGACTTTACATGTACCAAACATTTAATTTCCATGATAGCAGTCTCAGGTAGATGTGATTATCCTTATGTACAAATAATGCACATAGTGTCTGTGTGCTGGACAACGCACAGGGGTAGTGAGCCTTTGGCCCAGTGTCTCACAGGGAGGAGGGCGGGGGATGGTGGGGACAACTGGTAGAGTGGGTGGCATGACCAAAGGCTTTCTCACGTGTTACATTAGCAGGGTTATTCCACAGATGCCACGGAGTAAAGACAGAATGGTACTGGTAGTCTTTATGTATTCATTAAACTAACCCACACAATAAAAACATCTACACCAAAAACAAGATCATTCAGAAAAAGTGATTTTTCCACTCTTCAAATTTGCCTCTAGAATGACTTCTGATATTCTGTAAGCAGAAGAGTGATCAGTGGGCTAGGTGCAGTGGCTCACGCCTGTAATCCTAGCACTTTGGGAGGGCAAGGTGGGTGGATCACCTGAGGTCAGGAGTTGAGACCAGCCTGGACAACATGGTGAAAACTGTCTCTACTAAAAATACAAAAATTAGCCAGGTGTGGTGGTGCATGTCTGTAATCCCAGCTACTGGGGAGGCTGAGGCAGGAGAATTGCTGGAACCTGGGAGGTGGAGGTTGCAGTGAGCCAAGACCGTGCCACTGCACTCCAGCCTGGGCAAGAGTGAGACTCTGTCTCAAAAAAACAAAAACAAAAACAAAAACAACAGTGATCAGTGAAGCCTTACGTTAAACTGTACCAGGAATTTTCCTCCTGTTGAGGAAGGAATGGATGTAGTCTAGAGGCCTTCCTATATTCTTTGTACAGCAGTCCCCTCTCACCTGAGGGGGGTACGTTTGAAGACCCGCAGTGGACACCTGAAACCACAGATAGTACGTTTTTTTCCTGTACATATATACGATACTATATACTACATTTTTTCCTGTACATACATATCTAAAGTTTAATTTATAAATTAGGCACAGTAAGAGATTACCAACAGTAACTAACAAAATAGAACAATTGTAACAATATATGTAATAAAATTATGTGAACGTATCTCTCTCCCAAAATATCTTATTGTCATGTAGATCTTAGCAACCTCAGTATATGATTTTTTTCTTTTCTTTTTTAAGTTGAGAACTTTCACCTTTTCATTTAAAAGGAAGCACTTTGTGGCTTCTCTTTGGCATATCCGAATCACCAGCATCACTACTCCTGCTCTCTGGGGCCACTGTTAAGCAAAGTGAGGACTGCTTGGGCACAGGCACTGTGATGCTGGGATAGTTGATCTGATCACCAAGACGGCTACTAAGTCACTAGCAGGGTGGGTGGCGTATACAGCGTGGATGTGCTGGACCAAGGGATGACTCACATCCCCGGCCGGCTGGAGCCGGACAGCGAGAGATTTCATCACGCTACTCAGAAGGGCACACCATTTGAGACTTAAAATTCTTTATTTCTGGAATTTTCCATTTAATATTTTTGAACTGCAGTTGACTGCAGGTAACAAACTGTGGAAAGCGAAACCATAGATACGAGCGGGCTACTGCGTTCAAAAGGCTCTTCAACTGTTGTGGATCCTCTGATGTTCTCGGAGATGGTTTAGGTGGTTACATGCCTTCCCGCACTCCTTACATTCGTAGGATTTCGCCCCACTGTGCGTTTTCTGATGTTGTGTAAGCTGATGGCCGTGACTAAAGCTCTTCCCACATTCTGTACACCCATAGGGTTTCACCCCGGTATGAATTCTCTCATGTTTCACGAGGCTCGATCCATAAATGAAAGCCTTCCCACACTCCTTACATTTATACGGGGTTTCGCCTGTGTGGATTCTCTCGTGCTGAGTGAGGTGATAGCCACAATTGAAGGCCTTCCCACATTCTGTGCACTTGTACGGCTTCTCGCCCGTATGTATCCTCTCGTGCTTAACGAGGCTCGAACCCCAGCGAAAGGCCTTCCCACACTCCTTACATTCGTGAGGCTTCTCACCGGTGTGGATCTTCTGATGCTGAGTAAGGTAATTGACTCGAGTAAAGGCCTTCCCACATTCTTGACATTCATAGGGTTTCTCACCTGTGTGAATTCTTTTATGCTGAATGAGGCTTGAACCACAAATAAAAGCCTTCCCACAGTCTTTACACTCGTAAGGCTTCTCCCCACTATGAATTCTCTTGTGCTGAATAAGTTTATACACACGGCTAAAGGTCTTCCCACAGTCTTTGCATTCGTAGTCTTTCTCCCCAGTGTGGAATCTCTGGTGCTGAGTGAGCTCATCACCACGCCGAAAGGCCTTTCCACAGTCTTTACATTCATAGGGTTTTTCACCAGTATGAATCCTCTTATGAATAACGAGGCTTGAGCCCCATCGAAAAGCCTTCCCACAGTCTTTACATTCGTAGGGCTTCTCCCCAGTATGAATTTTTTGATGTTGAGTAAGCTGATTGCCCCAACGGAAGGCCTTCTTACATTCTTTACATTCATAAGGTTTCTCACCAGTATGGATTTTCTGATGTTGACTAAGTTGATAGCCACGACTAAAGGCCTTCCCACAGTCCTTACATTCAAAGGAATTCTCCTTATGATGTCTCTGATGTGTTCTAGGAGGGGTGCCTTCTCTAGTAGCAGGTCTTTTGACATAATTGATGATCATCTGATTGACATACCTCCCTCTGGAGCGCTGTGGTCTTTCAAGCGTACCTTCACATATCCAGTTACGGCCAAGGGATTTACTTCTTCTATCTGAATTCCTTTTGGAAGCCCTTATTTCATGAATGTTTTTTTCTGTAGGTAAACTCTTATTTTCATATGCTGACTCCAAATCTGGGAAAAAAGAACATATTTTCTTTCCTTTAGAGGGACACAAGTACAAACGAACCTAACCACAAACCAAAAACTCGTCTAATAGAAATAAAAATTATCCAGTAGAATAAATGTGAATCACCCAGGGCTCTTGTTAAAATGTAGATTCTACTTCTGGTACAATACTAACTGAGAATTCATTGGAGACATCTATTTTAAAGTCAGACATGAAAAAGGTCCCGACAATTAGTCCTATTATTTCCTATTTTGAAGATGAAAACAAGTATTTGTAGATGATGTGATGATATACTTGGAAAACCAAATATAGAAGTACTGTAACAAAACAATATGCAGTTGGATGGCTGTGTGTAAAGCATTCTGAAACTGATACACGTATATGTCAGTAGTATTATTAAAAGTAACTGGTAAAGGGCCGGGAGTGGTGGCTCATCACGCCTGTAATCCCAGCACTTTGGGAGGCCAAGGCAGGCAGATCACCTGAGGTCGGGAGTCCGAGACCAGCTTGACCAACATGGAGAAACCTTGTCTCTACTAAAAATACAAAATTAGCCGGACATGGTGGCGCATGACTGTAATCCCAGCTACTCGGGAGGCTGAGGCAGGGAAATTGCTTGAACCTGGGAAGCAGAGGTTGCAGTGAGCCGAGATCATGCCATTGCACTGTAGCCTGGGCAACAAGCATGAAACTCTGTCTCAAAACAAAAACAAAAAAACAGACTGGGCACGGTGGCTCACGCTTGTAATCCCAGCACTTTGGGAGGCCGAGGTGGGCAGATCATGAAGTCAGGAGTTCGAGACCAGCCTGGCCAACACGGTGAAATCCTGTCTCTACTAAAAATACAAACATTAGCTGGGCATGGTGGTGGGTGCCTGTAATCCCAGCTACTCCGGAGGCTGAGGCAGGAGAATCGCTTGAACCCGGGAGGCAGAAGTTGCGGTGAGCCGAGATTGTGCCACTGCACTCCAGCCTGGGTGACAGAGCTAGACTCCATATCAAAAAAACAAAAAACAAAAAACAAAAACAAACAAACCCTGTCTGTACTAAAAACGCAAAAATTAGCCAGGCATGGTGGTGTGAGCCTATAATCCCAGCTACTTGGGAGGCTGAGGCAGGAGAATCGCTTGAACCCGGGAGGTGGAGGTTGCAGTGAGCCGACTGAATAAGACTCCGTCTCAAAAAAAAAAAAAAAAAAAAAAGCAACTGGGTAAAAGAATACAACATTCAAAAGCAACAAAAAAGATAATTTACGAGACTAAATTTAATAAAAAATGTGAAAAAGTTTAGAAGAACAATAAGGAAAAGTTTAGAACTTGAGCATCAATAAGGAGGCTAACTGCAAAGGACTGAGAAACAGCAAACGTTTAAATCTATAAGTTCATAATGATACTACAAAATGTTAAATGGCCAGCTCTGGAACACGCTAGGAAACCAGACCTTTATTATAAAAACTGGCAATTGGCTAGGTGCAGTGGCTCACGCCTGTAATCCCAGCACTTTGGGAGACCGAGGTGGGTGGATTACTTGAGCTCAGGAGTTCAAAACCAGCCTGGGAAACATAGCAAAACCCTGTCTCTACAAAAAAAATACAAAAATTAGCCAGGTGTGGTGGTGTACACCTATAGTCCCAGCTACTTGGGAGGCTGAGGTGGGAGGATGGCTTGAGCCCGGAAGTCAAGGCTGCAGTGAGCCCAGACTGCACTACTGCACTCCAGCCTGGGAATCAGAGTAAGACCCTGCCTCAAAAAAAAAAAAAAAAAAGAAAAGAAAAAAATACAACATAAAAACTGACAAAGAAAAAGAACAAAGTTTTTATCCTTCTTATCCAATATGAACAGTGCCACTGCATGAGCAATTAGCAGATGAAACAAAGTTTCTCTTTAAATTATAACAGCTGATAAATGAAGGGGCAGTGATAGGCGCGCACCATTTGAGCCCCCAGTGTGATGAATGTAAGCAGTGCCAATGACTGCCAATGGCAAAGAGGAGCTACAACCAGACACCAGGTGCTTCATGGTGGTGACACATTAACAACACCCGGGAAGCAGTACTGCCAACACCTAGATATGAGAAAAAGAAAACGGGCACTTAAAGCGAGGCTAACCCACTTTCAGGAATGATAAAGGGCAGAGGACCCTGTCACCTCTACCCGCTACTAAAGGCGTGGCCCACAGACCAGCAGCACCAGCAGCACATAAAATGGGGTTAAATATGACAGGAAAAACAAGGTGACAGGGAAATGGGGTGAAGATCAAGTTCGTGGTAAGATCTTTCTTTCCTAGAGGCTTTGGGCCTGAGCTCTTGGAGAAAGCTCTCCAACACCTCAGGGTGTGCCTGTTCCCTGCCCTGTGGGGATGCTCTTTGTACGGGTGGCTGACTGGCTCCCACTTTCCTCCGTATTGTTGTCTTGTCTCTTCCCTCACAACCATCAAGGCTCTTTCCCTTAATTCTATAAGACAGTACCTCTGGCTTAGAAATTATATGCCCTCCTTTAAAAAAACGAAATGCTAGAGGACATAGAACTTGAGGAAAAATTTCAAGCTCAAAACTTCAAAAATTCTTTAAAAATTATTTTTATTTTTTGAGAGGGAGTCTTGCTCTGTTGCCCAGGCTGGAGTGCAGTGGCATGATCTTGACTCACTGCAGCCTCTGCCTCCCAGGTCCCAGCAATTCTCCTGCCTCACTCAGTCTCCTGGGTAGCTGGGATTACAGGCGCACACCAGCACACCGGCTAATTTTTGTGTTTTTAGTAGAGACGGGTTTTCACCATGTTGGCCAGGCTGGTCTTGAAGTCCTGACTTCAGGTGATCTGCCCGCCTTGGACTCCCAAAGTGCTGGGATTATAGGCGTGAACCACCATGCCTGGCCTTAAATTTTTTTTGATTGAGTATTAATCAAATTTATAACAACCAGAAGTCAAAATGCTATTGAGCCAGGTGCAGTGGCTCACGCCTGTAATCCAGCCTCTTTGGAAGGCTGAGGTGGGTGGATTCCTTTAGCCCAGGAGTTCAAGATCAGCTTGGACAACATGGCGAAATCCCATCTCTAAGAAAAAACACAACAATTAGCCGGGTGTCGTGGTGTGCACCTGTGGTCCCTGCTACTCAGGGAGATGAGGCAGGAAGATTGCTTGAGCCCAGGAGGTTGAGGCTGCTGTGAGCTGTGATCGCGCCACTGCACTCCAGCCTGAGTAACAGAGTGAAAAAAAGAAAAAAATCTCAACTTAAAAAAAAAAAGAAATGCTATACCTCTACCTCCCGGGTTCAAGTGATTCTCCTGCCTCAGCCTCCCAAGTAGCTGGAATTACAGGCATGCGCCACCACACCCGGCAAATTTTTGTATTTTCAGGAGAGATGGGGTTTCACTCTGTTGGCCAAGCTGGTCTCGAACTCCTATCTTCGTGATCCGTCTGCCTTGGCCTGCCAGTCTTGTGATCACAGGAGTGAGCCACCGCACCCGGCCTTATTTTTTATTATTTTTGAGACAGAGTCTCGCTTTGTTGCCCAGGCTGCAGCACAGTAGCGTGATCTTGGCTCACTGCAACCTCTGCTTCCCAGGTTCAAATGATTCTCCTGCACCAGCCTCCGGAGTAGCTGAGATCACAGGCGTGCGCCACCATGCCCGGCTAATTTTTATATTTTTAGTAGAGACAGGGTTTCACCATGTTGGCCAGGCTGGTCTCTAACTCCTGACCTCCAGTGATCCGCCCACCTCAGCCTCCCAAAGTGCTGGGATTACAGGCGTGAGCCACTGCGCCTGGCCGAGAAAAGGTCATATTTTAAATTTCTGTAGGCATTATGCCTGGAGGCAAGTGGAACATGGTGGCTGGCAGCAAGGAATCTGGGGACCAAAACTGTTAAATCTGATTCTAGCTCCTGCTCCCTCCGTCTGACTGCATCACTGTGTTTCAGTATCCTCATCTCCAAAATAGACAATGATTGTGCCTGTCTCATCTGCCTGTGAGAACGAAATGCAATGTACTTACACACACAGTGCTTAGCACAGTGCATGGCACACAGTAAGCAGTTTATATATATAATATATACTATATATGTATATATTGTATATGTATATATGTGTATATATAATATATATGTGTATATATAATATATATGTGTATATATAATATATATGTGTGTGTATATATAATATATATGTGTGTGTATATATATAAAATATATATATTCCTATTTGTTTATTGTTTTAGCGATGGGGTCTTGATCTGTTACCCAGCCTGGAGTACAGTGGTATGATCATAGCTAACTATAGCCTTCAACTCCTGGGCTCAAGTGATCCTCCTGCCTCAGTCTCCCGAGTAGCTGGGATTACAGGCAGGGTCACCACAGACAGCTTAGCCATTAATATCATTGTTGTTATTTTTGCTAGAAGAAAAATAAGTTTCCAGGGATGTTTGCAAGATATTGTCATTCAATGTTTAACTCACAGTTCGGGGATTGTAACTTTCAACCTCACTTCAGGTATGGTATGTAAGAAATGAAATACGCCCACTTTGGTTTTACACAAATTCTGTTTGTCTGATCTACTGTACTTCAAACACATAGGCTGGTTTACTAGAACAATTCAGGGCACTGTGTCCACATGTTTTCCCTAGACGTGGGTCCCTAGAGTAACACCGACCACCAATAGCAATTTGGGTATAAACATACTCTCACAGGACAAACTGGCTCCTTTGAAGATGGTCATGAAATAAATATCCCAGAATTCCCACTCATTCCACGGACATTAAGGAAGTGAGATGATTACGGGGGAGTCGACAAAGGTGGGAAGGTAACCGATGGATGGGAGGGGAAGGTTGTGGTGCTCACGGCCACATCAATAAGGCTCAATACATTCCTTGGGGACAGGAAGAAGAAATTCAACTAGTTTCTTGAAAGGCGGTCCTGAAATTCACAGGGGAGAGCGGATATTCCAGGAGGCAGTCTAAGTTATCTGAGGCGTGCAACTCACCCAGTGAGACCAAGTTACTGTAGTTCTCCAGCATCACGTCCCAGTACAGGTCCCTCTGAGCAGAGTTCAGACAGGCCCACTCCTCCTGAGAAAAGTCTATGGCTACGTCGGCGAACGTCACCAAACCCTGAAACAGAAACCCACACGTGCATGATGAAATGAAAGGAAACAGCTTCCAGATGAAGGAGACAGGAGGCCACCCTCTGGGTAGGGTGAACACCGTGAGCAGACTGAACACCCGTGACATCGGCAAGGGGCGGTAAGGACATCACTGTAACTGTGACGGAAGCAGAATGCCTGCATGTCACTGAAGAGCTCTACCGCTGCAGAGAAAATGACTTTACTGTGCAGAATCCTCAGTTAGTCAAACCTGCCAGGAAGTGGATAAAACAATCCAAGTTTTCTTCTTGCTTACAAGCAGTGTCTGCTACGTGCCTGCCTTATAAGTTCTCAACAAGTGTGGATTCCTACAGCATTTTTTCTTTTAAGGGGGGAAGAAAAATCAAGATTTCTGTTTAAGAACTTTTATTTTAGAAAATAGGGTTTGCTGGGGCTGGGCGGGGGGCTCACGCCTGTAATCCCAACACTTTGGGAGGCCAAGGCAGGCGGATCACGAGAACAAGGCAGGCGGATCACGAGGTCAGGAGATCGAGACCATCCTGGCAAACATGGTGAAACCCCATCTCTACTAAAAATACAAAAAAATTAGCCGGGCGTGATGGTGGGCGCCTGTAGTCCCAGCTACTCGGGAGGCTGAGGCAGGAGAATGGCATGAACCCGGGGTGGTCAGAGCTTGCAGTGAGCGGAGATTGTGGCACTGCACTCCAGCCTGGGCGACAGAGCGAGACTCTGTCTCAAAAAAAAAAAGAAAAGAAAAGAAAAGAAAAGAAGATAGGGTTTGCTGGGTGTGGTGGCTCATGCCTGTAATCCCAGCACTTTGGGAGGCTGAGGCAGGCGGATCACCTGAGGTTGGGGGTTCGAGACCAGGTTGACCAACATGCAGAAACCTCGTCTCTACTTAAAATACAAAATTAGCTGGGTGTGGCGGCGCATCCCTGTAATCCCAGCTACTCAGGAGGCTGAGGCAGGAGAATTACTTGAACCCGCGAGGCAGAGGTTGAGGTGAGCCAAGATGGCACCACTGCACTCCAGCCTGGGCAACAAGAGTGAAACTCCGTCCCAAGAAAAAAAAAAAGAAAATACGGTTTGCATGTTTGAATGTTTTCAAGCCTCCAGTTCATCATGCCAAACTACATTTTAAGCAGTCTTCCTTTTAAGCATTTAAAAAATTCCCACACAGGTAAGTCAGACTGTTTATTACAGTTATTCACTTAGGTTGCCCAAAACACCTAAGGCTTTCTCCGATTCTGGGGTATGTGATCATCTCCTACTTCCATACTGGAAGATCTTCATATTTATTACCATCCATAACCCTGCCTTTCCCCCGTTCCTGATTTTTTTTTTTTTTTTTTTTTGAGACAGAGTCTTGCTCTGTTGCCCAGGCTGGAGTGCAGTGGCATGATCTTGGCTCACTGCAACCTCCATCTCCTGGGTTCAAGCAATTCTCCTGCCTCAGCCTACCAAGTAGCTGGGATTATGGACACATGCCACCATAGCCTGCTAATTTTGGTATTTTTAGTACAGATGAGGTTTTACCATGTTGGTCAGGTTGGTTTTGAACTCCTGACCACAAGTGATCCACCCACCTGGGCCTCCCAAAGTGCTGGGATTACAGGTGTGAGCCACCACACCCGGCCCCCTGTTTCTGATTTAGAGGATAAGGATGTCAGATGACTTAGAATCATCTTGTGGTCTGAGAGATCCATTCAATAATAAAATTTATCCTCCAGTTTCCCGGCAGGAACATGACCTCTGTTCAAAGGTCCTAATCACAGCCCCATCCCTTTCCAAAAGTCCCATAAAGCTTGGGATCTGAGCACATACTAAGACAGACCGGCGAATATGAGCATTCCCTCTTATCTACGCAGAAAACATGATCAGTGGAGGATCTGTTTCTCATGTGGTCAGATGGGACCAACATATCTAACTCATCAAACCACAGACTTGACTTAAATATTTCCCTCAAAGGACTTTGCTACTTCACTGCTCCAAAATTACCCTTGCCAAAAAAGGGAGCAAACAGGAGATACTTAATCACCTGCTCAGTGATTTCCCAAAAAGGCAGACACGGAGCTACGTGGCATTATCATTCACTGGAATAGAAAGAGCTGGGAAACAGGTAATTATAAAGAGCTTGACTAGATAAAAGGCTTCAGATAATTCACAAGCAGATGCACAGAACGCAAATATCATAGCTCAAGAAGGAAAGAGAAATATACACTTACCTGGGCCATTGTTTTAGAACTGAAGAACTGATCAGTCTTCTCGGGGTTTCCACTGAAGAAGACAAATTCCGAGAGGCTAGAGCTAGGGGTGGAAAAAAAGAGATTAAAACGAGGTGCATCTGGGGTCCCCATAGTGATGTAATATGACCTTTTGGCTCCTCTGTCTTGGCTTCCCAACACAAACACATAACCGTGACATATCTGGGAAAGGTGAAGAGTATCATGGATCAGGCCAGGTGCGGTGGCTCACGCCTGTAATCCCAGCACTTTGGGAGGCCGAGGTGGGTGGATCACAAGGTTAGGAGATCGAGACCATCTTGGCTAACACGGTGAAACCCTGCCTCTACTAAAAATACAAAAAATTAGCCGGATGTGGTGGCACGTGCCTGTAGTCCCAGCTACTTGGGAGGTTGAGGCAGGGGAATCGCTTGAACCCGGGAGGCGGAGGTTGCAGTGAGCTGAGATTGCGTCACTGCACTCCAGCCTCTGGTGACAGAGCAAGATTCTGTCTCAAAAAAAAAAAAAAAAAAAAAAAAGAGTATCATGGATCAAACCTAAACCAAGCTCTCAATGAAACCTCAGGAAACCTAGCTGCACACAGCAGAGGAGGCTTTACTTTTTTTTTTTTTTGCGCCTCAAAGACAGGCCCAGACAATTTAACAGGAGGGCTCCATTTCTGGCCAGCTCCCTGTCGGGGACGGATGGGTGGGATGTAGTAAAGAATGTGTACTTGCCTAAAAAGTAGTCTGGCCTTTGCCCTCTGGTGCTGAAAGGTAATCTATATTACCTCTAAGAGGAATGTCTTTGTTTCTGATGGGGGCTTGCTATGCCAGAAATACTAATCAAGGGATTCGGGGTAGGAGCTTTTGGTCACGCAGTATCAGCTGACCTGGACACTAAGATTAACCATGTAGACAGTTAATCCACCAACCAGTCAATCATGTCTACATGCTGAGGCCCCAATAAAAACTTCCAACATCAGAGCTCTGGTGAGCTTCTCTAGTTGGCGATAGTTGGTGCCTGTTGTCACACATCAAAGACAGCAGAGTAATGAGTCCTGACTCCACAGGGAGAAGACACCAGAAGCTCTGTGTCTGGAACCCTCCTGGACTTCAACTTACGTACTTTTTTTTTTTTTTTTTGAACGGAGTCTCACTCTGTTGCCCAGGCTGGAGTGCAGTGGCACGATCTCGGCCTACCACAACCTCTGCCTCCCGGGTTCAAGCGATTCTCCTCAGCCTCCTGAGTAGCTGGGACTATAGGCACATGCCACCATGTCCAGCTAATTTTTGTATTTTTAGTAGAGATGGGGTTTCACCATGTTGGCCAGGCTGGTCTCAAACTCCCGACCTCGTGATCTGCCCTCCTTGTCCTCCCAAAGCGTTGGGATTACAGGCATGAGCCACCACACCTGGCCACGTACTTCTTTCCTTGGGTGATGACAATCTGTATCCTTTCCTTGTAATAAACTGTAACCATGAGCATAACATCTCTCAGTGAATTCTGTGGGTCCTTTTAGTGAATAGTTTTTTGTTTTTTTTTTTTAAGACAGGGTCTCACTCTCATCCAGGCTGGAGTGCAGTGGTACAATCTCAGCTCACTGCAGCCTTGACTTCCTGGGCTCGAGCAATCCTCCCACCTCAGCCTCCCGAGTAGGTGGGATTACAGGTTGCACCACTGCACTTGGCTAATTTTTTTTTTTGTAGAGATTGCGTCTCACTATATTTCCCAGGCTGGTCTTGAACTCCTGGCCTCAAGTGAGCTTCCCACCTTAGCTTCCCAAGGTGCTGGGATTATAGGCATGAGTCACCATGCCTGGCTCTAGTGAACTGTTGAACCTGAGGGCGGTTTGAGGAATCCCCACCAAGCTTGCAGTGGTGTCAGAAGTGAGGGTGGTCTTCTATGCAGACCATACCCATGAGCCTCATAGATTAGCTAACTCTGGATGGGGGGATTGTGATCTAGGATCAGACAGTGGGTGCTCAGAGTATTCAGTCTCATTCTGAGCCTACCCTGGCCCCTCCAGACAAGCTTCCAGGGTGAACAGGGGCTGTATTATCCAAACTTGGGCCTCTTCTGGCCTCTAGATTGGGTGATGTTACTCACAACATGGCAGGTGGACAAGAAACTGCTCAGGTAATATACAGAACTGTTTTTTTTGTATACCAGAGGTGACATCTGAGAGCACTTTTGAGTCCAGAAAAGCTGACAGCATAATTACACACAGAATATCAAAGTAAAATAGTAAATGATTACTGAATGTTAAGTTAGAAAGATATTTAAAGACATGAGAGATATTTCAGACATACTCTCAGTAAAGTTAGGTTACCAAAACAGAATGACACAATAACATTTGTAAAATTCCATATATAAAAATACACACACACACGCATCTGTCTATATATACACATACACATACACATGTATATATATGGAGAGAGAGGGAGAGGAGGAGAGAGGGAAGGAGGGAATGCAGAACCATACACGCTGACAAACCAACCCTAAGATATCAGTAGAAAAATAAATAAAATAGAGATATAAAAACAGAGAAACAGAAAGAAAAAATCCGGGAAGTTCTACGACCCCTTATGCAAAACAGTTAACACACTGAACTGGAAACTGCCATGCTTAGGCTGCTCGCAACACTGGCCCATGGCGTCTGAAAACCACACCCGAGTGTTCTCACTCTTCTTTCACGTGTAAGAGTGGCTCGCTGTGCCTAAACTGAGCCTGGTTCCCTGCTAACCTGTCCTATGCAACCTCTCCCTCTTCTGATTTTGCTTTGTATCCCTTCGCTGGAATAATCAGTATAAACAATGTGGTTTACACGGAACCCTTGGTTTCCTCCGGGAGTCCAGAAGATTCAGATTGTGCGAGGCAGTGTGTGCATGAACCCTGATCAAAACCTTGCACTACCATACAAAAATTAGCTGGGCCTGGTGGCGGGTGCCTGTAAACCCAGCTACTTGGGAGGCTGAGGCAGGAGAATCACTTGCACCCAGGGGGCAGAGGTTGCAGCGAGCCGAGATCATGCCACTTCACTCCAGCCTGGACGAAAGAGCAAAACTCTGACCCAAAACCAAACCAAACCAAACCAAACCTTGCACCAGCAGACTCTGGTGAGCTTCCCTGGTCGATAACATGGAACAGGTGTTGTCACAATGTGATGCTGGATGAGCCAGGCACATCCGGTGTGATGCCCCTGGGAGAGGACTGAGGAAGAGGGAGCCTGGTGCCCTGCTAACCTGTCCTATGCAACCTCTCCCTCAGCTGGTTTTGCTT
Source organism: Homo sapiens (assembly GCF_000001405.40). NCBI lineage: Eukaryota > Metazoa > Chordata > Mammalia > Primates > Hominidae > Homo > Homo sapiens. The sequence continues at coordinate 53,566,103 of NC_000019.10, read as the reverse complement.
TGTATCCCTTCACTGGAATAAATCGGTCACGAGTAGGTCTAGATGGTGAGTCCTGTTGAGTCCATCTAGAGAAACAAGGAACCTGGTGGTGGTCCTGACAGCTCCTGACACACCCCGTGATCTTGAGTGTCTTCATTTCAGTGCACCTATTTGTTGCAACAAAAGGCATGCATTCCCTTATCAAATATAAATGTGTACTGATTTGAAATGTAGTCAGAGGCAATTAGACTCTCCAAAGACAAAGAAGGTTTCTTTTTTTTTCTTAAAAAGTCTACTCCTAGCCATGGTGGCTCACTCCTGTAATCCCAGCACTTTGGGAGGCTGAGGCGGGCGGATCACCTGAGGTCAGGAGTTTGAGACCAGCCTGGCCAACATGGTGAAACCCCGTCCCTACTAGAAAAATACAAATATTAGCTAGGTGTGGTGGTGCGTGCCTGTAATCCCAGCTACTCGGGAAGCTGAGGCACAAGAATTGCTTGAACCCAGGAGGTGGAGTTTCCAGTGAGCCCAGATCGTGCCACTGCACTCCAGCCTGGGTGACAGACTGAGACTCTGTCTCAAAAAGAAAAAAAAATAAAAATAAAAAAGGATAAAGGACAAAAAAGGCCAGACATAGTGGTTCACACTTGTAATGCCAACACTGCGCTTTGTGGGGCCACAGTGGGAGGACTGCTTGAAGCCAGGAGTCTGAGACCAGCCTGGGCAACATAGCAAGACCCCATCTCTACAAAAAATTTAAAAAGGAAAAAAATTACCTAAGGTATAAAGCCTAGAAAATAAATTCCATTTATCCCAACAAAGAGTCAGTATATTCAGAATCACCTGGTCATGAATTATCAGTGGCTGTCCACAGAATGATGTCCCCTTCCTGGCACCTCTCTGAGTGTGTGACCTGGAATTCTCCACCGGCCTTGACCACAGGCTGCCTTGAGCTTCTTCTATTTAGTTTCCCTTGCTGGATTATAAACACTGTACAGGCAGCAGCTGAGTCCACTGAATCAGACTCTCATTCCAAGTACGAATAGCCACAGCATCTGGCATATTGCAGGCACTGAACAAATGTCTAATTTTGACTAAAAATTCCACATTCTGGAATTTATGACAAGGAAATAGCTATAGTAGTATATGAATGCATGCCTAAGAATGTTCAAAAAATCAGTTTTTTCTAGGAAAGATTGTCTTTTAAACTGAGATAAATGTAGATACACATGTAGTTATAAGAAATACTAGACAGTGGTCTTTTGTACCCTTGACCTGATTTATGCCAACTGTGACACCTTGCAAAATAACAGTAAAATATCACAACCAGGACAATAACAACCCATGGATCTTATCCAGATTTTCCAGCAGATAATGTTTAAAAATGAAAACAACTGAAATATCTCATAGTAGAGAACACATATATAAATAATGTTATATAATGATATGGAATACATTTACTAATGATATTGATGCAGATTAATTGAGAAAAAATTTCTGATGAATTACCAAGGGAAGAAGGTAGATTTAAAAAATTATGTATAGTCCGGGCACAGTGGCTCATGCCTGTAATCCCAGCGCTTTGGGAGGCCAAGGCGGGTGGATCACTTGAGGTCAGGAGTTCCAAAACCAGCCTGGCCAACATAGCAAAACCCTGTCTCTACTAAAAACACAAAAATTAGCCGGGCATGGTGGCACATGCCTGTAATCCCAGCTTCTTGGGAGGCTGAGGCGGGAGAATCGCTGGGACCCGGGAGGCAGAGGCTGCAGTGAGCCGAGATCGCACTACTGTACTCCAGTCTTGGCAACAGGGGAAGACTCCATCTCAAAAAAAATAAAATAAAATAAAATAAAAAGGTACGTATAATCTGGACAGAGATGTTTTGCTGAAATTAAGGACACAGGCTTGGATGAACTGGCCCAGGTCAGAAATAGAGGCAGTCAAAACTCCTGTGCTGATCAGTAGTGGGATGGTACCTGTGAATAGCCACTGTATTGCAGCCTGGGCAACAGAGTGAGACTCTGTCTCAAAAAAAAAAAAAAAAAAAAAGAATGCAGGCTCTGTGCTCTTTTTTTTTTTTTTTTTTTTTTTTGAGATGAAGTCTCGCTCTGTCGCCAGGCTGGAGTGCAACGGTGTGATCTCGGGTCACTGCAACCTCTCCCTCCCGGGTTCAAGCCATTCTCCTGCCTCAGCCTCCTGAGTAGCTGGGACTACAGGTGCGCGCCCACGCCCGGCTAATTTTTGTATTTTTAGTAGAGATGGGTTTTGCCACCGCACCTGGCAGCTCTGTGGTCTTTCAGGATGCAAACCTGAGCTCTGATGATTACTAACCTCACAGTGTCGGTTTCCTCACTGGTAAAGCTGGAATAAAAATACCACAAGGTATGACTGCATGAACTATTAACTAAGATAATCTATCTACAACATGCAGTAATACACAACAATTATTTAATGTAAATTAGCTGTTATTATTGAAGATCAACATTACACATCTCAAATTTTATAAAATAATCAAGTCTGCTTTTTTTTTTACTTACATTAAAATATATTTCTCAAGCCAGTTGCCAATATAATGAATGCAAACTAAAAACAATTTTCAGAGCTTAATGTGTGAAGAATGAAATTCTGTTCATTAGCAAAACTAGCAATAAAGATTCTAAGACACATTTAGGGAAATGTTGCCTCTCCACCAGTAAGTAGAGAAAAGAGACATGATTCTGCATTAAAAAATCCAGCTTGGCTGGGTGCGGTGGCTCACACCTGTAATCCCAGTACTTTGGGAGGCTGAGGTGGGTGGATTACGAGGTCAGGAGTTCAAGACCAGCCTGCCCAACATGGTGAAACCCCATCTCTACTAAAAATACAAAAATTAGCTGAGTGTGGTGGTACAAGCCTGTAATACCAGCTTCTTGGGAGGCTGAGGCAGGAGAATCGCTTGAACCCGGGAGGCGGAGATTGCAGTGAGCTGAGATCACGCCCTTGCACTCCAGCCTGGATGACATAGCAAGACTCCTTCTCGGGGACGGGGGGTGGGGGGGTGTGGAATCCAGCCAGCTTACAGAACCTATTTCGAGAAGATGCCAACTTGCAAACATTAGCAAGAGGGTGAATCTGGTTTTTTGTTTTTTGTTTTTTTAAGAGACAGTCTCACTCTGTTGCTGAGGCTGGAGTGCAGTGGCGCAATCTCGACTCACTGCAACCTCTGCCTCCCGAGTTCAAGCGATTCTCCTGCCTCAGTCTCCTGAGTAGCTGGGATTACAGGCATGCGTCACCATGCCCGGCTATTTTTTGTATTTTTAGTAGAGATGGGGTTTCACCATGTTGGCCAGTATGGTCTCGAACTCCTGACTTCGTGATCTGCCCACCTCGGCCTTCCAAAGTGTTGGGATTACAGGCATGAGCCACAGTGCCCGGAGTTTTTTTTTTTCTTTTTGAGATGGGATTTTGCTCTTGTTGCCCAGGCTGGAGTACAGTGGAGCGATCTTGGCTCACTGCAACCTCAACCTCCCAGGTTCAAGTGATTCTCCTACCTCAGCCTCCCAAGAAGCTGGGATTATAGGCGCTTGCCACCATGCTTGGCTAGTTTTTGTATTTTTAGTAGAGATGGGGTTTCACCATGTTAGCCAGGCTGGTCTCGAACTCCTGACCTCAGGTGATCCACCCGCTTTGGCCTCCCAAAGTGCTGGGGTGACAGGCATAAGCCACTGCACCCGGCGTGAATCTTGTGTTCTATGTGAAATGGAAGATACATGTGAACATTTTTAACTATTGCCATCTTATCACCTCATTATTTTATCTTGCAAATGTTACTTACACAGTCTTTGTTACTTGTATCTATAACCTTGCTAATGTTACCCAGAAAGTCCATATTTGTAAGGCACCTGATGATTACTTAGAATTTATCAGTGATTACTGTCATGTTCTGGGAAAGAAACATTACAATTCTAGAATCTCTAGCTATTTTATCTTATTTTTTGAGACAGAGTCTTGTTCTACCATCCAGGCTGGAATGCTGTGGCACAATCTCGGCTCACTGCAACCTCCACCTCCCAGGTTCAAGCAATTCTCCTGCCTCAGCCTCCCAAGTACCTGGGATTACAGGCGCGCGCCACCACGCCTGCCTAATTTTTGTATTTTTTGTAGAGACGGCGTTTCACCATGTTGGCCAGGCTGGTTTCGAACTCCTGACCTCAGGTGATCTACCTGCCTCAGCCTCCCAAAGAGCTGGGATGACAGGCACAAGCCATTGCACCCGGCCTTCTAGTTTTTTTTTGAGATGGTCTCACTCTTTCACCCAGGCTGGAGGGCAGTGGTGGGATCACGGCTCATTGCAGCCTTAACCTCTTGGGCTGAAGGGATCCTCCCACTTCAGCTTCCTAAGTAGCTAGGACCATAGGCACACACCACCATGCCTGGCTAATTTTTTAAATTTTTGGAGAGATGAGGTCTCACTATGTTGCTCAGGTTGGTCTCAAACTCCTGGCCTCAAGCAATCATTCCACCTTAGAATCTTTAATTTTAAAGGCTTTCTTGATAATTTGCTGCTACAGATTAGATTTAAAACTAGATTTAAAGAGTCTCTGGAGTAGTCACATGATTAATTAGCAAAATTCCAGCTCCAGAAAGAAAACACATACCTGCTTAAGGGCAAAGAGGAGGACTAGAAACATTAATTACAAAAACGAGGACCAGAAACAGTAATGACCTGTGGATCGCACAATTACGGGTAATTTAGAGAGTTTTCTCTAAGAGCTCCTCAGGGACTAATTTGTTTTTTTTTTTTTTTTTTGGCCAGCAGGCCTGCATTAATCCCATTATAATATAAGAAATTTACTGAGATAGTCCCAAATTAAAAGAAAATGCCAAACACAAACATAGTTATGGGGGAGCAGGCACACTGTAGTCATTAAGGAAACTCTGAATGGATAGGCCTGCCTCTCAAATGTGTGTATGTGTGCACATATATTTTGCGACAGGGTCTCACTCTGTCGCCACTGGAGTACAGTGGTGTGAACCCAGCTTACTGCAGCTTCGATCTCCTGGGTTCAAGTGATCCTCCCACCTCAGCGTCCCTAGTAGCTGGGACCACAGTTGCACATTACCACGCCTGGCTAACTTTTGTATTTTTGTAGAGGTGGGATCTTGCCACTTTGCCCACCTCTCAAATGTGTCTCTATGGTAATTCCAGTACTTTCAAATATGTTACCTTGTATGGCAAAGGAAAATTAAGGCTGCAGATGGACTTAAAATGGCTAATCGGCTGCCTCTAACATACGGAAGATTCTCTTGAGTTATAGAAGCAAGCGCAATGTAATGACCAGAGTCCTTAAACTTAGAGGAGGAGGGTCAGAGTGGTGTGACGGAAAAAGGACTTGTCTTTTCAGGCTTTGCTGATGGAAGAAGGGGTCACGAACTAAGGAGTGTGGGCGGCGTCTAGAAGCCAGCAAAAGCAAGGACACAGAATATCTCCTACAGCCTCCAACAACCTGGTTTTAGCCCGGTGAGACCCACTTCAGACTTCTGACCTCTATGACAGTAAGATAATACATTTGTGTTGTATGACGCCAATAATCTACAGTAATTTGTTAAAACAGCAAAAATAAACTGATATAAGGCCTAATATTGAAAAAGTAGTGTCACTGAATCAGGCATAACCTTCCTGTTATGGAACATCCTTTCACTGTGTCTCAGTAATACAATCAGACCTTGTGATATAATTGTGTGTATGTTTGTGTATATGTGTGTCTATCTGTGGGTGTGTATATGTGTCTGTATATATATGGTGTTTATATATGTGTATGTGTGTGTATATGGTGTGGGTGTATATATATATGTGCATATATATGGTGTGTGTATATATGTGGGTGCATGGTGTGTGTATATATGGTGTGGATGTGTATATATGTGTGTATATATATGGTGTGTGTATATATGTGTGTGTATGGTGTGTGTATATATGGTGTGGATGTGTATATATGTGTGTATATATATGGTGTGTGTATATATGTGTGTGTATGGTGTGGGTATATGTGTGTATATATGTGTGTGTATGGTATGTATATGTAGGTGTGTATATGTATATATGAGGTATGCATGTGTATGGGGTGTGTGTGCGTATATGTGTGTGTATATATGGTGTGTGTATATATGTGTACGGGGTGTATATGTGTGTGTGTGGTGTGTATGTATGTGTGTATGGTGTGGGTATGTATGTGTACATATGTGTGTGTATGGCATGTGTGTGTATATGCTCGTGTGTGTATGGTATGTATATGTGTATATGTATATATGTATATACGTGTGTTATGGTGTGTATATATGTATATACGTGTGTGTATATATATATGTATATATGGGTATGTGTGTGCATGTGCGTATGGTGTATATGTGTATATATGTAGGTGTGTATATCTGTGTATATATGGGGTGTGTATATGTGTGTATGGTTTTTATATGTGTGTATATATGTAGCTGTGTATATATGGGATGTGTGTGTATATGTGTGTATATATGGGGTGTGTATGTACATGTATGAATGTGTATATATGTGTGTATATATGTAGGTGTGTATATGTGTGTATATATGGCGTGTGTGTATATGTGTGTATATATGTAGGTGTGTATATATGCATATATATGGTGTGTGCATGTGTGTATGGTGTGTATATATGTGTGTATATATGTATATATGGTGTGTGTGTACGATGTGTATGTGTGTATATATGTAGGTGTGTATGTGTATATATGGGGTGTGTGTGTATATGTGTGTATGGTGTGTATATGTGTGTGTCTCTATATGTAGGTGTGTACATGGGGTGTGTTTGTATACGTATGGTATGTATATATGTAGTTGTGTATATGTGTGTGTACATGGGGTGTGTGTATGTATGGTGTGTATATATGTGTCTCTATATGTAGGTGTGTACATGGGGTGTGTTTGTATATGTATGGTGTGTATATATGTAGGTGTGTATATGTGTGTGTACATGGGGTGTGTGTGTATGTATGGTGTGTATATATGTGTCTCTATATGTAGGTGTGTATATGTGTGTATACGGGGTGTGTTTGTATATGTATGGTGTGTATATATGTGTCTCTATATGTAGGTATGTATATGTGTGTATATATGGGGTATGTGTGTGTATATGTGTGTATGGTGTGTATATGGTATGTGTATATGTGTGTATGGTGTGTATGTGTGTGTATATATGTAGGTGTGTATAGGTGTGTATATGTGTGTATATATGGGGTATGTGTGTGTATATGTGTGTATGGTGTGTATATATGTAGGTGCCTATATGTGTGTATATATGGGGTATGAGTGTGTCTGTATGTTCTTGTCCATGGTTCCTGGCTCATAATTCCATAACCCTTGGTAAAATCTTAATATTAGGGCACTTTCAGCCTCAGAAGCAGGCCTCGGGAAGCAGAATCTCTCTCTCATCTTCTCTTGCCCTCCTTTCACCTGCCCAAAGCAGGACTCTCACTCCAGAGAGGGTCCTGCCCTGTACCTGTAGGAAGGAATGCTGCACTGAGAGGCCAAGAAGAATCTGAACAGACGGGCCTTGAGTTTCCCCACTCAATCAATTAGCATTAAATCAACTCTTATTTGTCCAATCACGTTTCAACACATTCGTGCATGCTTCAGTCACACCTATCCAATGAAGTCTCCATAAAAGGCCTAAGAAGACAGGGTGAGGAGAGCTTCTGGACAGCTGAACAGGAGGTGGCTGCTAGGAAGGTACAAAAGAACTCTGAAAAGGTGGCGCACCCCAATTCCACGGGAACAGAAGCTCCTGTGCTTGGGACTCTTCCAACCCTAGTCCTACATATCTCTTCATCTGGCTGTTCATTAGTATCCTTTAAAATATCCTTTGTAATAAACTGGTATATGTGTTTCCCTGAATTCTGAGTCAATCAAATACACTAATAGAAGCCAAAGAGTATAAGAACCCCAACCTGTAGAGGGTTGGCAAGATGTCCCAGAGGCCTGGTCTTGTGGCTAGTGGGGCAGAGTGGGACAGTCTTGCTCACAACCTGTGGAATCTGATGCCATCTCCAGGTAGATGGTGTCAGAACTGAACTGCAGGACATCCGGCTGATGTCCACTACAGCTTGCTTCTCCCCACACATTTAGTCACAAAGCTTATTTTTTTCTGAGACAGAGTCTCGCTCTGTCACCTAGGCTGGAGTGTGGTGGCGTGATCTCAGCTCATCACAGGTTCACAGCCTCCCAGGTTCAAGCGATTCTCCTGCCTCAGCCTCCTGAGTAGCTGGGATTACAGGCATGCGCCACCACACCCAGCTAATTTTTGTATTTTTAGTAGAGACAGGGTTACGCCATGCTGGCCAGGCTGGTTTCAAACTCCTGGCCTCAAAGTGATCTATCCGCCTCGGCCTCCTAAAGTCCTGGGATTACAAGTGTGGGCCACCGCACCCGGCCAAGTCACAAAGTTTTCTGTGTTGATTATCGTTGTGGTGTGAGAGAAGAAAAATGAGTTGGTTTTGTACACACTGACCCTGAGCACAATACTGTACCTAAATAGCCTCTGAAGATACCTGACAAAACTAAGTATTTTATTCCTCCCCAGATTCCTATATTGAAATTCTGTTCCCCAATGTGATGGTATTAAGACGTGAGGCCTTTGGAAGGTGATTAGGACATGAGGGAGGAGTGCTCAGGAATAGGATTAGTGTCTTATAAAAACGATCCCAGAGAGCTCTCAGCTCCCTTTCACCATGTGTGGCCATGGCACGAGGGTGGTCGCCTGCAACCTTGAAGAAGGCCTCACCGGAAGCTGCTTGCACTGGCACCCTGGTCTCAGGCTTCCAGCCCCCAGAACTGTAAGAAATAAATGCTTGCTGTGGCCGGACACGGTGGGTGATGCCTGTAACCCCAGCACTTTGGGAGGTGGAAATGGGAGGATTGCTTGAGCTCAGGAGTTTGATACCAGCCTGGGCAACATGGCAAGACCCTGTCTCTATAAAATATTAAAAAATTGGCTGGGTGTGGCGCCTCACGCCTGTAATCCCAGCACTTTGGGAGGCCGAGGCAGGCAGCAGATTGCTTGAGCTCAGGAGTTCACGACCAGCCTGGGCAACATGGTGAAACATTGTATCTACCAAAAAAAAAAAAAAAAAAAAAAAAAAAAGAGCCAGGTGTGGTGGCTCACACCTGTAGTCCCAGCTACTCAGAAGGCTGAGGTGGGAGGATTGCTTGAGCCCAGAAAGCAGAGGTTGAAGTGAGCCAAGATTGTGCCACTGCACTCCAACCTGGATGACAAAGCGAGACCCCGTCTCAAAATAAAAATAAAAATATACAGCCACATGTGGTGGCACACACCAGTAGCCCCAGCTACTTGGGAGGCTGGGGTGGGAAGATTGCTTGAGCCCAGGGGGCTGAGGTTGCAGTGAGCTATGATCACACCACCGCACTCCAGCCTTGATGACAGAGTAAGACCCTGTCTCAAAAACAAAACAAAACAAAAACAATAAAAAAGGCCCAACATGGTGGCTCACATCTGTAATCCAAGCACTTTTTGAGGCCAAGGTGGGAGGAAAGCTTGAGCTCATGAGATCAAGACCAGCCTGGGTAACATAGTGAGACCCTGTCTCTAAAAAAAAAAAAAATTAAAAAAAAAAAGTTTGCCCTTTTAGTCACACAGTCTATGGTACTTTGTTATCACAGACTGAATCAACTAAGACAAGAATTAAGAGGTGTGTGCAAAATAGACAAGAGACAGTTTAGTACAGAGAATATGTGCTTAATAAATGTGACCAGGCTCCTCTCTTCCTTCACTGAATAATCAGTCGTCATCTTGGATAGGATATTTACAAAACGTCTAATTCAATAGGATTTCCTTTTTTTTTTTTTTTTTTTTGAGATGGAGTCTCGCTGTGTTGCCCAGGCTGGAGTGAAGCGGTGCGATCTCGGCTCACTGCAAGCTCCGCCTCCCGGGTTCCCGCCATTCTCCTGCCTCAGCCTCCCGAGTAGCTGGGACTACAGGCGCCCACCACCACTCCCGGCTAATTTTTGTATTTTTAGTAGAGACGGGGTTTCACCGTGTTAGCCAGGATGGTCTCGATCTCCAGACCTTGTGATTTGCCCACCTCGGCCTCCCAAAGTGCTGGGATTACAGGCGTGAGCCACTGCGCCCGCCGACTAAGTCTCATAAACACATATGATTTAATTAAAAAAAAAAAAAAGATACTCACCTGACCTAAGATGTTTAACGATTCGTCTTCCTCCTCGGGGATGCTTTTTCTGAAGGATGCTGGCCTGGGGAAAACAGAACCAGAAGGGTAACACCTGCCATACCTAATAAAACCAATGAGAAATACGAGGCCCCGAGATGGAGTTTCTGGGAGATTCCTGAAGAGCACGCTGTGGTAACTGAGATGATGAAGCGTGGAGCTGCCCCTCTCCCTGTCTCCCACATCAGGGACGTGTCCCTCTACAGGAGGAATTCTACTCCTGAGGCCACCGTCTCCTGTCACTCAGGCGCCCTGAGTGGAGAGCACTTCTAGCTCTGAAAGCGTCACCTCATGGCTGTTTCTGCCTTCTTGTTGGTGAATTTCCTGGCAGGGCTCAGGCACTCCCGTCCTTCCGCGGCCCTTGTTCTCAGGCAGGTACCGCTTGGTTAGGAGGTGAAGGCAGGGGAAGCAGCAGAGACGCTGGAGCTACAGGTTGTGCTGTCACACACACCTGCGTCACCCAGAAGGCCCGATCATCCATCCCAGCACAGAGAAGCTGGAGCTACAGGTTGTGTTGTCACACACACCTGCGTCACCCAGAAGGCCCGATCACCCATCTCAGCACAGAGACGCTGGAACTACAGGTTGTGCTGTCACACACACCTGCGTCACCCAGAAGGCCCGATCACCCATCCCAGCACACAGAAGCTGGAGCTACAGGTTGTGTTGTCACACACACCTGCGTCACCCAGAAGGCCCGATCACCCATCTCAGCACAGAGACGCTGGAGCTACAGGTTGTGCTGTCACACACACCTGCGTCACCCAGAAGGCCCGACCAACCATCCCAGCACAAGCCTGCACTGATGGCTCAGCCTCACCACAGCACACACTGGCCTGAGACACATCTGCGCCCCTCATACCCACTAACGCCCAGCACGGCCACGCTGCCGGCCCCGCCACTCCACACAGTGCAAAGGCACATCCGTGGGCCACGGAGACCCGTCCTGATCGCCGCCCCCACATATCCCCCAGAGCGCACCTCACAGAACAGAGTCCCGGGGACGCACTGCCGAGGTTCACAGGTGCGGGTTCCGTCGCCCCAAAGCCTCGGGAGCACCCCAGCCCTAGTTATGGGGAGAGCCCGGCTGCGTCACCCCACACCCTCTCCAGCAAGTGCGTCACCGCTAGAAGCTCCGTGCCCGTCTCCCCTTGGAGCCATGGGCGCCAATCTCACCTGCGCGGACTGGCGGAGACACAGCGGTTGCGTCACCGGTGCAGAAGCGCACCGAGCACGGCCCCCATCACCCCCAATGACGCTTGCGTGCACCCGTGTCACAGTTACGGGAGATAGAGCCGCCGCGTCAGCCTCGCACTCCCACGCAAGTGCGTCACACAGTCGGTCCCGCCACCCATGGAGGCCAGCGCGCATGCGCACCCCGGACTCGGGAGGGGCCTCCCGCACCCAGCGGCCGGAGCGCGCAGGCAGCAGCAGAGCCCGACACGCATGTGCGTGCACACAGATCCTGACACGCATGTACACCCAGACCGCGACATGCACGTGTACGCGCACACAGACCCCCAACGCATGCGTGTGGCCAGACCTTGATCCGCATGTGCGACCAGACCCCGACACACATGTGCGCGTGCACAGACGCTGACACATGCACACACTGACACGCGTGCGCGCCCTTCCCACTCCTTCCTTCTTTGGCCTCTCCCGAAGCCACAGGCGCACTCGGCGGTCCCCCTACCCCCATGCTTGGCGCGCACCCCTGGGTTCCTCCTAGGAAGCGAATGCCCTACTCAGGCCCAAACACACAGGGGCTTCGGGAAGGGGTGAGAGGCTTGAGGAGGGCGATGTCTGGGGAAACCAGAGCCCCAAGCCCCGTGTCCCAGCATGCAGCGCCTTAAGTTCCTGGGGGGCCTCTGGGAAACGTAGTCTGGGCCGGTCCCAGGCAGGGGCCTCAGGGCGCGTTCCAGGCAGGCAGCCCCACACTGAGTCCATCTTGCTCCCTGCAGACGCCCGTTCCCGGCTGGGAGAGGGGCTGTGTCACCCCAGCTGGGAGCCCGTCTGGCCTCTGAGTGGGGTGATGCCGGGTGAGCCATGGCTGTCATCAGAAGGGTATCCTCTCCTAGCCCCTCTGGAGCATCACCTGGAATTCTCTGCAGGCCGCCAGCACAGGCTGCCCGAGGTGCTATTCGGTGTCCCTTGCTTGCTGGATTGTAAACAATGTACAGGCAGCAGTTATGCCCAGTTAGTCCCGCTCTCATTCCAAGTACTAATGTCACAGGGTCTACAGGATGTTGCAGGTACTACTTAACCACAGTCTCATTTTGACTCAAAATCCCACTTTTTAGAATTTATCCCAAGGAAATAGCTAGAGTAGTACACACATGTATGCCCAAGATGTTTGGAGATTATCTTGTGTGGGAAAGTTTTTCTTTTAAATTGATACAACCGTAGATTCTTAGGTAGTTGTACACATAATACTGAGAAAGCCTATGTATCTTTCACCTGGTTACACCAATTGGTGATTATAGTATACAGTATAATATCACCGCCAGGACATTCACAATGACATCATCCATTGATGTTATGCAAATTTCAAGACACTAATTTTTTTTTTTTTTTTTTGAGATGGAGTTTCACTCTTGTTGCCTAGGCCAGGATTACAGGCATGAGCCACTGCACCCAGCCAAGACAGTAATTTTTAAAAATGAAAATCTTGCAGAAGATAGAGGAAAATATCACAGTAGAGTACAGAATAAATAAATTAGTCTGTTATATAATGGCATAAAATACATTTACTAATAGTGATACTGATTCATGTAAATTGAAAGACGGTATCATTAATTACTAAGAGAGGAAGGTAGGTTTGAAAGGGTATGTATAATTTGGGAGGAGATATTTTGGTGAAATTAAGAACATAGGCTCTATGTTCTTAATTTCTATAACTTTCAGAATGTGAATCTGAGCTCTAACAGTTATTAACTGCTTGTTTCCTCACTAGTAAAATTGGGATAATAATACTATAAGGTATGACTGTCTCAGCTATTAAATATCAGAATATCTAATACATACGGCAATATGTAAAGATTTTTTAAGTTTGTGGTTACTATTGAAGATCAGTAACATTACACTGATCCTGAATCCAGTTTTAAAAAAGAAACTCATCTGCTGTTTTTAATTTTTTTGAAACAGGGTCTCGCTTTGTCACCCAGGCTGGAGAGCAGTAGTGCAATCTCAACCACACTGCAACCTCTGCCTCCTAGGCTCAAGTCATCCTCCCACCTTAGCCTCCCAAGAGCTGGGACTACAGGTGCACGCCACCACATCTGGCTAGTTTTTGTAATTTTTTTTCTTTTTTTTTTGGTAGAGACGGGGTCTTGCTATGCTGCCCAGGCTGGCCTTGATCTCCTGAGCTCAAGCAATCTGCCTCCTTGGCCTCCCAAAGTGCTGGGATTACAAGCAAGGGCCACTGCACCCGGCCTGCTGTTTTTTTCTTATGCTAAAATATGTACTTGTCAAACCAGCTGTCAATATAGCAAATGCTAACTAAAAGGAACTTTCAGAGCCTGATGTTAAGAATGAAATTTGTTTTGTTTAAGCATGTTAGGTAAAAATATTCTAAGACACATAAGGAGGAAATGTTCCCTCTCACAAGCGAGTAGGGGAACAGAGAGATGATTCTGCATCAAAAATTGTGCTCAAATAATATGATCTTAGAAGATGCCAAACTGGGAACATTAGCAAGAGGATGAATCATGTGTTCCATGTGTTATAGGACATTTATGCAAACCATTTTAATTGTCATCGTACTCAATTTCACTGATCTTGGATTTGTTATTTGTATAGTGGGTATTTTTTACTTGTACATATAATCATGGAAATGTTACTTGTACAAGCAGATTTGTAAGGCAACAGGCGTCAGTGATTACTGTCATGGTCTTTGAAAGAACCATTAAAATCATAGAAAATTTAATTCTGAAAGGCTGTAGAGCCATCCCTCAGTATCCAGATTTGTTCCAGAACCCCCCTGAATATCAAAATCCTCGAATGCTTCAGACTCTTATACAAAGTGGTATAGTATCTGCATATAACCTATCCACATCCTCCTGTACATTTTAGATTCTAGATTCTTTATAAATTATCTTATATGCTATGCTAATAATTTTCATACTGTATGGTTTAGAATAATGAGAAGAAAAGTCTGTACATGTTCAATACAGATGTTAGCATCTGTAAAATAGGATGCAAACCTCCTATTTTTTTTCCCAAGGATATTTTTGATCTGTGGCTGAATCCACAGATGCAGAACTCATTCCAAGGGTGCACTATATTTTTTGATAATTTGTTGCCATGGGATTAGTTTCAGATGATGTGTCTCTACTCCTATAAGGTGTAAATATATGAGAGGTTTTCCAAAACAAGACAAAGATCACTGGCACACCCCTCCCATCCCCACATGCTCACAGGTATAACGTGACCCGTGGCTGGGCTGGATGCCTTTCACAAACTACCATTTGGAAAGTCTTTGATTCATTTACTTTATCAATTAGAAGGATTTAATGTTCCAGAAACAAAAGCACATACATGTTTAGAGGGGAAGTGGAGGACTATAAACATATATACCAAATATGATTAACAGTAATTATCTCTAGATGGAATTATGGGTAATTAATTTTGAGATTCTTCTTTATGAACTCCTTAGAGGACTGAATTTTTTTGCAGTTGGCCTGCATTAATCCCGTTATAAGGAGTGAAAGTTAAGGGAGTCCTAATTTTAAAAAATGATTGGCCAGGCGCAGTGGCTCAAGCCTGTAATCCCAGCACTTTGGGAGGCCAAGGTGGGTGGATCACGAAGTCAGGAGTTCGACACCAGCCTGACCAACATGGTGAAACCCCATCTCTACTAAAAAATACAATAATTAGCTAGGCATAGTGGTGCACACTACTCAGGAGGCTGAGGTAGGAGAAGAGCTTGAACCCGGGAGGCGGAGGTTGGGCCGAGATTGCACCTTGCACTCCAGACTGGGTGACAGAGCAAGACTCTGTCTCAAAAAAAAAGAAAAAAAAAAAAAAAGATTAACGGCCAGGCATGGTGGCTCACGCCTGTAATCTTAGCACTTTGGGAGGCCAAGGTGGGCAGGTCACTTGAGGTCAGGAGTTTGAGACCAGTATGGCCAACATGGCAAAACCCCATCTCTACTAAAAACACAAAAATTAGCCTGGCGTGGTGGCAGGAGCCTGTAATCCCAGGTACTCGGGAGGCTGAGGCAGGAGAATCGCTTGAACTTGGGAGGCGGAAGTTGCAGTGAGCCAAGATCGGGCCAATGCATTCCAGCATGGGTGATACAGCGAGACTCTAACTCAAAAAAAAAAAAAAAAAAAAAAAAAGACAAAATAGACTTTAAATCAAAAACTGTAAAGAGAGGCAAAGAATGTCATTATATAATAAAATTAGTCCATCAGTCAAGATGATATATTAATTATAGATATGTATGCATCCAGCATTGGAGCTCTTAAATACATAAAGCAAACATTAAGAAATCTCAAGGGAGGGTTAGATTTTAATACAATGACAGAAGAGGACTTCAAATCCTACTTTCAACAAAGGAAAGATCATTCGGACAGAAAATCAACAAGTAAACATTGGACCTGAATTACGCTTTAGACCAAATGGACCTAACAGTTGTATTCTGCACCATCTCTCTAATAGCGGCAGCATGTACATTCTTCTCAAGTACACAGGAAACATTCTCCAGGATAGATCATGTTAGGACATGATACAAATCTTAAGAAATTTACAATGACTGACATCATATGAATGACCTTTTCCAACCACAAGGGCATAAAACTGGAAATCAATAACGGGAGAAATTTAGGTAAATCAAAAAATATGTGGATATTAATCGACATGATGCTAAACAACCAATGGGCCAGGGAAGAAACTGTAAAAATATTTTGAGACAAACGTAAATGTAAACACAACATCCTCAAATCTTAAAGAAGGCAAGAGAGGCAGTTCTAAGCCGGAAGTTTATAGCAGTAAATACTTATATCACGAAAGAAGGAAGATCTCAAACAAACATTTCAAGGAACCAGAAAATGAACAAATGGAGTCTAAAGATAGGAAGGAAGGAAATAATAAAGATTAGAGCAAAAAATAAATAAAATACAGACTGGAAAACAATATGAAAAGATTTTTAAAAAAAAATTTTTTTTTTTTTTTTGAGACAGAGTCCCCACTGTTCCCATACATAGGATTTCTAACGTTAGAATCATGAGGCTTTTAAGAATTGCACAAGATGTTTCTCAGGTCCCAAATTCCAGTGAAATAGCTGATGCCAAGCAGTCTGAAGACAACCACAGAGGAACAGAATCAGCATGAGAATAGTTTCTTCATCTTCCTGTCTCATGACTCCACACTGCACTCTTTAAGCAGTGATTTCCACACTTTAAAACCCTTAAAAACCCTAGCTCCAAACTCCCTGGGAGGACGGATTTCATTTTCATCCTACCTCCTTGTTCTGCAGCCTTACAGTAAACCGTCTTTCTTTGCTGCAACCTGCTGTATTGACATGCTGTGCTCATGGGGCAACGGACCTATTACGGTTATAATACTGGCATGAAAACACACACAATGGAAGAACAGAGCTCAGAAACAAATCCAAACTCATGGTCAACTGATCTTTGACAAAGGTGCCAACATCACACAATGGGGAAAGGACGATCTCTTAAATAAATGCTGTTGGGAAAACTGGATATTTGCATGCAGAAGAATGCAACTGGACCCTTATTTTACTTCATAGAGAAAAATGAGGCCAGGTGCGGTGGCTCACCTGAGGTCAGGAGTTTAAGACCTGCCTGGCCAACATGGGGAAACTCCGTCTCTACTAAAAATACAAAAATTAGCCAGGTGTGGTGGCAGGAGCCTGTAATCTCAGCTACTGAGGAGGCTGAGGGAGGAGAAATCACTTGAACCTGGGAGGTGGAGGTTGCAGTGAGCCGAGATCGTGCCACTGCACTCCAGCCTGGGTGACAGAGTGAGACTTGGTCTCAAAAAAAAAAAGAAGAAAAAGAAAAAAAGAAAAATGAAGTCAAAATGGATTAAAGACATAAAAAGTAAGACCAGAAACTGTAAAACTACTGGGAGAATACATAGGGAAAATTCTCCTTCACATCGCCCTTGGCAATGAGTTTTTAGCTATCACACCAGATCATCCTACAAAAGCAAAAATAAGCAAATGGGACTACATCAAACTAAAAATCTCCCACACAGCAAAGGAAACAAAATGAAAAGGTAGCCTATGGATTGGGAGAGACTATTTCAAACCATATATCTGATAAGGGGTTAATATCCAAAATAGGGCTTGGCATGGTGGCTCACACCTGTAATCCCAGAACTTTGGAAGGCCGAGATGGGAGGACTGCTTGAGCCCAGGAGTTTAAGATCAGCCTGGGCAACATGGTGAGACCCCATATCTACAAAAAATTGAAAAATTAGTCGGGCATTGGCCGGGCACCGTGGCTCACACCTGTAATCCCAGCACTTTGGGAGGCTGAGGCAAGTGGATCATGAGGTCAGGAGATCGAGACCATCCTGGCTAACAGGGTGAAACCCTGTCTCTACTAAAAATACAAAAAAAAAATTAGCCGGGCGTGGTGGCACGCGCCTGTAATCCCAGCTACTCGGAGGCTGAGGCAGGAGAATCGCTTGAACCCGGGAGGCGGAGGTTGCAGTGAGCCGAGATCACGCCACTGCACTCCAGCCTGGGTGACAGAGGGAGACTCCATCTCAAAAAAAAAGAAAAGAAAAGAAAAGAAAAATTAGCCGGGCATGATGGCATGTGCCTGTAGTCCCAGCTACTTGGGAGGCTGAGGTAGGAGGATTGCTTGGGTCCAGGAGGTGGAGGATGCAGTGAACTGTCATTGCACCACTGCACTCCAGCCTGGATGACAGAGCAAGACCCTGTCTAGAAAACAAACAAAAAAAAACAAACAAAAATGACAAAACATAGAACTCAAACAACTTAACAGCAAAAAACCAAACAACCCTGATAATAAATGGGCAGAAAACTTGAACAGCCATTTCTTGATAGAACACATACAAATTGCTATAGGTCTGTGAAAAATTGCTCAGGATCACTACTATTATTCAGGGCAACAAAAAGTTAAACCACAATGAGATATCACCTCATACATGTAAGAATGGCTTTTATTAAAAAACAAACAAAAAAAATAACATGTTGGCAAGGCTGTGAGGAAAAGAGGACCCTTATACACTGTTGGTTAGAATGTAAATTAGCCATGATGGAAAACACCGTGGAGATGCCTGAAAAAACTAAAACTATCAGATGACGCAGCAATCCCACTCTGGGTATATATCCAAAGAAAATGAAATTAGTATGTCATGGCGATACCTGTGCTCCCGTGTTCACTGCAGTAGCATTATTCACAGTAGCCAAGATAAGGAATCAACCTACATACTCATCAGGAATTAATAAAGAAAGTGTGGTAGAGATAACACAATGCAATGCCATCCAGCCTTTATAAAGAAGGAAATCCTGTTATTGTGACAACATGGGTAAATCTGGAGGACATTGTACTAAGTGAAATAAGCTAGACAGACAAATCCTGCATGATGTCATTACATGTGGAGTGTAAAAAAAATCCAACTCACAGAAGAAGAGAGGTGGTCGTCAGGGCCTGGGAGGGTGATGGGGAATGAGAAGATTAAAGGAGATAAAGTGGGAATAATTTCTGGAGATTTATTGTCTAGCATGGTGACTAAATATAATGAATAATATTGAATATGCCAAGAGACTAGATTTAAATGTTCTCATTGCAAATATGATTATCAGTGAGTTGAGGGAGGGATATGTTAATCAGCTTGATTTAATCTGCAGTATAAACACAGATCAAAGCCTCTGTAGACCATAAACATACACAAATTGCCATTGAAGACAGCTGCCAACCTCTGCCCTAGATCCAGAACTCATACTCAACATTAAACCATATGGTTTCTCACAGTTCACACAAACGGGGAACTGAAGAAAAACAGAAGCTGTCCGCCCAAAGAAGTCCAAGTGAATAGAACAAATTTCGATTTACTGCATATTGAAAAACATCTCTGCCTTTGATGACACAGAAATTAGCTCAAACTCCGCTCTTAAAGGCCTCACAAAACTGACAACTTTGCCAGGTACAGACTAAACAAACTAACTTTCTCTTTTCTTGTGCTCTAAAAATCAGTCCCATGGAAAAGACCAAAGATATCTGTGTTTGACTCCACCTAAAAACGAATCCCCTCCTTACCCAAGCACACTGTAAAATAAAGCGCGCTAACATGAACCTCTAGGAGGGAGTTGTTTTTTTTTTTTTTAGGGGGGATTTTTCTATACCATCAGATCTTAGAAAACCAGAGCACACAGCAGGATGTCAACAATTTGACAAATGGGTTTGTGGATACTCAAAGGAGAGGGCTGGTCAACCAGGGGGTACAGAGAGGAATATACCTGCCTGGCCCTTGCCACATCCCCTGGGGAGGAATTACTGGGATAAATTGCTATTAGGGAGGATATTTGGGGCCATAAAGAGTAAAGAGTCCTAAGTCATATAAACACAAATCATTTAATGAACAAAAAAGGTAACTCATGTGGAGAGCCGACTTTCAGATATATAATATTAGGTCAGTGCAAAAGCAATTGACATTAGACATAATGGCAAAAACCGCAATTACTTTTGCACCAACCTAAATAATAATTTTTTTTTTTTTTTTTTTTTCCCCCTCAGGATGCTTTTTCTGAAGGATGCCAGCCTAGGGGAAAGGAAGAATGAGAACCTAGGGTCTTTCTGGAGCACAGGCTGCATTAGCAAATACCCTCCAGGGCACGCCTGTCCCCAGGCCACAGCCGAAACCAATCCGAATGGAGAGGACACTGGCATTTGTGAGTTTCAGAGTTCTTGGGGACTAACGTGTATTTACTGGATTCTAGAACACGTGATGCTCCCGACACTCACCTACCAAGTTAGTCACCTCTCCCTCCACAAGGACTCCCACTCCTGAGGCTTCCCGTTACTGTGACACAGGAGCCGGTACGGAGAACACGTCCGGCTTGAACACTTATCTATGACAATGGCTGTGCCCTTTGTGTTGGTTCAGTTAATGACAGGGTCCTGGCTCTCATGTCCCACTGGGGGCCGCTGCTCTCAGGCAGGTACCACACTGTTGGAAGGTGAAGGCAGAGGAAGCCCAGAGACAATGGAAATACAAGTGGCAGACTGTGAGTCAGTGACTGATCTAGGACTGTGGCTGGGTGATCGGGAGTGTGGCCTACTGAGTGTCCATGAGTGGATGTGACTGGCGCTGTGTCACCCCAGCTGGGACCCCGTCTGGCCTCTTGAGTGGGGTGATGCCGGGCGAGCCACGGCTGTTCTCAGAAGGGTATCCTCTCCTAGGCCCTCTGGGGCGTCACCTGGAATTCTCTGCAGGCCACAGCACAGGCTGCCCGAGCTGCTGTTCGGTGCCCCTTGCTTGCTGGATTGTAAACAATGTGCAGGCAGCAGTTATGCCCCGTTAGTCACGCTCTCATTCCAAGTACTAACGTCACAGGGTGTGGCATAGTGCGGGCCCTTAACAAACATCTAATTTTGACTCAAAATTCCACATGTGGAATTTATGGGTCCAGGAGGAGGAAACAGTTAGAAAGACAAGAAAACAGAAGTACATAAATGTATGTGAAAGAGCGATCAAGAAAAATTTTTTTCTAGGTAAGTTATTTTTCTAAAAAACTGAGATAACTGTAGATTCACATGTAGTTGTAAATAATAATACAGAGAGATCCAGTGCACCCTTAACCTGACTTACACCAGTAGTGATACCTTATAAAACTACAGTACAGGCCGGGCATGGTGGCTCATGCCTGTAATCCCAGCACTTTTGGAGGCCAAGGCAGGCAGATCACAAATTCGACACCAGCCTGGCCAACATGGTGAAACCCCGTCTCTACTAAAAATACAAAAATTAGCTGGCTATGGTGGTGGGAGCCTGTAATCCCCGCTACTCAGGAGGCTGAGGCAGGAGAATTGCTTGAACCCAGAAGGTGGAGGTTGCAGTGAGCTGAGATTGTGCCACTGCACTCCAGCCTGGGTGACAGAGAAAGACTCCGTCTCAAAAAAAAGAAAAACAAAACTGCAGTACAGTATCACAGCCAGGATAGTGACACAGATTCCCTCCTTGATCTTATCTATGATTTCCAGAGAATACAGTTTCAACAACGAAAAAAATAGCAGTATCTCACAGTAGAGGATGGGTTAAATTATGGTCTGCTATATGATGGCATGGAATACTAACAATATTGATTCTTTTTTTTTTTTTTTGAGACGGAGTCTTGCTCTGTCGCCCAGGCTGGAGTGCAGTGGCGTGATCTCGGCTCACTGCAAGCTCTGTCTCCTGGGTTCACGCCATTCTCCTGCCTCAGCCTCCCGAGTAGCTGGGACTACAGGTGCCCACTACCTCGCCCGGCTAATTTTTTGTATTTTTAGTAGAGATGGGGTTTCACCGTGTTAGCCAGGATGGTCTCCATCTCCTGACCTCGTGATCCGCCCACCTTGGCCTCCCAAAGTGCTGGGATTACAGGCATGAGCCACCACACCCGGCCTAATAATATCGATTCTTATTGAGAATTTTTTTTTTTTTTTGAGACGGAGTCTTGCTCTGGCCAAGCTGGAGTGCAGTGGCGTGATCTCAACTCACTGCAACCTCCGCCTCCCGGGTTCAAGCGATTCTCCTGCCTCAGCCTCCCGAGTAGCTGGGACTACAGGTGCATGCCACCACGCCCAGCCAATTTTTGTATTTTTAGTAGAGATGGGATTTCACCATGGTGGCCAGGACGGTCTCGATCTCCTGACCTTGTGATCTGCCCACCTCGACCTCCCAAAGTGCTGGGATTACAGCCATGAGCCACCGCGTCTGGCTTGAGAAAATTTTTATGATGAATTACCAAGTGAAGAAGGTAGATTAAAAAGGTGTATATAATTTGGGCAGAGATGTTTTGATGAAATTAAGAATACAGGTTGTGTGGTCTGACTTTAGAGATGTGAATCTGAACCCTGGCAGTTAGCCTCATAGTGTCTGTTTCGTCACTGATAAAATGTAATAAAAGTACTACATGGTATGATTGTTACAACTGGCAAGTATGATAATCTATGTAAAACACTCAATAATATGTGACATTTGTGTAATAGAAGTTACCTGTTATTATTGAAGACCAACTCATGTCGGCCAATCTCCTTGCTTTTTTTCTTTAAAAAAAGTTTTTCTTTTTATAGTTTTTATTTTTAAAAAATTCATAATAAGGCTGGGCGTGGTGGCTCATGCCTGTAATCCCAGCACTTTGGGAGGCCAAGGCAGGCGGATCGGATCACGAGGTCAGGAGTTTGAGACCAGCCTGGCCAACGTGGTGAAACCCCGTCTCTACTAAAGATACAAAAAACTAGCTGGGCATGGTGGTGCGCGCTTGTAATCCCAGCTACTCAGGAGGTTGAGGCAGGAGGATTGCTTGAACTGGAAGGTGGAGGTTCAGTGAACCAAGATTGCACCATTACACTCCAGCCTGGGAGACAGGGCGAGACTCCGTCTCAAAAAAATAAAAAAATTCATAATAGAGACAGGGTCTCACCATGTTGCCCAGGTTGGTCTTGAACTTGTGGGCTCAAGCGATCCTCCTGCCTCACAGCCTGCCAAAGTGCTTTGGATTACAGGTGTGAGCCACCATGCCTGGCCCCCTCCTTTTTTTTCTAATGGTAAAATGTGCCACTGGGCGCGGTGGCTCATGCCTGTAATCCCAGCACTTTCGGAGGCTGAGGCAGGTGGATCACCTGAGGTCGGGAGTTCAAGACCAGCCTGACCAACATGGAAAAACCCTGTCTCTACTAAAAATACAAAATTAGCTGGGCGTGGTGGCACTTGCCTGTAATCTCAGCTACTTAAGAGGCTGAAGCAGGAGAATCGCTTGAACCCGGGAGGCAGAGGTTGCGGTGAGCCGCGATTGCGCCATTGCACTCCAGCCTAGGCAACCAGAGCGAAACTCTGTCTCAAGAAAAACAAAAGTGCCTTCCTTGAACCCGCTGTCTGCGTAATCAATATTAACCAAAAATAACATTCAGAGTCTGATGTTAAGAATGAAATTCATTTTGTTTAACAAAATGAATACATTAGCAAAAGAGATTCTAAGAAATATAACGAGGAAATGTTCCCTTTCCATCAGCAACTAGGGGGACAGAGACATTGTTCTGCATAAGAAAATCTAATTTAATGACTCTAATCTGAGAAGATGCCAAGTTGAGAACATTAGCAAGAGGCTGAATTTTGTGTTCCACGGGATAAGGGAGATACATATGAGATACTGTCATCTAATTCTTTTTCTATCTTGGAAATGTTACTTATACAGCCCATATTTGTTACTTGTACAAATAATCTTGCTAATGTCACATGGAAAGTCCGTATCTGCAAGGCACCCAGTGATTAGTGTTCATGGGTGATTATTGTGATGTCCTGGGAAAGGAACATTAACATTCTATAATCTAATTCTAAAAGGCTGTCTTTCTTGAAAATTTGTTACCATAGGTTAGATTCAGATGATGGATTTCTAATCCTACAAGGTAGAAATATGTGAGATATTTCAAAACAAGGCAAAGATCACTGGCATAGCCCTTCCCCTCCCAACACACACACAGGTGTAATGCGACTCATGGCTGGGTTGGATTCCTTTTATAAATTAAGATTTGGAGTCTCTGACTCATTTATGATGAATTAGCAAGATTCAATACTCCAAAAACAAAACACACACATGCTTAGAGGCAAAGAAGAGGCCTAGAAACATAAATACCATTTCAGATGTTTTTTTCTTGTTTTTTTTTTTGAGACACTGTCTCCCTTTGTTGCCCAGGCTAGAGTGCAATGGCTCACTGCAGCCTGGAACCCCTAAGCCCAAGTGATCCTCCCACAGCAGCCTTCTGAGTAGCTGAAACTATAGGTATGCATCACCATGCCTGGCTAATCTTTTTCAATTTTTTATTTTAGTAGAGATGGAGTCTCACTGTTGCCCAGGCTGGTCTCAGACTCCTGGCCTCAAGTGATCATCCCGCTTTGGCCTCCCAAAGTGCTGGCCATTTAAAATGTTCATCAGTGATTATCTCTGGATGGTACAATTATGGGTAATTTGGAGATTCTTCTTTAAGGGCTCCTTAGGGACTGTTTCTTTCTTTGCCCCCAGCAGGCCTGCATTAATCCTATTATAAGAAATATAACAAGATAGGAGCAGGGTACAGTGGCTGGTGCCTGTAATCCCAGGTACTTGAGAGGCCGAGGTGGGAAGACCACTTTAGCCCAGGAGATTGAGGCTGCTGTGAACTATTATCAACCCACTGCACTCCAGCATGGGCAACAGAACACAACCTTGTCTATAAGGAAAAAACAAAACAAAACAAAACAAAAACACATAAAAGAAGAAATATAGGCCGGGCACGGTGGCTCACGCCTGTAATCCCAGCACTTTGGGAGGCCGAGGCAGGCAGAGCACCTGAGGTCGGGAGCTCGAGACCAGCCTGACCAACAAAAGAGAAACCCCGTCTCTACTAAAAATACAAAATTAGCTGGGTGTGGTGGCGCATGCCTGTAATCCAAGCTACTCAGGAGACTGAGGCAGGAATTGCTTGAACCCAGGAGGCAGAGGTTACGGCGAGCTGAGATCACGCCATTGCACTCCAGCCTGGGCAACAAGAGCGAAACTCTGTCTCAAAAAAAAAAAAAAGAAAAGAAATATGATTATTGTTCTCTCGTTGCCTCTCTCAAACATGTCAATATGGTAATGCTGGCACCTATGATGATATTACCTTACATGGCAAAGGGGAATTAAGGTTGCAGGCGGACTAAAATTGCTAATGGGCTGACACTAAAATAGGGAAGATTATCCTGAGTTACCTCAGCGGGCCTAATGTAATCACCAGGGTCCTCAAAATGAGAAGAGGGTGAGATGAACAGAAAGAAGTAGGGTCAGAGTGACGTGATGGAAAAGGGACTTGGCCTGTCTTTGCAGCTTTGATGATGGAAGAAGGGGTCACAAACCAAGGCATGTGGGGCAGTGTCTAGAAGCCAGCAAAAGCAAGGACATAAAATACCTCCCACAGGGCAGGCTCGGTGGCTCACACCTGTAATCCCGCACTTTGGGAGGCTGAGGCCGGCTAATTAATCACCTGAGGTCAGGAGTTCGAGACCAGCCTGATCAACAAGGAGAAACCCTGTTTCCACTAAAAATACAAAAATTAGCTGCGGATGGTGACATGTGCCTGTAATCCCAGCTACTCGGGAGGCTGAGGCGGGAGAATCACTTGAATCTGGGAGGTGGAGGTTGCAGTGAGCCAAGATTGTGCCACTGCGCTCCAGCATGGGCAACAGAGCAAGCCTCCATCTCAATTACAGAAAAAAAAAGACTATCTCCTAGAGCCTCCAAGCACACACACCTCCTAGAGCTCTGCCAAAGAGCCTCCAAGCACACACATGTCCTCCGTGAGAGGACACAGCAAGATGGTGACAGTCTCCAACCTGGAAAAGGGCCCTCATCAGAACCTGACCATGCTGGTACCCTCTTCTCAGACTTCCAGCCTCCAGAACTGTGAGCAATAAATGTTTGTGGTTTCAGCCACCGGTCTATGGTACTTTGTTACAGACTAAGGTAAGAATAAATTAAGGAGTGTGTGCAAAACACAATAGAGTATGGTACAAAAATGCGCTCAATAAATGTGGCCAGGCTCCTCTCTTTTGAAGGATTCATGAATAATCCTAAATAATATACTAAAATGTCATGTTGGATAAGGTATTTACAAAAATCTTATTCAATGGAATTTGTAGGCAACTGAAGCATTTCCTTCATTTACTATTGTTAATAACTATTAGTAGTGTTTAATATTATGTCAGGTGCATTTTTCTTTCTTACGGTTATAACTAAACTTACTTCTTTGTAGCTGCAGAGTATTCCATGAAATGAACGTGGTATAATTACTTAACCATTTCCACCATCCTGAACAATAATTGTGGTCAAGGTACACAGCCTTCGATTGTAGACCAATGGGTCTAAATGTCTTTGGGGCATGTCCATCCTTCTTAATGCCATGAAATTACAGAGTATCTCCTTAGGGTGGTGGTGGTGGGGGACAGATACACTAACACTGATAATCACATACAGTAAATATACACAGAATGTCCCTTGGAAAGTTGTAAGTGGAGTTAAAGGCAGGCCCTCAGGTTAAGGATAACAGTTCTAGGCCATTTGAGGCTGTGGTTCATTTTGTGAACCTGCAAACACCCATCCCAGTTACCTTCATATGTACGTTGCTCCTGATGTACAGACATCCAGACTTAGCACAAAACAGCAGCACTCACTGTGCACTCCCACTCAGGGGTGCGCGTCTATGGGTTTTATGCGTGTTAATGCATTTCACCCTCCTCACAAGCCTATCTTCAGAAGGCTCAAAAAGCTAAGAGGCAGAAACAGGACTCAAATCTTGGTCATCTACCTTTAATGTTTGGTCTTAAGTCTTATAAACACATATCATTTAATATAAAAAAAAAAGGATACTCACCTGACCCTTTCAGATGTTTAACGATTCGTCTTCCTCCTCGGGGATGCTTTTTCTGAAGGATGCTGGCCTGGGGAAAACAGAACCGGAAGGGTAACACCTGCCATACCTAATAAAACCAATGAGAAATACGAGGCCCCGAGATGGAGTTTCTGGGAGATTCCTGAAGAGCACGCTGTGGCGATTGAGATGATGACGCGTGGAGCTGCCCCCCTCCCTGTCTCCCACATCAGGGACCTGTCCCTCTACAGGAGGAATTCTACTCCTGAGGCCACCGTCCCCTGTCACTCAGGTGGCCTGCATGCACAGCACTTCTGGCTCTGAAAGCGTCACCTCATGGCTGTTTCTGCCTTCTTGCTGGTGAATTTCCAGGCGAGGCTCAGGCGCTCACGTCCCTCCGCGGCCCTTGTTCTCAGGCAGGTACCGCTTGGTTAGGAGGTGAAGGCAGGGGAAGCAGCAGAGACGCTGGAGCTACAAGTTGCACTGTCACACACACCTGCATCACTCAGAAGGCCCGATCATCCATCCCAGCACAGAGACGCTGAAGCTACAGGTTGTGTTGTCACACACACCTGCGTCACCCAGAAGGCCCGATCACCCATCCCAGCACAAGTCTGCACAGCTCAGCCTCACCACAGCTCACTCTGTCCTGAGACACATCTGCGCCCCTCATACCCACTAACGCCCAGCACGGCCATGCTACGGGCCCCACCACCCCACACGGTGCAGAGGTGCATCCGTGGGCCACGGAGACCCGTCCCGACCGCTGCCCCCGCACAACCCCCAGAGCGCACCTCACGGAGCAGAGTCCCAGGGACGCACCGCCGAGGTTCACAGGCACGGGCTGCGTTGACCCAAAGCCTCTGGAGCACCCCCGGTCACCAGTTATGGGGAGAGCCCGGCTGTGTCACCCCACACTCTCCAGCAAGTGCGTCACCGTCAGAAGCCCCGTGCCCGTCTCCCCTCGGAGCCACGCGCACCAATCTCACCTGCGCGGACTGGCGGAGATGCAGCGGCTGCGTCACTGGTGCAAACGCGCACCCAGCACGGCCCCCATCGCCCCCAATGACGCTCGCGTGCACCCGTGTCACAGTTACGGGGACAGGGCCGCCGCGTCAGCCTCGTACTCCCACGCAAGTGCGTCACACACTCGGTCCCGCCACCCCCTGGAGGCCAGCGCGCATGCGCACGCGCACCCAGCGGCCGCAGCGCGCAGACAGCAGCAGAGCCCGACACGCATGTGCACACAGACCCCTACACGTATGTGCACGTACCCAGACCCCGACACGTATGTGAGCGTACACAGACCCCCGATACATAGCGTGCTCAGCTGTTGACGTGCCTGTGCGGGCACACAGACCCTGACGGGCGTGTGCGCACGCACAGATGCCGACACGCATGTGCAGACACAACAGAGCCCGACACACACGTGCGCCTGCACAGATGCTGACACGCGGACACACTGACACGTGTGCGTGCACCCCTCCCATCCCTTTCCCTCCTCCCACTCTCCCAAAGCCGCAGACGCACCCGGTAGTCCCCCAACGCTGGGGCCTCGGGAGAGGGTGAGGCTAGAAGAGGACGCGGGGCCGTCGGGGGAAACCAGAGCCCCAAGCCCCGTGTTCCAGCATGCAGCACGGCGTACTCCTGGATGGTCTCTGGGAAATGTAGTCCGGGACGGTCCCAGGCAGGGGCCTCAGGGCGCGTCCCAGGTCGGTGCCGGAGCGGGCAGCCCCAAGCTAAGCCCTTCCTGGTCCCTGCAGACGCCCCTTCCCGACTGGGAAAGGAGCTGTGTCACCCCAGCTGGGACCCCGTCTGGCCTCTTGAGTGGGGTGATGCCGGGCGAGCCATGGCTGTCCTCAGAAGGGTATCCTCTCCTAGCCCCTCTGGAGCGTCACCTGGAATTCTCTGCAGGCCGCTAGCACAGGCTGCCGGAGCTGCTATTCGGTGTCCCTTGCTTGCTGCATTGTAAACAATGTACAGGTAGCAGTTATGCCCCGTGAGTCCCGCTCTCATTCCAAGTACTAACGTCACAGGGTCTACAGGATGTTGCAGGTACTTAACCACAGTCTCATTTTGACTCAAAATCCCACTTTTTGGTATTTATGCCAAGGAAGTAGCTATAGTTGTACACAATGTTGAAGTATGTTCACAAAATGCTTTTTTTCTGAAAATCTTTTTCTCTTTTAATTAGATAGACTTTAGATTCATATGTAGTTACAAGAAATAAAATTGAGAGATCTTGTGTACCTTTCACCTGGTTACCTCAGCTGGTGATTGTAGTATATAATACCACAACCAGAAGATTAACATTGATGTAATCCACTGACGTTACCCAGAATTTCCAGAGAATAATTTTTTGTTTGTTTGTTTGTTTGTTTTGAGACGGAGTTTCGCTCTTGTTGCCCAGGCTCAAGTGCAATGGTGCGATCTCGGCTCACTGCAACCTCCGCCTCCTGGGTTCAAGGGGTTCTCCTGCGTCAGCCTCCCCAGTAGCTGGGATGACAGGCATGCGCTACCACGCCCGGCTAATTTTTTTTGTATTTTTAGAAGAGACGGGGTTTCTCTATGTTGGTCAGGCTGGACTCGAACTCCCGACCTCAGGTGATCCGCCTGCCTCGGCCTCACAAAGTGCAGGAATTACAGGCGTGAGCCACCACACCCAGTCGAGAATAATTTTTAAAAATGAAAATCTTGCAGTGGAGGATAAAGGAAAATCAGATTAAACCATGGTCTGTTATACAATGACATAGAGTACATTTCCTAATAATACTGACTCATTAATTAAGAAAACTTCTGAAGAATCAACAAGGGAAAAGGGTAGGTTAAAATGGTACATATAATTTGAGCAGACATGTTTTGGTGAAATTAACACAGGCTCTGTGGTCTGATTTGAGGGTGTTAATCTGAGCTCTGATAGTTATTAACTTCACAGTGTGGTAAAGTTTCCTCACTGGTAAAACCACAAGAAAGATAGTACAATGTATGACTGTTTGAACAGGATCATCCACATGAAACACACAGTCATATATAACAATTAAGATAAGGTAGCTGTTATTACTAAAAAATCAGTAACATATCTCAATCCATTTTCATAAAAGTAACAAGTCTGCTATTTCCTTTTAACTAGGGAGACAGAGACATGATAGTTCCTTAAAAAATCTAGTTTAAAGATTCTTATCAGCTAGGTGCAGTGGCTCACACCTGTAATCCCAGCACTTTGGGAAGCCAAGGTGAGCGGATCACTTGAGGTCAGAAGTTCAAGACCAACCTGGGCAACATGGTGAAACCCTGTCTCTACTGAAAATACAAAAATTAGCCGGGCATGGTGGTGAGATTGTAATCTCAGTTTCTCAGGAGGCTGAGTCAGGAGATTCGCTTGAACCTGGGAGGCAGAGGTTGTAGTGAGCCAAGATTGCGCCACTGCACTCCAGCCTGGGTGACAGAGTAAGACTTCATCTCAAAAAAGAAAAAAAAAAAAAAAGTGAACATTTTAAACTAGTGCTATCTCATTCTATTTCATATACCTTTGAAATGTTACAGTCAATATTCGTTACTTGCACATATAACCTTGGGAATATTTCCAAAGTCCATATTTGTAAGGTATCCAGTGACTATTTTCATATTCATCAATGATTAATTTTTCAAAGCAAGGAAACATGACTGGTATCTCTCTTCTCTCCACATGCACACAGACATAATGTGACCCGTGGTTGGGCTGGATTTCTTTTACAAACTATGATTTGGAGAGTTTTTGCCTCATTTACATGATTAATAGGATTCAATGTTCCAGAAACAAAACACACACATGCTTAGAGGTGGAGGGGAAGACAGTAAACATACATACTAAGTGTTAACAGTAATTATCTTTAGATGGTATAAATATGGGTAATTACGGCCGGACAGTGGCTTACACCTGTAACCCCAGCACTTTGAGAGGCCAAGGCAGGTGGATCACTGGAGGCCAGGAGTTCGAGACCAGCCTTGGCCAACATGGCGAAACCCCATCTCTACTAAAAATACAAAAATTAGCTGAATGTGTGGCAGACACCTGTAATCCCAGCTACTCAGGAGGCTGAGGCAGATCTCTTGAACCCGGGAGGCAGAGGTTGCAGTGAGCCGAGCTTGTACCATTGCACTCCAGCCTGGGCAACAAAAGCAAGACTCTGTCTTAATAAATAAATAGATAAATAAATAAATAAGGGTAATTTTTAGTTTCCTCTTTGTGTGCTTCTTAGGGGAATAATTTTTTTTTTTTTTTTTTTTTGGTTACAGGCTTTCATTAATCCCATTATAAAGTATATAATTATAGGGAGCCCCAAATTTAAAAAAAGATTAGTAAGGAAAACAGACCATTGTTATAGGGGAGTGGGTACATTCTAGCTATTCAGGAAAGTTTGATGGACAGGCCTGTTACTGGCAGAATATATCCACATCCTACATCTGGAACCTGGGAATATGTTATGTTACAAGGCAAGATAAAGAAGGTTGCAGATGGACTTAAATTGCTAACCAGCCACCCTTCAGATACGGAGATTACCCTGAATTATCTAGGTGGGCCTGGTGCAATTACAAAGTTCCTTAAAAGTAGGTGAGGGAGTTCTGAAGAAGAGAAACATGTGATGACAGAAACAGGTGGGGAATGAGGTGATACAAGAAGAACTTGACTTGTCTTTTCTGGGTTTAAAGGTGTAGGATAGGGCTGGACGCAGTGGCTCACACCTGTAATCCCAGCATTTGGGAGGCCGAGGTGGGCGGATCACTTGAGGTCAAGAGTTCGAGACCAGCCTGGCCAACTGGTGAAACCCCATCTACTAAAAAAATACAAAAATTAGCCGAGTGTGGTGGTGCATGCCTGTAATCCCAGCTACTCAGGATGCTGAGGCAGAAGAATCGCTTGAATCTGGGAGGTGGAGTTTGCAGTGAGCTGAGATGGTGCCACTGCACTCCAGCCCAGGCAACAGAGTGAGACTCTGTATCAAAAAAAAAAAGTAGGATGGGGTCATGAGCTAATCTGGGCAGCCTCTAGAAGCTGGGAAAGGCCATGAAAGAGAATGCCTCCTAGAGCCTCCAAAAAGCAACACAGTCTTCAACATGTTGGTTTTAGCCCAGTGAGACCCACTTTAGACTTTTGACTTCTAGGACTTAAGATGTCACCCCCTGATCTTGAATGACCTTTCACTGTGTCTCAGCAATACAGTTGTCTTAGTCCGTTTTGGCTGCTATAACAGCTGCTATTACAGGCATGAGCCACCATGCCTGGCATATTTTCCTAATAACATTTTCTTTTCTCTAGCTTACTTTATTGTAGGAGTATTGCATATAACACATATACCATTCTATATTTGTGTTAATCTACTTTATGTAATCAATAAGGCTTCCATTCAACAGTAGGCTATTACATTTTTAGGGAGTCAAAAGTTAAATGTGGAGTTTTGACTGCATGGTGAGTTGTCGCCCCAGCTCCATGTTGTTCAAGGGTCAACTGTACGTATATCAGACAAAATAGAATTTAAGTCAAAAACTATAAGAAGAGAAAGAAAGTCATTATAGAATTATAAAGGGATCAATTCATGAAGAAGATGTATCAATTGTACATATGTATGTACCCAACATTGGATCGTGTAAATATATAAAGCACACATTATAAGATCTGAAGGGACAAACAGACTGCAATACAATAATTGAAGGGGACTTCAAATCCTACTTTCGACAAAGGACAACTTATTCAGCAGAAAATCAATAAGGAAACACTGGAATTGAATTTTACTTTAGACCAAATGGACTTATCAGATGTATACAGAGCATCCCTCCCAACAGCAGCAGAATACATATTCTTCTCCAGCACACATGAAAGATTCTCCAGGACAGATAACATATTAGGCCAAATAACAGGTCTTAAGAAATTTAAGGCAACTGAAATCCTATCAAGCATCTTTTCAACCACAGTGGTATTAAGCTAGAAATCAATAACAGGAGGAATTTAGGTAAATTCACAAATATGTGGAAATTAAACAACATGATAAGTACCAGTAGGTCAAGGAAGAAGTTAAAAGTTTAATTTAAAAATATTTTGAAATAAATGCAAAAGGAAACAACATACCAAATCTTGAGAAACGCAGGAAAAGCAGTTCTAAGAGGGAAGTTTATAGCAATAAACACCTACATTAAGAAAGGAGAAAGACCTTAAACAAACATTACTTCTCAAGGAACTCGAAAAAGAACAAATGACACTCATAGTAATGAAAGGAATAATAAAAGTCGGAATAAAAATAAATGGAGACTAAATAAACAATATGGGAAGATTAATGAAACTAAGAGTTGATTTTTTGAAAAGATAAACAACATTGAAAAACCATGAGACTTTCAAAGACAAAAAAGGGAAGACTCAAAAATCAATAAAATCAGAAATGAAAATGGAGACATTACAACTCATACCACAGAAATACAAAGAATCGTGAGAGACTACAATGAACAATTAGATGCCAAAAAAGTTGGATAACCTAGAAGATTAATTCCTAGAAACACACAACCTACCAAGATGGAATCATGAATAAACAGAAAAATCTGAACACATCAGTAATGAGTAAAAAGATTGAACAAATAATACAGAATTTCTGATCAAAGAACAGCCCAGGACTTGATGATGGCTTCATTGCTGTATTCTACCAAATATTCACAAAATATTCTTCTGAAACTCTTCCAAAAAGTTGTAGAGGAAGGAATGCTCCCAAGTTGCTGCAGTATTATTCACAATACCCCAGGGGGAAACAAAAAAAAATCAACCTACATGTTAATCTGTAGAGGAATGGGTAAAGAAAATGTGGCATATATCACAATTAAATACTATTCGCCTTAAAAACCAGGAAAATCCAGTCATTTGTGATAACATGGGTGAACCTAGAGGACATCATATTAAGTGAAATAAGCCAGGCATAGAAAGGTCCACCTGCATTATCTCACCTATTTAAGTGTCAAAAAGCTGAACTCATAGAAGCAAAGAGTGGAATGATGGTTACCAGAGGCTGGGACAGGGGTGGGAATAGGGAGATGAATGGCTACAAAGGCTAGAGAGGAGGAATAAATTCTGCGTATCTATTTTATAACCTGGTGACTATAATGAATAACAATGTATATTTGAAAATTGCTGAGAGATGTTAAATGTTCTAATCACAAAAATGATAACTAGTAAGGTGAAGGGTATGTTATTCACTTTGGTTTCATCACTCCATAATGCACACACATATCAAAACATAATGTTGTACATAATAAGCACATAATTTGTTATTTATCAAATAAAAATAAAAAATAAAGGATGTCATTTTAATAAACAAAACAACAATAATCCGAATAAATAAATAAAAAGAAGAAAAATACAGAACTATATGTGGCCCATAAATCCCTTTACTGCTGAACGTTTTACAGAAAAAAATTTGCCAACTCTGTCCTAGATCCAGAACTCATACTCAAAATCAAACCACATTGCTTCTCACTGTGCACACAAAGCAAGTGGAAAAAAACAACTCTGAGGCTGTCAGCTTCAAAGAAAATCTAGTAAACAGAAAAAATTTCAATTTATTGATTACTTGGAAAACATTTATGCCTTTGATGACACAGAAGTTTGCTCAAACTCCACTCTTAAAAGCCTCACAAAGCTGACAACCTTGTCACGTACTCAAACGATCTACTTTCTGGCTGTGATATGAAAATCAGGCTTAGGGAAAAGACTAAAGATAGGTGGTGTTTGATTCCACTTAAAAACGAATCTTTTCCTTAGCAAACCACATTCTAA
The DNA here is from genome assembly GCF_000001405.40 of Homo sapiens. Classification (NCBI taxonomy): domain Eukaryota; kingdom Metazoa; phylum Chordata; class Mammalia; order Primates; family Hominidae; genus Homo; species Homo sapiens. The sequence goes on along the minus strand of NC_000019.10, from coordinate 53,531,493 downwards.
TATCACGCACTAATGTTAAGCTCCAGGAGGTATATTTTTCTATATCATCAGATTCTTAGAAGAGCAGAGCACACAGAAAAAGCTACACAGTTTGCCAAAGAGGCACATGAATAACATTCAGAAGAGAGACTTGGTCAATGGGGAGTACATTGAGGGATATCCCTGTATGAACCCCCAACACCTCTTTGGAAAGGATGACCGGGATAAGTTGTTATAGTGAGAATATTTAGGGGCAAGGAAAGTAAATAGTCCTGTCTTATAAACGCTAATCATTTAATGAATAAAACGTAACTCACTTGAACCTTGATTTTAAGATGGGTAAATGATTCCTCCTCTCAAGGCGTGCTTTTTCGTAAGAATGTTGGTTTAGGGGAAAGAGGAGGATAAGACTGAGAAGCTAGGGTCTTTCTAGGTGCGCAGCCTACATTAGAAAATACCTCATAAGGCACAGCTGCCCTCAGGCCATATCTATGACAATCAGAAGTCAGAGGGCACTGGGATCAGAGTGTTTCAGAGATTCCTGGGGTCTACATTGTATTAACTGGGGTTATAGACTGTGTAGCTGACCTCCCTCTGTAAGGATGGTCACCCTGCATGGGTCCCATTGCCCCCAAGATACTCGCACACCTGTCACAATTATGGGGACAGAGCTGGCACATCAACCCCACACACGCCCACGCAAGTGCGTCTTCTACTCACACATCAGGTCCCGGTTACCCCTGCGGATGCCAATGTACATGCACACACAGACACATATTTCCACATGTGCTGGAGCACTGACTGGAAAAATGGCCAAAATGCCAAGTGATGCCCTGTACATACCGACAGTTGTTTTGAGGCTGCTTCCTTTTACGTCTGAGGGGAGTGTGAATTTTACCTCTGAACTTGTCCTTCAAGCCATGATGGCCCAGCAGACAAGCATTAATTCGCCTTACCCTATTGGTCTTCCCTTTGCATCAAACATTATTAGAAAAATACAAGTTATAAAACAAATTGTATTTACCTACACATGGAACCTGTGAATTCAGAATTATTTGGTTATAAATCGACATCCGTGGGCGGTATGGCTTGAATACTTGCCCCGTCTAAATCTCCAGTTGAACTGTCATCCCCAGTGCTGGAGGTGGGGCCTGGTGGGAGGTGAACTGTCATCCCCAGTGCTGGAGGTGGGGCCTGGTGGGAGGTGAACTGTCATCCCCAGTGCTGGAGGTGCGGCCTGGTGGGAGGTGTTTGGGTTATGGAGGCAGATCCCTCATGTCTTGGCCATGGTGAGTGAGTTCTTGCAAAATCTGGTCATTTAAAAGTACATGGCATCCCCCGCACCTCCCGCCAGCGCTGTGTCCCAACCTTACCCCTCCTTTTGCCATGTGACGTGCCTGCTCCCACTTCACCTTCCAAGTAAAGTGGAGTAAAAGCTCCTGAGGCCTCCCTAGAAGCCAAGTGGATGCCAGATGTCGATACCATGCTTCCTTTTCAGCCTTCAGAAGCATGAGCCAATATAATCTTTATAAATGACCCAGTCTCAGGGATTTCTTGATAGCAATGCAAGAATGGCCTACCCGAGCGGGTGCTGTCAGAATGATGTTCCCTTCCTAGCACCTCTCAAGGTACATCACCTGGAATTCCCCACAGTCCGTGATCACAGGCTGCCCTGAGCTGCTTCTACTCAGTTTCCCCTCCTTGCTGGGTTATAGACAACATACAGGTAGCAGCTGTGTCCTTTTAGTTATTCTCTCATTCTTCGTGCTAATATCACAGAGTTTGGCGTACTGCAGACACTTAACAAGTCTTGATTTTGACTCAAAATACTGGTTTTCAAAATTTATCTGAAGGACACAGCTATAGTCATACACAATTGTTTGTGCAAGAATATTCAGGGAATTTTTTCTCTGTGAATTTTCTTTAGAATGGAGATAAAGATTCACATGCAGTTGTAAGAAACAATACAGCGAGAGAGATCCTGTTTACCTTTTACCTGATTTATACCAATGATGATTGAACTACAGTGTAATACCACAACTAGGACACTGTCATTGATGCAATCAATTGATATTATTCCACTTCTCCAGAGAATAATTTTTTTTTTTTTTTTAAAAGACAGAGTCTTGCTCTGTCGCCCAGGCTGGAGTGCAGTGGCATGATCTCGGCTCACTGCAAGCTCCACCTCCCGGGTTCACGCCATTCTCCTGCCTCAGCCTCCTGAGTAGCTGCGACTACATGCGCCTACCACCACGCCCGGCTAATTTTTGTATTTTTAGTAGAGACGGGGTTTCACCGTGTTAGCCAGGATGGTCTCGATCTCCTGACCTCGTGATCCACCCGCCTCAGCTCCCAAAGCGCTGGGATTATAGGCGTGAGCCACCACGCCCAGCCTTCAGAGAATAATTTTAAAAAAATCAAAAAAATAGGTTGGGTGCGGTGGCTCATGCCTGTAATCCCAGCACCTTGGGAGGCCAAGGTGGGCGGATCACCTGAGGTCAGTTGTTTGAGAGCAGCCTGGCCAACATTGTGAAACCTCGTCTCTACTAAAAATACAAAAAAATCATCCAGGCGTGGGGACAGGCAGCTGTAGTCCCAGCTACTCGGGAGGCTGAGGCAGGAGAATCGCTCAAACCTGGGAGGCGGAGGCTGCAGTGGGCTCTGATTGCGCCACTGCACTCCAGCCTGGGCAACAGAGCGAGACTCTGTCTCAGAAAAAAAAAAAGAAATATCTGACAGTAGAGGACAGATTAAATAAATTATGATCTGCTATATCATGACATAAAATACATTTACTAGTGATACTGATCCATATAATTGAGAAAGCATTTATGATGTATTACCAAATGAAGAAAGTAGATTTAAAAAGGTACATGTAATTTGGGCAGAGGTACTTTGGAGAAATTAAGAACACAGGCTCTGCAGTACAACTTTCAGGGTGTGATTCTGAACTCTGACAGTTACTAACCTCGCAGTGTCTTTTTCCTCACTGGTGAAACTGGAATATAAATACCATGAGATATGGCTATCTCAATTATCAAGTAAGATAATCTACATAAAACATAGTAATACATAACAATTACTTTACATAAGTTAGCTGTTTTTATTAAAGATCACTGACATTACATATCCCTTAATCCATTTTTAGAAAAGAAACATGAGGCTGCTGTTTTCTTATGCTAAAATATGTGCTTCTCAATCAGCTATCAATATCATGAATGCTAACTAAAAATAACTTTCCAAGCCTGATGTTAAGCATGAATTTATTTGAATCAGCAGAATTAGCAAAAACGATTCTAAGACACGTAAGAAAATGTTCCCTCTTTACCAGCAACTAGGGAAATAGAGACATGATTCTGCATCAGAAATCAAGTTTAAAGAATCTAATCTGAGAAGAGATACCAAATCAAGAATATTAGCAAGAGACTGAATCATGTGTTCTATGTGATATGGGAGATTCGTGTAATTATTTCAAATTGTTGCCATCTTAGTCATTTCATATATTTGGATTTCATATACCTTGGATTTGTTACTTGTACATATAATCATGGAAATGTTACTTGTGTATATTTGGAAGGCATCAGATATCACTGATTATCATTCTCTGTCAAAGAAACATTAAAATCATAGAAAATCTAATTCTGAAAGGCTTTCTTGATAATCTGCTGTCATGGGATTAGTTTGAAATGGCGTATCTCTAATTCTATAAGGTGTAAACGTGAAGCCTTTCAAAGCAAGAGAAAGATAACTGGCCTGCCTCTCTCTTCTCCACATGTACACAAATGTAATGTGACCCATGGCTGGGTTGGATTTCTTTCACAAACTAAGATTTGAAGAGTCTTTAACTCATCTACATGATCAATTAGCAGGATTTAATGTTCCAGAAACAAACATACACACGTGTTTAGTGGGGGAGTGGGAGACAGGACACATACCTGTTAACAAAATGTTAACAGTAAATACAGTTAACAGTAAATCCTCACCTCTTTCTCTTCTTCTGGCACCCCTCATCTACTTCTAATACCCTGTGATTACATTGGGCCCACTGGCACAATTCAGGATAATCTCCCTATCTTAAGGTTAGCTGATTAATAACTTCAGTCCATCTACAACTGAAATTTCCCTTGCCGTGCAACATCACATATTCCTGCATTCATGAATTAGGGTGTGGACATTTTTGAGATACACTTGTTATGCTTCCCACAAGCCTATCCATTCAAACATTTATTAATAACTACAAGGTACCAGCACCTTCATAACTCTGATTTTTTTACCTTGAGTAATCATTTTTTTAAATTCAGGACTTCCTTAAGTTATATTTCCTTTTTTTTATTTTTTAAGATGGAGTCTCGCTCTGTCACCCAGGCACAATCTCGGCTCTCACTGCAACCTCCAACTCCCGGGTTCAAGTGATTCTCCTGTGTCAGCCTCCTGGGTAGCTGGGATTACAGGCACATGCCACCATGCCTGGCTAATTTTTGTATTTTTAGTAGAGACGGGGTTTCACCATGTTGGTCAGGCTGGTCTCAAACTCCTGACCTCGTGATCCGCCTGCCTTGGCCTCCTAAAGTGCTGGATTACAAGCATGAGGCACTGCGCCCAGCAAGTTATATTTCTTATAATGCAATCAATGCAGGCCTGGTATAAAAAAAATTAGTTCCCGGGCCAGGCGCGGTGGCTCACGCCTGTAATCCCAGCACTTTGGGAGGCCGAGGTGGGCGGATCACGAGGTCAGGAGATCGAGACCATCCTGGCTAATATGGTGAAACCCCGTCTCTACTAATAATACAAACAACTAGCCAGGCACAGTGACAGGCGCCTGTAGTCCCAGCTACTCGGGAAGCTGAGGCAGGAGAATGGCGTGAACCTGGGAGGCGGAGCTTGCAGTGAGCCAAGATCGCACCACTGCACTCCAGCCTGGTGACAGGGCGAGACTCCGTCTCAAAAAAAAAAGAAAAAAAAAATTTCTACGCCAAAAAATTGAATAATGTAGAAGAAATGAATAAATTCCTAGTAATATATAATCTATCAAGATTGAATCATGAAGAAATACAAAATCTGAACACACTAACAACAGGTAAGGAGGTTGAATAAGCAATAAATATCTCCCATGAAAGACCAGAACCTGATGCCCTCACTGCTGAATTCTACCAAACATTCGAAGACCTAATACAATGCTTCTCAAACTCTTCCAGAAAATCCAAGAGAAGGGACTATCTCCAAGCCCATTTTATAAGAACAGCATGACCAAACCCAACAAGGACACTGCAAGACAAGAAAAATCACCGGCCAGTACCTTTGATAAACCTAAAAGCAAAAATCCTCAGCAAGATACTAGCAAACTGAACTCAGTAGCATATAAAAAGGATCATTCAACATGATCAAGCGGGATTTATCCCAGGAATGCAAGGATGGTTCAACATATACAAATCTATAAATCTGATATAGCACATTAACAGAATGAAGGATAAAATCCATATGATCATCACAATAGATCCAGAAAAAGCATCTGACAAAATTCAACAGGCTTTCCTAACAAAAACTCTCAACAGATTAGGTATTGAGGAATGTACCTCAATATAATATAGGTGATATAACACAAGCACATAGCTAACATCATAATCAATGGTGAAAAGTTGAAATATCAGGAACAAGACGAGGATTCCCACTCTTACCACTTCTAATCAATGTAGTACTAGAAGCCTTAGGCAGAGCAATTAGGCAACAAAAAGAAAAGCCAATCAAATAGGAAGTGAAGAAGTTATACTGTTCCTGTTTGCAGATGACATGATCTTATACATATAAAAAACCCTAAAAGCTCCATCAAAAAATGACTAGAAATAATAAATGAATTCAGTAAAGTTGTAGTATGCAACGTCAACATTAAAAAATCAATAGTATCCCTTACAAAATCAATGTGCAAAAGTCACAAGCATTCCTATACACCAATAACAGACAAACAGAGAGCCAAATCATGAGTGAACTCCCATTCACAATTGCTACAAAGAAAATAAAATACCTAGGAATCCAATTTACAAGGGATGTGAAGGACCTCTTCAAGGAGAACTACAAACCACTGCTCAACAAAATAAAAGAGGAAACAAATGGAATTCCATGATCATGGACAGGAAGAATCAATATCGTGAAAATGGCCATACCGCCCAAGGTAATTTATAGATTCAATGCCATCCCCATCAAGCTACCAATGACTTTCTTCACAGAATTGGAAAAAACTACTTTAAAGTTCATATGGAACCAAAAAAGAGCCCGCATTGCTAAGACAATCCTAGGCAAAAAGAACAAAGCTGGAGGCATCACACTACCTGACTTCAAACTATACTACAAGGCTACAGTAACCAAAACAGCATGGTAATGGTACCAAAACAGAGATATAGACCAATGGAACAGAACAGAGGCCTCAGAAATAACACCACACATCTACAACCATCTGATCTTTGACAAACCTGACAAAAACAAGAAATGGGGAAAGGATTCCGTTTTTAATAAATGGTGCTGGGAAAACTGGCTAGCCATATGTAGAAAGCTGAAACTGGATCCCTTCCTTACATCTTATATAAAAATTAATTCAAGATGGATTAAAGACTTAAATATTAGACCTAAAACCATAAAAACCCTAGAAGAAAACCTAGGCAATACCATTCAGGACACAGGCATGGGCAAGGACTTCAGGACTAAAACACCAAAAGCAATGGCACCAAAAGCCAAAATAGACAAATGGGATCTAATTAAACTAAAGAGCTTCTGAACAGCAAAAGAAACTACTATCAGAAGGAACAGACAACCTACAGAATGGGAGAAAATTTTTGCAATCTACCTATCTCACAAAGGGCTAATATCCAGAATCTACAAAGAACTCAAACAAATTTACAAGAAAAAAACAAAAAACCCCATCAAAAAGTGGGCCAAGGATATGAACAGACACTTCTCAAAAGAAGACATCTATGCAGCCAACAGACACATGAAAAAATGCTCATCATCACTGGTCATCAGAGAAATGCAAATCAAAACCACAATGAGATACCATCTCACACCAGTTAGAATGGCAATCATTAAAAAGTCAGGAAACAACAGATGCTAGAGAGGATGTGGAGAAACAGGAACACTTTTACACTGTTGGTGGGAGTGTAAATTAGTTCAACCATTGTGGAAGACAGTGTGGCGATTCCTCAAGAATCTAGAACTAGAAATACCATTTGACCCAGCAATCCCATAACTGGGTATATACCCAAAAGATTATAAATCATGGTACTATAAAGACACATTCACACATATGTTTACTGTGGCACTATTCACAATAGCAAAGACTTGGAACCAACCCAAATGTCCATCAATGACAGACTGGATTAAGAAAATGTGGCACATATACACCATGGATTACTATGCAGCCATAAAAAAGGATGAGTTCATGCCCTTTGCAGGGACATGGAAGAAGCTGGAAACCATCATTCTGAGCAAACTATCACAAGGACAGAAAACCAAACACCGCATGTTCTCACTCATAGGTGGGAACTGAACAATGAGATCAATTGGACACAGGGTGGTGAATATCACACACCAGGGCCCGTCGGAGTTGGGGGGCTGGGGGAGGGATAGCATTAGGAGAAATACCTAATGCAAATGACGAGTTGATGGGTGCAGCAAAACAACATGGCACATGTATACCTATGGATTAAACCTGCATATTGTGCACATGTACCCTAGAACTTAAAGTATAAAAAAAAAATAGTATCCCTATAGACTAACAACTATTTGAAAAAGAAATCAAGGCTGGGCATGGTGGCTAACAGACAAATGAATTGCATCATTAAAAAACTTATGCACAGCAGAGCAATCAACAGAGTGAAGACAGAACCTATGGAGTAGAAGGAAATATTTGCAAACCATACATCTGACAAGCAGTTAATATTCACGATATATAAGAAACTCACACAACTCAAGAGTGTGAAAAAAAAATTTGATTAAAAATTGGGACAAAGGCAGGGCATGGTGGCTCACACCTGTAATCCCAGGACTTTGGGAGGCTGAGGCGGGCAGATAACTTGAAATCAGGAGTTTGAGACCAGCCTGGCCAACATGATGAAACCCCGTCTCTACTAAAAATACAAAAATTAGCCAGGCATGGTGGTGGGTGCCTATAATTCCAGCTACTTGGGAGGCTGAGGCAGGAGAATCGCTGCAACCCAGGACGCAGAGGTTCCAGTGAGCTGAGATCATGCCATTGCACTCCAGCCTGGGGGACAAGGGCAAAAGAAAAAAAAAATAAAAAAAAAATATAGTATATTTGAAAATTGCTAAGAGAGTAGAGTTTAAATGTCCTCATGACAAAAATAATAATTAGTGAGGTGATGGATATGTTCATCAGCCTGATTTAATCATCTCATAATGTATACATATATATAAAAACATATACACAATAAATACAATTTGTCATTTGCCAATTATATAAAAATTTAAAAAATTAACCATGTTAAAAAATAACTACAATAATAAAAAATAAACAAAAGACCAAAGATATCTGGTGTTTCCTTCCACCCAAAAATAAATCCCTTCCTTACCAAACCACACTGTAATATAAAGTGTTAGAATTAATCTCTTCTGTACCATCAGATTCTTAGACAATTTTTAGACATTTTAGAAGAGGGTAGGTCAATGGAGTATACACGGAGGAATGACCTGCACCGCCCTGTCACATCCCTTGGGGAGGAATTAGTGGGATAAATGACTATTTGGGAAGAAATGGGCCCAAGGAAAGTAAATAGTCTTAAGTTGTATAAATACAAATCATTGAATGAACAAAAAGCTAACTCACCTGAAACCTTACTTTAGGACATATAACACTTCTTCTTCCTCCTCCGGGATGCTTTTCCTGAAGGCCAGCTGGCCGGAGGGGAAAAGGAAGATAAGAATGAGGCACCAGGACCTTTCTGGATCACAAGCTACGTTAGAAAATAGCGCACACGTCCAGGCGCGGTGGCTCACAACTGTAATCCCAGAACTTTGGGAAGCCGACGGGGGCGGATCATGAAGTCAAGAGATCGAGATCACCTATGCCAACATGGTGAAATCCCGTCTCTACTAAAAATACAAAAATTAGCTGGGCATGGTGGCGTGCGCCTGTGGTCCCAGCTACTTGGGAGGCTGAGGCAGGAGAATCGCTTGAACCTGGGAACCGAGATCGCACCACTGCACTCCAGCCCTGGGCGACAGAGCAAGACTCTGTCTCAAAAAAAAAAAAAACAAAGAAAGAAAATAGGGCACACTTGTCCCCAGACCACAGTTAAAATCAATCAGAAATAAGAGGGCACAGGCATGTGAGTTTTTCAGAGAAATGCTGGAAAACTCTAGGAACTGGGGTTCTGAAACATGGAGCTGCCCCTCTCACCACCTCCCCGCCTCCCATGTCAGGTACCTCTTTCTTCCCCAAAAGGAATTCTATTCTTGAGGTTACTTCCTCTTGTCGTCCAGGTAGTGTGCACGGAGAGCACTTCTGGCTCCAAAACTGCCATCTCGTGACTTGTGAAGCCTTCTTCTTGGTCATTTTCACAATAGCGTAGAGCCTCTCACGTCACTTTGGGACCACTGCTCCCTAGCAGGTACCACATGGCTGGAAGGCCAAGGCACAGGAAGCAACGGAGACACTAGAAAGACAGGTGACATGGTCGCACACACCTGTGCTCACTCAAAAGGCCATGCACCCAGGCCCGATCCCGACCAGTCACAGCCGCACACTCGCTGGCCCTTTCACACCCACAGACGCTCACACCAGAGGGACACTGCCTGTCCCTGTCAACCTGACAGAAGTGCAAAGGCACATTTCAGAGACACGGAGACCCGTCCTGGCCGTGCCACCTCTGCAGACCCCACCAGCATTGACCTCGCACAGAACGGAGGTGCAGAGACACAGCCCGGCTGCGTCACCCCTACAGATGCCCTTACAGCCCGGCGCTATGGCCCTCATAGACGTCTACACACACCTGTGTCACAGTTTATGGGGACAGAGCCCGGCCGCGTCAACCCCGCATGCATCACGGCTTAGGGGAACGGGGCTTGTTCGCATTACCCCACAGACGAAGACAATTATCTCAGTCACTGGGCCACGGCGGGGCCCCACCAGGCAGCCTCTGGCTTATTCACACACACACACACACACACACACACACACTCACACACACTCCCACTTCCCTGCTCGCCGCTCCCGAAGCCTCAGGCCGAAGCTTCTTCATTTTAGGGCCTCCGCGTCCCGAGTGGCTCCCTCACCGCCATTCCCCGCGGAACCCTGCCCTGGCTTCCTCCTGGGAGGCAAATAGCTCCCGGCTCGAGGCCTAACCACACCCAGCACATCAGGAGGTGAAACAAGGTCTCAGGCGCAGTTGGGATAAGATCCAGGAGAAACCATTTTTAAAAATCCCGCGAGCATGAAGCACGCCCCTCAGCCGGCCACCCGGCTCGCTCCTCATTGGACTGTGCCCCAAGGCCCTCTGGGAAATGTAATGCGAAACCAGAGAAGCTTCGACGCAGCTGGAAGGGCGCCCGTCAGTGTTTCCCAGCATGCAACTCTACACGGCGCAAATGGAGCCGTGACCCAGAGGCCTCTGGGAAATGTAGTCCATAACCCGGAAATCCACAGAGTTGGAAGCGGCTGTCAGGATTTCCCAGCATGCAACTCTACGCGACCCTAAGGGCGTCCTGCCTTGAGGGCTTCTGGGAAATGTAGCTCATAACCCGGGAATCGACGTATCTGGAAGGGCGCCCATCAGTGTTTCCCTGCAGGCAACTGCACACGGCCCTAATGGAGCCATGCCCCAGAGACCTCTGGGAAATGCTCACTACGCGGGAATCCTTAGCGCTGGAAGCGCGGCCGTCAGAATGCTTTTCGTCGGTGTCTCCTCCCACTGTTAGAGCAGCTGCACCCCCCATAGACTTCTGGGAAAGCGTATTTCAGACTGGCAGAATCTTCAAATGCTGGAAGCCCTGTCGGCCTTCTCCTGCCCTGAAACTTTGCTTGCTCCTAAGGCGCACCACAAAAAATTCCTGGGAAAAGTGGTTCAGGCTCTAGGGGCCTACAGTTATAATTGCTTACAACTTGCATTTGGGATCCGTCCATAGGGAAGGCGTGTCCCCGCGTCCTTCTGGGAAGGAAATGTAGTCTGAAACGACCAGAAATCACGCCTGTAATCTCAGCACTTTGGGAGGCCGAGGCGGGTATATCACCTGAGATCAGGAGTTCGAGACCCTCCTGCCCAACATGGTGAAACCCCATCGCTCTAAAAATGCAAAAATTAGCCAGGCGTGGTGGTGTGTGCCTGTAATCCCAGCTACTTGGGAGGCTGAGGGAAGAGAATCGCTTGAACCCAGGAGGCAGAGGTTGCAGTGAGCCGAGATCACACCACTGCACTCCAGCCTGGGCGATAAGAGTGAAACAATGTCTCAAAATAATAATAATAATAATAATAAGCCCGGAAAGCTTAAAAGCTGTGATTTGGGAAAAGTTCAAAAATTTCCCAGCATGCAACATGGCCCTCCTTAGAAAAGAGCTGTGCCTCCAGAGCGTTCTTGGAAATACAGCCCCGAGCTGGAAATGCCTCTAGAAAGTGTTAGGTAGGGTGTTTACATGTGAGATTTTGGGGACGTTTCAGCACTGCCCTTTCCCCCACCCCCCAGTAGATTGGGGAGCTCCAGGCATGTGTGTAGGGACCTTGAGTAGGTTCCACGGGAGTGACCTGGTCCTGACTGGGTCTGTGCCAAGGCTCTCTCTGTAAGGGCAGGACTTTGCGTTTCGTTCTCTGATGCTGTCCCAGACTTGGGAGCACTGCCTGGCTCTTCAGATGTCTCTGTGAGTGTTACCTTGGTATGGGCGGGAGAGGCCTGGGCTGTATGGCTTGCTGCCCGGCAGGATATTGACAAGATGTTCTTATGATCAGGCGGTTTGGCCCTTTTTCCGGTGGGATCTCATCAGGATGTTCCTTGGACCTTTGCCAAGAAAGATATGATAGGGATGGTTTTTGTAGTTGGGCCTTTGCCCAGTAGGACATGATGAGAATGTTTCTTTAATTGGGTCTTTGTTCGCCTTGTGGTCAGGTGGTTAGGCAGGATATTTCTCACTGCCTGAACCCCTGTGAAATGTTTCACTTTGACCAAGGTCTGCAAAAGAGCAGGGGGCTTCCGAAATGGTGCAATTTAGACAAACACTGGGGTGTGAGATGCTTTGCCCTAAAAAATATATGCTGTTGTTGGGAGAGAATCATTGGTGGGTGTGACTGGATTTGTGATTGTGTGGACTCATCAGGGAGCCTCCTGGAGCTCAGGTAAGGGAGGGCGCCTGTGAGGTTTTTGGCCTTCATTATGACATGGATGAGATTGTATGTTTCTATGAACGTGTGGGTAAGACTACTGTATAGAGTACCCTTGACATAAGTAACTCCATCTTAGAAAAAGACTCCATCTTGCATTCCACAGGGCACTTTGCCAACAGGGACAAGATGTTTTGCTTAATAAATAAATAATAAAGACTGCATCCAACCAGATAAGGATATAAACAAGCACATTCTTCCACCATCTGTCCTCCCCAGAGGACTCTGTGGCCATAAAAGGAGCAAGGCTTCAGTGGCTTGAAATAACCATCTTAACTGCAACCGTCCTGCTGTCATTTGTGATGAGCACTTGGCATCTGCTGCTGAAGCCTCAAAGACTTCTTGCAAGACCAATGGGCCTGCCCAGCCCTGACCAAGGGTTTTGTTACTCTCCTTGGACTGACTTGTTAACCCTTTTCTCCTATCTCTTTTCTCTTGATGTTAAACATTACTTTGTTTATTGTGAAATGTTTAATCTATAACATTTATATATATTGATTAAGTACACTACTATGTATGGTTTGCAATATTGACTGACTTGTGAAGTGGCTTGAGCCTGCGTGTCTATGGCTCTGACTACCAAGTGAAGGGGCAGTACCAAAGAGAATTGCCTTGTATTAGTCAGGGTTCTCCAGAGAGACAGAACTAATAGGATATATGTCTATAGGAAAGGAAGTTTATTAGGGAGAATTGGCTTAGACGATCACAAGGCCCAGTCCCATGATAGGCCATCTGCAAGCTGAGGAAAAAAGAAGCCAGTAGTGGCTCAGTTCAAGTCCAAAAGCCTCAGAAGCAAGGAAGCCAACTGTGCAGTCGTCAGCCTGTGGCCAGAGGCCACAGGGCCCCCGGCAAACCACCAGTGTAAGTCTAAGAGTCCAAAGACCAAAGAACCTGGAATCTGATGTCCAAGGGCAGGAGAAGCAGAAGGAAGCATCCAGCACGGGAGAAAGATGAAAGCCAGAAGACTCAGCAAGCAAAGGTATCCCACCTTCTTCTGCCTTCTGTGTTCTACCTGAGCTGGCAGCCAATTGCATGGTGTCCACCTACATCGAGGGTGGGTCTTCCTCTCTCCATCCACTGACTCAAACATCAGTCTCCTCTGGCAACACCCTCACAGATACACCCAGAAACAATCCTTTACCAGCTGCCTAGGCTTCCTTCAATCCAATCAAGTTGACACTTAATATTAACCATCACAAGCCTCTTTGGGAACTCCAGGCGGCTCATGGCTTTTGTGATTGAAATAGCATCAATCAAAGCCTGACACTGTGGAAAGATACAAACGTGTGTGGACCTGGTTATCTCTGGACCACTGGTGGTTTGCTGGGGGCTCTCGGGCCTTTGGCCACAGGCTGAAGGCTGCACTGTTGGCTTCCTTGCTTCTGAGGCTTCTGGACTTGGACTGAGCCACTACTGGCTTCTTTCTTCCTCAGCTTGCAGATGGGTTATCATGGGACTTTGCCTTGTGATCGTGTGAGCCAATTCTCCCTAATAAATCAGAGATAAACCAAATCTCAGCAGACTTGAACCTGCGTGGGGAGAGTAATGAAGACATAAACAGTCTCCTGGTCTGGGCTGAGTTGTCTGTTGATCTTGCAAAGAAGAATCTTTGATGTGGGTAGAAACTTTGGCAGCAGATGTCAAGTGCTTATCACAAATGACAGCAGGATGGTTGGCAGTTAAGATGGCCGTTTTGAGCTGCTGAAGCCCAGCTTCTTTTATGGCCAGAGTCCTGTGGGGAGGACTGATAGTGGAAGAATGTGCTTGTTTATGTCCTTATCTGCTTGGATGCAGTCCTTATTATTTATTTACTAAGCAAAACATCTTGTCCCTGTTGGCAAAGTGCCCCATGAAATGTAAGATGGAGTCTTTTTCTAAGATGGAGTTACTTATGTCAAGGGTGCTCCATACAACTACTAACTATACAACTACTATACAACTCTGTACATCAGGTGTTTTCATTTTGATGGTTGTGCTGTTGTGCGCGTTTTCTAGTGGTTTTACAGAGCTCTGTTGGGGGATTTGTCAAATGGCATTGCAAGTCATTACTGTCCATGATGATCTTAGCCTACTCTACCACGTGTGCCTGTGGAATTAGATCTCTGTGAGTGTGTACTTGTGAACATAAGCCCAGTCTCATCTGAAACAAAGTGAATAATGCTGTTTCTTTTGAGAACATCAAATTTGTTAAAATTTGGTATACAAATTCTCAATTTATCTGGCACTAAAGTAGACATTTCATATTGAATCAATATATTGTATTTTTATGGAGAAGTGTGTAAGTCAACACAACCTGTTTTTTAATTTTTAAATAAGAAAGTAGAATAAAAAAGATGTCACTTTAATTAATCCAAAATAAGCAACAAAAAAGCAGCAGCTACTTTGTCTCTTTCACAAGTTGTAAGGAGTTAGCTTCCATTTTCTTGTGCTGTTTAGGGGCCTGGATAACTATATTTAAAAAGCTCTGGACTACAGATGTAACTTTTCTCTTGGACATAGGTTTAGGGCCTAGAATCAGGAAGTCAGGGACCCTCCTGGGTGTTAGGTGAGGCATCCTGGATCTTTTCATTCTCTGAACAAGAAAGGTTGACTCAGAAAACAGAAGTGCTCTGTTTAAGAGTCTTCAGTTTATCCTTCAGAAACTACTTGCATTTTTTAAAACCATAGGCAATTAATACTTTTTTTTTTTTTTTTTGAGATGGAGTCTCGTTCTGTTGTCCAGGCCAGAGTGCAGTGGCCCATCTCGGCTCACTGCAACCTCTGCCTGCTGGGTTCAAATGATTCTCCTGCCTCAGCCTCCTGAGTAGCTGGGATTAAAGGCACGCACCCCATGCCCAGCTAATTTTTGTATTTTTAGTAGAGACAGCGTTTCACCATGTTAGCCAGGCTGGTCTCGAACTCCTGACCTCAGGCGATCCGCCCACCTCGGCCTCCCAAAGTGCTGGCGTTATGGGTGTGAGCCACCACGCCCGGCCCAATAAATACATATTTTAATGAGCAGTCTAAAATACAAAACTAGCCTGCCACATCTTAGTAAGGACCTCGTTTCTGAGGCCTCCCCAGAAATGAAGAAATGAATATCATGCAATATTTCTCTTTCTGTGTCTTCCTTATTTCTCTTGGCATAACATCTACCAGCTTTTTTCTTGTTGTCATAAATGGCAGAATTTCTGTGTTTTCATGGCTGAATAATATTTTAATGTGTATATATCACATTTTCTTTACCCATTTGTCCTTTGAAGGAAATTTAGGTTGTTTCCGTGTCTTGGCCATAGCAAATAATACTGTGGTGAACATGAAGATGGAGACAGAAAGGGTTTAAAAGGAGCTTCGAAAGAAGTCAGGGCAGCCAGGCACAGTGGCTCATGCCTGTAATCCCAGTACTTTGGGAGGCCGAGGAAGGCGGATCACCTGAGGTCGGGAGTTTGAGACCAGCCTGACCAACACAGAGAAACCCCGTCTCTACTAAAAATACAAAATTAGCCGGGCGTGGTGGCACATGCCTGTAATCCCAGCTACTCAGGAGGCTGAGGCAGGAGAATTGCTTGAACCCAGCAGGCGGAGGTTGCAATGAGCCGAGATCGCGCCATTGCACTCCAGCCTGGGCAACAAGAACGAAACTCCGTCTCAAAAACAAACA
Source organism: Homo sapiens (assembly GCF_000001405.40). Taxonomy (NCBI): domain Eukaryota; kingdom Metazoa; phylum Chordata; class Mammalia; order Primates; family Hominidae; genus Homo; species Homo sapiens. The sequence goes on along the minus strand of NC_000019.10, from coordinate 53,515,503 downwards.
ACCAACCAAACAAAGTCAGTGCTCCACAATGAACGAAGGATGGAGGGTGACAGAAATGCCCATGTTAAAATGACACAAATGCTGCTGTCTTACTGAAGTTTGGTACTTTCTGTGGGATAGATACTTTTCACTTTGTTCTGTGGCTTTGGTAAATTTCAGAAGTCTGAAATGATTGATTTTAGTGACTTTGCGAGTGTTTTCATCATTTTGCAGAGGAGACTTGGTTTCTTGTGGTTTGCATTCATCAATGTTAGAAGCTGATCTCTCTATTCAATCTTGCAGTTTTAAGTAATGCATTGAACAGTCACATAACAGAACGCGGAGCAGGAGAACTAAATTTCTAGTGTAATCAGAATGGCAGGCACTAAATGAATTATTTTACAATAAGCCTGTGTCCTTTTTATTAACTGTTCAGTGAAGAAGTTTGGAGTCTATAAACTTGTAATAAATGTGGCCTGTAAGAACTACAAATACTGGAAAGCTTCTCTGAGGATGTAATTTCTAATTTGATGAAGAAAACATTCTCTTTAATTAACTTGGCAAGGAGAAGGCTTTGGCGGGGCACCATGGCTCCCGCCTGTAATCCAGCACTTTGGGAGGCCGAAGCGGGTGAATCAGGAGGTCAGGAGATCAAGACCATCCTGGCTAACATGGTGAAACCCCATCTCTACTAAAAATACAAAAAATTAGCCGGGCGTGGTGGCGGGCTTCTGTAGTCCCAGCTACTCGGGAGGCTGAGGCAGGAGGATGGCGTGAACCCGGGAGGCGGAGCTTGCAGCGAGCCGAGATCGCGCCACTGCACTCCAGCCTGGGCGACAGTGTGAAACTCTGTCTCAAAAAAAAAAAAAAAAGGAGAAGGCTTCAATAAAAAGAAAAGCAACTATGCCTGGGGCGGAGCTGGAGTGGAAATAAGATGGCAGACATTGGACGTCATTGAAGGCCTAGTGATGTGGTTTTAGTCCATGTGCCAAGAGCAAAAAGTTATTTAAAATATATTAGTTAGGGCTAGGCGCGGTGGCTCACGCCTGTAATCCCAGTACTTCGGGAGGCCAAGGCGGGTGGATCACCTGAGGTCAGGAGTTTGAGACCAGCCTGACCGATATGGTGAAACCCCGTCTCTACTAAAAATACAAAAAAATTTGCCGGGTGTGGTGGCATGTGTCTGTAATCCCAGCAACTCGGGAGGCTGAGGCATGAGAATCACTTGAACCTGGGAGGCAGAGGTTATAGTGAGCTGAGATCGTGCCACTGCACTCCAGCCTGGGCAACAGAGCAGGACTCCGTCTCAAAAAAAAACAGAGAAAAAATATATTAGTTATTGGGGAATATCAGCATATATAAATGTGTTTTCAGGCAAAAACCACAATAACCTGGATACAGACACATGGAAATATATTAGGAATTTTTTCAGGTGTTCAAGAGGGAGCTGTGAAATATAACTTAGTGATATTGGGGCATGATAATGGGAGAAAATATGTTAAACCATATATACCCTATGCGTGATAAGGAGTTTATATCCAAAATATATAAGGAACACCCACAACTCAAAAGCAAATATGATAATAGTAATAACCCTATTAAAGATGAGCAAAGGGGCTGGGCGTGGTGGCTCACACCTGTAATCCCAGCACTTTGGAAGGCCAAGCATAGTGGATCACCTGAGGTCAGGAGTTTGAGACCAGCCTGGCCAACATGGTGAAACCTCATCTCTACTAAAGTACAAAAATTAGCCAGGTGTGGCGGCTAATCACGCCTCCCCGGAAGGCGGAGGTTGCAGTGAGCCGAGATCGTGCCATCGCACTCCAGCCTGGGCAACAGAGTGAGAATCCATCTCAAAAACAACAACAACAACGAAAAAAAGTAAAGGGCCTGAATAGACTAATCATCTGGAAAATGCCAATCAAAATCACAGTGAGGTATCACTTCACATGTCTTAGGATTGCTATTATTAAAAAGACAAAAGGTAACAAGTGGTGAGGATGCGGAGGAAAAAAAATACCCCTGTACGTTGTTGTTGGGACAGTCAATTGGTAGAGCAATTATATTTTTAAAAATTCTAAAAAACATGGAGTTGCCTTACAAGTTATAATTTAATTTTACTCAAAACAATATGAGAATTAAAATTCTTTTTAATTTTAAAAATCAAAATGACCAAACAATCCAGCAATCCTACCTCTGAGTATGCGTCTGAAGGAAATGGGTATTTCCAAGAGCTATCTGCACTCCCACGCTTGCTGCAGTGTTATTCGCATCAGCCAAGGCACGTCAGCCGTATGAGGGTCCTTCATGATGCACGGATAAACACACTGTGAGACAGACAGACAGATTTCTCAGCGGCTGAGAGGGTTTTAGAGATCCTGACACCCAGAGAGGAACTGGGGACAGAAGAGGATGCAGCTTTCCATTACCAAAGCTGAGGAGGTCCAGAAGGAAGAGGAGAGGCCAGTGGGGCTCACCTGCAGGAGCCTGCTGAGACTCCGGAGCATGGTCCGTGGGAACGATTCTGATGCTTCTCAACCATGTGCTTCCTTAGCAGAGAACTGTCTAGATTAGCGGTTCCCAGCGTTTTTGGCACCAGGGACTGGTTTGGTGGAAGGCAGTTTTTCCACAGACGGGGGGATGGTTTCAGGATTAAACTGTTCCACCTGAGATCATCAGGCATTAGTTTGATCTCATAAAGAGCATGCAACCCAGATCCTTCGCATGCACAGTTCACAGTAGGGTTGGCACTCCTCTGAGATGCAGTGGCGCTGCTGATCTCACAGGAGGCAGAGCTCAGGTGGTCATGCGCCCTCACCCACTGCTCACCTCCTGATGTGCGGTCCAGTTCCTAACAGGCCACCCATGGGGACCGGTCCGCAGCCCAGGGGTGGGGATCCCTGGTCTAGATTAGTGCAGCTTGACTTTGGAAAAGAAACAAAAACCCTCTGATGTGGGCACAGCAGCCACATCACGCAGACCCATGATGCCCAACTTAAGAGCTCCCCGCGGGCCCTCACTGGGTAAGGGAAGTAAGCAGCCCAGATCCTGCTACCCAGGAGACCACCTGCCACCACTTCAGAAAAGCCAGGGGATCTCCCTGCACTCTAGGTCTGAGGCCATTTGTGAAGACGTAGCTCAGGTGCTTGCAGATTCAGCAGGCACATTCCCCGCTGACCCCAGAGCAGCTTTCTGGCCTCACCCAGCTCCGGGGCCTCTGTGCACCATGGTGCAGACCTTCCAGGCCTCGGCCACGCAGGCATCTCTGTCTTCCCTGCTGAGGGTGGCTTCTCCCAGTCCCACTGGCGCGTCCCTGGGGCCCATCCCTGGATGAAGGAGAAGCTCAGCGCTCCTCCCAGGATGGAGAGAGGCCCACCTCTTCCCCGGACCGGAGATAACAGACCCTGTTGGTGGATCAGATTGGGCTTGAGATGAGGTGCCCAGCCCTGTCCAGCAGAGGGTGCTGCTCTGAGAGTCAGAAGAAAGACCTGCCCCTTCTCAGATTCCTCCAGATGACCAGCAGGGATGACTTTAGACACACGGTGTTAATACATGCTAGAACCTGCGGAAGGAAAATAGGAAAATAACTTGAACGATATACTCAGAATGGTGAACTCTGTGGTTCATTGAGGATGAAGTTCACTATTCAGTTTCGTGTGAGATATTTGCTGTCTTTTGGATGTCTCCTGAGAGTCATGCATTTCTGTAGAATCACAGCAAATATTAGGGTGTAATCATCCATATGTGTTTGTATATTATAAAGTATAGCAAAAATAAATATATATATTTATATCCTTCTACTTTAATTGAGAAAAGGCTGTGTCTCTTCACTCTCTCACCTGCAGTCCATGAGGGACTCAGACCCACAAACCTGAGACGCATCTCTATTGAGAAAGGTTATCTTTTTACGCTTGATGACATCATGGCAAAACCACCATGTTATTGTTTGATTTTTCTTTCTTTTATATCTAAACTGAGTCAAGATGTATTAAATGCTTATTGATTATATTTATTTAGTTTATTTAGTTTTTGGCTCATATGATTTACTTGGATTTAAATTTTCTTCTATTTTATAGTTTTAATTTACCCTGTTTTACTATAGGATATTAAATCTAACATACATATTGTCACTTGTTTTACATATTGTTATATGTTTTCCTATTTTCATTTTACACTGCGATAATGCAATCTTTTACCATATAAATGTATATATTTTTATGTAGGGAATATATAAGTAATTGGGTATTCTTTTGTCTTTTCCTTATAATTTCCATATTGTATAGTATGAGATAAATATTAATATTTTCTAAGTATTTTATACTTTAGATAATTACATATTGATCCATAGGGAGGTTGTTTTGCTGCATGCGTGGGTTAGATAATGTTTTCTCTTCACTTTTGCTTCATCTCCACCCTGATTTCCCTCAACCCAACAGCTCTTGTTGTGGATATGGAATAGTAGTCATTCCAGTGAATGGGGAAAATTGAATGGTTGATGTTAGGAATCAGTTTGAACCCATGACATGGCCTTAAATTACACGCAGCAGGTATTTACATATATATGAGATAATAATTTACAAGTTAGATTTGGGGTGGGGATGCAATTACAAAATAACAATAAAATAAAATATACTTAGGAATAATTTTAACAAATATGTTAAATGTATATAAGAATTAAATAGAAAATTTCTGAAATATACAAATGTACACATAAGAAGTTACAGCATGGACTTGGGTAAAAAAAATCAATATTATAAAAATCAATTGCTCATAAGCTAATTTATAAATTTAATTTGGTTCAAATATAGATACATTCAGTTGGGAGTTATGGATGTTATTGCAAGAATCTCATAGGTGAAAACACAAATAAGAATAATCAAGAAAACTCTGAAAAAGAACGAAATGAGGGTAGCTAGTCTTGTAAGACATGTTGGTTGATGGGCAGACTGATAGATGGGTGGAGCTCACAACTCAGAAATAGACTGCAGTGCATAAGACACATTACAAAGTGACAAAATCGATTCTTTACAACACATAGTAAGATAAAGGTCTGATTTAAAATAAAGCTACATGGCAAAAAAAAAAAAAAAAAAGTTCAAGTTTCGATCAGGTTAATTCTGGCAGGTTGTGCTGGGCCTTCTGAGATTTCTGGGGATGGACAGCTCCCACTCCTACCCCGAGTTCCCTAATCTGCCATTTTTACTGAAGTCACTCCCCACCATCACTCGAACTGAAAGTGGGTAAAATGTTTCCTCTGAATCCTTTTTCAAGAAACTCAGAAGAAAGAAAGCCTATCTATACATGGTCCTCAAGTGACTATTGTAAGTGTTTCTCTGCCAAGAAAGAGCAAAGACTGTCACGCCCACAGAAGCAGGATGTTCCATCACATAGGACACTTCTCCATGAGCTCTAACATGGTTTACTCTGTGTCCCCACCCAAATCTCATGTCTAATTGTAATCCCCACGTGCCAGGGGCAGGCCTGGTGGCAGGTGATTGTATCATGGGGGCGGATTTCCCCCTTGCTGTTCTGCTGATAGTGCGTTCTCACGAGATCTGATGGCTTAGAAGTGTGTGCTTTTCTTCACTCTCTCTGTCTCTCCTTTTCACAATGGTAAGACATACCTTGCTTCCCCTTCTGCCATGACTGTAAGTTTCCTGAGGCCTCCCCATCCATGTGGAACTGTGATTCAGTTAAGTCTCTTTTCTGTATAAATTACCCGCTCAGGTAGTTCTTTGTAGCTAGGGGAAAACAGACTAATAGAAGCCCAGAGTTTCATCTTCCACATGTGATCAGAGCTTTCCCAGGCTCTGCATTGCTCTGCAGATCAGCCCTACCACAGAGGCTTAGCTGTGAGAATCTGACCTCGGAAGTGGCTGCTGAACCTGTGTCCTGCTACTCTGCTCTCCTGCAGGGATCCTGCCTGCTCTAAATAATCTCTTCCTGGGCTCTAGGATCTTTCCTGGATCCATCTACTTCCTGTGTATACACTTGTAGTATCAGACACAAGCTTTGATTCTCAGGATTGGCAGGATTGGACTCCTGCCATCTCCAACCACCTTCTCTACACGTATGGTGTTGCAATCTGTTCTGAGAGACCCCACCTCAGGGTATCTCTGCACCGACATGATGAAATTAGTACAGTGGGAAGAGGAACAGAAAAGAATCAGGCTATGTTGGAGGCTGGGTCTGGGGTTCCATTACTTGATTTGTTTCTCTGGTTTATCCAAATAGGAATAAACATACATTCATCTCTACGTGGAAGAAAAACAGGAGGAGGAGACGCAGCTCACAGAGGAAGGAGGGCAGATGGGTACCGAAAGGGCACACTCCTCACTAGAATCCCAGAGGGAGGGAACAGTCCCAAAGGATTCTTCTGGGTGACGTGGAGACCAAACGCACAGGAACCCCCAGCACCTGCCCTGTCATCTGGCTTAACTGAAACTAACACAGTCCTGGCCCAACATCATTTCCAGGGAGACTCTTTCTGGGACTCACGGAGGTGATTATGAGGGAAAAAAGGTGATGAATGTCCCTCCATTCTTCAGTGCTCCTAGGACCTAAGTTGACTGCTCTCCAGGTTTCAGGTTGTCACTCTCCCTCTCCCTCCACAGAATCAGTCAGTCCCATTCTGGTACCTATAATTTCATCTTTATTCTCATGATCCCCTACTGTCTCCAAGACATTTTGTCCCTAAGAGCAAGGTGAAACAGGGATAAAGATTTTTGTATAAAACTTAATTGTAACTAACTTTGAGTCCCATAACTCGCTTTTAGCTGGGCTGCCACTCATCGTGGGCAAAGTAGACTGGCCTGTTCAGAGAAAGAATGACATATTGTGCCTGGAATGGTCAGAGAGAGAAATCTCATATTTTGGAAATAGATTCATAACCCCCAGTGATTTCATCCTGATCCTGGAGGCTGTCAAGAAGAGATCATTCCTGGAGGCTGTCAAGAAGAGATCACGTCAAGAAGAGACATCCAAAAGGATGTCTCCTTCTGGAGACAGCCACATTCAATCAACAAATTCCCTAAACAACATTGATGGATCAAGAGGGGAAACAAGGAAGTAAAATCAGACAGTTGGCCCATTTTTAGTAGATTTAGTGATTAAAGACTCAGTATGTCAGAGTGAAAATGGTCCCAAAAGTCTAAAAGGTGACATGAATGAGTTTCAAGGGTCACGTGGTGCGGCTGGAGTCAGCTGGCGTGACATGATTGAAACCTCCAGAAGTGGGTCAAAAGTCCAATGCACTCATTCTGCCAGGAATGGTCAGGGGCCTCCCCAACCGCCAGATAAACAGATCAACTTTCACCAAGAACCACAAGCCCGGCCTGCAGTGACAAGCTCTGCATGAGACAGATTCAGGCTCTGTCCAGAGCTTGATTTTGGTCAGGTGCTTCAGAAAACAGTCCTTTACCATGGACTCCTAAATCACGGATGCAACTGTTAGATCAGCAGCTGAGATTGTTTCCAGTTTGCAGCCTCAAAGAGGGTATGCTTCCTCAGACAGTCTCTAGTTTGAATGGGGATGAACAAACAGCTAGAATGTGGGCAGTGGCCAAAACCCTGAGTTTTGATGATTTTTTTTGTAACCTCCATGTTCAAGCGATTCTCCCACCTCAGTCTCCGAAGTAGCTGGGATCACAGGTGCCTGCCACTACGTCCAGCTAATTTTTTGTATTTTTAGTACAGATGGCATTTCCCTATGTTGGCCAGGCTGGTCTTGAACTCCTGGCCTGAAGACATCCGCCTACCTCAGCCTCCCAAAAGGCTGGAATTACAGGCTGGAGCCCCCACACCTGGCCCCAAGTCTGACCGTTGAGCGGAACAAACGCCCCTGCTGCAGGTTCCACGTGGCTGGCACTGAGCCCGAACAGCCTCTGCTGTGGCCACCGTGAGGAATCTACTTCCCTGACCCATCAGTGAACCTGGACCAGGCATTTAGGGGTTACATGGTAAATTTGGGACCCCATAATGCCATAGCTTTGCTTCAGACCGTGGAGAAGGGCATAAAATTTTCACCGATGATAGATCTTGATTTTTCCTTTAGAGCTGAGATGTTGCTGGGCCGGTCCATTTTCCTCCCAGAATACACCATTTCTGTGTCATAAGCAAGGCTTTCGGGGGGTTTTGTAGAGTTTGGACTAACCCATCTCAAAATTGGAATATCAAGGTGGGGAGCCCCAAGCTGTCTGTGGGACAGGATTTGGTGATGACGAGAGCTCAGCAGCAAAGTAACAGATAATGTTCAAAATCAGCGTGACTATTATTGTGTCAGGATTGCGTCAGGGCAACTAGGACCCCACAGGCACCTCTAGGTGGAGGCTGCCTCCCTTTTCCAGAGGCTGCAGATGACAAAATCATTTTGTCATCTACAACTTTTGTCGACCACTGAAATCATTGAGCAATGTAAGTCTGCTCACATACTTTCAATAAGCCTGCCCCGGAAAACAGAAGGCTGCATTTCTTTGGGTTCTGTCAGTTACCTCTGCTGGCAGGGCGGGGATCACACCCCACACAGGAAGATTGAGAGCAACTCCTCTCACCTGCCGAGACACACAACATCATCTGCATAGTGAGGATTTGGGACATCAGAGGCTAGAGGCACTCATAGGAATCCTAATGACTCGCCCCCAACGGGTGGCAAATGGCAGGAGAGTTAGTCTCACACGTCCCTACCTGCACCCAACCCAGACTGGAATAATTTCCTCTGGTACATAGGGACACGAAGCCCAAAAACACACAACACATCAATTCCTACTGTCTATTCTGATGCAGAAACCGAACAGGACATTGAATTAGCACAAAAGACCCTCTTTCCGCCCTCACTGGGAACCCTGCCTAAACCCTGTCTGTTGAGTTTGTTTCTTGTTTTTGTGTTTTGTATTTTTTCTCCGTGTAATCACAGACTAATAAGTATAATACACTATACAATGGCATGGGTAAGGGACTGCGAAGGGCCAGTAGACCAGAGGAAGCTAGGATAGGAGTGTGTGTGAGAGAGAGAGAGAGACAGAGAGAGAGAGAGAGAGAGACAGACAGAGAGAGAGAGAGAGAGAGAGAGAGAGAGAGAGAGACAGAGAGAGAGAGAGAGAGAGAGAGAGAGAGAGGAGAGAGAGAGTGTGTATGTGGTAGGGGCCAGGACAATGGGGGAGGTGTGATTCTTTTCTTTTTTTTTTTTTTTTTTGAGACGGAGTCTCGCTCTGTCGCCCAGGCTGGAGTGCGGTGGCGCGATCTCCGCTCACTGCAAGCTCCGCCTCCCGGGTTCACGCCATTCTCCTGCCTCAGCCTCCCGAGTAGCTGGGATTACAGGCGCCCGCCACCACGCCCGGCTAATTTTTTGTATTTTTAGTAGAGACAGGGTTTCCCCATGTTGGGCAGGATGGTCTCGATCTCCTGACCTCGTGATCCACCCGCCTCGGCCTCCCAAAGTGCTGGGATTACAGGCACTAGCCACTGCACCCAGCCGGTGTGATTCTTTTTTAGCTTTTCAGACCATGGTCTGCGCTGCACTTTTTTTCTTTTCTTTTTCTTTTTTTGAGATGGAGTCTTGCTCTGTCGCCAGGCCAGAGTGCAGAGGCACGATCTCGGCTAGTGCGACCTCCGCCTCCCATGTTTAAGTGATTCTCCTGCCCCAGCCACCCGAGTAGCTGGGACTACAGGTGCCCACCACCACGCCCAGCTAATTTTTGTATTTTTAATAGAGAGGGGGTTTCACCATGTTGGCCAGGATGGTCTCGATCTCTTGACCTCATGATCCACCCACCTTGGCCTTCCAAAGCGCTGGGATTACAGGCGTGAGCCACCACGCCCGGCCTCTGCTGCATTCTTAGCATTGCACCATCCAGCATTTGGTGACTATTCAGGGCCAGAAGCTTGTCTCTTTCTGCCTGTTTGCAGCCACACTTCACCCCACCATCCTTAGCACCTTTACCCACCCCTGCGTCTACTGACCCTTCTTGCTGGAATCCACGTACGTTGGTGACTTAAATCCTTGCATGCAACAGGACTAAAAGTGTTTCAGTCCAGGTATGGTGGCTCACGTCTGTAATCCCAGCATTTTGGGAGGCACAAGCGGGCAGATCACTTGAGCCCAGGAGCTCGAGACCAGCCTGGGAAACATGGCACGAGGCTGGAGCCCAGGGCGGGGAGGTTGCAGTGAGCCAAGATGGCACCATTGCACTCCAACCTGGGGGACAGAGTGAGATTCCATCTAAAAACAAAAACAAAAACACAACAAAATGAAAAAACGGAGTTTCAATGTCTTCCTCCCAAAAACCTCTAAGCTGATTCCACTCTTTCCACAGACCTGCTGTAGTGCGGTGTGGGTGGAGGGAGGGATCAGAAGGTACAGAAAAAAAAGACTGCTCCCTCCTGGCAAGCACAGCACTAACAAGCCTCGTGTGCTTACAGTTTATGACAGCCTGTTGGCCGCTGTCAGCTCAACCCCATGAACTCAGCATCAGCTTCGGGGACTCTTCGTCCTTTCCTGCTCCTGCCAGGAGGAGAATGAGCAACAAATAAATCACATTCGGACAGTTCATTTCAATCCTCCCTCTCACACAACAGCCCCATTCCAGGGTTAGAGAGTGGAGGAATTTTACTCTCATTTCACTCCAGTTTGGGTGAGAGAATTTGCTGCTTGTTCCAGAAAGCCGTTTTCTGTCCGCTAACCACACCGGTGAAGAACCTTTCTACCTTCCTCTTACACAAAGTCACATCTGTCCCAGCATCACCAAACCTATCAGAAATTGCAAAAGGTTTTAAATTTTAACCTTACTTGCAAGCCAACAAGTAAGATTGTCAGTTTATGGATGTTGACTGAGGGCATGAGATTTCTGGATCTGAGAAAATATATATTTTACTATTCATCACGAAAATGACAGCAAGAACTTCGCATCTGCGCACATTCCCCCCGTCTACTCCGAGGGACACAGAGATGAGGCACGTGTGTTTGTGCACCGTCACTTTCTTATAACGTTTACGTTTCAGTGTCTTCCTCCCGAAAACCTCTAAGCTGATTCCACTTTTTCCACAGAGCTGCTCCAGGGCGGTGTGGGTGGAGGGGGGATCAGGAGGTACAGAATAAAACAGTGGCCCCTGCTGGCAAGCACAGCACTAACAAGCCTCGTTTCATAACCGTGTTTATGGGTCTCTAGAGATCAATGAAGAAACATAAACATTGTACAAACATGTCCAATTCACATATTTCTGATAAGATTAGGGGGTTTTGTGTTACTTATCTAAGCAAAGCAAAGCTTGGATACACAGGAGTCCCCACTCATGAGAAGAAAGGGGCTGACAGCTGGGAAACCTGCACTGATCATTGCAGAGATGTTCACCACCAGCTGACTGGGATTATTCAAAAGAGCCAAACAAACTTGAAAGGTGAAGAGAGAGTGTAAAAGGACACAAACGTGCTCACCAGGAGGATGGTTTTGGTAGCTCCGGACTCAGGGGAGGATGTGGGGGAGACGCTGGTCCTATGAATGTGCTGGACCCGCCGCTTGTGCCTGTGCAGGATGCAAACGATGGAGCTGCTGCCCCAGAGCATGAGCCCCAGGCAGATCACATCAGGGAAGGACAGCAGTGCCGCGTCAGCGACTCTCTGGTGTCCTCGTGATCAGCAGCAGAACAGTATCCCAGATCTTTTGTCTTTGTGGTATTTTTGTTGCTCCACTTGCCGGTCACGTGCATGAGAACAATGATATTGACCAGGGAGGAGCCAGCTGAGGAACACACAGGAGCCAGCGTGCTTGGGGGCGTTCCCTTTAAGCTCTGCCCACCTGAGCTCCTGGGGCTGATGGTGATGGCCTGGGAGACACTCAGGAGGCAGGTGCTGCCAATGGACACTCCCCTGACAACTCTGTGGACACAAAAAAGAAATTTACATCCAGAATCACTCCGGAAATGCCTAAACCCAAAAGCTGCCATTGTCTGTGGGACTCCTCTAGGGAGGAGGAATACGGTGTTGGCTACAATTAGGTGTCTGATCATCAAATCTGTGGACCTTAACCTGCACCCAGTGATGTAAAAGGACAGATAATGGTAAATAAGAGAGAAATCCCCAGGATTCCAAGTACAGTCTGCGATAAGAAGATCGTTCCCATGGCCACATCCCAGCAGCCATTCTGTCAGTTCCCACAGGCTGCTACTTATCTTCAGAGACACAGGATCCTGCAGGGAACGTGATGCATGAGCGACATTTAAAAGGCAGCTGGTACTTGGTGGGGGCTGAGGTAGGAGGATCCCTTGAGCCCAGGAGATTGAGGCTGCAGCGAGCCGAGATCCCGCCACTGCACACCAGGCTGGATGACAAAGTGAGACCCTGTCTCAAAACATAAAAAATAAAAATAAAAAATAAAGTCAGCTGAAATGCAATAGAAATACTTAATAAAGTTACTTTCTAGTATGAAGAGTTTGCCATATTTGGATGTGTCCCATTTTAAGTGTATTTGCAATGAATTGCTCTTTGCTATGAAGAACAGACATGTATTCACCTCCATATTCTTCATAATCTATGAGCCAGGTACCACCATTATAAAGACAAAGAGGACTCAAGCACAGAGAGGTGACATGATTTGTGTAAATTCACACCGTGTTTGGAGTAGAATAGGGACTGATCTTGTCTGGGCTGATTTCAGAGTGCATTAACCACCATGCTCTACTGTCAAAGCCAGTTAGCGGGGTTCTTCCAATAATGAACATACATATTTAATTTTTTTTTTTTTTTTTTTTTTTTTTGAGGCGGAGTCTCGCTGTAGCCCAGGCTGGAGTGCAGTGGCGCGATCTCGGCTCACTGCAAGCTCTGCCTCCCGGGTTCACGCCATTCTCCTGCCTCAGCCTCCCGCGTAGCTGGGACTACAGGCGACCGCCACCTCGCCCGGCTAATTTTTTGTATTTTTAGTAGAGACGGGGTTTCACCGTGTTATCCAGGATGGTCTCGATCTCCTGACCTCGTGATCCGCCCGCCTCGGCCTCCCAAAGTGCTGGGATTACAGACGTGAGCCACCGCGCCCGGCCACATATTTAATTTCTATTTTATACCTTGTCTCTATATTTTACGCAGGTGACATTTAATTTTATAATTTTGGTTTTGACCAGTTTCCATTGATGTATAAAATATTAGCCCATAGACTGATAGCAATTATGAATAAATCTTTAAAGACCTTGATAAAATGTAGATACACTGATTGGAGTATAAAATTATAGGAATCTGCCTCACGACTAAATTAGATTTAAAAAGATTGACCCCATATCAGGATAGCCACAGAGACTTACTTCTTTTTACACCAGGAAAGAAAGTACGATGGCACCTACCACAGGAATTAATGGACAATCTGATATCATGTCCTAACTACGTAATGTGACATACTAAAGGATCATAAAATAGAGTCGGGTAGAAATTATCATTCTTTTCAGTTCATATACTCATAAATTAATGAGTATATAAATTAACTAAAATAGTAAGTGTTGAGATTTGTCAAAGGTGTTAATATAGAATATATATGGAAAATTAAATCTGTAAGCCATGGGATCTTGTGCATTTGATAAATTGAAATGGTAGATTTGGAGATTAAGTGAGATTTCCTTCATTTTTAAAAGACTTTTAAATTCAGGGGTACATGTGCAGGTTGGTTACATAGGTAAACGTGTGTCATGGGAGTTTGTTGTATAGATCATTTAATCACCCATGTATTAATTCTAGTACCCATTAGTCATATTCCCTGATCCTCTCCCTTCTTTCACCCTGCACCCTCCAATTGGTCCTAGTGTGTGTTGTTCCCCTCTATGCATCTCTCTTCTCATCATTTACCTCCCACTTACAAATGAGAACGTGGCATTTGGGTTTGTGTTCCTGTGTTACTTTGCTAAGGAAAATGGCCTCCAGCTCCATCCGTGTCCCTGCAAAGGACATGATCTCGTTCTTTTTTGTGGCTGCATAGTATTCCATGGTGTATAGGTACCACATTTTCTTTACCCAGTCCACCAGTGATGGGCATTTTGGTTGACTTCATGTTTGCTATTGTGAATAGTGCTGCAACGAACATACACATGCATGTGTCTTTATAATAGAACAATTTATATTCCTTTAGGTATATATCCAGTAATGGGATTGCTGGGTCAAATGGTATATCTGTCTTTAGGTCTATTTTCTGGAAGACAGAGTGGTGAGTTCCAAAATTTCTAATGTGAACTAATGGCTTCATGTTCTTCCTTTTACTTTTTTTTTTTTATCTCTCAAAATCCTTCTTAGGTACTTTGCCTGATTCCATTTATCTGCATATAACTTAAAAGATCAAAGGTCTAAATATTATAAGGAAATCTACTTTGGGTGGAAAGACTTCTCAGGGATTCAGAGAATCCACTGAGACATACCTGGTGTGCGTTCAGTCCCTGATGTACCAGAGCTCAGTATTTCCTGCTTCCTTCTTGTGAGACCCTCTCTGCCTCCAGGGATCAAGAAGAAAGAATCTCCCCAGACACTCCAAAATCCCTTTGGAGATGCTATCTAGGAATTAGTAAACGTTTTCTTGGTAATTACAACAGGGAAATGAAGTTTTTAAAAAAGAATAGCTTCCCAGGACTGCACTGTCACAGCTGTGACAGGTAAAATGATCATTGCGGTTGTGACAGCAGGTGAGGTCACAGAATCACAAGCCCATATCTAGCAGCCTGGCTGCTGCCCTCTCATATAATGCTGACTGGCATGACCAGCACACTGAGCTCACCATCCAGACAGAGGGGTGGGTCAGGTGAGTATTTTCTATTTCAGTTTGACAGGTAGAGTCCGCAGTAGAAGGAGGTATATAAGAAGTCCAGATATGGCCGGGTGTGGTGGCAGACGCCTGTAATGCTAGCACTTTGGGAGGCCTAGGCAGGCGGATCACCTGAGCTCAGGAGTTTGAGACCAGCCTGGCCAAGATGCTGAAATCCCGTCTCTACTAAAAATACAAAACTAGTTGGGCGTGGTGGCATGCGACTGTATTCCCAGCTACTTGGAAGGCTGAGACAGGAGAATTGCTTGAACCCGGGAGGCAGAGGTTGCAGTGAGCCAAGATCGCAACACTGCTGCCCAGCCTGGGCTACAGAGCAAGACTTGGTCTCAGAAAATAAATAAATAAATACATAAATACATAAATAAATGGACTTGTGAGCACAACTGAATACCAAATTATATAGAAATTTCATAGAAACATTGTTTAACAATATTTAAATACATATTACTATATAATTATATTGATGTTTAGTTATATAACTATGTTAAATACAGTATCACCAATATAGTTTAGTAATATATAGTATACCAGTTTCTCTTAACAGAAATATCCCAAATGATAATAATTTTCTAGCTAGATTGACATATTATTTTCTCAGTGCCAAAAAGTTTACTGGTCCTATGATGTTGTAGCCAGGTCTCCAACTCCTGGTGCTACTCCTGTGTTTATGTTATGTTGCCAAAAGTTTGGCTGGTAATTTACTGATTAATGAAGGCTAACAGTCATTTGAATTTTTTTTTTTTTTTTTTGAGACTGAGTTTCGCTCAATTGACCAGGCTGGAGTGTAGTGGCGTGATCTCGGCTCACTGCATCCTCCGCCTCTCAGGTTCAAGCGTTCCTCGTACCTCAGCCTCCTCAGTAGCTGGGATATAGGCACCCACCACCATGCCCAGCTTCATTTGACTTTGAAAGAGAAACCTGTGTGTAATCCCAGCATTTTGGGAGGCCGAGGCAGGCGGATCACTTGAGGTCAGGAGCTCAAGACCAGCCTGGCCGACATGGTGAAACCCCATCTCTACTAAAAATACAAAAATTAGCCAGGCATGGTGGGGAGTGCCTGTAATCCCAGCTACTCTGGAGGCTGAGGCACGAGAATCGCTCGAACCTGGAGGTGGATGTAGCAGTGAGCCGAGATCCTGCCACAGCACTCTAGCCTGGTCGACAGAGCAAGACAGGCTCAAAAAAAAAAAAAAAAAAAAAGAAGAAGAAAAGAAAAATAAAAGAAAGTTATCCTGGATTATCTGGGTGGGTCCTATGTGTCCTTAAAGAAGAAATATATGTCAGAGAGATGCAATAGTGGAGGAAGTTAGGACTCAGGAGCACGAGAGTGATTTCACATGCTGTATATTGAATATATGGGAACCAGGAGAAAGAAATGAATTCTGACAACAATCTGAATGAGCTTAGAAGTGAATTCTGCCCCCACAGTCTCTAGAATAGAACCCATGGCTTTGACTTTGATTTTGGCCTTGTGAGACCAGACAGAGTACCCAGAAAAACCTGACACATTTCTCATCTATGAACTGTGAGAAAATAAATGAGTGCTGTAGTAAACTGCTGGCTAAACCGTGGCAATTCATAAATAGAAAATACACATCTGAACAAATGTAACGATAAAACATTTAAACACTAAAATAAAAAGCAACCATTTATATCATAGAATATCTAATATCAATTTCATAGAATATCTAAAATTGCATCTGAAATCACATACAAAATATATATGTATATACACACCATTCAGATATTCATTATTCAATATTTAAATATATATTTGCAGAGTTACATTTCTAATTCAATAGCTTTCACCAATCAGTGATGGGGTTTTTTGTTTTTTTGTTTTTTTGTTTTTTAAGATGGAGTTTCACTCTTGTTGCCCAGCTGGAGTGCAATGGCGCAAGCTCAGCTCACCGCAACCTCCGCCTCCCAGGTTCGAGCGATTCTCCCGCCTCAGCCTCACTAATAGCTGGGATTACAAGCATGCGCAACCACGCCCAGCTGATATTGTATTTTTAGTAGAGATGGGGTCTCACCATGTTGGTCAGGCTGGTCTCAAACTCCCAACTTCAGGTGGTCTGCCTTCCTCGATCTTCCAAAGTGATGGGATTACAGGCGTGAGCCACTGCGCCCGGCCAATCAGTGATGAAGGGGTGGCCTGCCCCTCCACACCTGTGGGTGTTTCTTGTCAGGTGGGACGAGAGACTGAGAAAATAAATAAGAGACGGAGACAAAGTATAGAGAAAGAACAGTGGGCCCAGTGGACCGGCGCTCAGCATATGGAGCACCCGCCAGCACTGGTCTCTGAGTTCCCTCAGTATTGATCATTATCTCTACCATCTGGGAGAGGGGATGTGGCAGGACAATAGGGTAATAGTGGGGAGAAGGTCAGCAGGAAAACATGTGAGCAAAGGTCTCTGTGTCATAAATAAGTTTAAGGAAAGGTGCTGTGCCTTCATGTGTACGCACACAAACATCTCGGTGTAATAGAGAGCAGCATTGCTGCCAGCATGTCTCACCTCCAGCCCTAAGGCGGTTTTCTCCTATCTCAGTAAATATAATATACAATTGGGTTTTACACCAAGACAGTCTATTCCCAGGAGGAGCAGGAGACAGATGCCTTCCTCTTATCTCAACTGCAAAGAGTCCTTCCTCTTTCACTAATCCTCCTCAGCACAGACCCTTTACGGGTGTCAGGCTGGGGGATGGTCAGGTCTTTCCCTTCCCACGAGGCCATATCTCAGGCTATCACATGGGGAGAAACCTTGGACAATACCTGGCTTTTCTGGGCAGAGGTCCCTGCGGCCTTCTGCAGTGTTTGTGTCCCTGGATACTTGAGTTTAGAGAATGGTGATGACTTTTACCAAGCATACTGCCTTCAAGCACTTTTTAACAAAGCACATCCTGCACAGCCCTAAATCCATTAAATCTTGAGTCAACACAGCACACGTCTCTGCCAGCACAGGGTTGGGGCTAGGGTTACAGATTCACAGCATCTCAAGGCAGAAGAATTTCTCTTAGTACAGAACAAAATGGAGTCTCTTATGTCTACTTCTTTCTACATAGACACAGTAACAGTCTGATCTCTCTTTCTTTTCCCCACAAGTGATGTTTTCATACCAGTTGCAACAGATCTACGCATTTTTTAAAATGCCACATCAGATTCCATGGTGACTGTGAATAAACCATGTCATTGCAACACTCCCTGTTTACACATTGACAGAGCTGAGTGTGTCCGTCTGTGCCCTGCCAGAGCACACATCATACCATGTGGATCACGCTGATTGAGCGCCTGCGGTGACCTGTGTGGTCCTTGGATAGAGGATTATTGGACCATGGCGACTGCACATTCTCCCCAAGACAGACAACTGATAACAGACCTTAGAATAGCCATAAAATGCCACATCCCGACAAATGCGCACCCAGGTAACTCCACCCAGTACTGCCTTCTCTAGGCCCCTGTCATCCCGTAGAAGGCCAGACAAGAATGGGATTTGCAAGAATGTCTAAGGTAGTTTTCACTGGGAGCCCGCAGTTTGTGGAGGGAAATGGGAACTGCTTTATATGGGCTTTTCCCCAGGGTGTGTGTGTGTGTGTGTGTGTGTGTGTGTGTGTGTGTGTGTGTGTGGTGGGGAGGGTCAGTCCATCCTACATCCCCACTGCTGTAGGAAAATGTGGGGGCATCTCTGGGAAGGCACCTGAGGACCGAGTAGAAACTCATATTTTGTTCTCCACGTAGGAACTTATCATACCTGAGTCTCTTCTGTGGCAAAGGATTATTATAACATATGATGTTTGCTGGAAGTTTTTTTTTTTTGAGAGGGAGTCTCACTCTGTCACCCAGGCTGGAGTGCAATGGCGCAATCTCGGCTCACTGCAACCTCTGCCTCCTGGGTTCAAGCAATTCTCCTGCCTCAGCCTCTCAAGTAGCTGGGATTACAGGCGCGCACCACCGCACCCCGCTAATTTTTGTATTTTTAGTAGAGACAGGGTATCTCCATGTTCGTCAGGCTAGTCTCAAAGTCCCAACCTCAAGTGATCCACCCGCCTCGGCCTCCAAAAGTGCTGGGATTACAGGCATGAGCCACCGTGCATGGCCTCTACGTAGCTTTATTTTAGTCTTTGTGGCTATCTCATTTAGGAATAAAATGGGAGGCAGGTTTGTCTGATGCAGTTCTCAGGTTGACTTTTCTCTTTGGCTTAGTAATTTTTATTTTCCTTTCACGAGCTTGTGACAGACATAATGCTTTGACACACTGATATTGCTTAATATAGATTTTTCCATAACAGTAAAGTCCAAGGGTCTCTCATGAATTGGGTTAGGGGAGATGAGAACATTCCCAGGAGACTCCTGGTCTCAAGCAATCCTCCCATCTCAGCCTCCCAAAGTGCGAGGACCACAGGTGTGATCAGCTGACCCAGTGGAGTCTTGATCTCAAAAAAAAAAAAAAAAAAAAAAGCAAAACAGAAATTAAGGTACTCTATGCAATTACATCATTTGCCTTTTTTATTTTGAAATGAAAAGTCTCACATATTTATTACTGAACCCACCCAACTGACGTGTTCATAGCAGATTCAGAGAAAAAACATATTCCCAATAAAACATTTCCAACACTCCAGATAGTGGTGACATTTTCAGCTTGATATGGTAACGCGATTGTAATGCTCACACAGCATAAATATGTGTGCCATCTCACGTGCAATTCCTTATAGACCCCGCTTCGTTCTTCTCCAATGTCTCCTTTTGGAGTCGTACCTGATTTTATTACCAGTTTTGATCTGAATCCACTGGGGGAATGGAATGATTTTGCTTTTGTTTCTTGGCCAGGTATTGCTTAAATCTGAAAGTCCTGTGAGATCTGGCGAGAAGGGGAGTCAAGTACACACCACGAGAGGAGACAGGAAGAGAAGGGGCTTGACATATTTTATTTTTTATTTATTTATTTTTTTTTGAGACAAAGTTTTGCTCTTATTGCCCCCATCTTGGCTCACTGCAACCTCCGCCCCCCAGGTTAAAGCGATAATGCAGCCTCAGCCTCCTGAGTAACTGGGATTACAAGCACCCGCCACCACACCCAGCTAATTTTTGTATTTTTAGTAGAGACGGGGTTTCACCATGTTAATCAGCCTGTTCTCAAACTCCTGACTATTGTTTCTGCTGTTACCTGTCAGTCCTCTTCATTGTGGCACAAACAAGATAAATTTTTTTGTAAAACTGATGTGCAAGGGGCATGGTGGCTCATGCCTGTAATCTCCACACTTTGGGAGGCTGAGGTGGGCAGATCGTGAGGTCAGGAGTTCAAGACCAGCCTTGCCAACATGGTGAAACCCCGTCTTACTAAAAATACAAAAATTAGCTGATGTGGTGGCACGCGCCTGTAGTCCCAGCTACTAAGGAGGCAGAGACAGGAGAATCACTTGAACCCGGGAGGCAGAGGTTGCAGTGAGCCGAGATTGCACCACTGCATTCCAGCCTGGGAGACAGAGCGAGACACCATCTCAAAAAAACAACAACAACAAAAACAAACAAAAAAACTGATGTGGATGGTGTGCCTGCCACTCCATGCATCACCTTCAACATTGTCTTGTCCCAACTCAAACTAAGTTATCCATTTACAAACTGTTTATTTCTTCTGGGCATCATCTCCATAATCTTTTCATAAAGCATCAATGATTTCATTATTCCTCTACCCAAACTTTACAAGAAGTATTTTTTTTTTTGAGCCAGTATCTCGCTCCATCACCCATGCTGGAATGCAGTGGCATGATCATAGCTCACTGCAGCCTCAACCTCCCAGGCTCGAGCTATCCTCCTACCACAGACTCCACAGCAGCTGGCCCTGCATGCATGTGCTACCGTGCCCAGCTAATTTTTGTATTTTTTGTAGACAAGGGGGTTTCACCATGTTGCCCAGGCTTGTCTTGAATACCTGGGCTTACATGACCCACCTGTCTTGGCCTCTGAAAGTGCTGGGATTACAGGCCTGAGCCACTGCATCTGGTCTCACTGTAAATTTGATGCTCCTTTTTGTTTCAATTTTAGCAGGATTTATATTGCTTTGATAGAGTCTCTTTTCTTTTCTTTTCTTTTTTTTTTTTTTGAGACAGAGTTTCGCTCTTGTTGACCAGGCTGGAGTGCAATGGTGCAATCTCGGCTCACAGCAATCTCTGCCTCCCGGGTTCAAGCCATTCTCCTGCCTCAGCCTCCAGAGTATCTGGGATTACAGGCATTTGCCACCATGCCTGGCTAATTTTGTATTTTTAGTAGAGATGCTGTTTCTCCATGTTGGTGAGGCTGGTCTCGAACTCTGGATCTCAGGTGATCCACCCACCTTGGCCTCCCAAAGTGTTGGGATTACAGGCATGAGCCACTGCGCCCGGCAGAGAAAGTCTCTTTTAAAACTCATGTCTTATCCTTCTGGGTGCCTCAAACTAGGACCTGTTCAGACATAACAGATTCGTACCAGTTTATTTTGGTGCAAAAACTGGGAAATTCATACACAATTTTCTCATAATATGCAAAATATGTATTTTTCCATGAACTTCTTGAAGACCCCTTGTACTAAAAAGCTGTATTCAAGAGGATGTAAAAAGGACTGTAGATACTCAAGTGCCACTTATTTCTGGGATGCAAGGATGGTTCAACATAGTCAAGCAAATCAATGTGATATGCCACTTGAACAGAATGAAAGATGAAAACCACATCATCTCAATAGATGGAGAAAAAGTATTTCACAAAATTCAAAATCCACTCATCATAGAAATTCTGAACAAAATAGACAGAAAAGGAAATTTACCTCAACAATAGAAAGGCCATCCATGAAATGACCAACGAGTAGATAACGAAGCAGGGAACATGGAATGATTTTCCTGTAGGATCTCACATGATGGAAGAATGCTCTCACCCCTTCTATTCAATAAATACTGGCTGTCCTAGCCAGAGCAATGAAATAGCAAAAGAAATCAAACCCATCCAAATCAGAAAGAAAGAAGTAAAATTATATGTGTTTGTAGATGACATGATCTTCTGTGTAGAAAATCACAAAGACTCAACCAAAATACTACTGGAAGTAATAAACAGATTCAGTGTATCTGCACAGTACAATATCAGCACCAAAAATTAGCTGAATTTCCATACATTAACAATAAACAATTTTAAAAGAAAATTTAAAAACACTTCCATTTGCTAGAGAACTTAAAGTAAGAAATACTTAGGAATAAAAGCAAAAAGATGAGAAGTTTGTAACAATAAACAATTTTAAAAGAAAATTTAAAAACACTTCCATTTGCTAGAGAACTTAAAGAAATAGAAATAAAAGTAAAAAGGTGAGAAGTTTGTACCTTGAAATCTACAAATATACATCAATATGATTAAAAACATATACAGACATATAACCCATATTGATGGATTGGAAAAATTAATATTGTTAAATGATTATATAACCCAATGTGATTTAGATTCAACACGGTACCCATAAAAATCCCTATCAGTTTTTGTTAAAGAACAAAAAGCAAACTGGGAAAAGTGGCTCATGTTTGTTGGCCAGACTGATCTGAAACTCCTGACCTCAAGTGATCTACCCGCCTTGGCCTCCCAAAGTGCTGGGATTACAGGTGTGAGACACTGTACCTGGCCCAATCCTCTTAACATAAACACTTTAATGTCAATTACTGCTTGATGGTTTGCTCTACTCATTGCATTTGGAACAATTATCTCAAAATGAATTTTCTGATATTCTGCAAGGAGTGAAGTCAGACTGAAAACCTTGCCACACTGATGACATTTGTAAGATTTCCGTCCAGTGTGCATTCTCTGATGTCTAAGGAGGTGTGAACGTGAAGTAAAGGCTTTGCCACAATCATCACACGTGAGGTTTCTCTCCTGTATGAATTCTCCTATGTTTTGCATAGGATGAAGCTTGACTGAAGACCTTGCCTCAATCATGACATTTATAAGGTTTGTCTCCAGTATGAGTTCGCCAATGAACTGCAAGGTATGGACGATGTCTGAAAAATTTGCCGATTATTACACTTGTATGATCTCTCTTCCTTATGGGTTCTCCAATGATTTGCAATGGTTGTAGCGTTACTGAAGACTTGGTGACAATCATTACATTAGTCAAGTTTCCTTCACCATGGATTGCCTGATGGTGAGTAAGTGTTGACTGCTCATTAAGGCTTTGCCAGACTCATTACACTTGTAAGGTTTCTCTCCAGTATAAATTCTAGGATGTTGTGCCAGGTGTGAGTCATGCCCGAAAGCCTTGTCACGAACTCTTACAATTTTATGGTTTCTCTGCAGTATGATTTATTTTATGTCTTTCAAGGTTTGACTTGTGACTGAAAACTCTGTGATATTCTTCACCTTTGTAAGCTTTCTCTCCAGTATGAATTCTCCTGTCTTTTGAGGCTCGATTTGCCACTGTAAACTTTGTCACATGCTTCACATTTCTAAGGTTTCTCTCCACTATGAAGTCTATGATGACGTGGAAGGTGTGCTTGTTGATTAAAAATTTTGCAACGTTCATTACACTTGTTTCTCTCCAGTATGAATTCTTATGAATTACAAGGACTGAATTGTGACAGAAGGTCTTGCCACACTCATTGCACTTGTTTCTTTCCAGTATGAATTGTATGATGATGTGCAAGCTTTGCTTTTCAATTAAAAGCTTTGCCACACTCATTAAACTTGTAAGGTTTCTCTCCAGTATGAAGTCTATGATGACGTGCAAGGTTTGCTTTTTGATTAAAAACCTTGCCACATTCATTACACTTGTAAGGTTTCTCTCCAGTATGAAGTCTATGGTGACGTGCAAGGTGTGCTTTTTGATTAAAAACCTTGCCACATTCATTACACTTGTAAGGTTTATCTCCAGTATGAAGTCTATGATGATGTGCAAGGTGTGTTTTTCGATTAAAAACCTTGCCACATTCATTACACTTGTAAGGTTTCTCTCCAGTATGAAGTCTATGATGACATGCAAGGTGTGTTTTCCGATTAAAACCCTTGCCACATTCATTACACTTGTAAGGTTTCTCTCCAGTATGAATTGCCGTATGAATTACGAGGGCTGAAATTCGACTGAACGTCTTGCCACACTCATTACACTTGTAACGTTTCTCTCCAATATGAATAGCCTTATGAATTACAAGGGCTGAATTTCGACTGAACGTCTTGACACACTCAGTACACTTGTAGGGTTTCTCTCCACTATGAAGTCTATGATGACGTGCAAGGTTTGCCTTTTTATTAAAAACCTTGCCACATTCATTACACTTGTAAGGCTTCTCTCCGGTATGAAGTCTACGATGGCATTTAAGGGTTAACTCCTGACTGAAGGTCTTGCCACATTCATTACACTTATAAGGTTTCTCTCCCGTATGAAGTCTATGATGGCATGTAAGGGATGACTTCCGACTAAAGGTCTTGCCACACTCATTACACTTGAAAGGTTTCTCTCCAGTATGAAGTCTACGATGGCATGTAAGGGATGACGTCTGACTAAAGGTCTTGCCACATTCATTACACTTGTATGGTTTTTCTCCAGCATGAATTCTCCTATGTCTTTTAAGGTTTGATTTGAAACTGAAAGCTTTGTCACATTCTTCACATTTGTAAGGTTTCTCTCCAGTATGAAGTCTACGATGGCATGTAAGGGAATACGTCTGACTGAAAGTCTTGCCACACTCATTACACCTGTAAGGTTTCTCCCCAGTGTGACATCTACGATGGCACACTAGGTTTCGCTTCCGATTAAAGACCTTGCCACATACATCACATTTATATTGTTTCTCTCCTAAATGGATTATTTGATGTTTCCTTAAGAGTGAGCTATAATTAAAGGCTTTGCCACTCTCATTACATTGGAA